>NC_000015.10:98150627-98789054 GCF_000001405.40 Homo sapiens | reverse complement strand
CGTGTGCTTTTTTGTAGAAGCACAGTCTAAATACACACACGCAAGCCACTGCAAAATGACTTTCTAAGTTAAAAGTCAGAGAAATCAATGTTTGACTGACTATGGAGCATAAAAATTCTTCATTTGCTTTCATCAGCTGAAAAAAAAATGCTAGAAATAACTACGGAGAAATGGTAAAGAAAAAAATGTAATGTACACAGTTTTGCTGAAAACCATGAAGATACCAGCAGAAGAAAAAAGAAAATGAAGACGACAAATGTATTTCACACAAAGATGACCGGGGCTGTTTCTGCACAGCCTCCACCTGGAGCTGAATCACCGGCCAGAACAGGGATTAGGACAGGCCTCACTGGCCTCCCAGAGCTGTCAGACCTCAGCAGGGCGGGCGCATCCTTGGGTAGCCCAATCAAGGCTGAGCAGTATAGACCGTTTGCAAACTTGCGCAAACTGTGAAGTTATTTACATGCATTCAGGGAAAAGACTCCCCCAAACAGGGAAGCTTCTACCAAACAAATGCCTTAAAAATTATTTTATGAAAGAGATGTCTGTTATGTGTAAACAGACACTAATTGTTGCTGCACCTTGGGTAAGTGACAGGGCTCAGAGAACAGGAAGGAAGCCTGTGACTTAGCAGACAACAGGACAGTTCTTCCCTTTGACCTTCCACTGGTCCCAGATTATGACTCAGAGACTGTCTCCCACTCTTTACCCAAGGGGAGATCCCTGCACCTCCTCCTCTAACATCCTACATCTTTAAAATGCTCCTCTGAATCCCAGAACTACAGAAACCACAGCACTCGTGCTGGTGAGCAGATTCCTAATTGCAGAAGATGCATACAACTTGATGCTTTCAGATTAGAGTCTACCCATTCCTACCATGCATTTGTTCCTACACAATAGCATACGGGCATGTGTAGGAGGTCACCCCACATTCTTTATTAACTTAGAGAAATCACTATTTACACACACACACACACACACACACACACACAGAGAGAGAGAGAGAGAGAGAGAGAGAGATCCCTACCCACCATAGGAACGTGGCCTGAGGATCCAGAGGCAAATCTGCCATCAAGCGTGGTGAACAAACTAAAAACCCTACTTTCCCTTAAGCATCACCCCCATTTCTCTTTTGTCTCCCTTTCCCTCTCCAAATTCAATGTTCTCACACCACAAAGGGCCTCCAGGCACAGGAACAAAAACATATACGACTGATTCAAAAAGCAGACACATGTCCCTACCAGACACCTCCAGCTGAGTGTTCCAATTCTTTCCTTCTGAGTTGAGGATACTATTTGTTGGTGCAAAAGTAATTGCGGTAATAGAAGTTTCTGCAAAGTACTTCCAATGTGGAACCCACTTCAGTTAGAAAGTGGTGAGAGGTCTCTGTTTTAAGAGACCTAGGGTGAGAGGTCTCTGTTTTAAGGATCAATACTCTGTTTTAAGGTCTCTGTTTTAAGAGACCTAGGGTGAGAGGTCTCTGTTTTAAGGATCAATACTCTACATCTGCTTCCCAAAGGTCCAACATTTCTTGATAGCAAAGGTGGGGGGAGGGTTACAGAGCTTTTCATTTGGATTAGGAAGGGCAAAGCTCTGTGTCACCATTTTCCCTTTGCTCACGCTCCAACGCCTTCAGGATTTAGTCAGCCTGAAAGTTTCATAATTTAAGGTGGGTGGTTTTGTGAGCATGGGTTTCTGGGTTTGTTTGAAGGTGTTTTATCTGAGAGTGCTATGGGGGCACTTTCTATCCATGCCCCTAATATAGTCATGAACAAAAGTCAGGTTGGCACAGAGTGACTTTATTCTGCTCTGCAGGCCAGAAAGATTCAGGAGAGGACAAAAACAGAGACAGGTGTGCCCAGAGAATGCTGAAGTCCCACTTTTATGCCATGAATCCTTCCCAGGAGCCCAGAAAGAGAAGCTCTACTCAACTCCCTTGCCCGAGTCCCAGCCCCGAAGGAGGTCCAAGTCTCATGACCAATTACGAAGGGGCGCTGATGGAACCAGGGCGCTCTTGTGGATATTTAAACTACATTGCTGGCTCACAGAATGTCGTCACCAACCAGAAATAGTGCTATTTCAATCCGAAACCCAGGCTCTGAGCAATCCTCAAGTGGGTGAGAGAGGTAAGGAATGTCTAAGGATCAATTCTCCATGACTTGAGAAAAGGTTAGGACGGCAACAAAGTGGGGAAAGGCTTCACGTTCCACACAGGCTCTCTAGCTGCCCAGTTCTCTGTCCTACAGTCATGCAGGCACCTGCCTGATCATCTTGTGACCAGACACTGGCCCAGTTATTGGCCAGAGCACAATGTCCTCCCCAAACTATTCTAAAAAAAAATCCTATGAGTGAAAATGTACATGCAAACCTGGACTTTCTTCCCCCAATGCAACAACAACAACAAAAAAAGACAGTGGTTTTTCACTGTATTAGAGGCAACAGAGAAATCCCCTGTGTTTCCAGGTTCCTTAGAATACTTGACTGAAATAGGCTTATAGATTTTGATTCATCCACGTCTTCAAATAGGCAAAGGAGCACAAAGCAAGCACTGAGCTGGAAGGCACTTGCCACACCCGAGGCCTGGCCATTCGCTGCAGCACATGGCCTCTTTCAATGGGGCCATCTGTCCCAGAAAAATCTAGAGGTGTTTTCTTCTTTGTTTAATAAAAAAAAAAAATTAACTCCCTGGTTAACAATTAAACCACTGAGTAAAGACAATTTGCAATGTGGCTAATCATTCTGACTCTGCATTAGATGAGCCAAGGAAACCACACTGTATGTACCCTCAGGTTTTCCTCCACCTTGTTCTAAGTGTCCTGGCTTCAAACAGGTGCTGACCCCAAATGACTGGAACCAACAAAACCTGCACTGAGGTCAACTGGTGGGGAAACTGAATACTCATCTGTAGACCTAGGCAACTTGCTTTCCATGTCTGAGATTAACAAGGCTGTACTCGCTGAAGCCTAGGAGTGCACGTGATTTCTGGGGTAGCCACAGACCAAGCCCTAAAAGGGAGGGTGAGAGAGGCAGAGTCTGCAGGGGAGGGGCAGCAGCTGAAAGGCTGAGCGCTGGGACCATCCATAATTGGATTAGACAGCCGCAACCAACTGACTCTTTCAGCAGACCGAGCCCACATTGTGCTCCAGCTAGTGGTCACGTAGGTGTGCTTTGTTTTAAGGAAACCCAATACCTACATTCCTGATTTACAATACAGATGCTTTATTGGGGCACCTCACATGGTCAGACCCTCCTGCCTCTCTTTCCTTTACTGCTTGAGGTGGGTGGGGATCACTTCCTGAGCTCCAAGGAAAAATAATACAGGCTAGAGAATATTTGCATCAATAGCACAATCACAGCAGGCTAGACTGCTTTACCAACACTATCGAATTCAATCTTCAAAGTACTTCCAAAGGCATTCCATTTATTCCCAATGTACTGGTGAGGACTCTGGAAAAGTTCCACAAAACCTTTGGGGCTAAAGTCCTCTGAACGCTAAAGCCTGCGGCCCTGGGGCCAATTAACACACCTCCTATAAGTATTAAAATCTAAATTTTGCTACCCTTCCTTATGAACATTATTTTTAACTCTGGATTACCTGGGACTGAAATCATGAATGTTTTCTAGAGATTCTATTACTTGACATTCTCAAATACAGTGCACACACAACTACTTTCATATGCTACAAAGGGAAGAGGGAATTGTGACATCTGATAGAAGGATAAAGAAACTCAAGTCCAAAAGAACTGCAAGTATCTGACTGTGTACAATTAGTTCTTGGTACAAACTAGATATACAGTGTATTGTTTCCAAAAAGCATTCTGTATACAAGAAAAGTAGATTCAATTACCTAAATAACAAGATGACATTCTGATGATTTGGAGGTTAATTACTGTAAGGCACTAACCAATCAAGTCAAATTCCAGTTGCAAAATTGAATTTTAAAATTGTAATCATAAAATTACAAACTACTAGCAACTATTTCCCATGTTTAACAGCTTGCTCCCTTCTAAACACATACACATATATATATACACATGAACTTCTGTGTGTTCATATTCTTTCTGGTTTAATTCAAGTTGTCGAAAATCTAGACATGTTGTAAATACAGTCATCCCTCAGTATCCAAGGGGGATTGGTTCCAGGACTCCCACGGATACAAAATCCTTGGATGCTCAAGTCTCTGCAATAAAATGGCAGCGCTTGCATATAACGTATGCACATCGTCTCATAGACTTTCAGCCATCTCTAGCTTACAATACCCAATACAAATGCTGTATAAAAAGTTGTTATACTAGTTTTTAAATTTGTTGTCTTTATTGTTGTATTGTAATTTTTTTTTACTGTTTTTCCCCCCAAATATTCTTAATCTGTAGTTGAAGGAATCCGCAGATGTAGAACTGAAGGAGACAAAGGGCTGACTACCTGCAGTTTTACATAAGAGATTAGAATTACAATAACTCAGGTAAAGAATGTTCACAAACTGGACGCTAAACTAGGGCATATGGTCAAGTATGACTTAACCTAGACTAAATTGCTCAGCAGGAAAATGTGTATTTTGGCCAACTCTGACCACCTAGGTTGGTACACCTCATTCTGACATCAACCTAAGGGGTCAGAGTTGGCCAAAATAAAAATTCTACTAGCAGAAATTCTTTCTAGCAGTAAAAAGAAAAGGGAGATGCTCAGATATCCTGGACTCCCCAGAGGGGTAAGATTACCCCTAGGACTTCTCTGTTTACTGCCATGAGAAGAATATCAGCTTGCAGCACCATAATCCAGAGCTGAAAAAAGACTTTTTATACTTAAAAATAGGATTCAGGGGCCGGGCACGGTGGCTCACGCCTGTAATCCCAGCACTTTGAAACCAGCCTGGTCAACACGGTGAAACTCTGTCTCCACTAAAAATACAAAAATTACCCGGGTGTGGTTGCGGGTGCCTGCAATCCCAGCTACTTGGGAGGCTGAGGCAGGAGAATCGCTTGAACCCGGAAGCCAGAGGCTGCAGTGAGCTGAGACTGCGCCATTGCACTCTAGCCTGGGCAACAAAGGGAGACTCCATCTCAAAAAAAAAAAAAAAAAAAAAAAAAAAAAAAAAATTTCAGATGCCATAGTATTTGCAATAGACCAATCAAAAACTCTATGTGCATATAGCACATAAATAACTTCTAATCTAGCCTAGGAAGAAGGATAGCGTGGTACTATCTATAAACCCACTTTGTGACAGCAGCACTTTCTAGCAACAGCATCGGTATTCTCCACAAAATGTAGCAAGTGACACCTAATAAAAATAAAAGGAGTTGACATATCTTGAGCATGTATTGATAATTAGTAATAAACTAGCATAAACTAAAAAGTGAGTTCAATAAGTTGTATCTCTATATACTGGCAATGAGCAAAGAAATTAAATACTTAGGGTGTAACTCTACCAAAACATACACAGGACTACAAAAACTACAAAATGCTAATGAAGTAAATCAAAGAAAAACTAAATAAATGGAGGGACATGCCATGCTCATGGAATGTAGTACATTTACACCACAGAATACCATTCAGCAATAAAAAGAAACAAACTATTGATAAACACAGCAACCTGAATGAATCTATAAGGAATTATGCTGATGGAAAAACTTCAGTTCCAAAAGGTTACATACTATGAGTCTATTTACAGAACATTATTAAATGATAAAATTTTATATAGAGAGAACAGGTTAGTTTGTAACCAGGCATGAAGGAGAGAGGAGAGATAGAAGGGAAGTAGGTGTACCTTTGTGGTGATGACATATATCCTTACTATATTAACGTCAATATCCTAGCTGTGATACTGTACTAGTTTCACAAAATGTTACTATTGGAGGAAAATGGTGCATGGAATTACTCTTTATTATTTCTTGAAACTGCATGTGAATCTACAAGTATTTCAAAATAATTTTTTTAATGGGGGCAGGGGGAGGTCTCCCAACAACAAATAAATTAACTTGCCATCCTCCAGCAGCCTAGGCAGGCAGAGAGCTTCTCGCAAATCACAGCATCATGATGTTGGGCCATCCAGATGTAGAACATATTCAGCCTGTGTGCTGCCACTTCATCAGGAAGTCACAGCTCCAAAAAGGTTAATTTTTAAGTCTCTATTTAGAAATCCTATCTTTAAGCCACATTGCTTTCTTAGCTCAAGGACTATTTCAGTTGTAACAGTTTAGGATTATATACTATGAAAACAATAAAAGGAGATCTTAAAATGAGCAATTACAGTAATTAGCACAAAAGAATTTCTAAGTCTATTATTGAGCAACTTTCTGAAGGAACAAGACTATTTTAAACTAAAAGAATGCATACCCAAGACACGTTTATTGCAGAGTTATTTGTAATACTAAAAAACTGGAAACAACTAAATGACTAATTTGGAGTGATTAAAGAAATCATGTCCATCATTCCAGCTTTATGCAATGGTTAAAAATGCATAAAGAGCAGGTCCGCAAGCACTGACAATAATTATAAGCAAGGTAAATTATTAAGCTGAAAAAAGATACAGAACAATGCAAAAAGATAACCCCATTTAAGTATTTAAAATTATACAGTAGAACATATGCATATATAATATAAATAAATGAGAGAGTATTTTCAAAATTAGTTGTAATGAAGACTTCATGGGGAAGGGGATGGTGACATTTAAAATGTATTTTCATTGTAAAAAAAACATAAAAATCAGAATTTACAAATTTAGATTTCTATCAATCATGATTAAAATAAGATGTTTTCCACTTAATTCAACATGGTAAACAAAGCTGCTTCCTTTCATCCCAAAATGGACATATTCAGGTTTTTATCCAAATGTGTTACTGAGTTTTGTTTCTTCTTTAAAAGTGTCTAGATTAGGGACTCACAAATTCAATTCTTTCAAGGAATACTACATATTAACAGGAAAGTTATTTGCTCAAATAGGTTTGAGAAATGCTATTTAAAACATAAACAGGAGACCAAGGCAGGAGGATCACCGGAGTCAGGAGTTCACAAGCAGACAGGGCAACACAGCAAGACCCCATCTCAAAAAAAATCAATAGGAGGGAAATAAGTAATCAGCCTTTTGCTGGGCTATGAAAACATTTTAGGCCAGTGCATGAAAAGATGCTCAGAGGATTTCAGAGTTCAAGAAATGTTGGACTACATTAACATTTAATGTAGTCTTGAACCTTAAGACTCTTAAACCTGGAATATCACAATGCTGTCCAAATTATCCATCAAGTCTACAAAGACAGGAAATAGACTCAATATAGCCCCAGTACCCCGGCACAGTAATAGCACATGGTACATAAGGAGCATGTGACATGCATATGCAAATAAGAGGTACAAAATATGCAAGGTAGATAAAGTTCTAAGTAGTTTACATATTTGCCCTATCTTGTTTATACTATTTACCAAAAAAGGCTAAATGTTATTAACTCATTATTTCTATTCAAAAAGCATTTGATAAATAGCAGAAATTCAGTCAAGTACTTACTACTTTACAAAAAGCTCAGGTAAATAAATATAAATGGAAAACTGAGAAACTAGGTTCCACTATAAGCAGAGTCTTCACCAGCTATGGGTAGCTCTAATGGAACAGTAAAATCTTCTAATGGATTTAAATACGATCTGATGTGCGACATTAGTAATTTAATTTGGAGGGACATTTATTTCTAGCAAAAGTGATCAGGCAAGTCCCTTCTACACCCTAAAACCCATTTCTTTTTTGCCCCCAATTTTAAACCTGCCTCACTATTAAAGCTTCAAGACAAACTCTACAATCATTTTATCAAGCTCCAAACAAGCTGCAGAAGTACTAAAATTGTTTTTAAATTATAAATCAATTTGGGAAGAAGTGACATTGATAATATTCCAGTTTCTCACCTAGAGAAAATGGCATTTCGCTTCATTTAAATCTCTTTTTCTTTATTTTGAAACAGGGTCTCGCTCTGTCATCCAGGCTGGAGTACAGCGGCACAAATGTGGCTCACTGTAGTCTTGACCTCCTGGGCTCAAGTAGTCCTCCCACCTCAGCCTCCTGAGAAGTGGACATGACAATTGTATGCCACGACTCCCGGCTAAATTTTGTTTTGTTTTGTTTTTTAAGAGACAAAGCTTGCCATGTTGCCCAGGCTGGTAAATCTTCTTTTCTACATTGTTCAGTAAGATTGTGTAGATTTTCTGTAAATACATCCTACAAGTTTCCTATTAGAATTACTTCTTGTTATCTGGATTGTTTAATTAAAAAGAAATGCAGTTTTATTACTTCCAAAAACATTAAGCAATTCACTTATCTATCTAAACCGTAAGGAGATCCTTAAGGAGATAGACTGCCTAAAGTGAATAGTGAGGCATGATTTATAATTAGTATGTTAATTTCATCTGTAAATAGGAAACTATAAAACTTTTCAAGGTAGTTTAAAAAATTCCATCAAGTAGATAACATATTCACCTTACAATTTTATTTACTCTCTCTCTCTTTTTTTTTTTTTTTTTTTTTTTTTTGAGACAGAGTTTCATTCTTTTTGCCCAAGCTGGAGTGCAATGATGCAATCTTGGCTCTCCACAACCTCCACCTCCCGGGTTCAAGCGATTCTCCTGCCTCAGCCTCCTGAGTAGCTGGGATTACAGGCATGCGCCACCACTGTGGCTAATTTTGTATTTTTAGTAGAGATGAGGTTTCTCCATGTTTGTCAGGCTGGTCTTGAACTCTCAACCTCAGGTGATCCACCCGCCTCAGCCTCCCAAAGTACTGGGATTACAGATGTGAGCCACCACACCCGGCCTACTCTGTTAATTTAAACAACTATTAAATGAGACAATACACTGCAAAGCACTTAGAAAAGTGCCTGACACAGGAATAAGTTTTCTTTTTTCTTTTTTTATTTTATTTATTTTTTTATTATACTTTAAGTTTTCAATAAATGCGAATGTTTGTTATTACATAAATTTAAAAAAAAAAAATAGCCACCTGGCTCCATTCTTGGCCACAAACTCTGAAGAGGTGGAGTTAAAGTGTGTGAGGTATGTCGGATAACCTCCCATGCAAGTCACTACCACAGCTGACATCCCGGAGCCAGAGAACTTGATGAATGTCTTCAATGGTCACAGCTGAAAAGGGAACTAACTCCAGGTCCCCAGGCTGACTTGCCCTCCGAGCCTGGAGGGCAAACTCTGCTAATTAACTCTCTTTGCTTGGGTTCGCCTCTGTCATCTTCACCCCTGTGCCAACAGGCTATCTCCACAGATAGCCTGCTCTCGTGTGCCCTCTACTGGAGGGCTGTGGTTCCAGAGTTGCTCCAGCCTCGGACTCGGCTCCCCGCAGACGGAATGTCCTCCTCCAGGGAGAGGCTCGAGTCAAGTGCTAATGTGTTGTCAACCTCTGACTCCAGAGAAGCGGATTATATGATTTAATGATAGTTCCGCATCAGAAAAGATTTTGAAACGTGTAGCTCAAAACAGTAAAATTTCACAGTGATTATCTGAAACTGAAGTAGTCCAAACCGCTGACGGTGTAACCTGAGCAACTTGTTTTAACTCCTCTGAGGCTGTTTCCTCATCTGTACGGTGGGAATAGCAGTACTTACCTAACCAGGCTGAGGATTAAATGAATTAGTATCTGTAAAGTGCTTAGAATGGTACATAGCACAGAGCAGTGTTCTTAAATATTTCTTGAAAAAATTAATAAAGGAGAAGCCTACCTTAAACCTTCAGAGAAAATCTGAAGTCGAAATTTTTAAAAGCTAAATTTTAGAATCAATTGCATTTTAAAGTCATCATGAAACATGAGGTTGCTGCTACACAGTCACTTGTGCTGGATTATATAACAGGTGAAAACTTATTCTCTTGGGAATTTCCAGAACTCTGTGGCACAGCCAAAATACACCGACCTTGAATACATTGTTCTGGAACAAAGTGGATGTACTGAACACTGAATTGATGTTACTACTTCGTACCAAGCACACAGCACTGAATGCTCTCACGCTCAATTATCTGACAGTGATGCTAGTAAGAATAAAACATAATTTTTAATCTTATTTAAAATGTATTATGCACTCCCAGAGTACTTACAAGAAACTACTCTTCTGCTTTTCATGGATATCTATTCATAAGAAGAAAGACAGCTGGTTTTGGGGCTGGTGGTGGGTTTTTCCATTGTTTTCAAAAGACAGAGAGCTATGCATATGCTGACTTCCAAAGAGGCTATCATCAGTCACCGGAAATCCACAGAAAAGGTCACTGCCAGAGATCTGCCATGTGTGATCCACCCACTCTCACTTCAAGGCCACTAGCACCACTACCAGGCTGACACAAGGCCCCTGGGAAGGTGGCCCAGTGCAGGACAGACACAAAAGGGACCACAGTCAAGGAGCAGCCTTACTTTCTCACCTCACCCAAGATAGAGAGCTATGGGCCAAGGGAGGGGAAATCAGGATATGGCCACCCAGGCCAGGGCTGCCCCCACTCCTCAACCCTGCTCCCCTGGAGAAAGACCGTACTCTTATCAAGGGCCCTGTGGGTGACAAAGAGCTAGAGAGCCACTGTGACCACTGGGTTTCTGCACCATTTGGCTAATGAAAACCATGACCCTCTCTGGGTCTCAGTCTTCTCATCTGTGAAGTGGAAGGATAGGCAAAATGACATGAATAACAGAATGAGTGACTATAACCCAAGCCCACAGCTTAGTGTCAAGGATTGTGAGAACGAAGCAAAAGGCATCAAGCACTCTGAATTGTTCAAATAATGAAGATGATGCCCACAAAGACAGATAGAACATGCCTCAAAGCTTCTCAGTTTTCCTACGACTAAGATAACCAGTCACCATGTGGCATGACTCCGAGGACCACGTACAGGCTTTGCATCTTCTGTGAAGGCTTCAGTTGCCCTTGGGGATACATCGCCGTTCTGTCCACCAACACTCTCTCATGTTCTCAGGACATAATTACCTATTTCTGTTCTATCCTCACCCCCTAAAAGATTAGTCTAGAACCTGTTCTTATTAAGCTCTGCATTGTCATTGCTGAACACTCTGTCATGCAGTAGGTGCTCAATAAATATCTAACCCCCGTACACACATCAAAAACAAAAGAGCATCTATGGGTCTTTATACTGTAAGGTTTTACTTTCTTCTCCCCTACTTCCCTACTATTGGTCCCTCCATCTAGACCTTACGATCTGCAGTGGTCTACATTTGGGACCCTTACAGTAAACGTGTGCCACTTCTCTGAAAAGTCATGCAGCTGCTCCCAGCTCCGTCTCTGCATGACCAGGCAAGTGAGTGCAGACCTCATCTTACATCTGTGTGGTTCTCTTTTCTGCAGGCTGAAATGCTGCTCTCCCCATCAACTGTGAGGATGCACTTGCTGCCCTCTTGCCCACCAAGGTATGGGGCCTGGAGAGCTACGTTTGTGTCTGCTCTGACTTTGGACAGCCCCCACAGGGGTCATTCCCCGGCAGCTCATTCCATCACTGAGATGTGCTGAGATCCCAGAGCCGCCTGCACCCTTGAGGTTCCTCTTCGGTCATCATTCCTTGCTTGGACTTCTTTAGACGTCTAGAGACTTCCGAGGTCGGTGAGCAGACTGTGTCCTTAACCAGCATTTTGTTTCTCAGGGCCTCCCCGGGCCCCTCACCACCTCCCTCTCAGACTCCCAAACCCTGGAACTGAATTCAAGGCAACCTTCTTCCCTCTTTGAAAGGTTTAACAAACAGCGTCTCAACTTTAACCTTGGCAAGTACATTAACCAAGTTCCAGGTCACATGAATTAACGGATGGCCCACTTAAAACAAACCACACTGAGTAGCTACGAGGAATGTCTCCACTGCGGCAAGTGCAAAATCCAAGTGAAGGCCCTGATCAGCAAATTGAGCGTGCTTCAGGACACCCGCCCCTCCTGCCTGGCCCCCTGCCGCTGCAGCAACACATGTGAACTGACACGGTATCTGAGCACACCCCGGGAAACAGACCGCAGCCCTCCCTGGCGCCCAGTGATTACAGGCCAAGGCTGAAAGCAGCAACAAGAACCAAGAAACAAAGCCTTCTGTGAAACCAGAAACCACACAAGGTCACAAAAACAGCAAGAACTTGTAAATCCTGAAAACCCTTCAGTGAGGAATTTTCCTAAGCACCTGTGTCCAGCTCTGAAACAACAGTGGCTTGACACATACCTGAGACGATGAGAGCACAAATCCAGCCGCCCCTCCGGAAAGACCATTCAAGGTCACGGGCGTTTTAAGATGTGGTTCTCTTTTGGGCTTATCTGTGGAAAAACATCCAAGGCACAGACCAAACAGCTGCTTTGAAAACACACTCAAGACAGACCACATCCTTGCACACCGCTGTGGCCTCAGGTGAGAGGAGGTGGAGGTGAGGGCCGCCCAGCACCAATGTCTGGTAATGGCAGGTAGGGGAACTTCACATGCACCTATGTTATTTCAGAGCCTGGGCTCAACAGGGAGGTAGGGGGAAGGAGGGAAGAGGCTCTTAAAAATAATGCTGACAAAATCAAGTACCAAGAACACAAGTGTCCTGATAACTAGTAAGTTTCTTTTTTAAAGAAATAAAATCTGGCTGGGCGCAGTGGCTCACACCTGTAATCCCAGCACTTTGGGAGGCCAAGGCGCGTGGATCATCTGAGGTCAGGAGTTCAAGACCAGTCTGGCCAACATGGCAAAACCCCATCTCCACTACCAATACAAAAAATTAGCCCGGCATGGTGGCACATGCCCATAGACCCTGTTACTCAGAAGGCCGAGGCAGGAGAATTGCTGGAACCCGGGAGGCGGAGGTTGCAGTGACCTGAGATCACACCACTGCACTCCAGCCTGGGCGACAGAGTAAGACTCCATCTCAAAAAAAAAATAAAAAAATAAATAATAAAAAATAATTAAATTAAAATAAATAAATAAAAATTTCTCTTGCCCCTTCCACCCTCCCTTCGGGAGTTTAAGGAAAATCACCACAAAAGAGAAAACCAAAGTCAGTCAAAAGCTGCTTAAAGGATGTGCAATTACATGTGATTGAGAAAGTCTGTATGATTAAAGCCAGAAAGAAGGCTGCGTACTTGGCAAATACTAGGCACTGTATTTAGGCAAATATTCTTTCAACTATCAGTCTCTTCCTCCCACAACACACCTCCCTAATTTGCAAAGATTTGTTTAATAGACCAGTGGTTCTCAAAGTGTGGTCCCAGACCCCAAAAAGGATCACATGGGAACTTGACAGAAATGCAAATTCTCATCATCCAACCAGCCCGAGACCTGCTGAATCGGAAACCCTGGGGTGGGGCCCAGCCCTGTGAGCTTTAACAAGCAACCCAGGGGATTCTGACCTGGGAGACCCACTGTACTCTGCCTGGATCCTTCAGTGCGGACCAGGGACCCAGCACCAGCAGGGGCCACAGGCACAGAAGCCAGGTGTTGCTCTGATCCTTATAGCTGCAGAGGTGGCCAAAGACCCCTCCCCAGCTGCTTCCCCGACAAGTGGGGGCTTGGGACACATCCCAGGTGGCATAGCTGTGGTGGTGGCAGTGGTAGGAGGCCCAGGTTGAGACATGAGGGGAAGAACAGTGTCTAGGGCAACGGTCCCTGAACTTGTTTGCACAAGGTACTCACCCAGAAGCCTCGAAAACACGGATGCCCAGTCCCACCCCTGGAAATGGTGATTCAGTTGGTCTAGAGGTGGGGGTGGCAGCCTGGCTTTGGAATCGTCAAAGCTCCCCAGGTGATAATAATGTGCAAACAAGTTTAGATCTGCCTACAGTCTTGTGACTGTTAAAACAGAGATGGGGCAGGACACAAAAGGCACCTTCCATGTGGAGGTGGGGGGAACGAGGCAATGGTCCCGCTTGCTACAGCAGGGAGGACTTGGCCTGACCCAGCTGGGGGTCATCCATTTCTGAGTGCTCCAGGGGCCTGGAACCAGCAATGGCTTGATACACATGGACTCAGGTATTATAACCTATTTTCCCTCTAAGGACTCTGGGACTAAGGCAGGTTATTATTAACCTCCAAGTCAGACAACCTCCAGTGGAGCCAGGACTCAAACCTGGGACTGCCCAGCTGGAGAAGGAGTCTGGTTCCAGGTTCCTGAGCTACGTAACTAGTAAGTGAGACCCTACCTCCAGTTCCCTGATGTAATATCCAATAATGAGTCGAGTACTACTCATCTTCCTTTTAAATTTAATTGTGGGAAAATATCCATAACAAAATGTACCGTTTTAACCATTTTTAAGTAGAGTGCAGCAATGTTAAGTAAGTTCACACTGTTGTACAACATCACCGCCAGCCACCTCCAGAACTTTTTCCATCTTGCAAAAGTGAAACCATCACTCCACTCCCTTCCCCAAACCACCCCCCACCCCCCCACCACCGCAGCCATCATTCTGTTTTCTGTCTCTGAATGCGACTACTCCAGGGAACCTCATCTAAATGAAATCACATAGAGTATTTGTCCTTTTGTGACTGGCTGATTTCACCTGGCATAATGTCCTCAAGGTTCATTCACGCTGTTGCATGTGTCAGAATGTCCTTCCTTTTTAGGACTGAATAATATTCTATATTTCTTCTTAAAGAAACAATCCTCAACTTTAAAATCTAAACTCGATAGTCAAACCCTGCATTTTCCATGCCTAAAAGCATAGACACTGCAGTCCCTGTGCAATCAATGGTAAACACATCCTTCAGTCTTTTGTGGGGAAATTTGCAATATGTTCCCCATTTTTGATCTGTCTTGTGTTTTGGCCTCTAATTCAGACCAGAAGAATCTACTTTACAACTGAATCACAAGGGATCTGAGATGGGTGCTGTAGCCAACGTGACTTAACAGGCAGCATTTCTAAGCACAGGAGAGAGAGAACTTGATCTGATTTGAAGGGATTCAGGAAAGGCTCATAAAGCTTCAGTGAATGTCCCCCGCTTCTAAGATCCTCTTCTTTTTGTCACGGCATGATGTCTAAACCCACAGCATAGTTCTTCAGCTATTTCTGAATTGCTGAGATTAACCAAAAACCAATCCCAAAGAGATAAAAATAATTGATTCAAACTGAGTATACAATAAAGGGGATTTATTTCCTTAAAACTGGAAAAAATACAAAAATAGGGTAGGTTTCAGGCACAGTTTATTCTGGGCTACTACTGCGGTTGTCAGTGATTGTGCCAATCCTGTCTCTCACCCCACAATGGCTTTGTCCTTAGGCTGGCTTCCCCCCGGATCACAAGATGTCGTCAGACACCTACTGGAGCTATGTGGATCCTTATTCACACTCAGAGAGAGCACTGCTTCCCAGAGCCACCAAACCACAGTTCTGAGCAGCGTTCTAAGGGACCAACCTGAACTGTGGCCAGGAAATGCCTCCCTGCTGATTACAGTGTGGGGTACAGTCCATCTTTTGGGGGAGGGGAGGACGCTCGAATGCTAGTTGGGGTTAATTTCACTCAAAATGTGTGGCTGCTATGCAGTGCAGATAAGAGTGGTCCCCAGAACAAAATCTGGGCGCTGTGAGCAAAAGGAAATGGTTGCTGATCCATGTCCCCCAAGGCACCCCATGGCTCAAGTAATGCTCCGTGTTAATCCTTGTGCTGAAACTGCACATACTTCTTGAGAACGCCTTGTCTGGAGCGGTAAGCAATCTAGCATTTTAACTTCCCCTCAAGGAACTGATTTGTCCCTTGTGACCCCATTAATGTTTGCAGATGCCTTGACCTTCATTAATTACGGGAGTTTTTGTAAAGCTGAACATTGAGGCCAACAGCAGCCATACTTCTCTTTTAGGAAAATGGCAGCCACTCTGAGCCTCGAGGTTTACACAGCCCCCAACACTCTCTGGATGGGACTGTACATGCAGCACGGGGGTCATCTGAGCCACCAGCTACTCATCTTGTATAGAAACAAAACAAAAAAGAACTGAGTACAGTAACCAAGGAAGAAAATCATAAAAGTTCACACGCTGGAAACAACTTTCTAATTCTCTTATCTATACTTGGCCACAGATGAGCTAAGAATCATCACCAGTAGTTAACTCAAGAGAGGCATGCAAATATGTGGTAAGATGCTATAATTTTGAGGTTAGAAAATAAATCCATGTATTTATAACTTAAATAGTGATTTGAATCAAGGAGTATTAATGGCTGTACCCTTAGAAAAAGAATGATTCTAACCACTTACCCTTCAGCACCCAACCCCTATCAAAAGCAAACATATTCTGTGATAACAAACATCGTAATATCATCTTTATTTGTCTGCCCTGGAAAAAACACCAAATCATGACTGGTGTTCCTGTTATTGATTCCTCCCCAACAAGGAAAAAAAAAAAGTGACCTTTTGGCTGGGCACAGTGGCTAGTGCCTATAATCTCACCTCTTCAAAAGTAAAAAAAAGTTAAAAAAAAAAATTAGCTGGGCGTGGTGGTGTACATATACAGTTCTAGCTGCTAGAGAGGCTGAGGGAGGAGGACTGTTTGAGCCCAGGAGTTCGAGGCTTCAGTGAGCTATGATTGTGCCACTGTGCTCCAGCCTGGCCAACAGAGACCTAATTCTTAAAATAATAATAATAATAATAATAATAATAATAATAATAATTTTTAAGTGACCTCTTGAATGAAGTCTTCCTTCATGTTTATTTTTTACAAACCTTTCTTAGGTTCAGAACAGCTTGTTCAATATTAATTCCATAGAACAGAGCCGACCACACTATGAGAACTCAATTTGAAAACAACAGTATATCAAAAATATCAGTGATTTTCAAAAAATTCCTCTTTTCCAGACTAGAAATTATTAATCAAAAAATTATGAATTAGTAGTTTTTAGTAAAGTTGGTATTTCACCAATTTTGTTAAGTCAGAAAACTCCTTATAAACACCTGTTTCATGTTTTCAGAAATTTTCAAATGATTCCACAGTTGCTACATGGTCAATAAAGAAAAACTTCATGCTTTTACTTCAATTAGAATTCTCTGTTCGCAGTTTGGGGGTCTCACTGGCCAGTGTGTGTATGAGAACTTAAGGGATGTATGCACTTTAGAGCTCAGCTGTGCAAGCTGGGCTTTCCTTACCTACGCTGCTATAAACATACTGCTAGAGGAGGGACATTTAAGCTACTCTCATGCTGCTACAAGATTAAATGCCTCCCTACCTATTTAAAAAAAAAAAATGTCAGTGGAGAAGAAGGAAGGAGGGAGGGAAGGAAACTCAGCTTGAATGTCAGTAACTTGATAAGCATGCTGCTGATAAAGAACACCCTGGACTTTGTAGCAATTGCCAATAACCAAACCAATAAGCAAACAATCCAAACTTAACCGTAACCTTAAATTTTTTCCCTTTTCATGTTTCATTTGAACATGAAAATGTTCAAATCTCTTGCATACGTTGTTATTCATAAGTGAGCTGCAGGGGGAAACCCAAGCCTAGATGTAAGATACACTCTTTTCAACATGCATGCAGGCCTCACCAGTGATGTCTCTGGAGGCATATTCTGACCAGATCAACTGCCTCACCTGCGACATCACCGTTTACTGGGTCTCACTATATATAAATAACTTCTCTGCTTACTCACTAAAGCCTTGTGCAGGTCCCTCTTACCTCCTCAAATACGTCCACATGTGTAAGCACACATATCTGCACATCGGTTTGCTTTATTCACAGGAATCTGAGAACCCCTATGAAACGGCAGTGAGGAAGGGGAGAGAGGGTGGAATGGGTACCAGAAGGGAGAGAGGAAGACAATGTACAGGAAAACAACAACAACAACAAAAATCCTAAGTAGTTGTGTTCTCCAAAGAACTAAATGTAAATGGTCCCAGCACACCTTAGAAAAACAGGAGCAGCAGGGGGTATGTGTTAGTCATCTTTCTGAGCTCCACGTGGGTGCTTGGATGGAGGGATGAATGATGAATGGAATACACAAACAGTGCCACAACTGACTCCCCCTCCGTGAAGACCCCATTAGATTCCAAGGTGCACTTCCTCATACAACAACAATCCAACTCTCACCAACAATCCTCATTCGAAGTTTCATCCACAGAACAAAGTCCTCAGTAGCAATTCTCCACCTTTAAATGTTCAAAAGTACTGCCATGGGGACTAAGACACAACTGGGACCTTTTTATTGACTGTTGATCTAAAGTTTTAGGGATCAGAAGTCTCTGAGAATGTGGTGACTTTTGGGGACCCTTCTACCAAGAAAAATGCATACAGACGAATTTTGACACAATTTTGACATGGTGGACACTCAGGATTCCATGTTGGAAAGGAATTCCAACTTAGATCCCTGCCGGCAAGTAGAACCAGGACACGGCAGGGAGCGGGAGGGACCTGAGAGACAGTGATTGTTGCCTGTTGACAGCTAACGGCCAACTTACACAGATTCCCCACACCCTAAAACCATCCCTGGTCTTCCCTGTCAAAAGGTTCTCAGCTTAAAAATCTATGCCTACACCTATGTCTTCCCCTTTATTTTTTATTGATGTGTGATATTTGTACATATTTATGGGGTTAATATGATATTTTGAAACATGTATGCAATGTATAATGATCAGAATAATTAGGATATCCATCATTTCAAACATGTATCCTTTCTATGTGTTGGGAACATTTCTAACCTTCTAGCTATTTGGAAATATACAGTAAATTACTGTTAACGATAGTCACCCTATTAGAATGTATTCCCTCTATCTAACTGAATGTTTGTACTCATTCTCTACCCCTCTTCATCGCCCCCTTTCCCAGTCTCTGGTAACCATCACTCTACTCTCTACCTCCAAGAGATCAACTTTTTTTGCTCCCACGTATACGTGAGAACACGCAATATCTGTTTTTGCCTTCCTCTAACTTTTAATCCCAGCAGAGAGACATTCATTCAGCCCATGGTCACACTCATTATCATCTGGAAGTCAGAGTGACATGGTGGACACCCAGGATTCCACACTGGAAAGAATCCCAATTTAGATCCCCGTCAGAGAGCAAAACCAGGGCAGAGCCAGGAGGGGAAGAGACTTGAGAGGCAGCAAGTGCTGACTGTTGACAGCTAATGGCCAACTCAGGAGATCTACAGAGAACAAGGAAGCAACCGAAGACCACAGAGAGGCTAAGACAAAGGCGGGAGATTAACACTCACCGGAATAATCCAGCAGACGGAAGGGGATAGAAAATCTCAAATCCTGCTTTAAAGAAATTTTGCCTGGAAAAATCTTTGAGCATGTGCCATGTACAAGTTTAAATAAGCAAGACAAACAGCTAGGGCTAATAAGTGTAAAAGCAGTGCTACTGATAAGAAAATAGAAGAGAATGACAAATTCCCAGGCAAAATGAGATACAGAAAATAACCATGTCAACAATGTACAACGGAACTGTCGATAAGTCCCCTCCATATCCTGGTCTAATTAAACCCTTTCTCACAAATGCCAGCAATCAATAAAAAATTATTTCTTATTCAATGTGGACTTCAGTTTTAATTACTAGCAGTACAACACGCTGTGATTCTGAGAGCATCTGATCTGCTTGAATATACTTCTTACCAAGTCTAAAAGAATGACATGATGACATAGTGTCTTCTTTCCTTTCCTCACCTGTAGCACTGTTGTTGGACTGAGGCCTTAGAAGGCCCCTGGGAGCAGCTGATGCATACAGCTTTATGAGTTCTTACAGAAAAAGAACAAAAGGAAGTTAGCAGACAAGGTGAGAATGAGTTAACTTCCATTCATTTTTTAACACCTTATACCCCTTAGAGCAAAAATAGGTGAGTTTGGAAATGCTTTAAAGGCCTTAAGCGACTTAAGCAACAAAACACAATGCCTATCCCTTCATGGACAAATTAGCCACAAGGTACATACCACAAAGGTACAGAAATGTTACTCTTTGATGCTATTTGCTTACAAAGAAGATCAAGAATCTTCCTGTCTAAAAATGTTCAAGCACTGAAAGAAATACATATTTATACACTTAAAACTGTTGCTGATTATTTTGATTTAGAGATTTTATGTCAAAGAGTTAAAATAACAGGTCAAATAAAATTTTTTTGCATCAAATATTAAGTGGATTTGCATTTCACATTGTCTAGATTTATTAATATGGAAGCTCTGGGAGACCAGGGTTGTGAGGTGTTGTTGTTGTTGTTGTTGTTGTTGTTGTTTTTGAGACGGAATCTCACTCTGTCACCCAGGTTGGAGTGCAGTGGTGTGATCTCCGCTCACTGCAACCTCCGCCTCCTGGGCTCACGCCATTCTCCTGCCTCAGCCTCCCGAGTAGCTGGGACTACAGGCGCCCGGCACCGCGCCCGGCTTTTTTTTTTTTTTTTTTGTATTTTTAGTAGAGACGGGGTTTCACCGTGTTAGCCAGGATGGTCTCGAACTCCTGACCTCGTGATCTGCCCGCCTCAGCCTCCCAAAGTGCTGGGATTACAGGCATGAGCCACCATGCCCAGTTGTGGGCATTTTTTTTTTTTTTTTGAGATGGAGTCTCGCTTTGTCACCCAGGCTGGAGTGCAGTGGTGCGATCTCGGCTCCCTGCAACCTCCAACTCTCTGGTTAAAGTGATTCTCCTGCCTCAGCCTCCCAAGTAGCTGAAATTATAGGCACGCACCACCACGCCCAGCTAGTTTTTGTATTTTTAGTAAAGATGGGGTTTCACCACGTTGGCCAGGATGGTCTCGATCTCCTGACAGCATGATCCACCCGCCTCAGCCTCCCAAAGTACTGGGATTATAGGCGTAAGCCACCGCGCCTGGCCAGGTTGTGCACTTTTACTTTAAAATTTGATACCTCTTGCACAATGCCAAAGTGTAGAAAGGGCATCCAACGAATACTTTCCTTGGAAGGACTACATATCAACTAAAATCAAAGATACAAAAAAAATCTCGGTGCCCAATTTCCTGAACACACAAGCTCATCCAAGGTCCTGAGGGTGTACATGAGAACAGAACTGTGGAGAAAGGCTTTTTAGTTGGCAGCCAGCACAGGAGTCTACCGTTTCCTCTAGCAAGTTAGCTTACTAACTTGCAAAGTCTGTCTGTCTTCCTATGGATCTGAATTTCACCTATGCTTCACCTCATGGCTAGAGGCACACACCACTCAGCTATGGTCTGCAGACTGAGGAACCCTGGGACCTTCTATTATTTTGCCACATTCTCAGGAAAACATCACCCCACACACAAACACGCAAGTATTCAAACAATGCCAGGGATCTGACTTGGGAGGTAAGATGCTTGGGAGATGGAGACACAGTGTTCCCCACCTCTTCCCTGTCCTACCGGCACCAGCAGGAGGTGGAAGCCCTATCCTGCCAGGGACACCATACCCACTGTCAGATGAAACAACATGGGTTCAAGTGGAAAGTTTTTTGTTCGTGCGCTCTATTCCTTTAACATCCTATTTTAACTAAAAACCATATGTTTTAATACATTAATTCTACCGTTTCAAAAAACTCAAGGTAAATCTACCTACAAGATTCGCTGCACTTGCAAACTGCAGATTATCAACAATAAGAAATATTTTCTGGGTTATTCAAAACATTGATAAAGCTCTTTCATCATTTTTTTAAAGAAGCTTTTAAAGGGGAAAATGAACTTTGCTTTTGGCCTCAGTTTTCCAAAATATGACGAAGAGGTGGAAAACAGCACAAACCAAGCCCCACCGGATAATTACAGTTATGCCTCATGTATCAAAATGCCCTTCCATCCTTCATAGCAGGAGCAACCTGACAGAAGGGTCAGTGCTCCCTGAATCCAAACTGCAGCACAGAATGAGAGCCTGCCTGGAAAAGAAGAATGGAACAGAAATACTCACACTCAGAAAAGACATTTCATCCCACCTATGAAAAATTTAAATACTGAGGTCACTCATCCCCCAGTACGCTTACTGAGAGATTACATGAAAAACCTAACCAATGCATGTAAAAAGTAACTAAAAATAATGATCTAGGGAGTACAACAAAAAGAAATACAGATGGAAAAAAATAAATGAATTCTAATGAACCATGTGGAAATCCTATCTGGATTTCTAAAAGTTCAGAAGGTACCACTGGGCGAGTAGGCAATTAACGGGCGGAAAGGAAGGGGAAAGGCACCCTTGGTCTCTACACCGAGCCTGGTCCCTACGCTGACACCATGCAGCCCTGGAATAATGTGGCTGGCTGGATGAGCTGGAGTTTTTCTACAAACAGAAACATCAATTTGTGACTTGCTTAAATAACCTCCTGTGGAGATTTTCACAATAACCTGAATTAACAAAATAACATTAATTCTGACTTAGCACAGAATTATGGTTACAAGATGATCATGACAAAACAGTTGAAGGTGGTGCTGTTTCTGCTGTCTCCAAGAATAAATCAACACGCTTGCGTCCCACCACTCACAACTACCGCATCAACTTTGGCAGAGGTTAACATTATCAAGTTTTTACAAAAGGACTAAAAAGGGACCACAGGGATATAAAGAGGGGTATGTATGGACCCCCAGAGAGTTAATCAATCAATAAATACATTATCCAATCCCCAACTCAACTACTCAAATCATGCAGCTATATTAAAAATACGAAGAATATTAAGGATGACCCTTGCAGTATAAAATGTAATGATTATTTTTATCTTTCAATGAATCAAAGTTCTCACCGTCACACCATTCATAAAATTGGAATTTTCAGAATACCTACTTTAAAGTATAAATCCATTAAGCGAAAAATGGAGGAAAAGTGAAAGGTGGGAATCAGAAAAGAGACAGAAGAGACAGGCGCTCAGCAAAACCAGGTGGGAGACGAAAGGGATTTCTGGGGATTTGAAAAACCTTATGGATTTATATTCATCGCTTGGATAATTGACAGTTTATTATTACTGAATTTACTTAAGCTTTAGAATTCGTGAATTAGGGGAATTCTGATTCAATGAAAAACCTTTCAGAGACACCCTAATGACTGAAGAATGAAGCACACTTGACGGCCTTGAACTGCTCCGTACCTGCCTGGGGTCCCGGCTCACCCTTCATCCACACCCTTCCCCATGACAGGCTGCCTCCAAGCCCTGCAGTCTGTAGAGAACACCTTCCTCCTCCTGCCCTAACCCAGGTCCCCACGGTACCTTGGTAAGGGGTTGCACCACTGCCACTGCACAGAACCAGACACCCTCTCCCTTGCGTGGCATCAGCATGCCCACCATGGGATACTCATCACTAGCAGGACAACACTGACCCATCTGCCCTCTCCCTGCTGGACCATGGACACCTTAAGGCCAAACACAGCTGACTCCAGGTGCACACTGGCTGAGAAGGAGTGGGTTGTGCAATCATGGGGGAGAATTTCTACAACCCTAGGGTACTGCAAAGAATGCAGCCATTCTAAATGAAACATAAGATCAGCTGGTAAGTTTTGAATATTTTTCTTTTTAAAGAGCTTTCACTTCTATTATTGGGATGTATTCTCAACATACTTCTAAATAATTATTGTTGGCATGGCCAGGCAAGGTGGCTTATGTCTGTAATCCCAGCACTTTGGGAGGCTGAAGCGGGCAGATCACTTGATGCCAGGAGTTCGAGACGAGCCTGGCCAACATGGCAACACTCCATCTCTACAAAAACAAAAAAGAGAAAAGAAAAAAAAATTAGCCAGGTGTGGTGGCTCACACCTGTGGCCCCAGCTACTTGGGAGGCTGAGGCACAAGAATCACTTGAACCTGGGAGGCAGAGGTTGCAGTGAACCAAGACTGCACCCCAGCCTGGGCAACACAGCGAGACTGTCTCAAAAAAAAAAAAAAAAAAAAAAAAAAAAGGTGTTGGCATGATCATTGGGTGAGAGAGAGAGATATACATTAAGTTTACATCCATCTCAGAACAAAGATTGAGGTGTCTGAAGCCCTGAAGTTAGGCAATGAAAAGCAAATCTTCTGGATACAACTGGATACAATGGACTATTATTCACCCATAAAAAGGGATGAAGTACTGATACATTACAACATGGATGAACCTTAAAAATATTATGCTAAGTGAAAGAAGCCAGACACAAAAGGTCACATATTATATAACTGCATTTATATGCACTATGCAAAATAGGTGAATCCATAGAAACAGAATGCAGACTGGTGGTTGCCAGGAGCTGAGCGGAAAGGGGAATGGGGATTAACTGCTTAAGGGGTACAGGCTTTCCTTGCGGCATGACAAATGTATTTTGGAACTAGATAGAGATGGCAATTGCACAACAGTATGAATATACTAGATGTCACTGAGTTGTTCACCTTTAAATGGACAATTTTATGTCATATGAATTTTACCTCTATAAAAAAATTTTTTAAACAAATCTCCCACCATATATACCAAAGAGGAAGTCCAAAACAGACTCCTGTTTTCTCTGAAAACACAGGGGCACTCAGTGGAGCTGGAAATAGAACAGTATAAAAGAATTATTCGAAGACGAAGAACTTACTGGTTATTAGAAAAAAACTACAAATTGTTTAAATTGGTTTAATATTTTCTATTATTTAATTATCTCTGAAAATGCTTCACAGTACTTATAAAATGTCCTCTTTTCTGTGCTAGAAGCCTCTATTTGTAATGAACTCTACTTTCCCTTATTTGGTAAAAGATCCCAGCATTCTTCCATATGTAATTCCTCTGGTGCAAACACTATACCAACATTCTGTGTGTGTTACTCAGGAAGGTTAATTATTTTAGCACATAATTTTTATTTCTAAAAGTTCCCCTCTTTCTTGTCTTGTGATAAAACTAGTGTAACAAAAAAACAAAAACAAAAAACACAATAACAAAAAAAATCCTGCCAAAGCCTGTTTGTGAATATTACTCCATTCCATTATAAATTACAAGATTTTCTGTGACTTTTTCTGGTTAATAAGGAGAAAAGTTATATCCCAGTAAAGACACGAAAGCTTCAGGTAATTAAAAGCTCTACTAAGTAATGAAAAGCTAATCCTGTAGTGAAGACGTGTGGGCTGAAAGAAGATGAGGTGTTAAATATGCAAACTAAATGTCTATTTATTGCTAATACAGCCCTCACAAGAACAAATCGGATGCCATGACAAGTGTTCTTATCAACAACATTTGTTTTCTTCAAGAGAATTGAAAAGCTAAAACATGGACTTCTGCCTGGCCACACACAAAGCACAGCCCCCTCCTAAGAACCCAGAATGGGAAAGAAAGCTCTAGAAGCAAAGTACATGGCCACTGAAAGCCACATACATGCTAATGAGGTCACGCTGGGCAAGGTGACATCGCAGCTGCAGAGCCTTGTTAGAAGTATGTGACATCTACAAGCACACCTGGACAACCCACTCATTTGGAAGTAGGCTTTATTCGGTCAGGAGTCTCTGAACGACTTTCCAGTCTAAGCATTCAAAATGAAGGCACAAAAGAGGTTAAAACCACTTAACCCAGTTGTAACAAGGGAATTTGTACCAGAATTTAAGATTACAACCTGGATGAGATCAAAACCCTTAGGCTTCCAAAGGGACTTCACAACCTTTCCAGGGTTCTGTGGATGCTACCTGTTAACACGGTTTACAATGCCTCACCAATAAGGAGAGATGGGTGGGGAGGTGAACAAGGCTACCCAGTCCATGCCAAGACAAGGACACATTCTTTGTTCTCAAAAAGAAAAAAAAAAAAAATCAGGAGTCCCAGCCACGTCAGGTGTACCACGGTGACTGTTGCTAAAATCAAACAAGCAAACAAACTAAGGCCCTCCAGGTCATTTGCAACCCTCAATTCATTTCCTGAAGTACAACACCAAAAATTAACAAAAGGAAAGTGGAAGGACCTAAACACATGAAGAAAAACAAAGCCAGACTGGAACAAAACATTTCCCTAACTAGGTTATGTAAGACGAGCACCATAGAATATGTCAACATGAAATAAGAGCTTATCAAAATGGCATTTACACACACTGCATTGGTTTTAATTTTCTCTCAAAGTTGTCTTTTCCTTTTAAATTTAGTTGACAAGTTAGAGTACATGTGATCTCTGTAACAGAAAAACTAAACATTGGAATATATGTTGTGGAGGAATTTTTTTTTTTTTTTTTTTGAGATGGAACCTAGCTCTGTCGCCAGGCTGGAGTGCAGTGGTGCGACCTCAGCTCACTGCAACTTCCGCCTCCCAGGTTCAAGCAATTCTCCTGCGTCAGCCTCCTGAGTAGCTGGGACTACAGGCACCTGCCACCACACCCAGCTAATTTTTGTATTTTTAGTAGAGATGGGGTTTCACCATGTTGGCCAGGATGGTCTTGATCTCTTGACCTTGTGATCGGCCCGCCTCGGCCTCCTAAAGTGCTGGGATTACAGACATGAGCCACCGTGCCCAGCCTGTTTTGTTTTTGTTTTTGTTTTAGTTTTGTTTTGTTTGGAGACAGAGTTTCACTCACTGCCCAGGCTGGAGCATAATGATGCAATCTCGGTTCACTGCAACCTCCACCTCCCGGGTTCAAGCAATTCTCCTGCCTCAGCCTCCCGAGTAACTGGGATTACAGGCACGTGCCACCACGCCCAGCTAACTTTTGTATTTTCAGTAGAGACGGGGTTTCACCATGTTGGCCAGGCTGGTCTGAAACTCCTGACCTCAGGTGATCTGTCTGCCTTGGCCTCCCAAAGTGATGGGATTAGAGGCATGAGCTACTATGCCTGGCCGGAATATATGTATTTTTGAAATATTTTTTCATTTAAAATTTTTTGTGGAACAAGTAATAGAATCACGAGGTTCACAAATCAAAATGAAGTCTGAGGCAGGCGATCACTTGAGCCCAGGAGTTTGAGGCTGCGATGGGCTATGCGCGTGCCAGTGCACTCCAGCCTGGGCAGCAGAGCCAGACTCCATCTCAAAAAAAAAAAAAAAAAGAAAAGAAAAGAAAAGAAAAATCAAATGATATAACAACTTTTATTCATTTCTTATATATTCCTCCAATGCTATTTATGCAAATATAATGGTCACTCTACATGTGCAGGATTACATATCATTCAGACCAAGTGAGCTACATCATCACAAAGATGGGAAAATGTACCCTGAGGTATCCAAACGAACATCATACAGGCCCCCAAACAGGGAACAAATGCTAGGCAGGCAAGATCGACTGATATAACAGGTAAAGAGCAATCAAGGGCAGTGTAGTTAAGATGTATGATTTGTCTGTTTCTCCCACTAAACAGTGAGCCCTCTGCAGCCAGAAACAGTGGCTTGCTCATCACTGTACCCCTCCATACCTAGAAGGGTTGTCTGGCACTTGAAAGGTGGCCAACAAATGTTTGTGGAATAAGTGCATCAACCAATATTCCATCATGGAGGACCTAGGGACTGAATGGGACCTGAAAGGATGGAGGAATATGGAGATACTTACAGAGGCAAAGACTGTCCTGGCAGGGACAACAGTTCAAGCTCACGGGTAAGACCACTAAGCCACTGGATGGAAATGTGGTTGGAGTCTGCCTCAAACCTCAGTGGAAAGGGGCAAGTTCCTGCAAAGATGCATGCATTCACATGGCCTTTCCTGCCTGGAGGTGACAGTGAGTGGTAGTACCTGCACACAGGGCTCTGGCAGACTCAACCAGGTAGCCAGTCTCAGACAAACTGTGGAGGCAAATTACGGAAGGTTTGATCCCTGGCCCTGTCCTCTGTGACTGGTCCATGAAGTCACTTTTCCTGCCTGGTATGAATGCTTCCCCGTCCATGTCCATCCTCGCTTCCTTCCAGGACTCTGTAGCACTTTCCCCTTTCTCAGTGTGGCTAGGCATTGTTTTCTCCCTCCCTCTCTGCCCCTGCAACTCATGTAGGACTCAGCAAAAGCTTGAGAGGTATGCAGTGACAGTACTGTCATGTCTCTGTGACACCCCAAGCCATCAGAGACAACGCCAGCCAACAACAGATGTGCACATACCCAGGTGCTCCACAGTGCCCCTGCAGACTCTCCTACTGGAGAACACTCTGGAACTCAGAGCCAGGGTTGCCCAAGACAGAGAGCTGCAGAGACCAGCAGTAGGACAGGCAGGTCACCTGTCCACTGGCACAGAGGCCAGGTGGTGTTTAGGCCCCGACTCTACCAAGAGGACAACAATCTACAAAGCTCTGTGCTAAACTCATCTCCAGTTTATTTTACATTTGGCAAGACGAAGCTGTTCAGTATATATGTCACTTTGAAATGCTTTCATAAATTAGACATCGAAAAGCAAACAACACGGCCAAGAAGAGCTGAGCGACAGCTCCTTTCCCATTTTTATCACTGTGGTATTATTTGGTCTGTATCGAAGGATGGGTAATCAGAAAACATAAGCCTTCTTACATAATACTCTCCAAATTGGACAGTGACTTGGAGTTCCCAAAACACAATCTCCATCCTAAAACCTCCTACATGGAACTGAAGAGCTGGACTAGACACATTCCAATCACTACAAGTGGTGCCAGTCTGGCCTCCTTCTCCTGCCCGAGACAACCCCTGGCAGACGCCCCGTTGCAAGAGCCAACATGCACACACGCCTGCAATGCCGCAGCGACATGCACTCAGCTCAGCTGGAGACACACAAGTACCCATGTAAATGGTCAAAATGTTCAAGTCTCACAGTAAATAAAGGCACTTGTATTACAGCTATCGTTATAAAAATCTGTAACACTTCAAGAGACCATTATGGAGCTATTAAAAAGATTTTGCATTCAGTTTTCAAGATGACTTAGGCAGAATGCCACCACTATAGTAATTACTTTATTTATCACTATGTAAACGGATTTTTTTTTTTTTGAGGCAGTCTCTCTCTGTTGCTCAGGCTGGAGTGCAATGACACAGTCTTGGCTCACTATGACCTCCGCATCCCAGGTTCAAGCCATTCTCCTGCCCTCAGCCTCCCAAGTGGCTGGGATTACAGATGTGCACCACCATGCCCAGCTAGTTTTTGCATTTTTTTTTTTTTTAAGTAGAGACAGGAGTTTCACCATGTTGGCCAGGATGGTCTCAAATTCCTGACCTCAGGTGATCCACTCACCGTGGCCTCCCAAAGTGCTGGGATTACAGGCGTGAGCCACCGCGCCCAGTCAGATGCTCAATTTAAAAAGAGAAACACAATTCATTTAAAAAGAGAAAAATGGTGTTCTCACACAATAACCAAGCAAAATGTGGCAGCAAAGGCAGTGGCTCTGTCTGCAAATACTGGTCATCTTGAATTAGAAGTCTCACGGTACCACGGGACAGGCAGCTGAACTGTTTGAGAAATTAAAAACTAGCAAAATAAAATAATTCTGCAAGACACATTGTGGCTGAACCTCAGATGGCCACACAGACACCTCTTTCATTAGCAGGTTCGGGCACTTTACCTTTCAGTCCTGATACACATAGATATCTTAAGCCAACTATGTGCCCCATGAACTAAAAATGCCTTGAAAATATTCAACTCTATCTGACATATTGCCCCAGGTCCCTACAAAACTTGAAAATAAATTTTATTTTATTCAGTACAGAATTGGTTAAGAAATCTTCTGACATACATGCATAGCAACAATTTCCAGGTCCTTACTTGTGCTGGCAATTTTGCAAGGACATGAAGCTATTTCTAGAGTATCTCACTGCAATAATACATGTGTTCATCAAACAGACCCCCTGGGGGGCCGTTCTTCTGTAATGCAGGGGAAGGTACTTCAATGTCGGACCAAGTCAGAGAAGTGCTTCGGCACTAACATCCTGACTTCCTGAGAAATGAGAGAACACACTAAATAATTCCAAAGACAGGACTGTTATTAAAACCAAGAACAGACATACACAGGTTTAACCTAACACTACTGTCCTTTCTGGGGCACTCTGGATAAACAGACTGTGAACATCAGACAGAAACACCTGCACTGAGATACAGATGGCAATACCCTCAAATTTGGGCCAAGCTGGCTAGGCATTTTGTCCCAAGTTTTCCAGCTGTGGAGTGAAGAAGTGCCCCCTGCCCCTGTGCGTGTGTACATACTTACAGGCATACAATTGATGTCATTAACATTGATGGAATGTATGATTTGCTATACTGAGTGATGGAGACAGAGGATGAGGACTCTAAGAAACAGTCCTTCCTGTAAGAGAAACATGCTGTATTATGCTTCCTTTATATAAGTATCCCACTTTCTTATAGTTGAGGGCAATCCAGCCCCGCTGATGCAGCACCACTCTCAGAACTGTTTCCAAATGCAGACATGCACATCTTTTTTCTACCTCCTTCTCACAATACAGCAAAGAAAAATGTACACAAATATAGTCTTTATGGGGAAGACAGTGGCCTGAATAAACATACTTGGTCCTGCCTCCCTCACAGTCCCCTCTCTAAAGTAACAAGGACAGTAATCTAATGAGCTTACAGGTAGTGCATGGGATGAGAGTGAGGGCCTTCTGAGGCCCTCAGGATCTCCCAAATCTCCAAAACAGAGAGCGGGTACAGTTCTCCATGGTCATTGTAACTGAGAGTCCATCCACAGGGAAGAAGGCCCTGCACCCTGCTCATCCTGCTGTCCCAGGTGAAACCAGAGGGAAGGGGGGCTTCCATGGAAGGTGGAACTGTTCCCAAGCCTTATGTTGTCGGAAGAGACTGGGAACAGAGCAACTCAGCGGCACAGTATCTGTTTCCTGGCTTATCACCTACCATCTGCTGGTCTGCCATTCCTTGAGTGACACTAACCCATGACTTGTGTGACGGCTGAGGGCAGCCATCGGCAAGCAAAGAAAAACCATGACCCACTGAGGACGACGCAGGAGCCTGAGGGAGGGTGACCAAGCTCAGCTGCAACAGGTGGCACCAGCTGAAACAGAACTAATCGAACCAAGAAAGGAGAACTAGACGGGAAGAGGAGTCTAAGAGCATATGTGGAGACACAATTGGAGTATAAAAACTTTCAGGAATTAAAAAAAAAAAAACACTTTAAAATTTTAAATTGAACAGAAAAGATCTGTTGCTCTAGAGTATCAGATTCTGGAGGATTAAGAAGAAGAAATGCGAGCGCCCAAGAGCAAGGAATAAGAATCTACTAGAATCCATGAGTGAAAAGACAGAGAACACATCCAGGAGACAGAGAAAGTCATGGGAACGGCAGAAATTGCGGAAATGCAAACCCTGGTGGAAGAATTAGTAATTTAATGCTGGTACCTATTTCAGGAGAAAAATACAGATTTTCAAATTGTTAGGCACCGGTAGCTTTGAAAATAACACACTTTTCAAATTAGCAAAGGACTTGTTCAATTAACATGGGAATTGAGAATAACAGAAAGTAAAATAAATGGCAACCATTGAATAAGATGAAAGCAATAAAGCAAAATGTATGCATTATCACAGTAAAGAAAGACAAGGCAGAACGTCCCTATTAGAGAACAAAAATGTCTCAATGGGTTTTAAAAGTCCAGCTCTATTTAAAAACAAACAATTGAACAAGAGTATACCAAGCAAAGTCAAGTAAAAAGAAAGCAAAGCTGGCAATAGTAAAATCAAACCAAGAACTCAAGGCCATTAAGCATTAAACTGGACAGAGAGGGATATTACATGTGATAAATATGTAATCCCTGAAAAATAAAAAAATTACACATATTGATGCATCAAGCAAAACGGCAGATAAATACACTAAGCATTTCTCTTGGAAATATGAAAAGTTTAAAAATTATAAAAGGGGCCCGGTGTGGTGGCTCACACCTGTAATCCCAGCACTTTGGGAGGCCAAGGCAGGCAGATCATTTGAGGTCAGGAGTTTGAGACCAGCCTGGCCAATATAGTGAGACCTCATCTCTACTAAAAATATGAAAATTAGCCAGGTGCAGTGGCATGTGCCTATAATCCCAGCTACTCAGGAGGCTGAGGCAGGAGAACCACTTGAATCCAGGAGACAGAGGCTGCAGTGAGCCAAGATCACGCCACTGCACTACACAGCCTGGGCGACAGAGTGAAACTCTGTCTCAAAAAAAAAAATTATAAAAGGTGCATCATTAACTGTCAATTTGACAACTGAAAACATACATGAATTTGGAAGATCTGACTATAATGCAATCAGTAAGTTTGATTTACTAAATACAGAAAATAAAACCTTTGCATTTTACCAAGGGCATAATTTTTTAATGTCCACAAAGCAATTAAAACTTAATCATGTACTTGGATGCAAGTAAACGTTAATAAATCCTCTCAGATACCTCAGAGCTGCATTCATAAATCATATAAACAATATCAAAAGGTAAGCAAAAGAAAAATTCAAGGACAGACATACTTCTAAGTAATGTCAGAATCAAAGATCAAATAAATATTTTAATTACAAACCATCTAGAAAACAACAAAAAGGAGATCAACTGTCTAAAACCAAAAATACGTAACAAAAGCAATTTTCAAAGAAAATGTATAGCCTTAAATGCCATTATTTTAAGAAGACTAAAAAGCAAATGAGACAGGCATTCAACTTAATAAACTTAAAGGAATGGAAAAAGTGAATAAAAATTAAATACTGAGATGAAATTAAAAGCAGGATAAATATAAAATTAATATACCTAGTTTTTTGAAGACAATAAAATATATAAACTTCTAACAAACTTGATTAAGGGGGAAAAAAGCAAAAAAAGAGCAAAAATATGTGTTAGTAATGAGAAAGGGTTATGATTACCAGAGAAATGATAACAATATTACAAATAACTGTGCGATAAACTCAAATTGTAGATAAATTCTTTCCCAGCAAGTAGAAAATATCAAAATCCAGAGAAAAGGCTTAAAAGCTGAACAGAACAACTATAATATATTCTGAAAAACTAAAAAATTTGTTTTAAAATGTTCTGGGATGGGACTACAGGGGATGCCTATGAAGTTTTCCAGTTAATTTTACTCTAACTTAAAAAAAAAAAAAAAACAGGTTATTTCCTATATTATGTAAATGCTTCTAGATGCTGGGAAAGGGTGAAATTCTTCTTAAATTATTTAAAAAACATAATCCTAATATCAATACCTGATAGAATGCAAACAAGGAAAAAAACTAAAGACCCCTATCTGTAGGGCTTTGTAGGCTACAGTCACAATTTTTAAAAAAATATTAGCAAATCAAATAGCAACATATCCAAAGATTATCACACCATAACAAATTAGGGCTTATTCCAGGAATGCAAAGATGATTCAATATTGGGAAATCTAATCAACGTAATTTATTACACCACCAAATAAAAGCAAAAGCTCACAATTATATCATGCCAAAAAGGCATTTCATAAAATTCATCAGCCTCTTCCGATAAAAATTAAAACATGAATGAGTATACACAACTTAAATATGATAAACTATATTTACCAAAACTTAACATATTCCTTGTTAAAACACATTTTTTTATTTAAATCAGGAACAAGGCAGTAATGCCTTTTTTTTTTTTTTTTTTTTTTTTTTTTTTTTTTTGCAATGGAGTTTTGCTCTGTCATTCAGGCTGGAGTGCAGTGGCACGATGTAGGCTCACTGCAACCTCCGCCTCCTGGGTTCAAGCAATTCTCCTGCCTCAGCCTCCACTGCCACCACGCCCAGCTAATTTTTGTATTTTTAGTAGAGACAGGGTTTTGCCATGTTGGTCAGGCTGGTCTCAAACTCCTCACCTCAGGTGATCCACCCACTTCAGCCTCCCAAATTGCCGGGATTACAGGCATGAGCCACCATGCCCAGCCAGCAATACACTTTTCTATAGTACCAGCAAAGATGGATGTATACACATACACGAGTCAATTTACTGTAATCCTGTTTCATTAGTGAAACACAGAGAAAGAAAAAACAAGAAACCACATGACTGTCCATCAACAGATGATGGCTCGACTAAACTATGAATCATCCATTTTGTGAACTGCTGAAATTTTAACTCGTTTCAAACTCCGCAGCAACTGACCTAAATTGATATCCATACACCGAGAAAAAGTAAAAATGTTACGAAAGACTATATAGAGGCTATTCACTATACTAATAGCATGATCTCATTTTTATAAAAACCCAAAACTATACTGCATATATGCATATATCTTTCCTAAAGAAGATTAACGAGGACACACAATTTTCTATATATATCTTTTATTTTACACTAGCATCACTTTTTGTTTTTATTAAAGAGAATTTTAAAGAGACCAGATATACACATATATATCTGTTTCGATAACACAAAGCACCTTCTAGGCACACAATATTTAGAAAAGAAATTCTCTGCGTATTGTTTCTTGGGAAGGTAGGAAGGGTGAGCACTGCAGCAGCTATCCTCAGGTCAACCTAGGTGTGAATCCTGACCTCATTGAGTAGCAAGTTCTTTAGTCTCTAGGAGCCTCTGTTCCTTCATCTGTAAAATGGGGATAATTTCTCCCACCTCTCATTAGCCTGTTATGAGGATTTAATGTTTACACCTAACCTGCAAATCAGTCATTACTAGCGTTCTTTTATTCCAAGCTCATTCCTCTCAAAAACAAAGACAGAAAGAAGGAACCAAAACTTCCCTCCCTGTGGTTTCCAAGAGCTGCCTGGCAGTGCCTAACCATGGCTGTGCTGCTTCGGAACGCAGCAAAGGTTCAGTGGGGACTCCTGTTCAGTGTTCCTGGAGCTGCCAGCGTGAGTCAAAGGTGAGCTGAAAACGCTGGTGGTCCTCAGTTTTCATGTTGGGAGTTTATCACAACCACAACACCAACCTTCAGCTTCTCAACTGGTACTTAAAAAGCAGCAACTCACTCAAATACTCACAGGCAGATTCCTGGCAGGAGCAGGGGATTTCCTGGAGATCGCTTAAGACTCTTTTGGACAATGAGAAAAGGACAAAAAGGAAGCACTAGTAGAGCCCTCTACTTCCAAATCCTCAGGTTCCCCTCCAAGACAGAAAGGCAGAAAGAAAACATCAGGGAGAGCCACAGATACTGCAGCCTAGCTCCCTGGATTAATTAAGGCTCATTAAAAGCAGAAAAGAAAAACGAAAGGGAAAACTTGGAGACCTGGTTACCTCCCGATCCTGATACTGATCCCATTCTGTAAGCTATTATTAATAACAAAATATGAAGAAGAAAAAAATTATCAACAGGAAAGGGAGTTAAATTGTGCGTTAAATATACATTTAAATTTTCTGAAAAAGGAAAACAAGGCTTCCCTGAGAAATGAGCTGGCTGGAAGGAAGGCTGGAGCCCTGCAGTATCAAGAAGCAGATCTGTCCCAGAGGAGGGAGGGCACAGAAAATTCCTGCAACAAAGACTTTTCAAGAGTGAAAAGGAAAAAGCATCTCAGCTTAAACTGAAAGTATCCTTTCTCTGTTATAGAAGGAACTCACATACAAGAGAGACCTCCCAACTCACATCTTTGTATCTCACATTTTCCAAGATACTTGTTTCATGATCCAAATAATATCATAAAAAGTAATAAAACCATCTGTAAGAAACATTAATTCGCCATGGTTTGGCTAACAGAATTCTTCACCATCTCCTCCCAGATGATAACATTAAAAGCTAAATGAAATGAGTCAAAAGCTTCTTTTGTATAAAATCCAATTAACTTTATAAATATACTCTCAGGAGGAAAAAAAACCCACATCTCCTTGAAGAGCAGGAATTTATATCAAAATTTATATAATTATTGGCCAGGCATAGTGGCTCACATCTGTAATCCTAGCACTTTGAGAAGCCAAGGCAGGTGGATCGCTTGAGGCCAGGAGTTCGAGACAAGCCTGGGCAACATAGAATGACCCCGTCTCTACAAAAAATACAAAAAAAAAAAAAAAAAAAAAAAAGCCAGGTATGGTGGTGCATACTTGTGGTCCCAGCTATTTGGGGGGCTCAGGCGGGAGGATTGCTTGAGCAGAGGAGGTCAAGGCTGCAGTGAGCCGAGATCGTGCCACTGCACGCCAGCCTGAGACCCTCTTTATTTAAAAAAAAAAAAAGGCTGGACGTAATGGCTCACACCTGTAATCCCAGCACTTTGGGAGGCCGAGGCAGGTGATCACGAGGTCAGGAGATCAAGACCATCCTGGCTAACATGGTGAAACCCTGTCTCTACTAAATACACAAACAAATTAGGTGTGGTGGCACGTGCCTGTAGTCCTAGCTACTTGGGAGGCTGAGGCAGGAGAATCGCTTGAACCCTGGAGGCGGAGGTTGCAGTGAGCCAAGATCATGTCACTGCACTCCAGCCTGGGCAACACAGCAAGACTCCATCTCAAAAAAAAAAAAAAAAAAAAATAGTATGATTTTCCAGCCCTAAACATATTCTTTATCTCATCTGAGTAACTTTGGCTACTATTTTAGGTTTTCCTTCTGCAATATTTGATATTGATTGAAATAATGCATTTTAACTAAAATTGAATTATGTATCACTTATAATAACAAAGTCAATTTAATATTATACACATCATTAGTTTGAGCCATATTATTCACATGTCAGGTACATTTGGGGGATAAGGCTCACATACTTTCTTTTTTTTTTTCTTTGAGACGGAGTCTCGCTCTGTCGCCCAGGCTGGAGTGCAAGTGGCACAATCTCCGCTCACTGCAAGCTCCGCCTCCCGGGTTCATGCCATTCTCCTGCCTCAGCGTCCAGAGTAGCTGGGATTACAGGTGCCCGCCACCACGCCCAGCTAACTTTTTTTTTGTATTTTTAGTAGAGACGGGGTTTCACCGCGTTAGGATGGTCTCGATCTCCTGGCCTTGTGATCCACCCGCCTCGGCCTCCCAAAGTGCTGGGATTACAGGCGGGAGCCACAGTGCCCAGCCAAGGCTCACATATTTTCGTTAATAAACACTCTATTCTTTAAAAGTGAATTTTGATGAAAACGACTCCCCAGACAGCAGGACCCATTATCCAGGATGGCCACATGCCCTGAGCTCTCACAGTTCTGATTTTATAGAAAAATGACCTGGTGTGGGCTCAGAAAACAGTCATAAATGTCAACAGTTCACACACGAATGTTTTGTGGAAAGCATCTGCTTGTCATTGGCTAATATAGAGGCAGGAAGGTCTGGAAGGGTAAATGAGCAACTGCCAGGTATCTGAGCAACTGTCTGAAAGGTTTGGGGCCACCTCAACTCAGCACGCAAAGAACCCATACTGTCTACAAGTCTGCACAGAGGAACCCTAGGAAGACAGCCTGATGCCCTAATTCCCGTGTAAACAAATACTGACACAGACTCACAAAATACATGTATAATACAAACAGTGAAGAGTCTGTATTATGTAAGTTGTTTATACAGAAGACTGACTTGGGCTGGGGAAGGGAAAGGGTGGGAGACGTCCACACAAACCACAGCATATATCCAAACAATTATGTTATTTGTTCTTCCCTTATTTTTCTTATTCGTGGGAAGCTTCTCCCAAAGACAATGTGAACATTTCACACATAGGCTTTAGAAGCATAGGTCCGAGTCTCAACAGGTAAGCTGTTTGGAAAGCAACTTGGCCATATGGGTCAAGAGCTTTAAACTGATACCTTTCCACAGAAATCCTATTTCAAGGGACGTATTGTAGGGAGATAATTTGAAATAAAGGACAAAGATTAAGTAGTACAACAGAGTTTGCTGCAGCCTTCTTTACTTATAAAAAACTGGGACCAATGCAAATGCCCAACAATGGGGAAACTTTAAGAATGTTACGGTTCCTTCATCCCATGTCACTTTACACTACCATTAAAATCAGGGTTACAGCCTTTTGAGAGTTGAGGGGAGAGGATCGCTTGAAGCCAGGCATTCAAGACAGACACCTGGGCAACATGGCGAGGCATCACTTCTACAAAAAACTTTTTTTTTTAGAAATTACCTGGGCGTGGTGATGCACACCTGTAATCCTAGTTAATCAGAAGGTTAAGGTGGGAAGAGCACTTAAGCCAGGAGCTCAAGGCTTCAGTGAGTTACGATGGTACCACTGCACCCCAGCCTGGGTGACAGAGCAAGAACACAGCTCTTAAAAGAAAAAATTAAGCTAATAAGGAGTGTATGTCGCTGAAAGGCTTTTAAATGCTAGGAAATAAACATGTAACGATCAGAGGCTCAACTACACTAAAATGTGTTTGTTTTAAACATCTAGAAGAAGGCCGGGCATGATGGCTCACGCCTGTAATCCCAGGACTTTGGGAGGCCGAGGTGGGTGGATCACTTGAGGCCAGGAGTTTGAGATGAGCCTGGGCAACATGATGAAACCCTGTCTCTACAAAAAAAACACAAAAATTAGCTGGCCATGGTGGTGTACACCTGTAGTCCCAGCTACTCGGGAGGCTGAGGTGAAGAGGATCACCTGAGCCTGAGTAGGTAGAGGCTGCAGTGAGTAGTGATCACGCCATTGCACTCCAACCTGGGTGACAGTAAGATCCCGTCTCAAAAACAAACAAAAAACTAGAAGAAAATACACTTAACTGTTCTCAGAATGCTGGAGTTATAGGTGGCTACTTTTCTGAGTTTTTCCAAATTCTTAAGCTTAGAGACAAATTTTTAACCCTGAATAGTTTTAGGCAATTATTTTCTTTAAGAGACAGGGTCTCCCAATGTTGCCCAGGCTAGGCTTGAACTCCTGGCCTCAAGCAATCCACCCTCCACAGCCTCCTGAGGAGCTGGGATTACAGGCATGAGCCACTTTGCCCAGCAGTTTTGGGCAATTTTTATGAACAGAACAAAATGAAACCAAGGATGACAGAATACCATACTAGGCTCAGAAGATTTGGACTGTGGCTCCAACTCTGCTCTTGGACAAATCCCTAAACATCTCAGAGCATCAGTTTTGCACCTGGACGACGAGAAGCTGGACTAGATAAATCCAGGGGCCCTCCTAGGCCAAGGGCCCTTGATCAGGGAGGCCAGCCCCCTTGCCTGTGACCCACAAAGTCTCAGGGCACAGGGAAACAGGGAGAAGCGCAAAACTGCCCAGGCCAAGGGACCCCCCAACAAGGGAGCACAGCCAGGTGCCCCAGTGTCACCTGATGTGAGGCCTTTCTCAGCTCTTTCAGTCCTGCCTGCACCTTAGACTTCCAGATGCTCTATATACTGAGGGAATGGACTCTTCAGGTAAGAGGTTGAGAATGACAAAAGAGAAAGGTAAGAACTTTCACTGGAATCAAAATGGTATTGCTATATGCAATTCCCTCTCACAGCTTCATATCCCTTAGAGGTAAGGAAAAGGAAGAAGAAAGGATGGTCCTTCTGGGATAGAAGTCGAGCAAATATCTTTGTTCACTAAGAAATAAGGAGAACAAAATACCCAAGTAGAACAGATTCTTTTTTTAAGCCAAAAAAAAAAAAAAAGCCTAAAAATATTTTAAAAGTCTAAAACGATAAAATTATTTTTTCAGGTGGCACCATGAACGTTATGGTTAAGTAGTCTAACCAGAAAAATGAGAAGTGTCCCACCATGCTGTCACCTGCCTAAGCAGCCTAGCAGCAGCCAAATCGAATCTCTTAGGCAAAATATGGGATGATAGGATTACAGAATTAATTTTCCTGTAAGGCATAATTGTTACTGACTTCATGTCATTACAATGTCAGCTCATCTGGTAGACGATTGCTATTACATTCTAATTACAAAAACACACAAACAATTTGTAACCATTCATTATTAAATAACAAGTGAGGCCATGATAGCTAATGGAAACTTAGAAAAATGAAAATTAAAGGCAAACTGGACAATAAGTGCTTAATAAATTAATCAATTAGTCTTGATGAAATTTCTCAATTGCGTTACCAGGTAACCAGCCCTCAGATTACCTGGTAAACATACTTCTAAGAGCCATGTTGTTTAAACTTGATTAAATGTCAGAATGACCCAAATCACTTTGGGTCACCAAGACCAAAGAGAAATACAAATATTTAAGATACAGCTTTACCTTTTACCTTGGCACTAAAAAGAGCAGCATATCCCCTTGGCTGTCTAACAACAAGGTAAGCACAGAAACAAGAATTTTAAAAATAGGCAAATTAAAGGGTATTTACGTAATAAAAAGATTTATTCTGTAAAAAAAAAAAAAAGGATTTATTAAATTCTACTGCAACTATGCTAAGCCTACCTAAATGAAATTTTTTAAACAAGGAAAGAAATAGGCAATAGTGTCCTCCAAGAACAACAAAACTTGAATAACGGGCAATTGACAGGCCCTTAAATAATGCACAGTGGAGGTCTCATGGAAAGAAAAGAGATAATTCCCACCCTGACCACAGCACACAACCCCTTTAAGATATTCCACGTGCAATATGTGAGTGTCCAGTGGAGTCTAAATGTAGCTTACATAGTACCTCCTCCTGGCTCTTAATTCTAACAACTTCTGGAATAACCACTGTAGCTACTGAAAATCAAGTCCTAAGGGTAGAGCAAGAATGGCTCAAGAATAAACGCAATTAACTAAATGTTTGCAGTGAAGATACCAACTTACATATATCCATTGCCAATGGACTAACTACTTACATGGCAAAAAGTGTTCACATACTCTGAAAGCTGACAAAGGCCAGTGAGTTCTACAAGTGAATATTATAAGTCATAGAAGCGATTTGTTTTAGATCCTACAGTTTTCTAATTTTCCAGTTTCCTACAGTTTTCCAATTTTCCAATTCTGGAGTGCAAGTCAATAGAAAATGACGATTTGCACGCTCATTTCCACTTTACACATAATTGCTAAAGAATGCACCTAATGAGTAAAGAAATTAAAAGGTGTGAAAGTGTACACGGACTGCATGTGGTGGCTCACGCCTGTAATCCCAGCACTTTGGGAGGCTGGGGAAGGAGGATCACTTGAGGCCAGGAGTTTGAGACCAGCCTGGGCAACACAGCAAGACCTCCATCTCTACAAAAATAATAATAATAATAAATTTGCTGGGCAAGGTGGCTTATGCCTGTAGTTCCAGCTACTCAGGAGGCTGAAAAAGGAGGATCCCTTGAACCCAGGTGTTTGAGGTCCCAGTGAGCTATGACTACACCACTGCACTCCAAAGTGGATGACACAGCAAGATCCTGTCTCTAAAAAATTAATCAATTAATACTTAATTAAAAGTTGTGCATGCAGAAGTAAATATGAAAGCATTATATTTGTCACATGAGAAACATTTCTCTGATAGAAATAAGAAAATCAGAAATAAAAATTAAGGGAAGCATTTTTAGTTTTGGAATTATTCAAAAGGTAATTTATCTCTTTATCTTCATTTATCTCTTCCAAATATATTACCGAAATCTTTGGCCTAACGAATCCACACCCCTCTCCCAACACACACATGAAATATATGTAAATCAGTTGGCTACTTATACTAATGCTATAGGTGATATTTTTAAGCGTCAGTAAGTATTTTTAACAGTCATTTCCCAACAAATTAGTGATACTCAGTACATTATAATACATTCAAACCAAATTTGGTCATAGTATCATCTCTCTCTAGCTCTTGAGAAATACAGCAGAACTTTATAGACTCTCCAAAAAGTCCCGACCACAGAGTGTCAACCCACCATTTAACTCACTGTCCAGAGGCTTTTTTAAAAATCTCCAAATCTCCTTCTAATCCACTAATCTCTTCAGGACCACCCGACACAGTTCTCATGCTCACATACCTCTGCTTATAAGATTTAGTCGTCAGAGGGAATCTAAGATGCAAAATAACCTATATTCAATTAATCGACTTGGCACCAAAAATAACTTACCCTGATTTATTACAAATTGAGTAGTGCCAGGGCACAGTGGCTGTAATCCCAGCACTTTGGGAGGCCGAGGCGGGCGGATCACCAGGTCAGGAGTTCGAGACCAGCCAGGCCAACATAGTGAAACCCTGTCTCTACTAAAAATACAGAAAATTAGCTGGGTGTGGCGGTGGGTGCCTGTAATTCCAGGTACTCAGGAGGCTGAGGCAGGAGAATCACTTGAACCCGGGAGGTGGAGGTTGCAGTGAGCCGAGACCATGCCATTGCACTCCAGCCTGGGTGACAAGAGTGAAACTCTGTCTCAAAAACACAACAACAACAACAACAACGACAAATTGAATAGTGTAAGTGTATAAATGAATGGGAACTGATAGAGCTATAGTTTGAAGAGCAAATTGCTGGAGTTGCCGGCTTGATTTTACATTACACTGCACTTACATTTTCTCCTGAACATTTGGCACTAGAGAGTTAAATAACTGATAGCTTGAAACAATTAATCACAGCGATCCACGCACCTGGTGAATTACGAGTTCATCCATCAAGAGAGCATAGGTTCAACTCAAGAGATATGATGTAAGAACAACACAGCTCCAAAGCCATGTGTCAGAGTTTCTTTGCCAACCATAATTAGTGAAATTACTGACACCATTCAAGTGCCAAGAGGTTCAAAGAAATAACGAACAACACACACCCATTTAGCCCTTTGAATTCTTTACCACATGCACCTGGGGGCCTCAACTCTCAAATTAAAAGGCAAAACACAACAACCAAACAAGCAAGTTCTTTTGAAACCCAAGGGGAAATTTAATCAGCAGACCTTGTGACTTGAACAATGACAAGGAAAAGGAGACCAAAGGAGAACAAGTTCATGTTGTCTGGAAATATTCCTTTCTGCAAACTAAGAAAATATCTAGTTTTGCCTCCACTGGTGTAGATGATTTTAGAAGCACTCAGGACTGTGGGGAAGACACTCATGGAGCAGGGGCTGCCGGGATGACTCATCTGAGAGGCGCCCTGACAGTGTACAAGGTGTGCTAAGTTACACTAAAAAGACATCTATCCAGGAGGCATGCACTCACACCTTTTGTTTGGTTTTCCGGCAAGTCTGCAAGAATGCCATCCAAGAGACCAACCTAGACAGAGTTCCAGAGAACCCTGCACCTGAGGAGATAGCACTAAGTTTTGATACATAATGCAAGCACAGACTTTTAAAAATGATACAAAGATGTACACTGAGGTGTGTCACTCCCATACCTGTCCCGACCTAGATGTTTCCCCACCTACCCCGGTGAATCATCGTGTTTTTCAGTTACTTGGTTTCCCTTCTAGTGTCAGTCTGCACAAATACAAGCAGATGCAAACATGCAGTCTTATTTACCCTCCTTAACTTTACAAAAAAGAAGCCTGCCTTGCCTTCTCCACCTAATATACTGGAGATCTATTCACAGGGGTGCAGGGCATACTTGTGGTTTCTCTCAGCAGCAGAGCATTCCATTTTGTGCATATATCTTAGTGTATTAACCAGTCTCCCACTGAAGAACACGTGGGTTATTTCTAACGTATTACTATCAAAAACAATGCTGCAATTTGTATGTGGGCAGGTGTATTGGTAAGATAAATTCCTAGAAGTAGAATTTCTGGGTCAAAGGTAACACGCATTTATAACGCCAATTTGCCTTCCATAAAGGTTGTACCGTTTTACACTCTCAACAGCAATGTATAAGAGTTCTTGTCTCCCTGGAGTCTTGACAAGAGACTGTTGATAAATGTGTAGATTTCAGGGCAGCTTTAAGCCTCGGAACAGGAAAGAGAAAACGGAAGTTTCTCCAAAGATGAATTTGAAAAGCTGTCAGGAGTTTCAGCCATCTTTCATAAAGAAATCTTCAATTCCTCAAAGATTTTTTTTTCACTCCTTTATCCTCAGGACATCATAACAAAACCACAGAGGTGTCCTGTTCCTGCCCTACCAGGGCCCCATTCAGGCCAGTTCTGATGTCCTCTCTTATTTCAAGTGAGAGGCAAGAAAGACAGGAGAAGGAACCCAGGAGACAGGGCTCTGCCACTTAGGAGCTCCTGACTGGGCCACCGGCTTTCTGTCTCTGCACCACCCAGCTTCCTCACCTGTAACAGGTAGTCAGCGATGACACACAACCACATGGGGCCACTAGTGGGGAAGTGCTTAGTGCGGCTAGTGACACAAGGCACATCCTCCAGGAAAGAATAACTGGTGTCATTTTATAATAAAGGCATGGCCATCATTTTGTAATATCAAGAGTGTAACAAAGTATAATTTAACTCCTGTAATTCAGTAGAAAGCTCAATCAAGTAAATGGATACACAGATACTGTTGCTTTACTTGAGAAGCATGACTTCCTTCTCCCTATATTAGCTAATACTGATAGAAAAAGAAGTGACCATTCAAACAAATGCAACCATCCCTTAAAACATGAAGTTCATGTTCAATTCTACTAGGCTAAAAAAGTCATAAGAGAGTTACTCCCAGACCTCCAGGTCAGAGGACAAGGCTACGATTCAATCCTGGCTCCTCTCAGAGGCAGCAGAACAGGAGGAAAGGAGCCCAGCACTAGTCCTCCTCCTGAGGGACTCTGGGAATGTTTCCTGGCCTCTCCAGGGCTTAGGGTCCTCATCCATCAAATGAGGAGAATGGTAGTTTCTTCTCATAAGGTTTGATAAGGATCAAACAAGGAAAGCATATACAAAGTTCATCACAAACGCCAAAAGAAAAAAAAAAAACAGAGCAGTTTGCATTACCGTCATGTTTAAGGGGCCATCTGTCCTTCCTCTTACCATCCAAAGCTAATCCCTCCATCTGTGCTTTGGCCTGTCCTCAGACCTCTGGGTCCTTACTGGAGCTCTCCCCTTCTGTCTCATGGATCCACCCTTCCCTCTCAGCAGAGTCCCTTCCATGGACTTTTAGCCCCCCTCTATCTCTGTTGGGGAAAACAAGATCCACATTCCACCTCTGCTCCTCCCTGGCTGCCATCCCACCTCCCCTGTGCACAGCCATGCTTCTCTACTTCTTCAGTTCCTCCCCTCCCCACAGTATTCCTCCCTCTCCAGAGCTGCTTCCAGCCATCACTTCATTCATCAGCTCTCAGGTGAGGTCCTCAAAGGCCTCCCCTCTTGCAAGACCCAGTGGAGGTCTTCATTTCTCACTCTGCTTGGCTTCTTAGTGGCTTTTAGCACGTTGTTCTCCTTAAAACCCTCCTCTCTCCCTGGAAGCCTGGCCATCACACTCGCATGCTTTCCTCGCTGTGCTGGAGCCACCTGGGTCCCTTTACAGCTCATGATCCTCTACCTGGCCCTTGAACGCTGACGTCCCTTTAAGCTCCATCCCCAGAATTATCTCATGTGTGTTTCTACTTTCCAGGACCACCTAAACCAAGTCACTGCTGGGAATTCCTTCTCGGCACCAGTCCACATTTCCAAATGCCTGCTTGACTCAGAAGTGTCTCAAACCCAGTATCTGCAAAAATCAAACTCATGCTCACAGTCCCCACCTGATCTTCCTCCAGCATCTCCTAGCTCAGTAATGGGCATTGCCATAGTTGTCATCCAAGCCAGAATCCTGGACATTATCTTTGATATCCTGCTCACAAGCCCACCCCCAACACAGGCCTGGCCAATTTTACTTCCTACTCTCTCTGCAGTCAACTTATCTCCACCACTAGTCCAAGTTCACTTTGCCTTTTGCATTGCCTACTCCAATTGCTTCCTGATTGGCTTCCTCCCTAATCTATTCTTTACACTGTGGCCAGGATGAATTTTTTAATGGAAATATGACACATACCCCACCTCTGTTTAATGTTCTACACTAATCTCCCACTGATCCTTTGGTGAAGACAAAACCCTCAACATGGCTTCTGGGGCCCCATGTGGCCCGCCTCCAGGTTCCCCACCTTTCCACCCCAAACCCTTTCCACATTATTTCTTTTCCTTCTTGGTCTCATGGCATCATGTCTGGCCTTTGTGGGATTCAGCACACATACAATGTTCTATTTGTTTGTGGCTGGGGTGATTAGGGTGTCTCCGACAGTTAGTCGAACAGTTGTATAGAGATGCCACTCTACACAAATGACTCCAGGGTGCCTAGTGGGCATTTACTAGGTATTCACGTAATGAATGAACAAGGAGATGAGTGACTCACTGGCCCAGCCCTACTCCAAATGACATGAAAATTCGTTACCTCAAAGGTACATTGTAAGAACTTGGTAGTATACCTGTGTCATGGAAACACAGTTTATTGTGTTTCCATTTCTAAATCTTATCCACAACAAATTGTTTTTTAAAAGTAATGAATTTCCGTCTTACTTCCCGTATGTTTAAATCCATCTAATTTGTACTTTATTTTCAAAAGTTAGAACACATTAGGACTAGTCACTGGTAGAAAAGGAAGTAAAAGAAAAAAATAACGAACAAAACCTATTTACTATGATATCATGATTACCACAACACACTGTTTCCTTAAGGGATTTACACTGCACTCGCTGGAGTGCAATGACACAATCTTGGCTCACTGCAACCTCCTCCTCCCAGGTTCAAGTGATTCTCCTGTCTCAGCCTCCCGAGAAGCTGGGATTACAGGCACCCACCACCAAGCCTGGCTAATTCTTGTATTTTTAGTAGAGACGGGGTTTCACCATGTTGGTGTCAAACTTCTGACCTCAGGTGATCCACCCGCCTCAGCCTCCCAAAGTGCTAGGATTACAGGTGTAAGCCACCACATCCGGCCCATTGTGAGTGCAATTAGATGCAGGCAAGCCAATGTTTGTAACAAGTAAAAACAATATCACTTTGAAACAGTCCAAAATGATCAGTACTACTTTTTGGTTTTTAAATATAAAATTTAAAATGTGAACTTCAGCAAATTGTATGCTAACAACATAACACAGGAGTTCTTACCTTCTGGCTGGGACTGTTTCAGATCAAGCCACACTAGCCTAGGGTTAACTCTACAGAATTATTTTAATCCCTTTGGAAAGTGTTACAAACACTGCCACTGTGTCAGAGCTCCTCCACCCGCGTAAAGATGCTCCAGGAGCAGCCCCAGCCCTCGTCCACCTTGCCCCCCACCACAAGCATCTCCACACCTCAGGCAGACCAAGCCTCTCACCACTCCTGCTGGCTATATGAATGATCAATAGCAGCACTAGTTATGTGGGGTTTATTTTCAAATTTTATTAAATTCATCATTTATCCATGAACTGATCTGTTTTAGATCTGGCTTCATGCTGTCCATACTCCAGGCCTAGGCTAACCTTGAACAGATATTTAACAGGATATGCTGTGAGAAGGCTGGATACACTCCTCCGGAATAAGATCTGATGTTTAAAGAGGTTCTCCCCCAACCCAGCTGAATGTCAGGTGAACCATTTCAGAACACAGCTAGGGAAGAAAACACTAATAGCCTTGGCTTAGCAGGGACAGACCAATTCTTAAAGGGCTAAGTCAAGTTCCCTTGCCTCACAATGACTTAACTTTGACCTCCCACTCTGTTCAGCTACTACCACAAACTAGGCACCTCAATCCTTTCAAGCATACTGCAGGTCTTTCTTGAATACATGTGCACATGTATACAGGTGTGCATATACGAACACAAACAAATTACATAGAAATCTAGACATACAACTGCCTACAGTTTTATTACTAACCACATGAAAATCCCCATGGAGGAGGAGAAAAACAGAGACATGCCTTTAAATTTATTAAAAGTTTTACACCAAGACTTGATTTTATGTCTTCATGACAATTCTTTGCATACAGTATCTCCTGGGAAAACCCAACAACTCTCTGCAAGACTCTCTAGTTTGCAAAAGACTCTACAGAAGAAGAAATGCGGGAGGACGGAGCAGTGCTGGACTAGCTCTGTTCTTCACCCTTGTTCCCCGACGTGCAGAAATGCAGCACCTGAGAGTCCATCAATGACCTGGAAAGACTTGGCAATTTATTCTCAGAGAAGGGATTGTGTTTTTGCTAAGAGGATGCTATTTTCCAACATGACCCCTCTGGGTGTCTGGTAAAAGGCAATACAATACACAGCCTCCCACTACCTGCTGAAGAAGAAAAAGCACAAATCAGGCAGCGAGACCAAATGGCAAAACTATTTCCAAAAAAGGAAGTATCTTACCTAACCCTAAAAGAAAGCCACTTCTATACGTAGCATCTAAAAGTTTCTGGAAGTGATACAAACTAAAAAGCCAAGAGTTTTTCAGCTTGCATAGGTATCTTGTTACCAAAAAAAAAAAAAAAAAAAAAAAAAAGCTCAGGAAAACTATATAAAGCCATATCAACAGAACTGCAATGGAGACAGCTTAATGGAAAGGAAAATGGACATGTCAACACGAGAGTGTCTGCTAATAATTTACCCAAGAGAGTCATTCTAAAAGACAAAGTTTAGAAACATGAAGTCAACCCACAATTTACACAGCGTAAAGCTTTTTAAAAAAATAAAATGTTAAACATTATCACTCTTTGTATTTCTATTCAGAAAGAATTTTTTTTAAACCACAAATACACTCAACTGAGATTTGCCGACCAGCAAAGCTATCCTTGAGGAATACTACACTTTTGACAAAGTGGAGTTTCCCTAGAAAATTAAATTTCACTAAATATCTTTTAAAAGCCAGTCCAGATACATAAGAGAAAGTAGGGGAATAGGGTTGTGGGGATGCCAAGGAATGGGGAGAAGCATTTCCTAAGCCAGCCACCTTGTTTAAACTGTGTGGATCCTAGAATGTTTTTAACATGTGCAGCTCGAATGGAAGCTACACAGCACAGAGATTTTAGGATCTTCCTTTATCCTGCCTCCAAAATACTACTAACCAAATCTGTGCCCTACAGATATGGTAAGCCGCATATTTATTGTTAATAAAACATTTCCCCTTGCTGTATTTTTCCCCCTCAAAAAGAGAAATCCTACTTCTCTCAGACACATCGATTTCTTGTATCACACGTAACTAACCACAAAAGCCTTTTCAGCTTTTACTGTGATTTGGCAGCAAGGCTGCAGCAAATTCTGAAACTTGGGTTTCGATGGGTGTGCTTCAAGACTCTGTTTGGGTTTCTTATTTATTGTTTTGCCTTCTTAAAAGCTTCAGATCCTTGACCTGTTAAATGCTTTTTCAGCCTGCATTTACTCTTAGTCCCATTTATCATCTTAGAGAATGGCCATGATATTCTCTAAGGGAAAAACTGGCAGAGAAGAGTTAATAAAGCCCCAAGAGTGGCACAGTGGATTAGCCATGCACAGAGGTGTGTAAATCAGAGCAAAACCACGTGGCAAGCAAAACAAATGAAGGAATGCTAAGGCATTTTAAAACATCAAGATTACTAACCCAAAACTTTCAGCCTTAATGCTTTTATTTTCCGAAGTAAATAATGGATTATAGTATTTTAAGTAGAAAATGGCACTATCTACGCATGCTCTGAAATTTATTCCCTAGGCGTGAGCAGTCGTCAACACGCAGAGTTCTTCACAGAATGGTGAAATCTTGCCCCTCCATAAATGTACACTGGAGAGGAGACTAAGACCTACACTGGGTACCTTCACAGGAATCCTGTTCAGATCACATTTCCCATCCTAAGTTTAATATTTTCTTACAGCAGGCCAGGCGCGGTGGCTCAGGCCTGTAATCCCAGCCCCTTCGGAAGCCAAGGTGGGCAGACTGCTTGAGCTCAGGAATTCGAGAACAGCCTGGGCAACATGGTGAAACCCCATCTCTACTAAAAATATGAAAATTAGCCACATGTGGTGGCGTGCACCTGCAGTTCCAGCTACTCGGGAGACTTGAACCTGGGAGGCAGAGGTTGCAGTGAGCCAAGATAGTGCCACTGCACTCCAGCCTGGACAACAGAGACTCTTAGTTTCAAAAAAATTTTTTTTTCTTTTTAGCAAAGGTACCATTTTTCACAGGCTATTTTCTACTTTCATAATCATCTCATAAAGGCAGTATAGGTTCAAAAGGCAAATTTTTAGGAGACAACCTGATCAGCCACCAAGAATCGTTTTTGATTTGGTATCAAAAGACATAACATTTGATCAGTTTGCAATTTTGTTTGGGATAAATATCCACAGTGATACTTTGACTCTGAAAAAACATCAAAGTGCCGCTTTGGGGGAGATCATGAAAACACAGCACGCAGGCCTAAGAGTTGCTAGGAAGGCTATGACAGACGGGACAGCAGCAGGTTCTCTCTCAAGACTAGACCGTCAACAGAGCATGCAGAGAAAGAGGCACAGAGGCTGTTGCTTCACAAAACTGAGGACGGTCAGGATCAGCCACCACCACTTCCTGGATGTTTCTGCATAGTTCCCAAGTCAAGCATTAACCAAGGTCAATTCTGTCTAAAATGCACGAAAAGCCCAGCTCCTGCACAGCACAGCCACAGCATAAAAATAGTGAACACACTGTTTCCACACTCACTTATAACCAATGTTTTTAAAGCAATGCAAACTCTGAAGTTGTGAAGCAAGGCAAGATGTCACTCAGACCTCTTGAGTTTTGTTCTTCCTGTTGTTTCTTTGTGTTTTGGTATGTAAGAGTATACATCTTAGAGTTTGGAGGGTATGACTGTACAAGTGTAGCCACTCAGGGTGAGAAAACATGTGCAAAAGCATTTTGACGAACATTCTATTGTCCTGAATGTAAACTGGAGTTAATTATACCTACCTTTCATGGCTGCGGGAAGAATCCAGTGAGTACACTGGGGAAATGACCGGCAAACTGTGAAATGGGATAGTCAAGAGAATGCTGGGCATTACCAAGTATTCAAGTACAGAGTTGAATTTCCAGTTATTTTGGTCTTTTATAACCTTAATAGAGAAATTCACCTGAAAATGAGATCTGAGATTTAGCCACACAAATCCTAAATGGGGGGGAATCTGAGCCTCAGACAGACACAACTGCATAGTAATACACAAGTCAGGACTAAAATCCTGTGGGATAATTTTATCTTGCTTTGGGGCAGAGTCTCACTCTGTTGCCCAGGCTGGGGTGCACTGGTGTGCTCACAGCTCACTTTAGCCTCGAACTCCTGGGCTCAAGTGATGTTCCTGTCTCGGTCTCTCAAAGCACTTGGATTATAGGCAAGAGCCAACCTGCCCAGGTCCCACTGATCACTTTAAAGCCCGCTCATTTAGAAGAAAGATCTTCAAGCTAGGCAAGGTGGTGTGTGCCTGACACCAACAGTCCCAGCTAATTGGGAGGCTGAGTCGGAAGGATCCCTTGAGTCCAGCAGTTTGAGTTCAGCCGGGGCAAACTAGTGAGACTCTATCTCCTGGCCTTACAACGGGACCAAACTGTAGAATAAACCATGTTTTACCCCGGTAAAGGGTAACCTGTTGCCTATCATAAGACTCTCTGAATAAGTTTAGATATAAGCAGGCCCATCTGTCATAGGATTTTAATCTAGATACAGGAGCATGACCAAGCTATATAGAAAAACCTGCAGCAACAACCGCACCCAGCGGAAACAGCCTGCCTAGAGCCACCATCCACCTCAGAGCAGCAGACCTTCATACACAAGGCAGTGGGAACGGCTGCGGGACCAGGAATCACTTTTGCTCCTAGAGCAGACATCAAAGGCCTGAGTCGGCTTTGACCTGTCAGTGCAGCACGAAGGGCACAAACCCAGAGGGCTGACTGGAGACCCTGAGCAAGAGAGAGAGAGAGGCACAGAAGACGACAGAACTTTCCACCCCTTCCCCCTCCACACCTCCTCAAGGTCTCTTTCTCCCTCCACTCTACCTCATCATCTCAGCAGGCTCCAGCTATTACAAATACATGATGAAAAAAAGCTTTTCTCAAACCTGCTTTTCTTCGCCCTAAGATATTGTGGGGACGGGGCAAAGAGGGAGAAGAAAAATGAGAACAAGGTAACTTTTCGAAGTCTTTTTTAAATTAAATTTTTAAAAAAATTCCAATTGAGAAACATACCTGAGAACAATTCAGAATTTATTTGACAGGGCTCAAACTTGGGAGTTCTGTGACTCAGCCCACTCTTTTGGGTAAGTCCTACCCAAAACAGTATTTCTAGCTCCTATCAGCTTACTCCACTGCTCTCAGGCCAGAGGCAAGTCATGTTCTTGGCAGAACAAACGCAAGGGTTCCAAATCCTCGCTCGGTTCCTAATCTCCACATTGAAAGACAATGAGGAGCCAACTGGTCACCAAAATGTCACCAGCCAAACACTTCAACATGCTGCCCCAGAGAGAATGCCACGCTGGGGTTCCCAAGACGGTGGATGGCACAGAGCAGCTGCCGCCTGTTCCCATCCTCATTGTTTACCACTGTGTAAGTCAGATGAGTGCAGGAAGTAATTAAACACAAGAAATCACTGCAGGTACCATGTGCACACACAAAAAGCCATTCCATTTTAAGTCCCTGTAGAGGGGGTGTCCCTCTCAAAACACTCAACTCCCCAAAAGACTATCTTCAGGGACTGGGTCGTTTCCAGAAAATCGACTGACTTTGAATACATCTTAGTTCTACGAGTCTTGGCAATTCACAGATGCTTCTAAAACAAAAAGACTGTTACCATGTTGGGGTGTGGTGAATTGTTGTTCTCTTTGAAAATACTCCCACCAGCCAGGCTCGGTGGCTCACGCCTGTAATCCTAGCACTTTGGGAGCCCGAGATAGGCGGATTGCCTGAGCTTAAGAGTTCAAGACCAGCCTGGGCAACATGGTGAAACGTCGTCTCTACTAAAATACAAAAAATCAGCCAGGTGAGGTGGCAGATGCCTGTAATCCCAGCTAATCAGGAGGCCGAGGCATGAGAATTGCTTGAACCCGGGAGGCAGAGGTTGCAGTAAGCCGAGATCATGCCACTCCACTCCAGCCTGGACAATAAAGTGAAACTCTGTCTCAAAAAAAAAAAAGAAAAAAGAAAAAAGAAAATATTCCCACTAATTAGGAAAATATATGCAGCCCCCTTGCAAAGCTTTTAAAAGGAAGGAGTGCCTTTTTAAATGTGGCCTCCAATTTCACGAAGTTACGATATCACCCTGTAAACAGACAGCATCTAATGCTGACTGCCTACCACCCCCCATAAAACTGAAAGAGAAGAAAGCCTTATCCATGTCTCACCAATAACTGTTTATCCAGTGAGTTATAAAAGAAGCCACTGGGTTTTTATTATCCAAGCTTTTAGGACAGTTCAAGTTCAATACACACAATGTTTCATTCATGCTGTTAAATTGATAATATTAACCTTTCTTGCTGAGATGCATTAAAAATTCTGGCTTTTCAGAGCAAATGTAATTAGTTCACATTAGTAACTTCACCAGCAGCAGCGACAGAAGCAAAGTGAACTAACAGGATATGGATTAATGTAATCAAAATATCATCTCCCATCATCGCCACTCTTTAGGCAGCTGGCTACACTTCCTCTCTTGGTTGGATTGTTTTTCTTTTTAATAAAAATGATACATCAATGAAATGGATGCATAACTACTTGTAATCCCCCCTCAGGGCAGTACTGTACAGGAAACCATATTGGTGAGTGATCCCAAAAGTTTTAATTTGATGTGTCTGCTTAATACAATTTTGACATCTGAGCAATGGCTCAAGGCTCTTTCAGGGCACAGAGCTTTGGGAGGAGGCAGGAGGAGCCTTGGAGGAAAGGAAGGAGAAGCCAGAAGCAGTACATGGCTTCTAGAGCACCACTGTAAGTATCCCACGAAGATAAAAAGTATCTCCCTCTCTAAATACTGTATCACTAAGAGAAATAAATCAAAGTGGTGTGTTTGCTCTTTGAAGTAGCTCCAATGCGATCACACATCAAAATATATTTCTGCAACCCTGTACTGCCCAGCCATAGTGGGTGTTTGCTATTTTGCGACCCTCTTTCTTGAATATCCACATTTTCTCCTAAGGGACCACCTTGTCCTCCTTCTTCCTTACTGAGGCCGGGAACCTCATGGCCTGGGCTGGCACATCAGAGCATCTTTCTCTGGAACACACTGGTGGAGGGCAGTGGCCTAGCACTATCACGGCTAGAGACCTCTTGAAACAGGTCTGTGCCACTGGAACAGATTGCTCACCCTTGGGTACTGAACCTGAAGGTGGGGATGCAGGGTTAAAGTTGTAACAACCCTTTTGCTACCACCTGGATCCTTAGAATGAAGACAATATGCAGGTGGGCAGAGTCACGGGGAGCCCCCAGTGGACTTCCTGAAGCCACTCTTAGACTCTTCCATTAAGTGGACCCACAGTGCTCTTTTCCGCTTGAGCCAATTGAAACGGGCTTTCTTCCCTGGGAAATGAAAGTCAAGGTACTTCACACAACACATTTTTGACAGGGACATAAAACCCTACCTGGACTGAAACGAGGGGTGGTCACCTCTCCCCAGGCTGCAAAACCCCAGACATGGGACAAGTCAGTTAACAGCACTTCCACCTTCCCCAGCTTCGGAACTTGTGGGTGAACCCTGGCCACAATCTAATCAGCACTGCCATTAGGACCTTTCAGGGTCTCACACAGGACCAGGAAGCAGAAATAAGAAGGATACCGCTACCCATACTTGTTTTAATGCAAGAAACTGAAAGTAGAGTGATAGAGTCCTTCTTTAGGGCCAGTGTTTACATACAGGCTGCATAGAAACCTGAACCTACAATTCGTCTTGGCATAGAAGGGAAATACCCAATTGACAACAACATAAAAACTTTTAAAAAAGCAAAAATCACACTTAGAAGAAAAGTTATTTCATAGCTCCCCCAAAGACATTATAAATAGGAAGTCACCACATGAATTCAGTTCTCCAAACTCAGGGAAGCCTCCAAAGGTTACACAATCGGCCTCCTGGCAACATTAAAACACAAAGGGCAGTTAATGTTCAGAATGGTAGTCACCAATTAGTCCAAAACACACACTTACTTAGCAAGCACATACCTCTGCTTAAGCTTTGAGCTGCTCTGTTAGCATTTGGCTAAGCCTGAAGTGACACAGGTTCGGGGTCAGTGACTTTACTGCGAAGTTAATGTCACCTTTACGAAACCTCCATGGGTATAAACTCTGTAAGCCATTCTGGGCAGTGCTGGGTACAACCAAAAGGCATAAACATGCTATTTTCTCTCCGTATGTTTTCATTTGAAGAAAAAAAAATAGGCATGAGAAATATTAAGACTTAACCAAGGCCGACTTACTCTGAAGTAAAAAAGGATGCATTTGTAGCCAACCATTTTAATTTTTTTAAAAAACACGGAAAAAAACATTGGCATGTCCTATGGCTTCAGGTTAATACTACTGAGCAGAATGCCTAAACGAGAATACCTGGTATTATGCCCAGTTACAAAGCCTGAGCGATCTTCCCATTAAGTGACACCACTGTTGGAAAATACAAAACCCTGAGAAATTACAGTGCAACAACAATTTCAAATGAAAATAATCATCTAGTTTTGATTTATACGATGCGCGCTCTTTTACATCTAAGAATTGCAGCAGATACGGTCAGCATCTGAGGGTCCTACGAGGCAGGCTAATGTTACCTATGGCTCGGAACACTAATCAATCGCCACTACAGTGTGTTTGCAAAGGACTTCCGGGGTATGTAATATCAGCTCCTGTTATGGCCCTGGCTGTTAGTAGATCAAATGTACTAAATTATCTAGATATAAGACTTTTGAGAAAGGGGATGGAAGAGATGATTAGGGGCAAACAAAACAAATCCCTGGGCTTTGCCTCCCGAAGACAGCTTTCAGTAGATTATTTGGGATCCCAAGCATGTGATTTCAGAAACAGAAGTAGCTTGCAAACAGTCCCATGTTCCACCTAGATCTTGTTAAGACCTTACAGTGGGGGGAGGTCTACCACTTCTCATCTTCATCAGGTAGTCAGACAGCAAACTGATTCTACAAATCAGCTTAATGATTTTGGAGGGCTCTTCACTCAAATGACTATGCTGGGGGCCATGCAATAGCAGTGGAGGCTCCTCGGAGAGGGAATTCCCCTGAGATCCTCTGGCCTCGTCTGGACCACATGGGGGTTTGGAAGGGGGAAAAAAAAAAAACCTTCTCAGCCAGGTACAGTGGCTCATGTCTGTAATCCTAGCGCTTTGGGAGACTGAGGTGGGAGGATAACTTGAGCCCAAGACCCCATCTCTATTAAAAATTAGCCAGGCATGGGGGTATGCACCTATAGTCCCAACCACGCAGGAGGCTGAGGCAGAAGGATCACTTGAGCCCAGAGGCAGGAGGCTGAGGCTGCAATAAGCCATGATTGCCTCTACTGCACTCCAGCCTGGGCAACAGAGCAAGACTGTCCCAAAAAAGCCCAGGAAGAACCTGAGCCCTTCAAAACAACCCCTTTTATTGGAGACTCGGAGGAGCCTTCAGACCCAATCCTCGGATCACTGTGGTGGTTCCATCGCCACCAAGGTCTGCTGAAGCCTCCCTGCATGGGATACGCCAGGTGTTCACCCACACGTAGACATCTTTCTGTGTAGCAGCTACTCCTTATAGAATCTAAAAGACAAACATGTATCCTTGAAAAATGGGCTCGCGTGAGGGGTGCTCCTTTCTTTTAACTCCCTATAACCAACCTCTTCCCTTGGGAGTCGTCCCACTGACCCCTCCCAAAGGGGTGGCCCCCTTCCCAGTGATCCTTCCCCACTGGGATAACTCCCAAAACAGGTGTCCCAGGATCTCCCTCTCTGCAGCCAGGTCAGTGTTTCCAAAAACCTCCTAGACCAGCTCACTCCCCTTGCTCGTGCCACAAGCACCTAAACTCAACAACTCAACAGCACAAACATTCTCCCCTGTCAAACTCCTACCCTTTGTTGTTTCCTATCCTAGTTAATGGCAAGGGTGGTCATCTTCTCCAGTCAGTCTCCAGTCATCCGTAAGCTCATTGCTTTTCCTCTACCTGCCCCAACTTCATCCTTCACCAAGTCTTGCTGTATCTATCTCCAAAAGGCCTCCGACCCCCTTCCCCATGCTCACTCCATAGCAATGGCATCTGCCTCCACCCACGGCTCTGCCAGCTTCCCTCCTTCCCCAGACAGCTGCCAGAGACCCTTCAGGAAACACAGATCTGCTCGTGGCACTGCCCTGCTTCACCGTCACTGCCTGTAAAGTCAGGTCCAGTCTCCTAGGGAAGGCAGACAGGGCCACAACTGGTTTCCGCCAGCATTCTCACCTTCATTCTTAGAGGACATCTGCCTGAATTGACTTATCCTTATACTCAGCCTTTATTCACCTACCCCACAATCTCTGGTACTTGGCAAACTCCTCTGCATCCTGCGAGGCCCTGCTCCTAGGCAAGTCTTCCCCTGCCCCCTCCACACCAATCTACCCCTTCTCCTGCTTCCTGTGGCACTTTGCACAAAGCTCTAATAAGATATGCACCACACTCCCATTTGGTTGGTTTCCATGTCAGCCTCCCCACAGGGAGATTTCCCCAGAAGTGTGGCTGTGTCTATTCATCTTCAGATCCCCAAAGCTGAGCTCAGTAGTTGCAGAGGCGGAAATCAGCAAATGTTTGCTGAATACGAATGCTGCACGCCCAACACCCAGAGCTTGGGGGTGAAGACTGTCTCTCTGAGAGGAATCCAACTGGTCTCAAGCTACACACTTGGCCAAGTCAGGCTCTCCCAATGCAAGCAACTCCAGTCAACACGCAGCACCAACCACCACTACTGCAGGCAAACATGCTGTCAACTGTCACTGCTAACCACATTTTCCAATGGTTTGCTTCCTGGCCTAGACCAACCGGCTCACGGCTATGTACAAGCCTCCAACCTGTATGCCTCTAACCAGAGAAGAGCTAACACAGCTTTTAATTATGACCCTGGGGTTCAGTAGCGTGAAGGGGGCAGCACCAAGCCCAAAGGGTGCACTGTCCTCTCACGTGTCCACACGACATTCAGGGAAATGGGATACGCTTTGTGCCAACACCCACCCCTCCCTAGAAGAGGCACTAAATCCAGCCACAGAGCTGAAGAGCACTACCTGCAGTTTCGATACACAGATAAGTAAGAGCAGTTATCAACGACGATTCACCTTTCATCATAACCCATCTTTTGGAAAGTTCACTGAGAGACAGAAACAAGGAGGAGAATGAACCAAAGTCATATGAGGGGAAAATGGAACCCTTTTAAAAATGCTATTCATTCTTAGGGGTTAATAATTACATGGATAGATGATTTACGCAGAGGAGAAAAATGCAGCCAAGCAGTGAGCCCCTAATAAGTATTCGGGATTTGACCAAAACGTTCCTTCAGTTGCTATTAACTATAACACTGAAGAAAGGATTCACACATCCCATGACATCTATTTTTATAGCACAGGGCCCAGAGTTAGCCATATCACTTTTAATGACTTGAGATTCCAGAAGAATTATCACTACGGTAACATTTCAAAATGGCCATCAAAGTTACCAGGCACCAGGCCACAACAGTTTGGATCTCATAGGGCCTTTTAGAACAGACCAAGTTATTTTCAAAATTCATCTAATTGATTCCACATTCCTAACACAGCCTTGCTGGAAGTTAGCTAATGGGGTTATTGACAAGGATGAATTAACAGAAAGAGCACTCAAATGTTATCTGTTTCCACTCCGAGTCAAGCTCTTCTAATCATAAGCCACCAGAAAATAATTCATCGGTGACTACAATGATGTGATAATATTCTTTAATATTTCTGTAAGCATTCAAGGAAAAATATGAAAAAAAAATACGGGAAGGTATCAAGTTTGCCATTATTTTTGTTACTTTAATAACTGACTTGAAATTATTTTACAAATAAAAAGTTGATAAAAATTACCCAAGATACAGATCTCGAATATTTAAAAATGCTTACAGATGAACAATGAAACACATCATGCTATTGGGAACATATACTCAAATTCTTAAATTCTTCCCAGTCCTCAGGGGGTAGCCATGAAGGAGGGAAACAAGTGACTCTCTTCCATCCTCATTTTCACAGGAAAACAGGAGGCTGACCTCAGAGGCCAACTCTATGTGCACTAAGTATGGGGCACTCAGCTGAGAGCCAACAGAGTCAAAATCAGGGTGAAAAGGACCTTAATAACATCCTTTTTAAGCCGCTAGCTGCTACCCATTGGTAGTTCTCAAAATCAGTTTAAGGCATCTCTTACCAGCATTAGAATAGAAGAAAGTATCGTGGTACTACATGAATAGAAAGCGTGAGTGCTGTGTCAGACAAGAAGTGATTTCAAAACACTTATTTTAGTTATATACTTATTCTGTCCTGGGATCATGGTGTATATCTATGTTTTACTGTGGGTCTAGTTAAAAAAAAAAAAATTGAAAATCACAGATGTAGTATATCACCTTTCTTTCCAAGAGAGGTGAGGTGACCTGCCCAAAGTAATTAAGCAGTGGTACACTCAGACATTAGAATTTGGATCTGCCTCATTTTTAAACATTCTTTCATCAACAGAAAACTCAACACAGACATCCAGTGGGATGAATTTAGAAACAGAACCATATTTGAGAAATTAAGGGAGCCACTGACACAAATTCTGCTTTTAACTGTGCCTTTAGACCAGATGCCCTTTAAATAGGCCCTTGTGATCCCATAACTTTTTAATTACAATATCATGGACCTGCAGACAGGGTGTTACAAGTGAGAACTGTGCTTTCCAAGGGTTATGCAGGGCAAACCTTATCCAGGCCTGCCAGAAGCACATGGCATTTTCAAGGCCATTTACTAAGGAAAGACACACTCACACACATCGTGCCAAGGGCATTCTATGCCAGACCCCAGCCAGGACCTACTGTTAGGGCTCTTCAAGAGGATGAAGGCGAATCCTAGGCCTCTATTCCTGTGAAGGCCCAGCTCTTACTGGGAAGGGCAGGGAGGCCCCCAGATACTGTCTCCAGGGAACGGGACAGTTCACCAAGACCACACACACAGCCTGCTCTCACTGAAGGACAATGAGATGTGGAAAGGTTCACTTAAAAAAAAAAAAAAGCACATTAGGGTTTTTCTTAATGCACAGTACAATGAAGAAAACAGAAAACAGACCAGAACCCTATTGTCCAGATAACACCTACTGACCTTTGAAAAGAATAGAAGAAATAAAAGCACATGGTTAAAAAATTCCAAACAGTGCAAAAATAATACAAGATTACCTGTGGAGGTCACCAAGCACTTCCGGTTCCTTTCCATGAAAAATAAGTGCTTATTACTTTCTGGGATTCCTTCTCAAAAACTTCTTAATGATTGAACCAGCATTCACCAGCAAACATGCTCTTTTTAAATTAAGCCCTGAAGAATCAGAGTACATATAATGCTCTACACCTTTTTCCACTTAATTTATCTCAGAACAAAGATCTAACCTTTCAAAGAACAGCTGTTGTAGTGAGAATTCCACTCTTTGGAAATGTATAAATCAGACACAAATTCAAAATGCAGTATTTTTTGTGTCAGCCTTGTAATCCTTTAACAGTGAGTCCTATGGGAATTTAAAAATTATGATAGTATCAGCTAATATTTCATTGAGGCATTGTGCCATGTCTGGCCCTGGACTAACCCCTTTTCTTTACCTCTCACAACGACCTTAGAAGGAAGCTGAGTGTCCACAGTCGTGTAGCTGAGAGGCCTTAGGAAGGTAAATTCTCTTCACCAATGTGCAGAGCCAAGAGGTAGCACAGCCAAGATTTTAAGCCAGATCTGTCTGATTCTACTACCACCTACTACAAAGAGCTTTCTTGTCATAGGATAAAGGTGCTGGCTTCTCCACCAGAGGAAAGGAAGCCACTTAAAAACTTACAGAGAGGGTGATCACCAAAGGCCACCAGCTGGCCTCGGGAGAGTGCAGAATGCACTCCCAGAGCTAGGATGAAGAAGCGATGGGGGCCTGACCCCGCCCAGGCGGCCCTGGGCATCAGCATAGGCACCTCACTGGGTTCACAATGGCTCAGAACATGCTCACCTGCTTGAGCTCAGCCTCTTGAACGTCTGCTGCTAATAGCCGCTCTTCAAGCAAAGCACATGTCATGAGACCTATTCAAATACAACTGAGTGGGACCCTGAAACTGGGGCTGGCAATGGTGGGAGCACTAAGTCAGGCCCTCTTGCTGGGAGGTGATGTGAAGAGGGCCACTTCTCATCCCTGCTCTGCTGTCCCCTTAACCGGGGTCTTGAGCAGTGGAGGAGGAGCTCAGGCCCCTCCAGTCAAAGACAGTCCAGGCTGAGTCTAGACAACCCGACCATTCTCATCCCCACCCAGCCCGGCCAGCCTTTCACAGACAGGCACCGGGATCTGTGATGGCCAGCGGCAACAACAGGCGTGATTTCTCCTAGGACACATCACTTTTCACCAAGAAGCCCATCTTGAATAGCTGGGGGTGTGTTTACAGATCCAGGAAAGCTCAGAGCAAAAATACTTAGTTAAAAAGCAAGTTAAAAAATGCATCTTCAGGGCAACCCGCTTGGGTCCCTTTCCATGCTGTGGAAGCTTTGTTCTTTCACTCTTCACAATAAATCTTGCTGCTGCTCGCTTAAAAAAAAAAAAAAAAAAAAAACAATGCATCTTCAGTGAGTACAGTGGCTACCTCGTGTTCCTTTTTTATTTGATGGGAAATAAAGGGGAAGAGAGATTTACTTTGAGTCGGCAGGCCAGATCTGCAACAGGGACTGGAGAACTTTCCAGGCCCAGCAGCCCCGGCCTGGCCCGCATTCCTTCGGGGTGACAGCGCACCAGGGCCGGCCGGCGGTTTCCCCAGTCCTTCTGCCGCCGCCACACAGTGACTAAGCCCACAGGAATCCCAGCGGGTGCTGGACCCACCCGGAGGACAAGCAGGCCGAGAGGAAAGCCTGTGACTGCCCCGACCAGCAGAAGAAGACCTGCTCTCTGCCCTCCAGCCCCTGGGTATAATGCAGGAGAAGCTGGGGAGGCTGTCCAAGGCAGGAGCAGCCCCACCTGAGCTCAGGTGACAGCCCATCTCACTTGCAAGGCCTTGCAGAGACACCCAAGCCCCATACTCAGGACTGACTTTGCTGAGGAATCAGAGAGCAGAGTTTCAGGGTGCACCTTTATCTCCCTGAGAAAGACTCCCAGTAAAAGTCGGTTGTTTGCCCAAAGGAGGCAGAATTAAACTACGGGCAGGCAACCACAAGTTTGCTTTGACAAATAAAACAAGAAAAAAAAAATGTAAACCTACACTGGCCCAATCACTTTCCAAGAGCCTAATTCATGGTAAAACCAGCAGTCCAAGATCTGATTTTGATAAATCACTTCCTGACTCTTCATATATTTTACTCTCTGTACGACTGTTATTTTTATTTTGCAAAAGAATTAAAAGTTTACTGGAAACCACATACCTTTCTTCCTTTACGACAACCTGTCATTCATCACAGCTAAAACATCCACCCATTAAATGATATTTTTACAAGATTAAAGAATGGTTTTAAAAAGAAAGAAATCTCCTTAGTTAAAAATGAACCAAACAAAGGTACCTAATCACTGATCAGCATCAAAGTTTTGTTCCACACATGAAAATAATTCATCAGGCCAGGTGTGGCGGCTCACACCTAGAATCCCAGCACTTTGGGAGGCCAAGGTGGGTGGATCACCTGAGGTCAGGAGTTCGAGACCTGCCTGGCCAACATGGTGAAACCCCATCTCTACTAAAAATACAAAAAATTAGCCGGGCATGGTGACAGATGCCTGTAATCCCAGCTACTCAGGAGGCTGAGGCAGGAGAATTGCCTGAACCCGGGAGGCGGAAGTTGCAGTGAGCCAAGATCACACCATTGCACTCCAGCCGGGGTGACAAGAGCAAGACTCTATCTCAAAAAAAAAAAAAAAAAAAAAAAATCATCAATGTAAAAATGAATTCTGCCTAAGGAGGGGAATTTAAAAAGTCAGAGAAAAGCAAGGAATTAAAATTCAGAAACAAGCTGTTTTATAATTAAGCATCTGCAATTTAACTATACTATGTCACTCTGATTTTCATCTTTCCTTTCTCATAAGAGTCATAGATGTTCTCCGCTCATATAAAGGTGGTAGGAAGGGAGGGAGGGCGCCATGCTAATAGAACCCACATCATGTTTACTAAGAACTAGGCAGATGTGGACAAAAACTCCAAAGATTTAAAAGTTTCTTGACTAGAGCAAGACATCTTCAAGAACTCATCCAACATGGTGCCTAGCCTTCTTCAGAGCAAGACAAGCCACTAAGTCATCCCTGGGTGTGTGTTCAGCAGCAGCCCACTAGGAAGTATTAGGTGAGCTACGATGGGAGAGTAATGGGCAGGAAAATCATAGGAAAGCAGGTCTGGATTTGGGCTGGCTGCTTAGCTGCATGGCACCTTGCACAAGTTATAATCAGGTCTCTTGCCTCCATTTCCTCTTCCACAAAAAATGGAACAGTAATATCCATATCCACCCTACAGACTGTGCAAAGATTAAAGAATACTGGCGAGGTGCCTGGCACCTAGTCATTGTTCAGTGAATGCCAGTCATGATCACGAACACAGTCCTTGCTAAGAGGGTGATATGATTTGGCTGTGTCCCCGCCCAAATCTCAACTTGAATTGTGTCTCCCAGAATTTTCATGTGTTATGGGAAGGACCCAGGTGAGGTAATTGAATCATGAGGGCTGGTCTTTCCCGTGCTATTCTCATGATAGTGAATAAGTCTGACGAGATCTGATGGGTTTATCAGGGTTTCCACTTTTGCTTCTTCCACATTTTCTCTTGCTGCCACCATGTAAGAAGTACCTTTTGCCTCCTGCCATGATTCTGAGGCCTCCCCAGCCATGTGGAATTGTAAGTCCAATTAAAACCTCTTTTTCTTCACAGTCTTGGGTACGTCTTTATCAGCAGCATGAAAACAGACTAATACAGAGGGTAATCACCACAGGAATCCAGACGGGGAGTGGGGTCAGTTCACTGGTACAAGGATCTTGATCAAAGGAACTCATTTCCCACCTGATCCCTATTCACTCCAGGGTCCACATCTAGGAGTCCCAAAGACCGGCATGCATGGGTTGGGTCAACAGGCTGCCTGGAGGTTTACCTCATTCCAGGAGTTGGAGAAGCACTGTGGGAGGAACTGGGGTTCAAATCTGCAAACCTCCAAAACATAGGAGGGATCTTCTAAAAGTTTCTGAGAGTTCTAACCACAGATTAGGGGAAAAAAAAGATGCCCTTTCATCAACATGGGATGAAATGCTAGGATTTAGACATGGTTTTTTTGTGTGTTTTTGTTTTTGTTTTTTTCCAATTCAGAAAACACTAAATCATGTAAAAATCTTGGAAGAGGAGATACAGATTCTGACCTAATAAGATGCTACTGCTCTGATTCCACCATCAGAATACCTTTAGGTTGGCACCACTTGCAATGTATTAGTGCAGCAAACTGCACGAATCCCCTCATTAGATCCAGGGCCCCTGAGAGTAGAAAGGGGAGTGGGGCAGTAAATGGCCAGGGAACAGGAGACAGTGGGCTGGAGGGTGTCCCAGGTTCTAACCCCAGCTGGGCCTTCAGAGCCCTGGTGTGGTCTGGGCTAACCTCTCAATCCTTTTCCAAGTCTTAAGTTTCCTTCCAACTCACTGTGATTCTTCCAGAGAATTACACAGGGCAGGTGAAATTATTTCCTAGAAAATGCCCATGGAGTACAGAGGTTCTCACTGAACTTCTCTATTCCAGGGCCGATGCCTTTGTTTTAATGGCAGCGCATCATCGACTAACCAAATCCACAGGTACTGCACAGGTCTGAAGGATCCGGCTCTGAGGGATACCGAGGCATCCGGGGCTCCCTCTGTCTTCTTTCTGTGTACACAAGGTACCTTCAGTGACTGCAAGGAAAATCCTCTTGCTTTCTACATCAGAGCACGTTCCATAAGGGCAAAGTGCTCCAGTCATCACCTCCTGTTTTCTCTAGCCAGACCTGCTCTGAGCTGGAGACCCACTGCAGTCAAGCAAACTTTTAGACACAAGAAAAAATGACAACGTGTCTATTACAGAGGTCTCAGCTTAATCAGAAAATGGCACTGTGGGCCAGAGAAAAGCTGACGGTGATGGCTCCTACCCCAGTGCAATAGGCAGATCCATGAGAGCTCTCACTGGGGCTGCTGGAGAACTGGCTGCTCTCTCCCACTTTAGTCACCCCTGCTTCATAAATGTCTGTGCCAGAAAGCCACAGTGAGCCCCCAGTGGCCCCTGTATTACCCACCCAGAGAGACAACCTCTCCCCTCCATGAAACTCATTTCTGGGACCCACACCTAAACTTTAACACAAATCAGAAAAGTTGAGACTCCTTAAAAATGCGTTTTGCAAGCTCACAGGTTCTTGGTTCATAAGTGATACTATGGAACAATCTGGTTGGGAAGGGTGGCACACAATAGAAAAAGTTAATGATTATCTGGTGTAGTTTGCTTTAGTCTGTGAGTTCAAAAGTCTCCTCATTTACAATAACCTTAAAGGATAACAAAATAAAGTCCTAGAAGAAATGTAAATTTAATTATTTCCATTTTCTCAAAATATTAATTGCTGATACAATTAAATGGATTGGCCTAAACTGCTCCAAAGCTTTTCCTATCTGCTAATTAAATTTGCCCTCGCTGCCATAATACAAATTCTGGGAAACCTTCTGGCTTCTGGGCACACTATGTAGGATGAGAGAATCAAATCCATTCAGTCCTAATCTACTGCCCCACTTAATAAACAAAAAATGTTAAGAACATGCATTTAAAAAAAAATCTAAATGCCTTCATAATATAGATACAGCAAGTCTTCCCATAATGCTAATGAAGGCTTCTCACAAGAGTTTAATGAGCTAGTATCCAGTATCTTCCAGGCCCGGGGATGTTAGCTTCTCCTCCCTTAGTACAGAGGTTGCTCAGACAGCAATCAGCATCATGATCCATACTAAATGCAACGGCCCTACTCTTTATCTTTATAGTCTGTAATCCAAGTCACTCTATTAACAGGCAGAAAAATCCCAGCTAGCTTCAAAACTCCCTCATCTTTCCATTATTTCAAATGACAACCTTTTCCCACTACTTTATCTTTGCATTAAGTACCAGGAGCTGAAAGATGCAATCAATTTAATATTTCCCTCTGCCCATTTACATGACTTATTTGTTTCGGCAGATCTTCTTTGCCACAAATCCTTCATTTGCCCATTCATGTCTGCATACTTAACATAGATTTAATATTTCTCCAGGCCAAAGATCATATGCAGAGTTTTTCTTTGACTGGAGGACAGAAGAGACAAGGAGAGAAGAAGAACGTCTGGAATTCCTTTGTTCTTGGAGACAACTCCAGAGAACAATTCTCAATAAGAAAAGTTATAAAAAGCTTCAATCAGCACCCTCACGTTTCTGATTTAAAGTTGGGGTGGGGGAGCGTGGAATAAAAAGAGAGGGAACTAAACATGTACGAAACTCATTCTAGCGTGAGACGTTGTCAGGTACTTTGCTGACATTTTATCATAAAACTCTCTCTCGGTGGCCACGGGTTACAGCAGGGAACCTAAAACCTAGACTTGGGACCCCAAGTCCTCGCTTCACAAAAATCATGACATGGGTGTTGAACCAGTTTCTGTTCAGCCACACAGAAACTCATTCAAGTCCTTCAAGAGGAAGAATCCCACCTTCAACTCCACACCTCCTCCAGCACCAGGCGGAGATGCTCCTGATTCCACTGAGAATCCTCCTGCCCACACAGGCAGGAAACTCGGGGCACTCAGTGCCTGCTCTCTCACCCACTGCATGCCCACAGACCTCTGCAAAGGCAGCTCCTTTATTCCCCCAATCCTGAACATCTGTTAAGTGCTAAGGCCTCAGAGGGGGCTTTTTAAACAGGCACAAAGTAGAAACTACCAGCTTTCCACCACTCCTACCTCATCCATCAGAAAACAGAGCCACCAGCCTTCCAGGGTAGGGTTCATCAAGCCTTTTCCTCCCCATGGAACTAAGCTGTACACAGTAGTCAGAGATAAATAATGTCTAAGCCAAACCGGCTTGAGGGCACATATGGAGGTGGGGGGCAGAGGGACACTGGCCTGGGACCTAAACCACCATTCAGACCTCATCTTTACAAAATAGTATACTCCACATTCCAAATGCCTGGCAAAGTTTTGCATTACAACTCATTCACGAGTCGAGGGCCTTGTATACAGTGTTCGGCAAACAGTACTGAGCAAGTGTGGACATTTCTCATGAAAGGCCTCGATTTCAACCAGACCCAAATATTCTTTTAATCCAAAGTTCCAAATGTGGAACTTACCCTCCTCTGAGCTCCTAGCACTTGTTGCCTCTATTTCTCTTCTGGCAAAAGTCGTAGAGTGTCTCGTCACACCGCATAAGTTGTCTCTCTCTTTTAAATGTCAAGTGTTTTTATCTTATCTCACAACAGAATCCTAGTTTGTGTCATCTCATACTGCCTAGCATGAGACTTGCACAAAACGGGGGCACCTTAATTGTGCAGCTGAGGGACACGATGGAAACTCTGGCCAAGGAACTAGCAAGGAAACCTGCAAAGACACATCCAGACCTAACCTAGGTGCGACTTATAACTCAAACCTCTTCCCCAGTCTCCCTCTCTATGGGAGTGATATGTACACAATGTGTTCGCTTCCACTTCCTTAATGATGGTGGACTGACATGAATAAGAATGATGGGGAGGACCATAGGACCCCAAATAATTCACAAGTCAGCAAAGTGAAGAACTCACCTAGGCCATACATGTGCACACATTCTCTAGCACACACACTTACTCTCACACTCTACTGTTATTTAGTTTGTTTATTCATTCCAGCTAGAACCAGGGACCAATTTGGTCATCCAAAAATGTTTTGTAAATCTCTTTATAAAATTCCTGCACCTCTCAGGGCCAGCACCAGAGCAAGGCAAGATTGGTGTCCAGGATACAAAATGTAAACAGGTGCTCCCTCTCATGGTGCACTACCCTGAGAGAAGACCTCTTTTGTCTCTGGTCCAAGATTTCTCACTCTGGTCCAAGATGCCACCACTGCTGCCACTGCCATCGCCACCTCCTCCTCCTTCCCTTCCTCCTCCCCCAAGAGAACTATGAGGACCAAACCACTCAGACACTAAGTGGGGTCAAGCCCACATGGGAGATGGATTTTTACAGAGTATCTCCTCCACGGGCTTCCCATTAGCTGTGAGGTTGGAGAATCAAACATTATAAACAAAGCATGAGTCCTAACCCACAAGTGGTTTCTCAACTGTTTGGGGAGAGAGATGAATGAGGAGTAAACAAGGTCCTCTGAACCTACTGATAAAAAGTACAGAGAAACCATCATCACTGACCAAATAACCCAGCAATGGATGAGCACAAAAGCAACCTGGAAGCAAGAGTCCTCAGTAAGGAAGATTTGGGGGGCTTCATGGAAGATCAAGTGGGTGATGGTTAAGGAGAAACCACGAAGAGCGTAGCCTCAGTAGGTAACGTCTGCTCCAGCTAGAGCTCACCATGCATGCACACCAAACCCAGATGCCGAAAACCAAAAAATACAGCAGAACGCACCCAACTCCCAAACCACTGAGAAAGTATTTTAATTTTGCTTTGATCACTCCAGCTGCGCTTCAGAGTCCCCAGCATTTCAGCAGCATCATAGAAGAAGACATCAATCACTGGCCATGGCACAAGGAAACTCCTGCTTGGCTATCGGGCTGCTCAGATTCTGGATGAGGGAAAGCTTACTTTAGTGGAAAAGAATGACTTAAATGAATTTAAATTCATTCCACATAATCGAGTTACATCAGCATTTCTCATATGCACTTATGAATAATTCACTTTGGTAACAGCAAAAGCCAGACCAGAGAAAGTCACTTCAAAGATCTAAGACTTAACATCAATCCTACCTGAATTTCCTGCTCTCAACTCCTTCCCTAACCACTTTATTTCCTTCTGCCCTATCACTGAGGTGCTTTGCCAGCCTCCTGTCCTACATCCGTTATCCCTCAGTAAGCTCTCTGGAACTTTCCAATTGCAGCCACCTCCTAATGTCCACAGCCTCCTCTTCTAGATCTAGTTTCGTAGGCAGTCCCTAAGGGTAGGGCCCATCCTAAAAAGTTCGACTGCTTCATACCATTCCAAGTCTAGAACATGTCCTCAGTCTCTAGTAGTGTTTACTGAAAGCCACGGCCAACAGATCTATCCGAGGTCCCCAACAACCTTGTCTTCAAAACTGAATCTCAGAGCTGGAAGGAAAGTCAGTAGAAGAGGCCAGATCGTGCTTTCTGCAATAGACAATGGTGCTTAAGTGTACACAATTTTCATGCAAATTCCCCCGATCATGAAGCTGGGCTGCTCCCTATACTTCTTGTCATTTGATTCTCCAGGCCACCTGCCTCTCCAGCCCAGCTTTATAATGGTAAGGCACTGATGAGTTTGCATTTATTTAGATACACTGGAGGGATTTTGCGACTGGAGTTACAGGAGGCTGAGGAGCTGGCATCTGAAAGTCCATGCTTCACGCTTTTCAAATGCACTATGTATAACCAAGCTCATTTCCAAAAACAGAATCTGAACTAGCTCATAATAAACCATTCACCTTTTATTTTTTGCTGAAGGGGTCAGAGCATCATCCCAATTACCATTTCTCTCTAATGACCACTTACTCCCTTCTTACACATTTTCATCAGCTCTTTATTCTACACTGAGTATTTCCAAGAATTAGGATAACACTACCGCCCAATAAGATAGAGTTGGGGTTACCCAAATAAGCAACAGAAGCTTTCCAGTGGGACCGAGTCAAGTCAAGGGTCTCAAGTCCCCCCACCCTAAAGCACTGAACACGAAGTTCAGGGAGCCTGTGTCTGAGGCCTAAGCACTTGCCCTGCATCACAATGAGCAGAAGACACAGGAGGCACGACAGCCGTCATCACTGCACAGCCACCAGTACACCTCGAAGCCAATTAATCCTGCAAAACAAATTCCTCTCAAAATGGCAGTCTGTTAGGTCAAGTTTGGCTGTTTTGTTAATCGCCTATCAACAGAAACAGCTTTGCTAGGCACACCCAGAAGTTCATCTCTCCTCATCACCCACCTTTGGCACCCAGTGACTTTTCCAAGGAGGATCTTTTTCCCCCCTCAGCAAACAAGAAATATTTGGTGAGCTAAAGAAGCATTCTTCTGAGAAAATTATACATTCTCAGAATTCCATTCATAAAGGACTACTGGTCACAAAAGAATGGCCAGGGGTAAGGCAGGGGTGGGAGGAGGAAGGGCAGGAGACCCAACGGATGGTGCTGCCTGGACAGTCCCTGAAGTGATAAAGAGTTAGAACCAGACACACACTTCTGCATTCAGCTGCTGTCTTTCCTTGTGAGTGGAAAAACACACTCAGTACATTCTCTGCAATCCTGCTTAAAACCTCTTCTAAAGCTTCTTTGACACAGTTATTCAAAAGCTTCTAAAAGTAGTATCGACGTATTACAAAATAATCCAATCATTTCAAGTTCACTGAGGAAGAGAACAAAAATATATCCTTACATCCTATCTGAAGAATAGTCTAAGCACCTAATAATATCATCTACTTAGCAAAGCAGAAGGGGCCATTCAGAGGTCAAGAAATAGGAACGGAAACGTTGTACTAGGTTACCACCCCAGGAACAAAGCTGGTCTTTTCTAGGACCCAAGGATCTGACTAGTTTCCATTTGTCTCTGCATTACAACTAATACCTCTGGGAGGTGGGGGTGGGGGTGATCCTAATTCAAACAGTAAGGCTGCCCAGGAAGTATTTCTAATAATATCAACCTTCGTCTTTCCTTTTTTGTACTGTAGGCTCTTTGTCTCCTGATCTTCTTTTATTTTGTTCCCCCTTTTTACTACTAAGCCCAACTCCTGGTCTCAGCAGCTGCTAAAACACGTCCAAGCACTTTGCATCTATCCGGAAATCCAGAATGGCAGCCTGGGTTCACAGATCTGCTGCCAAGGGCAGATGTATGCGCACTGCAGCTGGGCCCTCCTCCCCAGGGGCCCCATGGGCACAAGCAGCTCAGGGTGGGCCAGCGAGCCTCAGTCACACTGGCTGCCCTCAGCCCCACCTTCTGCATGAAGGGTGGCTAAGCTCCATGGGCCACTCTGCATTAACCCCAGGAACGGCAACCTCACTAACTTCATCCAGGTCCCTTCATTAGGACTTGCAAAAACAAATCAGATGCAGCTACACGTTGGGGCAGTGGGTGCAGCTTCTCTAAACAAGGCCATGGGTATCAAGCAACCGACAGTCCCTAAATACGCTGCCTCTGTTCCCATCCCACATGGATTCTGGGAAAAATGGCAGGAAGAAAGAAGAGAGGACTGGGCGCTTGTTTGTGACCAAGGCAAAGAAACAAAAAGCGACTTCTGTTCAATAATGAGATGAAACAGAAGCCCGGCTTCGGGCAGAGGCCTGGCATTCCTGCACAACATTTTCCCACCCACCTGATCCCCTTGAACGGAAGGAAGACCTAAGGGAGGACAGAGAGCCAGTGTTTGTTTCCTGCAATGGGGGTGAGAGGAGGAAAATGAAACTAAACAAAACAGGAGAAGAGGCTGGGTGGGAGAATAAAGTGGTACGCACATACACAAACACACACGCACACGTGCACGTGTGCACACATATACCTAGCGTTACCAAAGAAGAGGATAAACAGGCACATGCTTCATCCTGGAGCAGATGGTTGGCTACCTATGTGAGACCTAAAGTTGTCATAAAAATGCACATCTTTGTAATCTTTACCAATAACTGTGCCCACTCTAACCACTTTAATGTTATCCATGCAAACAGACAGAGGCATTTAAAAAATATGGTATTTAATGATTTAATGTCAGTATCATACAAGAATCTATGGATATTTCTTAAATGCTCCCAAATACCAAACTTGCAAACAAAATAAATTCAGTTTCGGAACCAAATAAATAGAGTTTACATATGACTAGGGTGACTCCACTGGCACCCCGATATAGACATATGTACCTCGCTGAATGTTCTGTAAAGATACAGTTTATCTGGACAGACACAAGAATTTGAACAGTACGAATCAAATTAGCAAGAACCACACCTACAGTATGGCCCGCTATTTACAATAATTGAAATTCTACAATTTAGAAAAGCAATACAGAAGGACCATTTAGTTATGGTAGTGAACATATATAGTCAACACAGCTTAAGACTCAGAATTTTAGATGGTCTTAGAATGCAACTCTTAGATAGTTTAATTTAAAAAAAAAATAGCAGCAGCTGCCACCATTTACCAAAAACCTATGTGCTTGGAAACATGTTAGATGCTTTTCAAATACTGTCCTATTCCTGTCTCACTGAAGGAAGGTGAGGTCTGGCAGCTTTGTCCTAGCACCACATACCTGAGGCAAACAGATGGCACTATCTCAAGGCATCAACGGTCCTTAAACCTTTGCATATGATACCACTTGTCCACACAGGAACGTAGTTTAAAAGAAATACATCCTGTTCTGTACAAAATGATGTATTCTTGCAGATCTCGCTGTTAATATGCCATGGGGAAAACAAGCAGGGGAAAGCTGTACATCCGCATGTGGAGCCACCTAAACATCCTGAAGACCAGTCACACTGAGAGTGAGGGCAGGCACAGGATGGTAGCTTCTGCCCCCACGGACTCCACAATATTGTAAGGAACAGATGCTCAGGGATATCAGGGGTGAGGCCTGGCCAGCCCCATGACATCCTGAAAACCTAACAGCGGCCAAGCTGACCCCGCAGAAGAAGTGATCTAACCTGGATGGTCACCTTCCCTGCCTAAGACTCACCCTTTCCACCGGCCCCAGAAGCCCTTATTCCTCCTTGACTTGAAAAGACAACTGTCCCCCATAAGCCCTCACACCTCCTACCAAGCTCCAAGGACTGTTCTGTTCTTCTGCCTACTCCCGCAATGCAGTTCAAACGTTTACCAGGGCTCTACAGTGAGCTACTTTTCCAAAGACAGAAAAGCAAGGCTATGTGCAATCAGACGAAACTCCAGCTCTCATTGTAACATCCAGCTTAAAGCCATATGTTAGCCAGTGGCAGGTACAGATTAGAACCCAGAATGGTCTAGATTTTGGGTTTCTACTTGGGGTTCCTTCTTCCATATAAATGATCTCTAAATTTCTTAAACCCTGATTCCCAAATTATACATGATGATCAGTGTGCCATTTGATGAGTTATGAACATTTTAAATGCTGCATACCTTGCCTGTATGTACTAGGATCAAAGAGGAGAGAGAGAGAGACAGAGAGAGAGACCAAGCAACACGAACACACAGGCAGATCAGGAAGCAAGAAATCTTCTCAGAGCAGACCACGGAAACCCTCAGTAACTTACTCAATTTTAGAGTTTGAGGAAACGGCACAGGTAGTCCGATGCAAGCCCCCCGAGTTCAAAGAAAGGAAATGGAAGTACAGGGCAGACAGGTGACGTGGCAACCGTCCCTAGGAAAGGCACTGCTGGACCCAGCTGTCCCTGTCCCTCACCAGCCTCACATGCCCAAGTCCCATGTACCCCTGGGGCTGCCATGCTGGCTGCTGAGCCATGGGCGCTGGTTTGGAGATGAACTTCTTCGAGGAAAGCAGCTTCTTATCCCCCAGAAGTTCTGCAGATCATCTGTGCACTTTGGTTTTTACTTAAAATGTGATTTAAACAGCCTGCTCTACTTAATACTGCCTGTGCCACAGACAGAAAAATCCCATCTCCCACCCACCAGCCTCCCTGGAACAAACACCTTGGCTGTCTCTCGCTACCTCCAAGTCAGGGGAACATTCCAACCAGGATGGTGCTCAGAGACCCCACCTTTTATAGCCAGAGTCCCTGATTCACACCATATGCCCAAAGGAGGCGTGTTTCTAAGTGATGCTTCCAACTTCACCACCAGCCAAACTTAACTTTTGAACCACCCTATACACGCAAGTTGAGCAAGGCAATTCAGGACAAGATTAACCACGGGCCCACACGCTCCACGTCATCCCCACTCTGCCGAGAATGTCACACTGGCATACACATGAGGAAAGCAAGACAGAGGTATTAACGCAACAAAGAAAGAGGCTTTTCAAGCACAGGAAGAAACCAGAACAATTGTACAAATAGGTTTAACTGGTGAGAGCTGAAGGGGCTCCAGATATTTTCCAAATACTTGGCATGCAAAAATCACCACAAGTCAGTGGTTCTGAAAGCTTTTTGGTCTCTTAGACGAGATCCCTATTAAAAACTTCTGAAGGAGGCCCAGGATGGTGACACCATCACTAATGACAATTAGCCAAAAGCAAAGTCTTTGAGGCACAAGGCACACGCCCCAAGAAATGAGGTGGGCTAAGCCAGGTCCCAGGGAACCTGCACACAAACTGCTTCACCATCTCGGCAACAAGCGTCGGCAATCAGGCAGAAGAGAATGTGAGCTCCACGCCTGACTATAAAAGGCATAGCAATGAGGCCTGGGGGCATGTGACCCCCTTCTAAATAAAGATCACCCCCACACTGGGAGCAGCTGACCAGAGCAGAGGCCTTCCAGGGCAACCGAGACAAGTTCCTACCAACAACACAAAGCCAGATGCCCCTCTCCTGGCTGCCTTCTCCTCCAGGGTCCACAAGCCCCTCCCAAGAGTCCACCTGAAAATGCAAGCCTGTGTCATGATCGTCTTAGCAGTCTGGGGAACAGTGGCCTGCAGAAGACCAGCAGCAGACCACACAGTGCTTAACAGAAACATCTCAGCTCTTCACAAGTAGCTTAAGTTTAAAAAAAAAATGTTAAGATGAAATACTGCACATCACATGAGTGAAGTCTCACTACAAAGACAATGTGCCCCTCTTCCCCCCATCCAGCAGGTGATTTACACATTCTTTTTTTATTATTATTTTCCTTTCTCAAAGCTAGCCATAAAACTTAGTTACAAAATCTTTTTTTTTTTTTCTCAGACAGGATTTCATTATGTCGCCCAGGCTGAAGTGCAGTGGCACAACCACGGCTCACTGTAACCTCCATCTCCCCAGGCTCAGGCGGATCCTCCCATCTCAGCCTCCCAAAGTGCTGGGACTATAGGCACGTGCCTCCACAACCAGCTAATTATTTAAATTTTTTTATATGAACAAGGTCTCACCATGTTGCCCAGGCCAGTCTTGAGCTCCTGGACTCAAGCGATCCTCCTGCCTCAGCCTCCCCAAATGCTAGGATTACAGGTGTTAGCCACTGCGCCCAGCCTTCAATTTACACATTCTTAAACAGGTCCTCCACTTTGATCTAGCAGGTCAGCCACACCAACCTATAGAGGAAAACGAGGGAAGGAGAGCGCCTCTACTCCGCAAGACAACACTGCCCTTGTGAGCAGTGGCTGACAAACAAGGATATAAGAACGTGGCGGTGGAAAAATGTAGACTTTTTTTTTTTTACTACAACCTGCCTTCATTTTAAGTCAGTGAGATGCCATCAGTGAGATGGCAGTAAAATGTTTTCCTTTTGTCAATAAAAACAGCCATTTACTGCCTTCTCGAAGGCTCCAATCTGCTATTTTCCTGGTTTCTCATTTTGAGGGCAATAGGAAATGCAACAAACTCCAGGACTGCTGCTCCCAGTCAATGCCCTTTTAATTGAAATAAGGCTGCCCCACCAGCTAAGCCAGCTTCCAACACAGCCCGGCCCTGCCTTCCTGGATTTCCTGGCAAAGCCCAGGCCTTCTCACACGCACTCAGGGTGATCTGAGCAGACCACAGGCTGTTCATCCCAATGGGTTAAAAAGTACTTGGAGACTTAGTTGCAGTAAGGTCTTAGGTTTTGTTGGGGTTTTTTTTGTGGGAAAGTGAAGGCATCTGCACCTGAAATGAAATACCAGAAAGCCTCCACAGCAAGCAAACAACAGGCACTTAGGTAAATTCAGCAGGAAGTAAGAAAACCACAGGTACTCAGGAGGATTCACCTCCGTCCCTCCCAGGGCAGAACTGGCCTTCAGCAAAACTGCCTTACAAAGTCATGAATGGCTTCACGTGCCAAGCTTCAACCTTTCAGATGATTTCCATACTTCTCCATCATCTTTGGCCTGGAATCATCCCCACAATGGCAGGAAAGAAAAGAGCTACCCGCCATAGTGGTCCTCTCTGCCAACTAAGAGTTGCAGATGATTCTGGTCAGTACTCCTCAGTAGCAATGACAGCAACAATGACACAGTAAACATCTGCATTTCATAATCCTGGTACAACTGGCTCACCGAAGACTGCCAGGATACGCTACTCTCTGCTCAAGGGGAAAATGTATCTTCCGAACAATAAATCCTTCACTAAGCAGATGCAGTGCTTGCCCTTGGGGTGACAGCATACAGTGGAGGATACACCCAGAATTTACAGTGGGGCAAAAAGTGTCCCATCAGGTGCTGGGAGACAGGCCTCCCGAAATCTGCAGAGCCTTTACATCCTTGAGAGGAAAAGGCAAGGCTAGAGTTCGGCCAGGTGAGCCGTGCCGGCTGGTCAGCACGGGAGAGCACCACTGGGGCCAAGGACACAGCAGGCAGGCGGGAGGGAGTGGCACATGGAGTGTGGCATGTTGTCACGGGGTAGCTGTTGACCACTCAGGAGCTTCACACTGTACCACATGCCTATCCTATAGGGACTTGCTACAGGATTTCAGGTAGGGGAGCTCATCAGTCCAAAGTGCACACTAGATGGCCGGGCGCAGTGGCTCATGCCTGTAATCCCAGCACATTGGGAGGCCAAGACCGGTGGATCGCCTGAGGTCGGGAGTTCGAGACCAGCCTGGTTAACATGGTGAAACCCCGTCTCTACTAAAAATACAAAAATTAGCTGGGTGTGGTGGTGCGGGCCTGTAATCCCAGCTACTCAGGAGGCTGAGGCAGTAGAATCACTTGAACCTGGGAGCCCGGAGGTTGCAATGAGCCAAGATCGCACCACTGCACTCCAGCCTGGGTGACAGAGTAAGACTCTTTCTCCAAAAAAAAAAAAAGTGCATACTGAAAAGCTCCCCAGTGCTCGGTGGAGCCACAGGACACAATAGCAGGAGAGAGGCTATGTCACTGCTGTAAGGGGGAGGAGCAGAGGAACACAGCTGAAGCAGCATTTCCATTCCATTCGGGAGGGAAAGGGCCTGGTATCCAACTGGAGAAGGAAGTGTCCAAAGGACACCCACATTCCTGACATAAGAACCAGGGGAACAAAAGTGTGGCCCACTTAAGAGGGAATAGAAAAGAAAAAAAATAGGCAAAAGTGAGGAAACAGGGAAGACCATCAGAGGCTGTAGTGAAATGCTCGTGGTGGTCTGATATGAATGACAAGTCCTGGGTTCAAAAGGGTTCTGGGATGGATATGAATGACAGGTCCTGGACTCAAAAGGGTTCTGGGCTGGAGATACTTGGAAGTTTAGGTGGAGACAGGAGGCAATGCAGTTACCAGTGGATGAGATGAGAACAAGGAAAGTGAAAAGAGAGCCCAGGACAGAACTCCAGCCATGCTATGATCTGAATGTTTATGTCCCCTCAAAATTCTTATGTTGAAACCTAATCCCCAGTATGATGGCTCTGGGAGGTGATTAGGCCATGAGGGTGGAGCCCTCACAAATGGGATTAGTGCCCTTATAAAAAAGACGCCAGAAAAAAAATCCCTCGCCCCTTCCAACATGTGAAGACAGTGAAAAGGTGCTTCTGTGAACCAGAGTGTGGGCCCTCCCCAGACAGTTAATCTGGTAAGCACCTTGAACTTGGACTTCCAGCCTCCAGAACTGTGAGCAGTATTTCTGTTGTGTGTAAGCCACTCAGGGTATGGGATTTTGTTACAGCAGCCTGAATGGACTATGTCAGGAGACCACCGTTAAAAGCCAGACTGAGGGAAGGGAGACAGAGAAGCGGCACCTGTGGGGGTAGGAAGAGACTCATAAGAGGGTGGCGTTGGAAGACAAGGAAGAAGAATCAACCACACCACATGTCAGGGGGTGCCACACAACTATGTTCTTACTGAAAGGAAACCACTGTACACAGTTCTTTAAGGGTCAATCGCTCTTTAGGAATGACTCAAAAATGTATAAAATCCACTCCTAAATCCAAAAAGAACCGAGAAATACAGAAGTGTGCAGAGAACCCACAGAGGGATCACGTCCATAGAGGGAGTAGAGTCTACTACGCTGCCAGACACTGCAGAGTCACGGCACAGAAGGAGTTTAAAGGACAGTGCCAAGTGAAAACCGCGCAACAGCACGACAAAATCGAGTAGGCTCAACGATTTCACACACACCCTTGACGTGTTTCTCCAGATGTTCTCCGTAGTTCTACAGCCAGCCAACAGAAGATTACCTGAATGGGATTCTTCTGTGCTTAATGTTTTCGAATGGCCATCTTAATGCTTATGTTGAACTCAAGGTAGCCATTCTGCCTGGACTCAATGCCCTTCATGGAGCTCCCCAAATGATTCCTAAGGGTTCTGGCTGGAGAGGTACATGCGGGGCTATGAGCGCTGCAGTGACGACTCAGCCAAAAAGATGATGAGGGGAAGAACTCCTGGTGTTAAAAGAAATGCTCTAAAGCAGCTTACCAACACAGAATGCAAGCCACATCTGTAATTTTAAATTTTCAAGTAGCCACATTAAGAATTAAAAAGAGTCGGGCATGGTGGCTCACACCTGTAATCCTAACACTTTGGGAGGCTGAGGCGGGCGGATCATCTGAGGTCAGGAGTTTGAGACCAGCCTGGCCAACATGGTGGTGAAACCCCGTCTCCAGTTAAAATACAAAAATTAGACGGGCATGGTGGCACATGCTTGTAATTCCAGCTACTTGGGAGGCTGAGGCAAGAGAATCGCTTGAACCCAGGAGACGGAGGTTGCAGTGAGCCGAGATCGCGCCGCTGCACTCCAGCCTGGGTGATGAGAGCGAAACTCCGCCTCAAAAAAAAAAAAAAAGAATAAAAAGGAAACAGGCAGGTGAAATTTAAGAACACATTTTACTTAATCTAATATATCCAAAATGTTATATTTCAACATGTTATCAACATAGTAATTATTAATGAAATGGTGTACAGAGTTTTTGCTATACTATGTCTTGGAAATCTAGTGTATATTTTACACCTAAAGCAGTCCCAATTCGGACAAGCCACAGTTCAAGTACTCAATAAGCCACGTGGCTTACTCAATAAGCGGCTACCACACTGGACAATGCAGGTCTAAATGGAATCTACGCAAACCAAGAGGAAGTTCTGATTCAACTAGAAAATCTCCAAGAAATATGCCCATGCCTGAGTTTTCAGGACAAGGGGAAGGGAAGTCAATTTCCCGGAAAGCAGTTACCAATTTTATATAAGTACTCCATTGTGAAATCACAAGGAACATCAGCAGGGCTGGGATGGTCAAGGAGAAGGCTGCAGGGCGTGGCCTTGGGGAAGCAGGTGACCAACCAACAGGTGATATCAAGGCTCTGTCTGTCACCAGCAGAGCCCACCTTCTAACCATCGTTAACATTTTCACGGTGCTTTTCCTTCCTCCTTTTCATCTTCCAACAGCCCTATGAGGAAGGCAGGCTTTACCCCATTCCACATATGAAGAAACCAAGGCCCAGGCAATTTAAATAACTTGCTCATTTCTAGTCGCCACTCTTAGACTTGGACCCAGAATGCAGGCCTCACCCCTACCCCAGGGGTCTTCAATCAGTAGCTCATCAGAAACAGCCAAAAACCTATGGCAAGACCAAAGTAACTACCTACCTAGTTCGTGAACAACTCTCCACTTAATGACGTTTCATATGGCACCTCCCTTCTCTAAAGAGCTTATGAGTTTTCAAAACATCCTCATGCCCATATATGATCACCACTAAGGGATGTACTGGACTGCCCTAGAAATATCCTAAAAAAGCCCAACTACAGCCCAGAAGGGCTGGCCCATCCAAGGTCATTCCTGGCCCTCATCACCACATTCAACATCTCTTTTCTACTCCATGCTGCCTCCCTTGATAACACCTTTTACTTTTCAGATAAAATTTTTAAATGTCAAGGTTATTTAAAAAATATATTTTGTTGTTTTCTCAAACCAGTGGGTAACTTAATGATAGGGCAGTTTTAATCAACCACACAAGTGACTTTAGCATAAGATCTCCCTCCAACTCCAGCCAACCTTAAAGTGGCCTGACTGCATTCTCAGAGCTCTACAAGGTACTGGCTGCAGCCAGTGGGACCCCTGCCCTCACTAATCAATGTTCACATACGCACTGATCCAATTCTGCAGAATAGAAAAGTGCGTGGCAGATCAGGGTACACAGATCCTTTTCCTGCCTCAGGACTGGTTGAACGGGAACTGAAGGGCTACCTGGGAGGTCTGTCCTTTATTTACTTTACACACTTCACCCCTGTGGGGTCTCGCCTTTTATTTATTTTAGGCAAGTCTAACAATTTGGGGTTTCTTGGTTCTTCATAACTAGAGAACATGGGTTCCTTACATCTTTAACTGGGCCAACACTTAAATAATAGCTATTTATAGCTAACACACTGACTTCAAACCAGTGAGGAAAAGCTTCCTAGCCAATATACATAACTATTGCTGAATGCAATAAGGTGAAGGCTCAGAGTCACATTTTAATACCAAACAGCCTGGTTCTTAAGGAACTGATCACATGAAGGCAAGAGCTCAGTTATTCTCAAGGGAAAATAAGCATATTGCAGATAAATATACAAGAAGCTTCAAAATACCACCATCTGACCCCCAGAACAGTAAATACTTTCCAAAGTTCCTTCACTCGTGAAATCTTAAGATTTTCACAACTGTTCAGTAAACAGGTATAAAAGAACGAAAACAGAATCCCAGAGGTTTAAAAATGCACCCTGCTACACAGCTACCTGCAAGTACAGCCTGAACCTGGGACTTGCAGAAATGGGTCCAGAGGTCTCCCACCTGGGCCAGGTGCTCTGTCATAACCAGGACACCTGAGTATCATAACATCATCACTAGGACCTAAGGACCACTTTCACAGGATATGAGTTAGTGCTTTACCTTCCCTTTATTTAACCATATTCCAAGTCCATTCAAACTAAGGAAGTCCTGCAGAACAAAAAATATCACTTCGCACAAAGGATGAAAGAGCTGACACATAAGCAGCCCCCAGCTGCCAAGGCTCAGGGACTTCCAAGCACACCAGGTCACCTTTCTCATCAGGAATTCAAAGCTGAAGGTCAGCAAGTGTCTAGCCCAGGAGTGTGCTGGATTATTTCTAACATGTGATTTGAACAGTCTTGACAGCAGCCATGATGGCCTCCAGCCACGCCACAGTCCCGCAATCCAAGAGTCCCAGATGCAAAGGAAAGCCAACCAAGACCCCCACTGGGAACCACTTCCGCACAGCAGGCATGCCACGTCCTAAATGCAACACGACTGCACCCTGCCCAGCGGAACTCGTGCACTCAGAAGAGAAGGGAGGTCAAGGAGGAGGAGAGGAGAGAGAGAGGCAGAGAGAAAGCAGCAGTCAGCATCATTCTTACTTTTCTGGCAGCGGTTTGTGGTCCAGCAGCGGTAGTTGTACTCATTGTTGATGGTGGTCTTCTCACACATCGGCTTCTCCTCCATGGTCCCTGGACACAGGTCCCCACATTCCTTTGGGGGCTTATTCCCCACAATGTAGTTATTGGACACCGCATCCAGGATCAGGGACCAGTCCACAGTGGAGAGGTAACAGAGGTCAGCATTTTTCTCAATCCTGATGGCCCCCCGAGTAATGTTCCTCAGGTTGTAAAGCCCAATATCCTTGAGATTGGTCATCTCGAAGATGACCAGGGCGTAGTTGTAGAAGAGTTTCCAGCCGCGGATGACCGTGAGGTTGGGGAAGAGGTCTCCGAGGCTCTCGAGGCCAGCCACTCGGAACAGCAGCAAGTACTCGGTAATGACCGTGAGCTTGGGGAAGCGGTAGCTGCGGTAGTCCTCGGCCTTGGAGATGAGCAGGATGTGGAGGTAGCCCTCGATCACCGTGCAGTTCTCCAGGCGCTTCAGCTGCTGATAGTCGTTGCGGATGTCGATGCCTGGCCCGCAGACTGAAGGGAGACAAGAGGGTAAACGTCTCAGTTAGAAGGAAATAATTTTTAAACTATTTTCCAAACAATAATACAGTTGGTTTTCAGGAATCCTGTATTATTATTAAAGAAATGAGGTTCAATTGTTCACTGCAGAGCTGTGGGTTGCAGACTGACAGTTTAGGTGGCTAACCAGTTAGCTGGCATTTATACAGTGCCAACACTGGACCAGACGCTGTGCAACACACTCCAACCGACCATGGGAGAGGCCATCCCCGTTAACCGTGCAAACTAAAGCTTACAGCCCAGAGGCACACAGAGGCAGAGGCGAAAGTTAAATCTGCAACCCAGGCCAGCCGGACTCCACCACCGCACACTCCTGGTCCGTTCTGCAGAGCGTCAGTTGCCAAGGCCTGAACGACAGCTCAGCAGCCAAGTATCAATAACTTACTACTGCACCCTGCCTGAAGGACACAGGGCAATCAATCTACTCTACACTGGAGAACCGTCACTGTGACTTGTAAAGTGGGGACTAAAAAACGCATGCTTCCATGCTTCCCACTACCATTTGACATAAGCCGAGTAGACTGTGTTCTCTCCACACGTGCATTAATGTAGACATAAAGGATAACCTAACAAGATTAAAAACGTGATTTTTTTATGAATAAAAGCAGCATAAACTCCAACTTTAAGTTTTATTGATCAAGAAAGCATGCTTCCTACAGAGTTTAGAGGTAATAACCAAAAAAAAAAAACCAGTAAAAATCATCAACGATCTCAACATTCCACGATAAACAATGTTAACACTATCTATGCCAATTATCCACTCTCTATAAATGAAGGTAAGTGAAATCAGACAAAAATGACATTTGTAAACACACTTCCTTCACTTAATATTTTACTAGGTCAATACATGTCCTTCTACATCACCATTTTAAGGGGACAGTAGTTCCAGAGTATTAATACACACCATGAGGGTTGTTTTTTTTTTTTAACCAATCCCTTATTGTTGGACATTTAGGTTAGCTCCTGTTTTGCACATTATAAACAACACTCCAGTGAACATTATTGGCAGATACCCAAGACTATTTTCTTAGGATAAATCCCTAGAAGTGGAAGTGCTGGGCCAACGCATTTGCAGATTTTAAAGGCTTTTCATAAAATGGCCTCAATACTGGATGACTTATTTTCTAAATTCTAAGCACAGACACACACCAAGAAAACTCTTTGTGATAACCTTTTTTAGGATTTAATAATCCCAAGTACACTATTAAAGCTTCTCAGATAGAGTGAAGTTTTCTGACTGATGTAATTAATTTGGGAAGCACCCAACATGTATGATACCACGAGAAATGCCAACAGGCAGTGCCCTGCCCTCTGAGGAGGCTCATGGTGAAGGCAAAGAGCTAAGACCCATGAGGAACAACTGTCACATGAGGCAGGTGGTCAGTGGTGTGCACACAGCGAGTCCACTCTAGATGTGAATGGAATTAAGCAGGACAGACAAGAGGTGGTGTCCAAGCTTTGTGCCACCGTGCTAAGGGGAGCTCTGCACACAGGCCGGCTCCCAAAGGGTGCCTAGGATTTAAAGCTCGGTAAATATCCCACAGGCCAGAGACAATGCAGAACAAGGTATGCCCATGTGCCAGCAGATCTGATGGTCAGGGTGAAGAGGGGAGCAGTTGAGGAAATGAATTTGATAGCACCCAAGTCATAAAGGATCACATGTGGGGATAAGAACTTTCATCTCAGAGGAATAAAGCCCCCACAAGGCTCCTGAGCGGGAGAGAAGCCCATGTGAGGCCTTTTGCAGGATTAATCTGGTGGCCCAGTGCAGGACGGAATAAGTGAACAGACGAGGGAGAGAAGAAAAGTCCCACTGGGCATTACATTACAATCAAAGACAGAAACTGAGCAGAGATAGCGAAGAGAAGAGGAAGTGGAGGGACCCAAGGGCTGAGGAGTGGGCAAAGCTTGAGAACTTAGAATGTGAAACTTCATATCATCTAATTCTTCTGTTTTACCAAAGAGAAAATGACACCCCTAAGACAGAGAAAAGAATAGCAGAAACCAGCACTTGGCAAACACCCATTTTAAAGGTGAGGAAACAGATTTGGGGAAGTCAAGTCACTTATACACAGTCACATACATTAGATTTCAGCCCCTACATAGCAAAACTTGACACAAGGCTTGTCAATAGTCCCACCTCTCAGCACCCTCACCTCCTGGTTACCTTTAACCCACTCCGACTGAGCTTCTGTCCCCATTATGACACCGAATAGCTCCTAGCAGAGCCCTCAGTGACACTGTCGAAGTGTCACTTGACCTTCCAGTCACCTGGCATTGCCTCCTCCTCTCGGCTTCCCTGATTCCACACTGCTCTGCCTTCTACCTTACCTCTAAATGTTGGTTGCTATCCTCAACCTTTTCCTCTGTCACCTCATCCAGACAAGTGGCTTCCTGTGCCACTCATACTCTAGATATGATCAAATTCATGTCACTGGCCCAGACTCTTTTGAGCTCTAACGTATACATCCGAGTATATCCATTGAGGTGTCAAACAACTCACTCATCCCCCCACATAATCCACCTTCCAAGCTTGTAAACTGCAGCACTCTCATTCTCTGAGTTGCTCACGTTAAGAATCAAAGAGTCATTCCTGATTCTTCTCTCCTCTCACACCTCACATATCTAGTCCAGCAACAGACCTCAGGGCTTCCGCTCCCAAGCCTATGAGAATCTTGGTTGCTCTTCCCACAATGCTGCCCCACGTCTTTCCTCCCTGTGCAGCACGCTGTTCCTCAACAACCCTACACACTTCCCTCCCAAGGTACACCACCCTCTGCAGGACACCGCTCTGGCCCTTCTTTTCATGGTCTCTCTCACCGCAGCTCCAGTTGGTTCACAATTATATCACCAGTGCCTAAAACAGTACTTGGTGTGCAGCGGACACATGACATGGGACACACGCAGAATGAGTGAATTTCATCATTCTTTCAATGTCTGTGTGTCTCCACTACTTTAGCTCTGATCTGAGCCACTATCAACTCCAGCTTGGCCTAAAGCAACACATTCCCCATGATCCAGCCTCCTCACGGTCCGTCCCTGTCCCAACACCATCTGACAAGACTCCACGGGACTCACCAACCTCCAACACACCGAGCTCCTCCTCTGTGATACCCTGCCGCCCACAGTGCTTCTGCTCCTTCAGGAGGCTGCCCCATTCTCTAGCCATCTGGGTCTCCACTCAAACGTCACCTCCTCAGAGCTCTGCCTAAACACCTTAGCTTCAACTATTCCCCCAACTGTCCCCCAACTCCTCCCTCCCTCCCCTACCTCTCATTTCTCTTCTCGCTTCTCTAAAAAGTCATTTTATATATTTTTAATAATCTTGTGCATGAAACAAAGTTTGTATACAACGAACCATTTTATTACCCTTTGTGGAGGTGTCTGAGGGAATCTGGGCATGTGTGGAAAAGACACATCACAGCTGAAGGGGGCCGGGAGGGTCTTTTTTCCCCTGGGGACACTAAATTAACTGTGTGTCGTGTGCCTGAGTTTCGAAAAGTGACCCGTCACATGAGGTCAGGTGTGGAATTTTCCACTTGTGGTGTCATGTCAGTGCTCCAAAAGCTGAAACTTTTGAAGCATTCTGGATTTTGGATTTTTGGATTAGACAGGCTCAACCTGTATAAAGCGTTAGGCATCTATTTACTTGTTATTTCCAACAGATCACAAAATTCAGTACCTAGTGAAACAACATGAAGACAAAGACTGAAGCAAGTTGAACTTCATACTGCAATCAAAATGCAGACAGGAGGAAAGAATCTGCTTCACTTTGCCATCTGGCCCCCCTTCCACAGTCAGTGTTGACCACTAGTTAACAGAGGCCACACTACAGAGCTGGAACTGTGAATTTCCTTCAAATGAAAGAGCAGTCTCCATACTTCACACTTTTCCTCCCATTTATAGAAGAAAAGAGAAAAAAAGTAGGAAGAAGCTACCCACTTACTCTGGAAGAAAAGACAAGCCCAAACCACAGAGCACGAGGCAGGGCCTAGGAACCAGCTGTTTTGGAGCCTATGACTGACACCACTGGTCTTCAGGAGGTTTTGTGATAGAAACAGTGAAAAAGAAAACCAAGCTGGACCATGAATGATAGCAGCGTTCAGGAGGCGCAAGCCACAAACAGGAAAGAGAAGAAAATATGCTCCACTGGTGCCATGAAATAATTCATGCACCGAGGGAGTAAACAGTAAACACAGCACAAGAGGGAGAGACACACCCTTTGTGGCTACTCACCGATGATTAAAAGGAAAATGCAAAATACCCTTTCTCCCTTCTCAAAGCAACCGATATTGGCATGATCCAAAAACAAACCCAAAAACTTTTGGAATGTGAGATCCCAGGCAGCCCTGTAAAGAATAAGACAAGCAGGGAAGCAGAGAGAAAGGGTACAGCTGGAAGATGGGGACAGTGGGGCCTCAGCAAAGTCCCCAAAGCCAGAGAATGGCAACAGCAGAACCAAAACAGATGGGGGTGCTGGGAGTCAGGGAAGGGAGTTGGGAGGGGCAGGCAGGGGCTTGGTACCTGGGTAGAATTCACTTCTCCAAAGATGTCATTTTATTTATTTTTTATTGTTTTTTGAGACGTGGTCTCACTCTGTCACCCAGGCTAGAGTGCTGCAGCACAATCGTGGCTCAATGCAGCCTCGACCTCCTGGGCTCAAGCAATCCTTCCACCTCAGCTCCCAAGCAGCTGGGACCACAGGGGTACACCATAACACCTAGGTTTTGTTTTGTTTTTTAATTTTTTGGCAGAGAGAGGGTTTCCCTATGTTGCCCAGGTTGGTCTCCAATTCCTGGGCTCAAGCAATCCTCCAGCCTCAGCCTCCAGAAGTGCTGGGATTACCACCACACCTGGCCAAAAGATGCCATTTTAAAGAAAGCCTTAAAAGTCAGGCACAGTGGTTCATGCCTGCAGTCCCAGCACTCTGGTAGCCCAAGGCAGGTAGATCGCTTGAGGCCAAGAGTTTGAAACCCCATCTCTACTAAAAATACAAAAATTAGCCAGGCGTGGTGGTGCACGCCTGTAATCCCAGCTACTTGGGTGGCTGAGGCCCAAGAATCACTTGAACCCACAAGGCAGACGTTGCAACAAGTCAAGATCACACCACTGCACTCCAGCCTGGGAGACACAGAGCAAGATTCTGTCTCAAAAAACAATAATAAAATTAAATTAAATTTTAAAATAAAGTCTTTCAGCTGAAATGAGTACTGTTAACAAAATACTCTTAGGTATTTTCTAAAGATCAAGAGGCAGAATGTCTGCTCTAACAACTTAGGTGAATGGCATATACAAGCTATATATATTTTGAAAATAAATCCCTAAGAACTAAATGTTAATATGAGAAGGGCTAAAGAAAAGCATTTGGCTGAGAAAACGCCCCAAAGCTGTGTAGCTAAGTATTTGGAAGACCTACACGAGAACTGTAAATTATGTCTTAGACACAACCTTGAGGTCCTAGGAAAAAAAAAAAAAAAAAAAAACAGCGTGACTCCCATGAGCCCAGAGTGCCATTTACCAGCTCCTGCTCTCAGGCAGACACACCTCACCTCTAAACCCCATCTTCCTCACCTGCAAAATGGGCTGTCACTACCTACCCTATAGAAGCTGGCATAAGAATCAGGTAAGTGCTTTTGTGTTACTGCAAACAGTAATACCTTTTAGCAGCTGTTATTAAGTAAACATTAATGGAAATACTGATCTATTTTGTTGCCCCAATGTAAATATTACTAACATACAACAAAGGAGGGTGGCATGAATTAGCAAAAACACTGATTATCCCTCTGTCAACAATTCCATTAAAGAATGTTATAGTTATCCATTTAGTTAAAATGGGTAACTACTTGATCAACTCTTCTTTAAAAATATGGGATAGGTTGGCCGGGTGCGGCGGCTCATGCCTGTAATACCAGCACTGTGGGAGGCCGAGGCGGTAGGATCACGGGTCAGAAGATCAAGACCATCCTGGCTAACACGGTGAAACCCCATCTCTACTAAAAATACAAAAACAAAATTAGCCGGGTGTGGTGGCGGGCACCTGTAGTCCCAGCTACTTGGGAGGCTGAGGCAGGAGAATGGCATGAACCCGGGAGGCGGAGCTTGCAGTGAGCTGAGATCACGCCACTGCACTCCAGCCTGGGTGACAGAACGAGACTCCATCTCAAAAAAAAAAAAAAAAAAAAAAAAAAAAAATGAGATAGGCTTAGCTTATAGTTGGAAATAAAAGACATCAGGAAACATAATTAGCCTTCTTTTACTACAGGTCTACAGGCACACTGTGAAGGTAAAGCACATTAGTGAACCAATCATCATCTTTAACTCTAATGGTAAAATCCAACATAACAAAACCTTTGGGCTTATGTGAGAAGTCGGTTTTGTCTCAGTAAGCGGCATACTATAGTAGTTCTTTACTCCTCTTAAAATGAATTCTTTGGAACCAATAACTTAGTACAACAAAAACCCTCTCTAGACACTATCACTCTGTGAAAGTCAAAATGATTTAAGAGGTTAGGAGAGGATTAGTGTATCACTGAATTTTGCACAACGAAGGCAGAACAACCATCTCTCTAGCAAGTGGCAAATTAAATGAAAAAAAAAGTTTTAATAGCGCAATAGACAGAACCCTGGGAACATAAAGACAAGGCCCCACAACTCCCTATCTCCGAGGAGGTCAGGAAGACTTCTCAGCAGAGACGACCCTGAAAGATGAGCAGGGTCTTGCCAGGAAGAGTGGGAGGCAGGGTACTCCAAGCAGAGGCAGGAGCACACCCTGGGAGGCAGCTGGAGCTGATGCCTGGTGGCAGCTGGGGGAATCCCAGGGGTGCAGCCCGTGTGGCGGGGAGAACAACAAAGGCAATGGGACAGATGCTAGAAAGCAGACTGAGACAAGTGTGTGGGAGGTCAACTTCACTTTGCTTGTAGGAGGAGTGTTCAAAGTCCTCAACATGCATCAGGACCACTTGAAGGAACTGTTAAAACGCAAGAGGTGAGGCCCCAAAATTTGTTTCTAATATGCACCCAGGTGATGCTGATGCTGCTGGCCTAAGCACCACCCTGTGAGACCCACTGCCCTAGGAAAGAACTGAATAACCCACCACACCACCTGTCACTACCCTCCCTACCCACCTTATCTGCAGTGTGGTGCAGGTAAAGCCTGTGCACCTGTTACTTCTCAAATTGACATTCTCTCTCTCAGAAAACCCCCAAGAAGCCCGAAGAAACTACGAAACAAAGCAAAGCAGAAGAAAAATGGGGTGGAGACAGACTCTCCCTAGTATATGATCCTCCCATGCTGTGCCCTTCAAGGTCTCAGCACACCCTCCTTGCGCTCAGAGAAGAGAGAGCATGGGTTTCTTTAGGCCTCATTCCTAATTGAAAAATCAGAGATCAGAAAAGAGGGAAAAAGACAATGTTATGATAACAAACACTACTGACACTTCAGTTTATTACAGTAGAATTTTCTGTGTAAGTGTAAACCGACACAATTCATGTTAAGCCCTTTATCTTCACGTGTCAATCAGAACATGTTTACGTTGTATATATACATTCCCATTTCACACAGACAGCAATCCTGGCCACCTAACACATTCAATAACTGAAGGCAATGATAAGAATGTAAGAGATTTCCATTACAGAGGAAACTCTGAGAACAGAAATTAGAAACCGAGTGTAATTTGAATGTGAACTGTTTTACTGCCGCAGAGCCACCCACACATCATGCATATCAACAAAATAAATGCACACATCAAGGGCAGTCCTGAAGGCTCAGAACGTTAAAACCAGAGTGCTACATACAGCAAAGAACTTACTAAGATGGGTGAGATGTTTCTATCCTGCCACGCCACTTAAGACATGGAAACTTTAACGGGAATTCAAAGACTAAAGGGAACACAAGCCCCAGTGTCCCCTCCACTGAAAGCATCTGTAGCCAAACAGACTGGCGCAGAATTGGTGCAGAGCTGTATTTGTAACAACCGTTTTCCCGGATCTTCATAAAAACAACTTTATCTGCTCTGACAGTTACTCCAAATGCCTTTCTCATCTTAAAATATCCCAAAGCCCAATATTCTAGGTCTCCATATTTCAAAAAACACCCTTAGAAGAGCCTCTAAGCCTTTCTAATTATCCACAGTTCCCATGGGTGGCTGGCTTCTCGATGAAGCAGGACACCAGGAGATAGAGTCCCTCGGAGCCAGAGATCTTTGCCTCACCATGAGGCCTTCCGAGGGGCAGCACCTGCCTAGTCCCACACCCTGTCCTCACTACCACCTAGCACCCACTGTGCATGAGACAGCACCCTAAACCTCCGAAGGACAGACTGTAGAGCCAGTGGATGGTGCTGTGAGGTACAGCCAAGCTGGGGCAAGGCCCATGCTGAGCAGGCACCTGCAAAAACCAAGTTCCTTCTGCCTTCCTTTCCCTCTCTCTCGTGACTTTCAACTTTCTTCTCAGAACCAGGCAAATGTCCTAAATAAAAGTCGGCCCTGTGTCCCCTGTCCTCTCACTGGCTTCATTTTGTAGAACACATTACATCATTCCAGTTACAGTTCACATCCTCATTTCAAAAGCACTTTACCTTGCCCTACAATGCTCCAGTTTCCTTAAGTGACCTGTACTCTTTTCAATTAGCCAGTTATCTAAGTCTAGCTGATAACAGTGTAGAAATCCCACTCATCTGTTCCCCTACCCTGCAGTGTGATTCTTCATGGATGTGGTGTCAAAACAGAAGCTTCTTGAAATACTGAGGCTTTCTATCTGATCTGGGGACTTTCCTAGCAAGGAAAAGGACTGGGCTAGTATTCAGAGACCAGCTACCTCTTGGATCCATCACCAACCACCCATCACATGGCCAGAGGTCAGTCCCTGCATCACTCTAGTTCATGCACAGGAAGGAAATCCTCTCACATGCAACAACCTGGATGGAGCTTGAGGACATTATGCTAAGTGAAATAAGGCAGTCACAAAAGGAGAAATCCTGCGGATTCTGCTCATAGGTACTCAAAGTAGTCAGACTCACGGAGACAGCAGAAAGTGGCTGCCCGTGGCTGTGGTAGGAGAGAATGGGAGTTATTAATGGGTACAGAGTTTCCGTTTTTCAAGATGAAAAGTGTTCTAGAGATTGATTGGACAGCAGTGTAAAGGTACTTAAACTGAACACTTTAAAATGTTAAGATGGGAGGCCGGTGGGCGTGGTGGCTCACACCTGTGATCCCAGCACTTTGGGAGGCCGAGGCAGGCGGATCACGAGGTCAGGAGTTCAAGACCAGCCTGGCCAACATGGTGAAACCCCATCTCCACTAAAAATACAAAAATTAGCCAGGCATGGTGCCTGGCGCCTGTAATCCCAGGTACTCGGGAGGCTGAGGCAGAAGAATCACTTCAACCTGGGAGGCAGAGGTTGCAGTGAGCCAAGATCGCACCACGGCACTCCAGCCTGGGCGACAGAGCAAGACTCCATCTCTTAAAAAAAAAAAAAAAAGGAAGGCCAGGCGCGGCGGCTCACGCCTGTAATCTCAGCACTTCGGGAGGCCGAAGCAGGGGGATCACTTGAGGCCAGGAATTCAAGACCGGCCTGGCCAACATGGCGAAACCCCATCTCTAACAATACAAAAGTTAGCCAGGCATGGTGGCGGGCGCGTGTAATTCCAGCTACTCGGGTGGCTGAGGCATGAGAATCGCCTGAACCCAGGAGGCAGAGGTTGCAGTGAGCAGAGATCGCGCCACCGCACTCCAGCCTGGGTGACAGAATGAGATCCTGTCTCAATAAAAAAAAGTTAAGATGGTAAGTTTTATGTCATACGTATTTCACCACAATTTAAGTATAGAGGGAAAGTTCTGCCGCATTTTAACACAAGTGCAAGTGGACAGCTGAGGGGAGACCACACAGCCCGTCCACCACCGAGAACCAAGGGGAACCCAGATGGAAGGAAAGCAGGTTTGGCCACAGCTCTGCTGCAGATACAGCACACACAGGCCAGGCCTTTAAAGATGCCACCCATACCAGGTGTGGCTGTGGGACTGCATCCAGCACAGTCAGATTCGTCAGGACACAAACAGAAGGGTCCCCCAGGAGTGCTGCACTGACTCCCCAGGGAAATGGGCTCTGGGCACACAGCCACAAGCAGGCAGAGGTGGCGGAGCAGGTGGACGCCCGCATGCAACCTCTGTATTGAGTGGGCAAGAGCTAAAACACTGTATGCAACCAACCACTCTGCAAACTGAACAGTGGCAGGTTCTCACTATCTGATGTTTCAAGGGCAGAAGCCACAACCGACTGCGTTGATTTTCTAACTTTGAGTGTTTGGCACATCTGTACCCCAACACAGTTCTTCCTTTGTAAAATGCAGCAGGGTTACTATGAGGGTCCATCACGGCTCCAGCCTGTCCCAGCAAGCCCCTGCCTTCCCTTCAATGATCACTCCCACTCTTGCCAAAGCCTTTGTATCTGCTACAACTTCTGCATTTACTCTTCTGCTCTAACACCTCCAGATTCACCTCTTCCCCCAAAGGAGTACTTTTTCCACTGCACGCTCATCCAAGCATCCGGAGGACAATCCGCATCCCTGACTTCTTCACTGAGGCATCCTACGATTTCTACTAAGACCAGGTACCCTCGGCATTTAGGATTTCTCCATCCACACCCACAGGAACCTCTGCCCACCAGCCCAGCCAGACAGCAGCCCCATGAAGGCCAATCCCATCATCAGCCAGGAGAGGATGTCTAAAACCAGTGCTCTTAGCTTCCCAAAAAAAATCACCTGAAGACCTTTCTCCTGAGCAGCTCAGTCCCACTCTGCTCCAGATGACAGCCAATCATAGCCCGACACTCAAGCCCCCTGGTAGTAACATTCTCTTATCTGCACTCTAGCAGTGGTATCAGCCAAAGGCAAAAACAGAAGAAAAACACTGCTACAAAGTGAAGCCCTGGGTCAGAAGCCGTAAACTACAATAACCTGGGTTTTGGGGATGTGCCCATTTTCTTGGCATAAGGATTTTTTCTTAATATGTATATTCCAGGAACACATACTTGGTCTACAATGCCTTGCTAAGATCTCTTTGTTGACAAGGTGAAGAAATATGAACTACATCTGAATAGCTTAGTAAATGTTCAATTTACCCTACAAAGTGCTGATTAATGAACAGACCAAGGAAGGTCTCTAGTGGGAGGCCACAGGTCTCTTTCTGAGTACTGTAGATTTCAACATTTTTATCAATTACTTGAACGATGGCACAGATAAAATGTTTATCTAATTCAAAGATGACAAGTTTCCAGGAGCAATGGCAAATACACTGGATGACAGAGTCAAGAGCTAAAAAGATCAACAGATTGGAATTGCAATAGAGAGGAAATAAATGCTATTTGGACACTTGGGTGCAAAAAAAGAAATGCACAAATGTAGGAGGTGTGAAAAAGACTTAGGAGATTTAATTGGATATAATTTCTGTATGTGACGATGTGATGTTGTGGCTGCCAAAAAAAAAAAAAAAAAAGAAGAAAAAGTCAGGCAGTCTTAGACTGTACCTAAGGGAGACTTAGTAAGGGGCCAGGGGAGAGACCCTGAAAACTGGGTTTCTGCCTCCACACATTAAGAGAGATAAGTCAGTGGAAGAACATCCAAGTGAGAGCAGGGACCAGAAGTCCCTTCTCATGGAGAACGGCTGCAGAAACCCAGCACACAAAGGTCTCCAGGGAGGGGGACTGGTCAGGCTCTTTATGACCCTGCTGGAGGAGAGAAACAGAGAACTTAGATCAACACAGGGTGAGGGACTGTGGTTCCATATAAGAACAGACAGTAGGATTCATTTGAAACCCGACTGGACTGCCTAAAGAGGTAATGAAGATTCCTGTGGAGCTGCACATTTCTGAGATTGTGTAAGCCTGATGTGATTTACTATGAGAACTCTTTTGGGGTGTTATCTGCTCTGTTTTGCAGCTAAGGAAACTGATGGTTAACAATGAGCAAATGACCTACCTGGGATCACTCAGGTAATTTAGGGAGCAGAGCTGGGGCTTAAATTGAGATGACCTCACATGATTCTAGGGGTAGAAAATTCCGCTTTGGAGGTATCTCTTAAGGCTGACAAGGATGCTACAGCCAGGTGCATATGATTGAAGAGGTGCTCTCTCACACACATCGTGCATGCTGACAGCCATCTCACCAGAGTGGGCACCTCTTTAAAGCCTCTGAGAGTAGAAACCTCTGTCAACCCCAATGCCTTGACCCGTCAAAGGAGGGCAACACAGGGAGCTCGTAAAAAGCTTTACAGAGCTTCACTTTGTATCTCATAACCCACATGTAAAGGAATGAAACTGACTTACTAGGGAAAATCCTATTATTTCAGACCTTATATCCCACTGAAAAGCATACACTGTTTGCACGAGTTAACTATACTGCAGAATATCAAATTCTTGTTTTTGTTCACAACCCATAGAGGCAGGAAAAAAAATAAAGACAGAAAACACAATCTAACCCAACTACATGAACTCCTCCTGCACATACAACATTTTCCTTAGAGGACAGAAATGGATCTCACAAATTTGGAACACAAGATTTCCACTTCATCAGGCAACTGCCACTCATCACACCCTGTTTCTATTAAATCCCATTCCCTTCGTTATCTCCACACTTAGCTTTCCTTCCACGCACTGCTTACACACAGTTCAAACTTTCCCCAGCAAGCCACAGGAAAGTCGGCCTCCCCGACTTCGGCGCACCCATTCTTTATTCAGTGCTGATGCGCAGATCACACAAAGATCCCTTCATGCTAAGAAAGTTTCCACCCCACCAGAAAATCTATATTCTTCCATGGAAATTGAGAAGTACATTTTTTTCTCTTTTACAAGTTCCAGTTGAGAACAATATAATTCTCAAACAGATGGAGAGCTCAGACAAGCATGAGCAACCCTTGCCTTTAAAGCAAATCAGGCAGTGAAGTGTGAGGGGCCAAGTGTCAGTCACTGGCACCTGCATCCCCCCCACCCTGAGTCTGGCCCAGGAGCGCTGGAGGCTGAGGTCCAAAAAAAAAAAATGGGGAAAGTCAGGTGGCCACAACCACCTCACTCCAGGAAGGTGGGGATGTTCATAGAGCCACACAGCAGTTCAAGTGGGGATCCCTAAGCCTTCCTATGGCTCATCTTCTCTGAAGGGTTGACAGGCATGCTAATGGATTGTCGTGGAGGATTAATGAGCCTGCCATGGGCCAGGAACACAAGAATGAATGGTGCAGTGACATCTTTGAGGAGCCGCCTCACCCCTTTAATAACCCTCCCATTTTGTTTCCCTGCACCCTTGCGCTTCAGCACGAACTCTGTTAATTTGCTTAAAAGTCAGCAGCATGTTACATCATGTAGACACGAACAATTATGCTTTAAAAAAAAAATCCAGAGGAATAAAAGTATGCCAATTAAGTGCATAGGGATCAATGTAAATGCTCCTTGCTACCAGATAAAGGACACATTTCCAAATGGTCACCAGAAACGAGGCAGGTGCTGCCAAGCAGCATGCTGACAAAGTCAGAAATGTCTCCCATTACTCCTCTTTAGGATAGCACAAGTACAGCCTTGAAGAAGTCTACCCTTGACAGTGGGCAAAAACAGAAGACAGGAGGTCAGGCCAGGCACGGTGGCTCACGCCTGTAATCCCAGCACTTTGGGAGGCTGAGGCAGGCGCACTGCTTGAGGCCAGGAGTTCGAGACCAGCCTGACCAACATGGTAAAACCCCATCTCTACTAAAAATACAAAAATGAGCGTGGCATGGTGGCATACACCTGAAGTCCCAGCTACTCAGAAGGCTGAAGCACAAGAATCACTTGAACCCGGGAGGCAGAGGTTGCAGTTAGCCGAGATCATGCCATTGCACTCCAGCCTGGGTGACAAAGCAAAACTCCGTCTCAAAAAACAAACAAAACAGGAGGTCATTCGATCAGGGAACAAAAACATCCCTGGGAGGTGGAGACGACCCAAAAGGCAGGCAAGCCGCTGTGCCCAGTGCACCAGGGAGGCAGAAAACCCCAGGCACCCACCAAGCAAGTCTACAGCGTCCTCTGCATTCTGCAGCAGGAGGCAGGGCTGAAGGACAGCAGCCCCATTCAGCAGCTTTGTGGACCAGTCTTCCCAGGGACCTGCTGTAGAACAAAGCTCAAGGTGTAAAGGAAAACAAAACCCAAAGTCTCAAATCCCCACAACAGGGTGGTAAATCTTGCCCCTCTACATGGAAATGGCACTACTCCAAGGCAAAGCAAACGCTCCCCTGCCCGTAGCCAACATCACCTCTATGCCTGCCTCATTCTGCTCATCCAGGACCCAGCTTCCAAGACCAAACAGGTCTCCCAGCCACAGCACAGCATCCTATAGTTGCTGGATGGCACAGCAGGAAATAGCAAGGACGTTCATATGGGGTCAGGGGGGTGCTGCAAGCTCTCCCCACACAGCCCTGGGTTAGGGAACCACAGAGCATGCTCCACCAGCCCCTCCATGCTCTCTAGGCAACACCACGGGCAAATGGAACACGGGACAAAGGGACATGGGACAAAGCCTTGGCAAAATGCAATCACGCTGGAGACTAAGGATCCAGGGTCTCCCACTGTTCCACCACTCATACCTCCCCCACCCAGGCTTACCCCACCCTGAGGCCCCTACTATCTAGGGCGGGGGTGGCTACGTCTATATCCTCCCTACTGATGTCCCCATACCATCAAGCAGCTCTTACCAATGTATCAGGTGGTAAACAACAGACTCTCACTAACTCCATTTTTAAATGCTGGGGCATATGACCAAGGACATTATCTCAGGTAGTTGTTGCGGGAAAGAGCTTTTAGATAATGGCTTTGATTCCTTAAGGGTAGACCCCTATTTTGTTTATATTGTTAATGAGAGCTTGGTACTAAACAGTTTCCAAATGTTACTGGAAAGTCCAAACTCACCATCATCTTACATAAGGTTTCCAGGGTATGGTAAATAAATACACTTCTGACAATTAGAGAAATGCACACTAAGATATTTTTAGCTTGGCTGAGCATAGTGGCTCATGCCTGTAACCCCAGCACTTTGGGAGGCCAAAGGAGCAGGACTGCTTGAGCCCAAGAGTTCAAGGCTACAGTAAACTATGATGATGACACCACTGCATTCCAGCCTGAACAGAGCAAGACCCTATCTCAATCAATCTTCTTTTTTTCTTTGGAGCCAGGGTCTCACACTGTCACCCAGGCTAGAGGGCAGTGGCACGATCTCGGCTCACTGTAGCCTCAACTTCCTGGGCTCAAGTGATACTCCCACATCAGCCTCCCAAGTAGCTGGGACCAAAAGCAAGCACCACCATGCCCAGCTAATTTTTTTGTATTTTTGGTAGAGATGGGGTTTCACCATGTTGCCCAGGCTGATCTTGAACTCCTGAGCTCAAGTGATCTGCCCGCCTCGGACTCCCAAAGTGCTGGGATTACAGGCATGAGCCACTCTGTGCCCGGCCAAAGAAAGAAATATTTTTAACTTAACAGATTCACACACAAAAAAATTACCAATCTAATAACACCAAGCTTGAGTGAGGACATGGGGCAACAGGCACTCTCCTACTTTTGGGAGGAGCATATGTGTACAGCCATTTTGAAGGACAACATCTGCCAAAAAATACAAATGCCTATAACCTCTGAACAGTGACTCCTCTTCTAGAGATCCAACCCTCATGTCAGTGGGGCAAATAGATGTATGTCCCCACGCATACACTGCCTCATCCAGGTGGTGAAGGTTAACAACAATGGTGATAGGTCATGCTGACAAATCACTGAAGGGAGGGCATTTCAGCTCTGTGGTCTTGCTCCCAAAAACCCATGGTCCCAGACTAACCATAAGAAAACCATGGGCCGGGCAGGGTGGCTCACACCTGTAATCTTAGCACTTTGGGAGGCCGAGGTGGGCAATCACCCGAGGTCAGGAGTTCGAGACCAGCCTGCCCAACCTGGTGAAACCCCATCTTTACTAAAAATACAAAAATTAGTTGGGTGTGGTGGCAGGCACCTGTAATCCCAGCTACTCGGGAGGCTGAAGCAGGAGAATTGCTTGAACCTGGGAGGCAGAAGTTGCAGTGAGTCGAGGTTGCACCATTGCACTCCAGCTTGGGAGACGAGTGAGACTCTGTCTCAAAAAAAAAAAAAAACAAAAAAAACCATGAGACAACTCCAAATTAAGGGGCAGTGTGCACAAAACCTGGCCAGTGTCCCTCGAAACTGTCAAAGTCACCAAGGACAAGGAAAGTCTGAGACCCTGTCACAGACCAGAAGAGGTGAAGGAGACAGCTAAATGTAATGTGCTGTGATGCGCTATTCTGCACAGGATCCTAGACCAGGAAAGGAACATTGGGCAAAACTGGTAAAATCCAAAAAAAGTCTTGAGTTTAGTTCACTGACAGTCATGGACTAATGCTGGTTCCTTAGCTGTGGCAAATTACCATGGTGACACAGAATGTTAACAGAGGCGAAGCTGTTAAGAGGTACATGGGATCTCTCTAGACTATCGCGGCAACTTTTCTGTAAATCTAAAACTATTCTAAAAGAAAAAGTTTATTTAAAGAAACAGTGAGTATGCATGAGCATGTAAGCCGCAGGACAACAGGGATCTATTTAAATGTTTTTTTAAAAAGTACCCTTACTGCTCTGTGGCTTGCTTCTGCCTGACCCGCCAACACCGCCCCACCCTGCCGCCCCCAGTTTCTTATGCAGGTGGACATAACCACATGGAAAAAATGCCTGGAAGGAGACATGCTGATGGGCCAGTAGTTCCTTCCGGGGAGTGAAGCAGACTGGGGAGAGTAGCAGGAAGAGGAGAGGGTGAGCTATATCACCTATCACCTTCTACTCTGTAACTGTGTATTGTTCTAATTTCCATAAGAAACATACATTCACATATTAATTGTATACTTAAAATCATTTTAAAAACAAAGATCATTCTGCTATAGGAAGAGAGCCAAAATTTATATAAATGAAAAACCACAAATTGCAAATCTGTGTTTAAACGATGGCTAAGAATAGCATTTTTGCTTGCATAGCAAGTATCTGCAAAGCTTACCCTTGGGAAGCAGGGGGGAAGAAGGAAGAGTCAGAGGAGAGGAGGAGGGGCCTGGCATGTTTACTCCTTACCTCCTGTTTTAATTGCCTACCATAAGCATGTGTTTTTGTTTTTGTTTTGGGATAGTCTTGCTCTGTCACCCAAGTTGGAGTACAGTGGCACAGACATGGCTCACTGCAGCCTTGACCTCTTAGGCTCAAGGGATCCTCCTGCCTCAGCCTCCTGAGTAGCTGGGACTACAGGTGCACACCACCATGCTTGGCTAATTTTTTAATTTTTTTGTAGAGATGGGGTGTCCCTATGTTGTCCAGGCTGGTCTTGAACTCCTGGACTCAAGAAATCCTCCTGTCTTAGTCTCCCAAAGTGCTGGAATTATAGGCATGAGCCACCATGCCCAGCCAAGCATGTTTTTAGGTCATTATCATCATGAAAATGATCATAAACCCTCAAAGTTCATTCCTTACTTGCTCTATCTCCTTGACCCCCAAACCACACCCAAAGGAGCCCACATTTTGGAATTCTGCTTCTAGGGCTGTGATGGCACAGGATCCCTCTCCTTTGCCCACAGCTTGAGGGCAGCGTGAGGACAGTGTGAGGGAGCAAGCACCCTCAGAGGTGGCCCCTGCCCTCACTCACACCGCTGGCTGAAACGCTGGTATCTCTCCATCGGACAGGATCTGTTCAACATCAATGCTGTTCTCCACTGGGGCATCCCGAGAGACCTATATAAGGGGGCAACTCACATCCATCTGTGATGGCAGCAAAGTGTGGCAAGAACCTAATGTGCCTTCTGAGTCATCTTTAAACTATGCAAGGTCCCTGCCTGCAATCAATATATTCTAATACTTTAGATTAATACTTTCTGATTAATCAATCTATGACAAACCCCTGGATCCTCAACAATGGCATCTAAAAAAAAAATGTAGTGCAACTGGCTGAGCACAGTGACTCACGCCTGTAATCCCAGCACTTTGGGAGGCCAAGGCAGGCAGATGGCTTGAGGTCAGAATTTGAATAACATGATGAAACTTTGTCCCTACTAAAAATATAAAAATTAGCCAAGTGTGGTGGCAGACACCTGTAATCCCAGCTACTTGGGAGGCTGAGGCAGGAGAACTGCTTGAACCTGGGAGGCAGAGGTTGCAGTGAGCTGAGATCACGCCACTGCACCCCAGCCTGGGTGACAGAGCAAGACTCTGTCAAAAAAAAAAAAAAAAAAAAAAAAGTAGTGCAACTGTCCAAAGCTGCTTGTCCTTGAAAAGGACGCCAAAAACCAACCAACCAAGCAACCAAAAAAAATCTGCAAGATATCTAGAGTGGGAAAACAGCACAATGAAGATGAAAAACTGCTATTTCATGCTGCTTTTAAGATCAAGTGATTTAATTTCACTAACATTGATTTTTGCAGAGTGATTTAATTTTGCTAACACTGACTGAGCTTCTGCTTACTGATGTTAACATCTGGGCAGCCAAAGTCGTCGCCCACCACACAGAGGAAGGAGGAGAAACATCAGGCCATCTGAGAACCCATCCACATGCATATACTGATGAATCAAAGCGTACTGCGTAAAAAGAGGCTTCCAAGATTAATCAAGGTTTATTTTTTAGGTCCTGAATCTCTCAGGATGTCTGATAAAAAGCTGGGCCCTTTCTCCAAAAAAAATACACTTACAAAGAGCTTGCACGCCATTTCCAAAGGCCCTCTGAACCCCATCTATGGGGCCTTTTGAGTCACAGACCCTCATCAACTAGTCTTGAGCTATAAGCATCTGTGATACCATTTTACAGATTTAAAAAAAAAAATGAGGACTTAAGAGCAATTGGGTGACTTTCTCAAAATTCTCCCACCAGCTAATGGCAAGGTGGAGAGCTCTGGTCTCATGCTGTCTAGAAAACATGAAGCACACTCAGCAGTGGTTAGCACAGACCCCCAACGAAAGCATTATAATAGCATTCCCACATGTGCCAACGCTACGCAAAGGTATACACATGAAATAACAGTGCCATCACACACACACACACACACACACACACACACACACACAGGTGTGTGTTGTGTGGTGAGTCGAAGAGAGAAAGAAAGTTGGGAGCGGGGGAGAGAGAGTGTGGGGGGAAGTGAAAGGCAGAGAGAGGAGGGAGAGTGGGAGAGGAAGGAGAGTAGGAGAGAAGGGGCGGGGGAGAAAACAGGAGCAGGAGAGAAGGGGGTGGTGGGAGAACTATACTACTGACACTATGAACTTGGGCCAGGGCTGGCCAGGGCTGAATCCAAAACCCTGCCCCCTACCCGTGAAACAAGAATCTAGGTTCAGATCACCAGAGAGCACACTGAGAAGCCACCATGTCCTTCCTTCAGTAAGGTGCAGGCAGGCAGGGGGCCTCAATCACTGGGACTCAAACTCCCCGCCCATCAGCCTCTGTTCCATGCTACAAACCACAGAGCACAAGACACCGCTGCAGTTCAGGAGCAAAGCCCCAAGGTAAGTGGCACCAAGTATCCCATTTCCACAGCACTCCAGGACCACTACCAAACAGGGGCTGGCAATCATGAGGAGCCCTGCTTCCAGCAAGGAAGTTAAGTAACTTCGGCCTTCCACTGGAGGCCAGAGATGGCAAAGACAAAAATCTGAAGATAAAAACAGGCAGAGAGCTCTACAGCTGGACACTTTTAAGAGCTTTATTTCTTGCCCCAACTTAACCATTAATTACACAATGACAACCTGGGGATGCTTTGGCTTCTATGCCAAGTCGTGGCTTCTAACACCACCACCTCTCTCTCCCCTGGTTACCACACAGCATCTCGCTGGGGGCTGGACCCTGGTCTAGCCCTCCATAATGCACCCTCCACCCTACTACCAAGGCGGACTTTCCAAACCACAAACCTGACAGTGCCCATTCTTCTGCATTAAGTCCTTCAAAACCTCCCTGTGCCTTCCAGAGAAAAATCCAACCTCCTTGAAATGGCCTAAGACTCTGTGATTTGACCTGTGTCAATACATCCAGTCTCAGCTCCCGATATTCCTTTACTAAGGACGAGACATGGAGCCAACTGAGGTTTCTAAACTCCAAGACACCGAGTACACATGCTTCCCAGCAGCTCCTTCCATCAAAACACCCATCTTCTCTAGGCCAGGCCTTTAACACTCGCCTGGGTGCAGACTCGCCCCTTCACCGCCACAGGACCCCAACTGCACTCATTTCTCTTAAGTTTAGGCACTCGTTTACCTACTGGACTGTGATCCCATGCGCAGCTGGAACTGCACTGTATTTACTGTCCTTCACAAGGGCCAAACCAGCACAGGTCTGAGACACAGCAGGTGCTTAGTAAACACTGGGCAAATGAATGACAAGGAAGTAATCAGTTGCTCTTGTTCACATGCTCCCTCTCTTCCTTCTCCTCCTCCTCCCAAAACCTTTAGGTTTTTTCACATGCTCCCTCTCCTCTCAAAACCTTCAGCTTTTAAGTGAATTCATACCCATAAAAATTTAAATAAGCCAGGTGCAGTGGCTCACGCCTATAATCCCAGCACTTTGGGAGGTTCAGGTGGAAGAACTGCTTGAGGCCAGGACTTCCAGACCAGCCTAGAAAATGTACCAAGACCGCATCTCTACAAAAATTTAAAAATTCACCAGGAGTGATGGCGCAGGAACATAGTCCCATCTATTGAGGAAGCGTAGGTGGGAGCATCACATGAGCCTAGGAGGTTGAGGCTGCAGTGAACTATGCTCACATCACTGCACTCTAGCCTGGACAACAATGTGAGATCCTGTCTCTAAGAAAAAAAAAAAAAATTAAATACTTCATTGATATTTGCTAAAACTCAAAAGTCCCATCAAAACCATAATGAGATACCACCTCACATCCATTAGAATGGATAGCTACTATAAAAAATTTAAAAAAATAAATAAAAATAAACGTTGGCAAGATGTGGAAAAATTGGAATTCTTATGCAGTCTACATGGAAAACAGTACAGTGGTTCCTCAAAAAATTAAAAATAGAACTGCCATATGATCCAGCAATTCCACTTCTGGGTATATACCCAAAAGAACTGAAAGACTTAAGGAAATATTTGCATATCCATGATCACAGTCATATTATTCACAGTAGCCAAAGCGGGGGAGCAACTCAAGTGTCCATCGACAGACAAATGGATAAGCATATATACCACATGGTAATGGACATTATATAAATGTGTTATCACACATACATATATTATTAAATATTATTGGGCCTTAAAAAGGAAGGAGATTCTGGACACATGCTACAGCCTGAATGAACCTTGAGGACATTATGCTCATAAAATGGGCCAGTCACAAAAGGACAAATAGTGTACGAGTCCACTTACATGAGGTATCCAGACAGTCAAATTTACAGACAGAAAGTGGAATGGCGGTTGCCAAAGACTTGGGGAAAAAGGCAATGGGGAGTTGTTTGATGGACATGGAGTTTCAGTTTGGGAAGATGAACAAGTTCTGGAGATGGACAGTGGTGATGGTTGCACAACAATATGAATGTACTTAATGCCACTGAACTCGTACATTTAAAAAAATTCTTTTAAGTAGCCTCAATAGCTGCTGTCTGACACCACCCTTTAAAGTTCAAAATGGTTTCAGACACTGACAGCTGCCACACCACCCAAGGAGGCTGCGGCTCCAAGGCTGGGCAATCAGGCTACCTGCGGTGGAGTGGTGAGCCGCTGATGCCTGGGACCTGCCGCTAGACCTGAATACTGGAAGCACGCTGGTGTTCTTGCACACTCCTGTTCCATCTTCAACAATTATCTGGAGGAAGCACCACCAGGGGCCCAGCCCACAGAGGCATCTTTGGAGGGACCCTGGACAGACAATGAGCAGATATACACATGGTCTGAGCCAGTCGTGGAAAGAGCCACTGGGAAGATACCGAAGGGACACAGAGGAAGAGGTGCCCAGCTGGCTAACAGAGAGTAGAGTGGGCTGGAGGAGACTGATGGAAACCCACTGGGAAGCGGGTGCCCTAGATTATTATTAACCTCCCCAGACTAAGTAAGCAGAAGTTGGAGTCTGTCCTCTAGTAAGTTACAGCCCCAGTAAGAACCCACACAAAGCATGTAAGCATCCAGGCATCTAAAGAACTCAACATCTACCATCCAGCGTGTCCACCCACTTTCCAGGAAGTATGGTGACAGGACTGCAAAGGCAAGCACAGCATCATTCTTCTTCAAAGCCAACAGTTCCAGCCGGGCATGGTGGCTCATGCCTGTAATCCCAGAACTTTGGGAGGCTGGAGGGAGAGGACTGCTTGAGTCCAGGAGTTTGAGTGCAGCCTGGGCAACATAGTGAGACTCCCATCTCTACAAAAAATGTTAAAAATTAGCCAGGCGTGATGGCACACATCTGTGACCCCAGCTACTCAGGAGGCTGAGGCAGGAGGATCCCTTGAGCCTGGGACGTTGAGGCTGCAGTAAGCCATGACCATGCCACTGCATTCCAACTGGGGTTACAGAGCGAGACACTATCTCAAAAATTTAAAAAAAAAAAAAAAAAAAAAAGGAAAAGGAAGAAGAAATATATACATGGAGGGAGCCTACAGTGTGGGGTCAGACTCCTCACAAAGTTTCAAACATTCTGAAGCTCAGGGAGACGAAATAATTTGCCCCAAATCACACTCACTAAATATTAGCGCTGGATAGAATGCAAGCCCAGACTTCCTGAAGCCAAATCCCACATGCGCTCTCTCAGCACACAGTCTCCCGATGACTGCCTTTCTCCTTCTACTCTCTCATCCACAGCAACCCAGTGGCCAAATTTTGCTCCATTTAAAAAGGAAGGAAAGAAAGGTCCCTGTCCTCATCTGGATAAGCTTTAGTTATGTTTGTATAACATTCAGAAAAGGCCATAAAAGATCTTCACTGAGGGCTGTGCTAAGTATTAAGTGTTACTCAATAAACCACAGCATAGAGGTTGCCAACTGACGTTTAGCTATAACCTGGAAAGAGTACTGGCTGAATACATTTTTTTTTCCAATTTCAATTTCTAGGTATCATTTATATTCATCCGCCCACACCCCCCACCTCCCCCATTAGCAAGCATAAAACAAACAAAAAAAACCCCACAGAGCTACAGTTGTAAGACACAACCAGAGTAGGTGGCATATTATGATAAACAAAGATGACAATAAAACATTTTTCCAGCTGTGATAAACATATTTAAGATCTATCAGAGGCTGCCAGAGCTAAAACTGAAAACTATGAAAATTGCAAGTTGTTCATAACACAGAATTTATGTCTTAGAAGCTTTTATTTTTTAGGCAGAAGTTGTCTCACTAGGAGATCATTTCCTTACCTTTTTAAAATCTGAACTTTTAAAGCTGTGACATGTTGAGGCTGTCACACGTCCAAAGTGATTTAACAACTGGCTGAGGGAGGGACTGAGGCTGAGCACGGGCACATGGTACAGCTCAGAGGCCCAGCTGGAGAAGACAATACTGCTCAGGGCAGCCCTACTAAGCCTCCAGGAGGATCCCAAAGATCTACGCCCGCCAGGTGATTAGGACACTCACATTTCATTACGTCTCAAATACTGTGAACAAGCAATTCAATTAACAGCTGTCTCAGTGTCTTAGAGATCAGAAAAAATTAAGAAGAATGGTGAATTATGTCCCGATTTCCAAATATCCACGCCTTTGTGCCCTTTCTTGGCTTCTGAAACCATCTGTCTTCCTTTCCCAACTTAAAAAAGAAAAAACAAAAACTTTAAACAATAAACCTTGCCATCCAACTGTGACTGATGAGATGTAGTTGTGAAATGGGCTTGTCAGATGCACTTATATAAGAGGATACCGACTTGATTGCAATTCATAACATCTCTAACATCTGAAAAACTTCAACAATGATTTTCTCAATAAACAAAACTGTTGTGTATTACACTAAGCTGAGCTAAGATTACCTCATCCCTTAAAAACCAACGGCTGTAAACAAGTTGTAACACAACTGGGCAATGCCCACACAAGCAAAAGTCCCTTTGCAAAGCCCAGCAGACTTCCAGCAACTTCCTGGCCTTCCGAGCAGAAACAGCCCCAATGATGGGACTAAAGGAGGAGACCTCACAGAACTGGAGAACATCAGATCGTGAAAGACTCAGAACAGAACACTTTACTTTTAGAATCCTAAAATAAACACAGCCAGACCACTTGAGGAATCACGGAGGTGTATCCGTGAAAAGGCGCTGTATCTGCTTTTTAAGTCACACACCCAAACTCGTCAGATCTCTCTTAAAACCCTTGAGATCAACCCTATTCCACCCCTTTTGATGAACACCTACCTATGCCATGCACTTTGTCAGATCCTATGGAAACAAAGAACATGTTGCCTGCCCTTAAAGAATCCCTATAACCACAGAAAGAGAAAGGGAGAGAAACCAGTAATCTCAGCACTGTGTGATCAGAATATCTAGCAGTGCACACGAGATACACTGTGACATGGGGAGGTCACTGATATGAGGGGTTCATCAACTCTAGGGAGGGAAGTGGTGCCCCGGAGCCTGCTCCAACTTAAATGCATAGCAAGAAAAGTATAACCACTGATCACATTTGAGACCCAAATAAGACAGTAGGTATGAATTTAAAAAGCAACCCAGGCCAGGTGTGGTGGCTCATGCCTGTAATCCTAGCACTTTGGGAGGCAGAGGCGGGTGGATCACCTAATCAGGAGTTCCAGACCAGCCTGGCCAACATGGTGAAACCCCATCTCTACTAAAAATATAAAAATTAGCCAGGCATGGTGGCACGTGCCTGTAATCCCAGCTACCTGGAAGGCTGAGGCAGGAGAATTGCTGGAACTCGGAAGGCAGAGGCTGCAGTGAGCCGAGATCAGGCCACTGCACTCCAGCCTGGATGACAGAGTAAGATTCTGTCTCCAAAAAAAAAGGCAACCCAGAGAAAGATACTAGTTTCTCTGTGCCTAAGGAAAATGTAAAAACGTAGACAAGCTCTTCAATTAAACCTCCACTATTTCTAAATCGCCTACAGTATTTAAAGAGAAAGACTCCTTTTATAATTACACCTGACACTTCTCCCCATGAAAACATCTCGGAGCACAGATATGCTTCTTCAATGTGAAGGTCGGTCTCCACGGGCCCTAAAAGGAACACTAGCTCACCTTACAGGAACACCCTCAGCAAACATGAGAGGGACAGTCATCTTTCTCCTGGTACCTTCCCAGCTCCTCCTGGAAAACAACTCAGATAACCATAGGAGACCAAAGAGTCCTAATATGATTTAGGAGACGGAAGTTACTCAAAATCATTTCCAACAAGTTCACCACTGAACACTTCCTGTGACCAAATAATGGTGGCAGGTCCTGCCCTGAAGGTTCCAACGGTTCTGCTCCATCCACCCTGCTGTTCACTCATCAGTCCTGCCCCTAGAAGACCCTATGCCTGAGGACCTAAGGGTGGTGAATTCCTTCCTAATCGCTCTCCACCCTACACAGAAAATCACTAAGCTCAAAAGAAAAAGTGTAAGGGCCCCATCCACATTCCAAATTGATTTCACATGACCCAACAGAAATCATAGCATTTCTCCCCTCCACCCACCCATCCTGAAGAGTGACCATCTCCTTGGTCACACATAGCAAACAAAAATTCAGATGACACCAGGGACAGACCCTAAATTCAAGTATTAGCCTGATGCAGGTCTAAAGCAGAGATATTAACAGATTTTTTGACTCAAACCAACTGAACCAGACTCACCTTTACTAACTAATACACAGGGTAAAATTCCACTGAGTTTTTATGAAAGCCATGTCACAACTCCCCCAAGAATAGCCTTGAGGGTGGAGCATGAGCCCCCGACAGGGATGGCAACCAACCACCCCAGGCAGGAGGGTCTGCTGCCTCCATCCCTGCAGCCAGGAAGCATCAGATGCCATCCAAGCTGTCTTCTATGGCTCACATATCCAGCAAATTACAGCACTCCCCAAACTTAGAGGTTTATCCTTGAACTACTCCTTGGAATGAACCCAAATAGGTAAGCATTTTCTCCTCCATAAGGCTACCCATTACCTGCACCCATTGCACGAGACTGCAATCAATGAAAACCTCCTGATAACTATCAGAATAGCTGGTGGTGAATGCAAAGACACAAGCAGAGAAGCAAGAACTGAACAACGAGGTGTATGTCATGCGCCAGGTAGACATGCGAAACAAGGTGCAGGCAGAAAGTAGTGCAGCCGCCCTCAAGATGTCACAATCGATCAGCAAAGCAGACTTGTAAAGACACAGAATCCTAACATAACCAAAGTGCTACAGAGGCTTAAAGAAGCAGAGTTACGTATCACTTAATGACAGGGATGCATTCTAAGAAATGCACAGTTAGGTGATTTCATCATTGTGTGATCAGAGTATACTTACACCTCAATGGTATAGCCTACTACACACCTAGGCTATACAGTATAGCCTATTACTCCTAGGCTACCAACCTGCAAACCTGTAGTGCATTACTGCACTGAATACTGCAGGCAGTTGTAACACCATGGTAAGTATGTGTGTATTTAAACATACCTAAACATAGAAAAGGTACAATAAAAATATAGTAAGAAGGATAAAAAAAAAAAAAAAGTACATATGGCCAGGCTCACACCTATAATCTCAGCACTTCAGAGGCCAAGCACTTGCTTGACACCAAGAGTTCAAGACCAGCCTAGGCAACATAGTGAGATTCCATTTCTACAAAAAATTAAAAAACAAAAATTAGCCAAGTGTGGTGGCATGAGCCTGTAGTTCTAGCTACTTGGGGAGGGTGACACAACAGAATCAGTTGAGCCCAGGAGTTCAAGGCTGCAATGAGCTATAATCACGCCACTGCACTCCAGCTTGGGTGACAGAGCTAGACCCTGTCTCTTAAAAACGAAACAAAAGGCCAGGCGCGGTGGCTCACGCCTGTAATCCCAGCACTTTGGGAGGCCGAGGTGGGTGGATCACGAGGTCAGGAGATTGAGACCATCCTGGCTAACACGGTGCAACGCTGTCTCCACTAAAAATACAAAAAATTAGCCAGGCGTGGTGGCAGGCGCCTGTAGTCCCAGCTACTCGGGAGGCTGAGGCAGGAGAATGGCGTGAACTTGGGAGGTGGAGGTTGCAGTGAGCCGAGACTGCACCACTGCACTCCAGCCTGGGCGACAGAGCGAGACTCTGTCTCAAAAAAAAAAAAAAGTATACATACGTATATGGGAGTACCACCACGAATAAAGCTTGCAGGACTGGAAGTTGCTCCCTCGGGTGAGTCAGTGAGTGGTGAGTGAATGTGAAGGCTGAGGACATTACTGTACACTACTGTAGACTTTATAAATACTGTATACCTAGGCCTCACTAAATTTATTTAAAAATTTCTTTCTTCAATAATAAATTAAACTTAGCTTAAGCACAACTTTTTTTACTTTTACAAACTTTATTTTTCTTAAATTTTGGTTCTTGTATATATTTTCTTTATATTCTTATTCTATAAGCTTTTTTCTATTTTTAACTTTTTTTTTTAACTTTTTAAACTTTTTTGTTAAAAGCTAAGACACAAACACACACGTTAGCCTAGACCTACAAAGGGTCCGGATCATCCATGTCACTGTCTTCCACCTCCATATCCTGTCCCACTGGAAGTCTACAGGGGCAGTAACCCAGGCGGAGCCATCAGCTCCTATGATCACAATGCCTTCTTCTGGATACCTCCTGAAGGACCTGCCTGAGGCTATTTTACAATTAATTTTGTGTTTAATAAGTATAAGGAGTACACTCTAACAATTAAAAGTACAGCATAGTAAATACATACACCAGTAACATGGTTGTTTATTATCAAGTATTAGGTACCGCACACAATTGTATGCGCTGCACTTTCATCTGACTGGAAGCACAGTGGGCTTACACCAGCATCAACACAAACACGTGAGCAGTGCCTTGCACTACAACAGACACGATATCCCTAGGGGACAGCACTGTTTTCAGCCCCATTATAATCTCATGGGACTACTGTTACAGACGAGGTCCACCATTGACCAAAACATGTGGAGCACGGCAATTAATTCTGGATTTGGATGGGGACACAAAATAAGCACAGCTCTGGCAGATCTAATCAAGATTAAGAGAGAAAAGCAACTAAAACATCTGAGAAAACAGATACAGAGGGCATAACACCACACAGAAAATACTACATACAACTGAGCTATAATTTTTAATTGACTTGCTGGAAATTACTAAATTACTAAAATTGATTTAAAAAGAACCAGAAGGCCAGCATGGTGGCTCATGCCTGTAATCCCAACACTTTGGGAGGCCAAGGGAGGAGGGTCGCTTGATCCCAGGAGTTCAAAACCAGCATGGGAACATAGCGAGACTCTGTCTCTAAAAAACATTTAAAAATTAGCCAGGTATGGGTCCCAGCTACTCCAGAGGCTGAGGTGGGAGGCTTGCTGGAGCCCAGTGGGCTGGGGCTACAGTGAGCCATGACCACACCACTGTACACCATCTGGGACAAGAGCGAGATCCTGTTTCAAAAAAAAAAAAAAAAAAAAGAGCATCAGAGGAAAGAACCAGAACCCTGGAACAGACCAACACCCATGGAAGACCTTTTTTAAAGCTGTCACAAAACAAAAACTAACCATCTTTTTACGCCAGGCATGGTGGCTCACACCTGTTAATCCCACCACCTTGGGAGGCGAAGGCAGGTGGACCACTTGAGCCCAGTAATGCTAGACCAGCCTGCGCAACGTGGCAAAACCCCATCTCTACAAAAACTACAAAAAAAATAAAAAATTAGCCGGGTGTGGCGGCAAAACACCTGTGGTCCCGGCTACCAGGGAGGCTGAGGTGGGAGGACTGCTTGAGCCTGGGAGGTCAAGGCTGAAGTGGGCCAAGATTATGCCACTGCACTGAAGACTAAAAACAACACCAACAACAAAAAGAAACACAACAAAAACTATTCTTTTTTTTTTTTTTTAAGTGTCAGCCTCCAGGCATTTAACAAGTGAGTTGTTCCAAACCTTCAAAGGACAGTTTATTGCCACACTATAAAAACTGTTACAGAGAAGGTAAAAAGGAAAAGTCATTAATTCATTTTACAAAACTAGTCTAGGCCTGACAGCAAAATCTGGAAAAGAACTCATCTAAAGAGAACTGTAAAGCTATCTCATTTAAAATAAGAGATTAAAAAATCTGAATATGTTAGCAAACCAAATTTAATTAGGAATTTAAACAGCCACCCACCGCAACCAAAAATAGTTTAACACGGGAATTTGAGGAGGGATTACTACTAGGTAATCTATTCCTACCTCAATTAATAGGTGTAACAACCACTTCTGAATCCAAATGAATGCCAAAATGACATCTGATGACATTCAACACCCATCCTTAATAAATCACCCAAGAAAACAAGACAGGCAATTCTTCAACATGATGAAAACCTCTTAAACCAAAAGATGCCTTACACATTGAGAAACAGAGGCATTATCATTAATATAGACAAAAAAGGACAAATATGCCTGTAATCAACATGTAACAATTCTGGATGTGCAGGCTAATGCAGCAAGACCCTATGACCAACCATGCTTGGTTGGCCCAACCCCCATGCCCAACCCACTAGCCATACCCACATTCATCTCCCACCTTCTAGCCAGCTGCATGCAACTCAGTTCTGGCCAAGGAGAAGCAGGGCCTACTGGCTGAGCAGCGCTTGCTGACCTGTCATTCTGCCTTTTTTGCCTTTTGTCTTCATTCCTTCTCAACTTCTTCCTGCCTGAAACAGACATAATTCCTGGAGGTCATCTTGTGTTCACGAGGACAAAAGCCACAGGCTAAGGATGAACAAACAGAAGCCAGGAGCCCAGTCCTCACACCCTCTTTGAGCACCTCACAGCAGCCACAGACTCCTTCCCTCCAGACTGCCTGAACTTGAGAAAAGTCAGCCCCTGTCGGCCTACTCCCTTATTAGGCAGGCTTTCAGTTATTTTCAGCCATTTATATTCCTAAGTGACACACAACTGATGGTAAGTAAAGACGTATTATGTACCAGAAAAATGGAGACCAAATTATCCTTATTTGTCATCAATGATTCTCGGCACAAAAAAATTAGGAAGAGTCAACTGAAAGACTATTATAACGAATAAGAGCAATCAACAAATTGGGTAGGTACAAGATAAGTACAGAAAATACCAGAGCTTTCCTCACACACAACCAATAATCACCTAAAAGAAACAAGGAAGGTCAGGCATGGTGGCTCACGCCTGCAATGCCAGCACTTTGGGAGGTGAAGGTGGGAGGATCACTTGAGGTCATGAGTTTGAGACCAGCCTGGGCAACACAGCAAGATCCTGCCCCTAAAAGAAAAAGAAAAAACTTAGCCAGGCATGGTGGCGCATACCAGTAGTCCCAGCTACTCAGGAGGCTGAGGTGGAGGATTACTTGAGCCTAGGAGCTGAAGGCTGCAGTGAGTCATGACCGCACCACTGCACTCCAGCCTGGGTAACGGAGCGAGACCCTGTCTCAGGAATGAAAAAAAAATTTTTTTTAATTGAAAAAAAATTTAAAAATATAAAATAAACAATGGGGAATAAAGATTCCTTCTACATTAGCAACAAAAAGCATTCATTAACCAGAAATAACCCAAAAGGAAAAGTATACAACCTCTATGACCTTCTGTGATTTCTTCATAGATAGATAATAGTTGAGTAAATGGAGAAACACGAAATGTCCTTGAATGAGTAATTCAAATATCTGGAAATGTTTTCTCCCAAACTGATTTATTAACAATCAAAACCTAATGAATTTGTGTTTTCTTTTTTGGAAGAGTAGCGGAGAAGAATTGCAAAAACAAAACAACATACACACACACAAAGTTCACCTGAAATAATGGTGCTTCAAATTTTTTTTTTTTTAACCTGAGTGGAGATTCTTCCTAGCAGATGTTAACATGTATAATGAAGCTACAGTGTTTAAGACAAAATGATTTTACCACAAACAAAAGGCAAATCAGTGGGAGAAGACAGCTTTAAAATAGAGTCTCGGCCAGGAGCGGTGGCTCACGCCTGTAATCCTAGCACTTTGGGAGGTCGAGGCAGGCGGATCGCAAGGTCAGGATTTCAAGACCAGCCTGGCCAACATAGTGAAACCCCATTTCTACTAAAAATACAAAAATTAGCCGGGCATGGTGGCACATGCCTGTAGTCCCAGCTACTCGAGAGGTTGAGGCAGAATTGCTTGAACCCGGGAGGTGGAGGTTGCAGGGAGCCGAGATGGCGCCACTGCACTCCAGCTTGGGCAACAGAGTGAGACTTTGTCTACAAAAAACACTAATAAAATAGAGTCTCTAGGCTGGGCGCAGTGGCTCACGTCTGTAATCCCAACACTTTGGGAAGGTGAGGTGGGCGGATCACCTGAGGCCGGGAGTTCAACACCAGCCAGGCCAACATGTGGAAACCCCATCTCTACTAAAAATACAATAAAAAAATAGCCAGGCGTGGTGGCGCACGCCTGTAATCCCAGCTACTTAAGAGGCTGAGGCAGTAGAATCACTTGGACTGGGGAGGGGGAGGCTGCTTTGAACAGAGATCACACCTCTGCACTCCAGCCTGAGCAACAGAGCGAGACTCTCTCAAAAAAAAAAAAAAAAAAAGAAAGAAAGAAAGAAAAAAAAGAAAAGATATTGTTACATAATCCAGTGAAGAAAAAAAACAGCACAATGTGGGGAAACTAAATCGTCAACAGGAGGAGGTATCTTACTTCACTTAACTACAAATACATTCTAGAAGTATTAAAGAATTAAAAGAAAAAGATAAACAAGGAATCAATATGCATGATTAACCGATTTTGACTTGAGTATAAACTTACTAGGCAAGGGAAGATCATAATGAAGAGACTGCTATTCTATATTAAATGATACAACTTTTTAAATGCTAAAATTGCAAAGCTCAATTTAGTGTTCAATTCTGGTGGAGTATGGATGACAGACACTGCTTCTGGAAGCTGAAACTAAGAATTTTCTGCAAAATATTTTGGCAATATTTATCTAGGATCATGCACACTTACACAATTCTTATTCCTTACTTTCCACTTTTAGGAATCTAGCCCAAAGAATTAATCAGAGTAGTGTATCAACAACAATACACAATAATTTTATCACATCATTTTTTAATGATCAAAATTATAAAATGGGCCAGGCACAGTGGCTCACACCTGTAATCCCAGCACTCTGGGAGACCAAGGTGGGCAGATCATTTGAGGTCAGGAGTTTGAGACCAGCCTGGCCAACATGGTGAAACCCCGTTTCTACTAAAAATACAAAAATTTGCCAGGCATGGTGGCATGCACTTGTAGTCCCAAATACTCGGGAGGCTGAGGCAGAATAATTGCTTTAACCTGGGAGGCAGAGGTTGAAGTGAGCTGAGATTGCACCACTGCAGTCCACTCCAGCCTGGGCAACAGAGCAAGACTTTGTCTCAAAAAAAAAAAAAAAAAAAAAAAATTGTAAAATACCTAAATTTAGCATTTATAGAATAATTTTAATTTTAATAATTTCATTAAAGACCTCATTCCAGGTGATAAAGATATAATGTTATGGGCAGAAATTCACAATATGTGTGTACATAGTATACTACTAATTTCATTTTTTTAAATATATAGATACACATATAAGTCTAGGGGGAAAATCTCAGGAAAACACAACAAAATATTAACAATGGTTACCTTGAGATTAAGGATAATTTTTATTTTCCTTTTATAGAGAGACAGAAAACTTATTTTCTAATTTTCTTCTCATAATCATCTATTACTATTATAATTTGAAAAAAGCAATACACATAATACTTGTAGTGTCTGGCGGCAGGCAAATGTGTCCCTAATCAAAGGTTCGCTGTTCGTCATAGCTGCACGTTATTTTTAAACAGGTCAAATATGTGAAGTCATTCTAGTGCTATGTGTACACGTGATTGCTGAATCAATGATAAGAGCCCTCTGAACGCGCTCTGTAGACCTCATATAAAGGAGGCAATGGACTCTTCTGGAAAAGAAGTAACTGGAAGGACGAGGAAGCCTAGGGTGATGATATTGACGGTGATCTTGGAACTCTAAGGACCTCCATTTCTTTAATATACATTTATAGAACATTCACCATGTGCAGGTAGCAGGCATTCAAGAGTGAACACAGTTCCTGCTTTCATGGAGCTAACAGTTTCTCCTCCAAAATCTTATGTAAAGCCATCATGACCACTGTAGTTTTTGCCTTTTGGGTATGTCTAACCGTGATGTGATAACAAATCCTGTTTCAATGCAACAATCAGATTTCCTGTATAGTAGTATTTTAAAATATGTCTGAAACCCACTCTCTCAAAAAGCTGAGACTTTATCGCTATGACTTTTAAAGACACAGATTCTCTAGAACCTATAGATAGCATTAACATTTCAACTATTCAGAGGCCACCACTCATTCACTCTGCCAATGAAACTTGTCGAAGTCCTTAAGACAGCTTCTCTAGACAAGAGAAACATGGCTGTACATTTTTTCCAAATCTTTTTCAGACAAACTACAACCACAGTGGAAAGTTCACTGGATGAGGAGAAAAAGGAACAGGGAAAAAGATGCTGGCCTCAGACATGCAAAATACAAAATACAGCGCCTGGCACAGACCTGGTGCTTATCAGGTATTTGCACAATAACTATTTTGCAGAATGAACAGCACGCTTAAAAAAGCAGATGCCCATCTGCTCATTCAGAGCACCCAGCTCCCAAGAGCACTACACCATCAGCAGAAATTGGAAACATTCCTTCACCACCAAAGGTGAGGCCAGCAGTGTCTGTGACTGCAAAACATGTACCCAGCATGGGGGGATCCAGTGGTCACCGCCCCATTCAAGGCAAGCACAGGTGTTTTCAAAAATGATCTGTAAGGCTACTAAGAGTTAAAGGTGTTTCTGCCTTAAAAGCAAATGAAACAACTAAAAAGTCACTGCCCAGGGATTTGAGTCTTTTCTTTCCACTTCTATTATTGAGAGAGCCTCCAGAAGACTACAGCTAAGAGGGCTGTTATTTTCCTACTAGAAGAGCAGCTGAGGAAAGGTAAAACAGAGCGAGAATGATCATCTATTTACTGTACAACCGCTAGTCCGCCACTAAGAGAAGTATGCAAACAAGAGCCTCCAGAAGATGGCTATTCCACCAGTACATCAATTAACCAAATAGTGTAATGATACACACAATGTCACTGACATGCCAGTACATCAATCAGCTACAGAGTATAAAACCATGTGTGGTCCAAAAGGACCCTACAATAATCCCCAAGAATGCTACGTGGCACAGTAGCTCATGTCTATCAGCCCAACTACTTGGGAGGTTGAGGCAAGAGGATCACTTGAGCCCAGGAGTTCAAGGTTACAGTGAGCCATGATCACACCACTGCACTCCAGCCAGGATAATAAAGACCTCATTTTTTTAAAAAAAAGTAAAATAAAATAAAAAGATGCTCCCATGTGACAGTCTTACAATGCAGGCTAGTGTCTCCAAAGAAGACTTACTGAGCTACACAGAGGAAGCTGGACATTAGGAATCCCACCCAGAAACATTTGTTAACCCTTACGAAATCACTGATTAAGTTTCACCAGATTCACTGCTTCAACTTTCCAGGTACCCGTATTTAGGGGGGAAAAATCCATTCACCCCAAATGAAATGATTACTGGACCAAAATTAGTTAACCCAATCAGAACTACTTGAGTGGCCAAGCCATTATCATCCTATAAAGCTGGAAAGGTTTTTGTATTTCTCAAAATCTTATGACTCTCATCACAAATGAGACCGGAAGAAATACAACGTTTAGCATGGAAGCATTTGAACTGTAGGCACTTTTGCTAACCTACACTTTTTTTTTTTTTTTTTTTTTGAGATGGAGTCTTGCTCTGTCACTCAGGCTGGAGTGCAATGGCGCCATCTTGTCTCGCTGCAACCTCTGCCTCCCAGGTTCAAGTGATTCTCCCACCTCAGCCTCCCGAGTAGCTGGGACTACAGGCGCACACCACCACACGCGGCTAATTTTTGTATTGTATTTTTCGTAGAGACGGGGTTTCGCCGTGCTCGCCAGGCTGGTCTCAAACTCCCGACCACAGGTGATCCGCCCGCCTCGGCCTCCCAAAGTGCTGGGATTACAGGCGTGAGCCATGGCACCCAGCCTTATCTACATTTTATTTCATGAAAAGAGTTGTGGGAAAATGTGAAGGCTGCCAGTCCATCATTTTCTTGGTTACTTTGGATCCTTCTCCTTTGTTGCAAGAATCATAAATATTCCCAATTCTTTTACAGGCAAAAATGAAACGTGTGCCCAAATATGTCCTTTAAAAATAAACATTAAACATTATGAGGGAAACAACTGGCATTGTGGAAAATGTCTGTGCACCCTGGCTAAGCAACTCACTATTGCTTGGATTATATTAATATACACACCATAAAGCTAAGGAAGAACTTAAATTTGAGCCTCTGCATTTCTGTGCTGAGTAAGCTGTAGTTCTTTCGACTTATCGCCTTCATACTTGCCTGTCCAAACAAAAAGATCTCAAGAATTCCACTGAAATAGTCCAAACAAGAGCCTAAACTTACAAAGCTGTTTTTCAGAGCTCAATAGTACAACAACAGGAAGTAGAACTTCTGGGATGGGGATTTTGCTATTTATTTTTTCTTTCAATGGCCACTTTTAAGCAAAAGAGAAAAAAGTCTACAGGCATTACAAATCCTGGAAGCTATGAATCAGGAAGTGGGAAATGGCTGATCCTGAAATGGCCAGCCTGAAAATCCTGGCTCTTTTATGTAGTCAAGTCTCTGAAGCCAGGAATTTCAGAAATCTTAGGCATTTTGCATTATTTTCTGAATCTTAAAAGAGCTGAGACTTGAGAGAAAAGAGAAGGGCCAGGATAAATGAACCAATAAGGAAGCCCCCAGTCTCCAGCTCCATGCCCCTACCACCACACAAATCTTGCCCCTATAATTACAAGCTCAGTTGGGACATGCTCCTTACAAATGACGTTTGTTTACAATGCTGCTAAGGAGAGGGGGTGATAGCCCATGGTTTCTGCAGACAGAGCCTGCCCCAGGCTTCAGCTTTCTCATTCTTTCCCAATGTTGAATCTGGAATGGACTCGGGACCCTAAATATTTCACAACTCCAAACACCCTGCAGTTGATTAAAAACAATGGTCACTTTTGTTTTCAGGAAAGACTATACCTGATTTTTGCTAAGTCTAAGTAAAATGCAAAGACCCATGCAATGAACCTGCATGAATGCTTTCAGACATGCAGATTTGGAGGGGGACACTGCTCTCTTTTGAGCAAATGGAGATCCAGTAACAGAGCGGGGCTCACTCTGCAATGGCTGCATTTGCATCAACGTGAGACACCAAACAAATGCCCGCACACAGGAGTCTACTATGTGGATCGAGGGAAAAGAGGGCACCTTTATCCTTCCAAATATGACAACTCAATAGAAAACTTCTCATTCCAAAGTCCTAAGGGTCCCTACAACAGGAAGCTACTGGAGCTTGTGAAATATTTCCAGTTATTTTCTACAGAAATTAAACATATCAATTCTACCGGCAGGTCATGTGAGATGACAGGTTTAAAAATGTATGTTGATTGGGGGAGAAAAGCAAAGAAAAAAAATAGAAGAAAATAAAGTCATTTCCTGTGTCAGTTGTAATTTGGGAGGCTTTTTTCCAGTGCCCTTCTAAGTAAATCTGCCATAATCAAATGTAGTCAAATATAACTGCAATGTGCAAAAGCACAGTGATGACCTGAGAGGAAGGTGCCACTAAGAACCCCTGGGACCAGTCTTCTATCTCTTCCATCAGACATCCACTACTACCTCCCCAAAAAGGCTCAGGGTTATTTCATAAACACCAGTAGCCTCCCATGTATTTAACTTAGCACAAATAAGAGAACCAATATGTAAGGGATTTTTTTTGCTCTTAAGAACCAACCATTCCTCTTACCCCAGCCTTTACAGACCTGGAAAACCATCCCTGATTTGCCCCCAGCCTCATCCCCCACTACAACTTAAACAAACCTTCCTCTCCAGCCTTGCTTCCAGCCCCAAAATACATTTTTAAAGTTCTGATGCCAAGACCACCCCATCAAGTCTAGTATAATCCTTCTGATCATCTAAGTACCCTCCTCCAGGAGACCTCCAAGATCCCTCTGGGCAAAATGATCTCTTCCTCCAATTCCAGGGCTCTTTCCCAGTGTGCTCACTCCATCCTCACTCATAAAAGCATCTGGTTCCATTCCACAGCTGGGCACACCTTATCTTCTCAAGAGACAATGTAAGCTCTTTTTAAAACAGGGGCTGCATTTTACACACCTCACATACCTCCTGCAGGTCCCCGAACATCCAAACACTCCAAATTTGTCTCTGTCTCCAAATCCTACAAAACCAAATTCTCTCTACCCAGCTCAGCTCAGCATCCCTGGGGCCCCGATCTACCTCATCTGCCTCCTCTGCTCTAGAGTAAAAGCAACACCAGTCACCCCCACTCTGCCGCCCACTGTAGCCGAATCCAAGTGGCACTCTCAGCCCATGCTCTTATCAGTGCACTGGGGGCAGGCCTACCATCTACCAAGCACCAGAAATGCCCCTCCGAGCTTTGTGCAGCCCCCTTGCCAGGCAGACAGCCTCCAGGGCCAGGTTCGGCACGGGAAGCTAGAACACGGGGCTGACTGCACAGCCTGGGGCAGACACACCTCAGCTTCCACACCCACCTGACAAGGCTGCCCAGAGGATGGAGGGAAGTCAGTGTTTCACCCACTGCCCTAATGGGAAGACAGTGTTTCTCACCCACTGCTCAAGCCTGGAAGCAAAAGGTCCCAATGTTCCTACTCGATGACCCGCCCTGTCATGCCCTGTCCAGATATCTAACCCTCACCTTTCTCTGTCCATCAAGCAGTAAGAATTCATAGCAGCCAGCACATATGACCCTGAGGGCAACGTTCTAACAAAGCCAAAGAAAAGGTGGCACACTGGCCTTCAATTCAAAGCCCAGGGTGGCAAGAAAAGGGTCACTAGTTCCCTGAAAATAACTGGCATGCAAAATTCAAACAGGTAATTGGGGTGGAGTTCATGGAAAAGGGAAGAGAAAACCTCACATGGGTTTGTATACCCTTCATTTAAGCACACTGTCTTCAGGCAGCAGAGGTTTCAAGGTGCATGCTAAACACCCTTGCGCAGGTTTCAGAGAGCAGATAAAAGGGGCTAACCAGGCTCTCAGGAAGCCCAATCCGCACACGCACGGAGCCGAGCCAGTGGAAACCATAAGCCTGTCTCATCTGTCTCTAAACTGCTCACAGGATGAACAGGAAGGCTTGATCGATACTGATTTTACAGTCATAGGAGTGACTCATCACGAAATTCTACCCAGCTTAAAGCTCAGCTGTGAACAGAAACAAAACAACATAATGGCAGGGTCAGATTTAAAATAGTAAGTATGACTGGTAAACAGTTAATGCTCATAAACAATTAACAATCACCTTCCCAGCCTCCTGGATTTGCTGGGAGAGGAAAAAGTACTACTGAGGGCTCTGAAGCGGGCTGCAGCAGTAAGTCTGTCTTCTGTGGCAGCCCCTTCCAACTCACTGATGCTGGTGTCAGCTTTACAAAACAGACCCTGGAGGGTCACGAGGAGCTGCTTTTAATAGAATTCCACACATCTGATGGGTACGTGCTCACTGAGGAGGGGAGAGAGGAGGAATGTACTTACATGGAACAGAGTTTTCAGAGAGTGAAATTTAAGCTCTCCTGGAGTATAACTTCCTCTATGTAGCTCCTGCAGAGTTTAAAATAAGCAACTTATCTGTCCTAAAATGAGAGAAATGGGGTCATATAAAATTTCTCAATAATTGAGTTCCTCTCAAACTGCATTCACTTTAAGGAAAGCACTGGGGTGCTCAGAAGGTGCACTACACATTTCAGGCATTTGGTTACAGAGGCGAATGTGCTCAGCGCCATCCTGAAGACATGTACTTTCAAGTACTGGATTCCATGTAAATTTTAATGATCTGTAACCAACTCTCAGACCTGGCCAAGAACTTCCATAGAGAATCCTGGTCTGGAGATCCCTTCACTATGGCACACTGCTCCACTGTTCTGAACTGCATGACTGTGTCCCCTCCAATTCATATACTGAAGCCCCAACCCCCAGATACCTTCAGTGGTATCTGAAGGTGGGGCCTTAGGGAGGTAATCAGGTTTAGATGAGGTCCTGAGGGTAGAGCCCCCATAATGGCAACAATGCCCTTACATAAAGAGGAAGAGACCAGAGCCCCTTGCTCTCTCCACCCTGTGAGGACACATGACATTTGTCATCTGCAAGCCAAGAAATGGACCCTTAACAGAAACCAAATTTGGTCGGCACCTTGATCTCAGACTTCCAGCCTCCAGAACTGTGAGAAACATAAGTCTGTGGTTTTAGCCCTCAGTCTATAGTAACCTGTCACAGCAGTCTGAGCTAAGACATCCATACAGCCCCGTAAGAGAACCAACCCAGGGACGAGCAACACCTCTCATCATCTGACACCACCTCCTGCCTGACGACCAGGCAAAACAAGCACATACACAAACAAGCAAAAGGGGAGGATGAGAGTGGTCATTCGGGTTTGCTTTGGAGGTCCAGAGAAAATGCAAGTCCAACTTCCAGGCACAGACCAGTTGCCCGCAGCAGGCTTCCTCCCATTGGTCTCAGACCAAGGTGAGCCACTCCCCCGGGCGGGACAGAGAAAGCTCCTCTGGAAGCCAGACAAGCTCGGCCACCTCGAAGTCTTCTTTGGAATCCAGCAGGTCCAGGCCTGAGCCCTGGCGCCTGGTTAAACCAAAGGATGACAACCAAGCAGAAAAAAATAGCCCCAGAGAGTATCTGCTGGAGAGGCAGACAGGCGGACCTGGCCTTCGACACACAGCATGCGTGCCATGGTCTCTAGCAGCGCGTCCCTCCAAGCTTCCTGGCCTGTAAGGCGAAGCCTCTAGCCCTTTTCTACTTTTAGGATGCTCAGATTCTTGCCTGCAGAGGTCAATCCCTTTCTTTCAAGGGCTCCCCCCTCTGTAATGAGGCAGTCCATTTACAATAAAAAAAAAATTGAGCTGTCAAAACAAATGAAAAACTTCCAGTATAATCATAATCAGTGAGGGAATCAAACATCTAAACAAATCTCTCTTCTGGAAAAATAAGAAAATGAAAAAGCAATTACACGTCACATGGCTGATTAGCAATAAATTTCATTTGTGACTACGGTGGCATGAGTTTGACTCCTGACTTGCTTTCCTTGAAAGAAAAAAATTATCTGCAATACTGTCTCTTGATATAGAAAACAGACCCATTCCATCTGACTCAGCTCAAACCTGCGTTTTTTTTCAAGGCCTCTCCTGACCTCACAGTTCCCCCGCAGTGATCCCGTGGTACCTAGGACCGCCATGGACAAGGACTGGTCTCCTTGAATTTGTCTCCCCAACTATTCCACACATATACTCGCATAAACAATTGAGAAATAAGCTTTTTAAAATTGTGGTAAAATATACACAACAAAGAATTTAACATTTTAACCCTTGTTAAGTGTATAGTTCACTGACACTGATTCACAATGTTGCTCAACCACCGTAACCATCCACCTCTAGAACTTTTACATGTTCCCAAACTGAAACTCTGTACCCATTAAACACCAATTCCTCATTGCTCCCTCCCCCCAGCCTCTATTCACCGCCCCTCACCATTCTACTTTCCGTCTCTATGAATGTGACTACTCTACATAGCTCACGTAAGGGTAACAATTATGCACTGTTTGTCCTTTCATGACTGGCTTCTTTCACTTCGCAGAGTGTCTTCAAGGTTCACAGACATTGTAGCACATCATAGAATTTCCTTCCTTTTTAAGGCTCAATGATATTCCATTGTATGGATAGACCACATTTTGTTTATCCACCCGTCTATGGATGGACCCTTGAGTTGCTTTCACTTTTTGGCTATTTTGAATTATTTGCTGCCATGAACATGGGTGTACAAATATCTGTTCGAGCCCCTGCTTTCACTTCTTTTTGGGCATATACCCCAAAGTGGAATTGCTGGATCATATGGCAATTCTATGATGAATTTATTGAGGAAGCACCATATCATCTTCCTGTTAAAAAAAAAAAAGGCTGTGCCATTTTAACAGTCTCACCAGTAAGGCACAAGGGTTCCAACATCTCCACATCCTGGCCTATGCTTGCTATCATCTGGTGTTTTTGGTAATAGCCATACTAATGAGTATGAAGTACCAATTGTGGGTCTGACTTACATTTCACCAATGACTAGTGACTTTCAACATCTTTTCATGTGCCTATTTGCCTCAAGTAGTAAGTTTTAAATCAAAAGAATTAACCCCTCCTCCTAAGAGACCTCTCATCACAGAAAGCAAACAGTAGTATCCTTACCTACTAGCATTGTTAAATTGGTTAGTCTGGGCTCAAAACACTTTTGTTTTCCTTGCAAATACCACCATAGGCAATATTCGCTTAGCAAGACCATTCAAGTCCATCTACCAAGTTGCCTAAACAGGACTAACCTTGAATTCTGGTCTCAGGAAGACCTTGTGCGATCCAGGGAGCAGAGCAAGAGAGCAGCTCCTTCTCGCACCATCCTGCATCAGGCAACACACTGCAGCTGGCTTCCCACCTGACTGAAGCCTTCTCCTGTTCTGGCAGCCATGGGCCGCTCCAGCTGGGGATGCTCATCCTTGCAAGCAGCCATCCACGCACAAAGGGCACAGGTTCTCAGGGTTCTCCACATTCAATTTAAAATACCCTAATTTGTGTTGCAGATACTTAATCTAAGTGTTTTTCAGATCCTGTGCCCTAAATTTTGGCTGGAAACATAGTCCCACTCACATCCCTCATGCTCGTGACCAGGCTCTTCCCCAGGCCACATGACCCCCAATTACCTCCCCCTCCTTGAAGAAGGAAGAGACTGAAGGGCGAAGGGACATCCACAGTTCACATTGATAACGCAAATGATCCATCACCATGGCCTCAAAAGGGCCTTGGAATCCAAATGACCCACTTACTGGAGGAGGATGCTTCAAACGGAGGCAGATGCAGAGTCAGGAGGGAGACAGGGACAGAAAAGGAGGAAGCTGTGCTGCTATCCCCAGTGGAGCGCTTGTCAAACTCTCTTTACAAGAAATGAAGCTGGGTTCCTGCCGGGCGCGGTGGCTCACGCCTTTAATCCCAGCACTTTGGGAGGCCGAGGTGGGCGGATCACAAGGTCAGGAGATCAAGACCATCCTGGCTAACACGGTGAAACCCCATCTCTACTAAAAATACAAAAATTAGTGTGGCAGCGGACGCCTGTAGTCCCAGCTGCTGGGGAGGCTGAGGCAGGAGAATGGCGTGAACCCGGGAGGTGGAGCTTGCAGTGAGCCAAGATTGCGCCACCACACTCCAGCCTGGACGACAGAGCGAGATTCCATCCAAAAAAAAAAAAAAAAATGAAGCTGGTTCCTAATTCTGCAGTCAAAAAAAAACGGCAAATGTAGCTAGGAGCAAAACATCAGAATCAATACACACCCAAAGGGTATTTTTTTTTTTAAAGGAAGTAAATAACTTCTAATGCGTATTTCCTCTATCCTTAGCAACAATAGTATCAGCTAACTCCTAGTGTTTATAAACCCTAGGTTCTAAGAAATGTGTATGTATTCACTCATGAAGTATTGGTAACGATCCTCCAAGATGGGTGACACTTTTTTTTTTTTTTTTTTGACATGGAGTCTCACTCTCGCCCAGGCTGGAGTGCAGTGGCGCGATCTTGGCTCACTGCAACCTCCAACCTCCAACCTCCAACCTCCAACCTCCACCTCCCAGGTTCAAGTGATTCTCCTGCCTCAGCCTCCTGAGTAGCTGGGATTACAGGTGCATGCCACTGTGCCTGGCTAATTTTTATATTTTTAGTAGAGACAGGGTTTCACCATGTTAGCCAGGCTGGTCTCGAACTCCTGATTTCAGGTGATCCGCTCACCTCGGCCTCCCAAAGTGCTGGGATTACAGGCATGAGCCACCGCACTCGGCCTGATGGGTGGCATTATCTTCCATTTTACAGATGAGGAAAGGAGAGCAGAGAGGGTCAATAACGTGCCCCGGTACAATGCATCAGTAGACTTCTAATTCTCCAACCCTCATCTCAGAGGGGAATGGTGTCATGAAACAAGACTGGGGGGAAAAGGGAGAAGGCCTGCTTTCTAGTCGAGAAAAGCGGAGACCGTCTGAAACTCTACTTGCTCCAACAGGTGAACGTGATTGAAAATTCAGAATTCACTCTCCTAATAGCAGGAAAGTGTTACAAAAGCCCACAGGCCAAATGATACCACCCTCCCAGGAAGTCTCTTGCAGAACTGTGTTTTTTAATGTTATTTGTCAAGTGAAAACAGTTACAGTGGCAGAACAGGCAGCACCCAGAGAGTGGCACTAATCGTGGGCTAAGGATGGGCAATTGCTTCTCATCAAGAACCACAATGTGTCCAGTCAATTTACAAACATAAATCAACACAAGTTCAAAAGCACCAGTAGCAAAGTCCAGGCCTGGATGTGAAGCTGGCACCCCTCTTTAAACAAACTGTTCCTCTTCACTTGCATGGTAAGGACTGGAAAGAGCCCTGCCGCGTTGGCCAGCTCTTCAGGGTAGCGGGGGCCACCGCCCTCTCCCAGCCTCGGGAAGCCCAAGGCCACTGCATCAGCCTGGCCCAGCCCAGAACCAGCCTCGGGCCCAGCCGGCCCAACTCAGAAAAAGGCAGGGGTCAGTCTCCAGCCTGGACTCCTCTAAAAATCAGAAAGCAGTGCCCCAGCAAACGAACAACAACAGCGCTCACCTGAAACAGTTTCACCTTCATTTTTAGAGGAGAGGAACACAATAGGAGGGCGTATTACTCCACGGGTTTTAACCCTAGCCCTTGATGCTACCAGGTATCCATGATGCCCCTAATAAAGGTGACAGTTCCTCCACTTTTCTAACATCCAGCTATTCTTTAAAAAAGTTGAACACTGCAGTTTCCGGAGAACTTTGCTATGTGAATTGCCTCACTGCAGGTGTGCTCTCCCCTAGCTCTCTCCATTCCATGCCTTAAAAGTGCCAGGTGTCTCCTCGGGAGCTGCCCTGTGCTACCGCCCCCAGTCCTGCAGCCAACCTGTTTTGCGGGTCCTGCCTCTCCATCAACTGGGACTGCTCTCTCGACAAACCACCCCAGCCCACAGCTCCTCTGGCAACCCAGCCCCTCACACCGAGGACCCATCTCACCAGTCACCTCCCTCAGCTGGGCCAACCTGTCCAGTCCATTCCTGCTTCCTGGTCTCAGGTCTAGAGACAAGACTTCCCTCCCTGAGCCTGTCCTCACTGCCTCCCTCATCTATACCATCACTGGCTCACACCGGGGTGTCTATCTGTCCCCCAATCCTGACTCCATCGAGAGACCAGAGCAGCCTCCCCAGAACACCCTTCTCAGCGGGTCCACTGCAATGGTGCAAAGGTTTCAGCGCTCCTCATTCTCTAGCCAGCAGTCAATTCCTTCCCACCACACAAACACCGGATTCTGACACCCTCTCCACTCCATCAGTGCACACTGCCACCCACACCACACATGGTCCCTTCCTCTCCTGGGGAGCTGCCTCCTTGGATCTTGAGAGTCAAATATTTAGGGCACACTAAAGTCAGACATCCTCCTTAAAGCTTCTCAAGCCATTCTGCAGTTCCGTGACCCCACTGCCTGCAGCCCACATACTTCTCTCCGGTCAGCATCCCATAACTTAGCACTAAACTCATAGCATCTGTTACTCTCCACCAGTAGTTGAGTTTTCCCAACTAGACAACAAGCTCGAGTAAAAAAAAAAAATCATATTCTTTCATATGCTTTCCATGGAGCAGAGACCACTGGAGGCCCTCAAATAATCTAGATATCAGAAACAGGGTTCCATACTCTGTCACCACTCACCTTCCACTCCCACTCCCCTTCCACAGATAGGGACATGACCTTGAACCAGTCAGCCTGGTTAACCTAAAAACCCATTCTCTTCAGGCACAGAGAAGCAAGGTGGTTACTTAGTGGTTTCAACAACTGACCTGAGACTCAGACGTCCGGGTTCAAACCTTTCACTGTAGATGTGCAAAAAAAGACCCTCCTTGGCCAGCCACAGTGGCTCACATCTGTAATCCCAGCACTATGGGAGGCCGAGGTCGGTGGATTGCTTGAGGCCAGGAGTTTGAGACCAGCCTGACCAACATGCCTAAACCCCGTCTCTACTAGAAAAAAAAAAAATTAGCCAGGCGTGGTGGCACACGCCTGTAATCCCAGCTTCTTGGGAAGCTGATCCACAAGAATTGTTTGAACCTGGGAGGAAGAGGTTGCAGTAAGGCAGAGGTTGCAGTGAGCGGAGATTGCACCACTGCACTCCAGCCTGGGCAACAGAGCAAGACTGTCTCAAAAAAAAAAAAAAAAAAAAAAAAAAGGGCCCTATTCAACTGGCAGCAATTCCCCAGTGTTGTGGGGAAGGAGGACTGGAGGCCCCAGAGAGAGCCCACCAGGGCCACCCACCATGAGGAGGAGAAAAAAAGAGAAAAGCATCCATTTATTGGATGCTTTCTATTTGCCAGGTTTGCTGGGCAGCTTGGATACATTATCTATTGCTAATTCTCATTGGCATCCCTGCTAGAGCAGTGTTATTCCAATCACAGGCAGAGACACTGAGGCCTGGAGCTCCCTTTCCAACATGCCTCCATGCGTGGGAGAGAGGGAGACAGTGAATTGTTTGAGGGGACAAGGCTTCAAAGGAAGCCCTGCACATATGCAAACCGCACGGAGAAGAGCAGAGCAAAGACAGGCCAGGCTGTCCAGCTAAGTTCACATCCAGCCGGTTCAGCATTCACATGAGAATTTCACAAGATGCTTTTTTACAAGCTACTCTTGAATATTAACATTCCAGCTTCAAATGATTATGTTTACATTTTCTGCAAGAAATATCCCACCCCACTCCTCGGAAGAGGAGACTTTAAGGATAATTTCTAAGGTGTTCATTAAGTTCAGGAGTCCCCTTGACACCAACCTAGACAAGTAAGCTTTCTTCTGTCCAGAGGTCGGGAGCTGGCCTCACCGTCGCCCTACCAGGACACTGTCAAAGGCCTTCACCAGCAACCAAAACCGGCAGGGTTGGAGAGGGTGCTTCAATGATAGAGAGACCTGTAAGACCTTGCTACTGTCCCTCCCAGGAGTGAGGCAAAAGCTTACTGGCCTCACCAAGAAAACAATGCAAAAAATAGAAGCCAACTTCCATACGTGGTGATTCTGCTTGTTCCAACCACATCTCCCTCAAATCTCCATCTCTCTCTCTGCCTAGTATCTTGAGATCTGAAGGCTGGAAGGGCCTGTGAAATGACCTAGGTCCACCCTGTAACTCAAGGTCAGCAGGTGTGCAAGTACCCTACCCACCCAACTTTCTGAGATGCCACCCTGGCCCTCTGCACCAGGCCACTCCGGAGACCACCAGGCAGCCGAGTCCAGCCTGCAGATGCTTCCTCCTCAGGAACCCAGCTCCAAGAGGGTTTAAAAGCACACTACAGACATAAATCGGTGCCAATGAATTATTCATTACATCTTATCTATAGGGAACTTATGGAACAAAGTCTCCATCCACAGGGATGAGGTGATCTTGACACAAGGCCAGACTCACAAATTACCCTTCCAGGAGTTCTAATTTTTTTTATTCACCTCAATGTGCAAAAAGCCTAATCAAACAATGATTTTAAAGATAATTTTATTGCTTTCAAGTTCCATGCAGCAGTAACTGGTGTGATAAAATGTTTTGGCTAGCAGAGGTGCAATGATCAGATGAAAATAAATTTGTTGTACAAAGAAGTGCTTCAAAGTGAATGGCGAGTATCCCTTTAAGAAGTCTTCCGTTTCTTCAGCTCCTCCTATGCACCAGGCACTGGGCCACCTCCTGGGAATTCAAAGATAACCAAGGTACCATTCCCCTCCCCAATGGTGGGGGAAAGCAATATGGGGGAGATGCCCAAATAGGAGGTATAGCAAGAGACCACAGGAGCTCAAGTCAGTGCAATCATTCTGCATGCAGAATCAAGGCCAGAGAGAGGGTGAAATTACAGCTAACTCTTAAAGGAGCTTGCCAGAGGGCAAGCTGGTAGTATTGTTTGCTATTCCAAGCAGAGGGGCTTCCACCTGCCAAGACAAAGAGACACGAATGAGTACAGCCTGAACTGTTCAAAATGTCTGGGAGGAAGGGAGGCTGAAGTTCTCTCTCAGACAGCCAAACAAAGATTTCCGAATTAAAAATAATAAAAGGCAATCATGGGGAAACAGGTTTAAGGCTTTTGACACGTAAAACTGAATAACCAGCTATATATTTTGTGTAATCTCAGCAAGAAAGATTCTGAAAATATCAATAAAACATGAAACAAAATACATAAAATTAGCTAGCGAAATATAGACGGTGTGGGACCTAACACAACACTGGATGTATTTATTCTTATTCTCTGTGAGTATTTCTGGCTGGCGAGCATCTTAACCACATAGAATAGCCAAAGGGGAGAGAGAAGAGAATGAAAGTGTTACTACCTGTTTAAATAGAGCAATGGAAGGTAAATCTTGCTGTATTTTTCCAAATGAAATCAGTAGTGTTTTTTTAATCTCTAATCTCAAATATTTTGGAGCTTTAAATTTATTAAAGTCCTGTAAAATTATCTTAAAACTCTAACTGTAAAAGACACACTAGGTGTTAACAGCTCTGCCATGGAGTTGCAGTGCGCCTGTCTGCATCACTTAGGAAGACCCTAATTCTCTCAGGACAGCTCGCACTGACACAGTAGAGTAACCTTAATCCAAAACTGTAGCCCAGTGATTTCTACAGAAGTCTGTAGTATCCACATTTTCTTGCAATCAGTCCCCAGGAAGCAAGCCAGAGAGTGGGTTGGGATCGCTATCTTCCTCCTTGGGGCACTATTAATTCAGTCACCTAATATGCTGAATTTCCCTTCTGGCCACTAGATGGAGCCTATGCATAGGCGAGATGGGCAAAGTGCACACTGGACACCTCTCAGGTGTGAGCAGAAATTGACAAATGACAATATTAAGGGAGAAAGTGTAATAAACAGATCTCTGAAATGGAAGGCAAACTGCAGGGGGATGACCATCGTTTACTGAAAAAAAAAATCACAACTGTTTAATAAGCAACATGCCATCTTGTTAATAAACACCTTAGCAAAATAAAGTTTTATTATACATTTATTGAGCACCTATGTGCCAGGTTCTATAACATATTTAAATGGCAAGGACAATCAAACATCAAGTAAGCCTTATATTTCTATCCAAAGAACATCTCTGTTCGAGGATGTCACAACCCTAAGAACAGTAGCAGTTGAAGTCCAAGGGCTTAATACCAGGTGCCAGGTTCTATTCTAGGCACTTGACATGTGTACGAATTTGATTTCTATGAATGTTTAAAGTAGATTCTATTAAAATTATAATTTCACAGATGAGGAAACTGAGGCACAAGAAGATTAAATTATTTGCCTGAGAGCTTAGCTACTGAAGAGCTGAGATTCAAACCAGCCACTTTGGCTCCATGGTCCTAATAAAATTACAAGCAAGGAACAAGACAAATCACTGTCAACCAGCAAAACCGTGGGTTATGAACTCAAAAGGAGTAATGGGAAAGTAGATCTATACAAGTTAGGGAAATCCCAAAAACCTTCAAGAAGGAAGAGGAATTTGACTTGGAAATGTAAAGATGGCATCTCTGACCTATTCAAACCACAGAAAAGGCATATGGGGGAAAGGAATCACCTGACTTAGCGTGCTGCCTTTTGAAAGTTATGATCTTGTCCCTATTTTACAGATCCACCTGGAACTTGGAAATTATTTCAATTTAAAAAACCTATTCTATTTCCTCACAATTTTTCTGACTTTGGTTTTCTAAACCTGTTAGAAAAGGTTTTCATTCTGTTGTTTAGTGAGAAAAGGAGAAATGTCTCCCCCAAATATTTTTAAGTCTCCGCATTTCTATCAAGACTCAGAAAAGTTAATAACTTTAGGACCAAAGAACTAATTGGCAGCTAAGGAGAAACTAAAGCTATGGTGACCTTCCTGTGTTCTTAAGCGGCACTTTCTGCTATTCAGTATTGAGGATGGAAGGAGAAGTAGCAGAGTAGTGAAGAGGAAAAACATTCTCAGCTATGGAAACAGCAGAAGCAAAAACTTGAAGACAGGCATAACACAGCTTCCTTTCCATCAAGCTAATGCACAGATGCTGGGGAGTACCAGGAACTAACAGTGGATCCCTACAGCACAGGATTACTAAGGACCTGTTTCATTACTTGATTCTAAGGACCCTGGACTTGATCCTAGGACCACAAGAGGCACGTTCTGAGTATTTGGAGCTGGCAAGTCCATCAGACTAAGGGAATGGTACAGGAACTGGTTCAGAGGCCAACTCAGCATGTAGTCAGAGTCAATGCAGGTCTGCACTGGACCAGGCTGGATCCCGGAATAGGGGTCAATCTGAGCGATTTCAAGTGACTCAGTGAGATCGAAAGGCAACATTCAATTAATGAGTCTCCCCAGAAAAGGACAGGCTGCAGAACTGAAACTGAACAAATTCCATCCTGAGCCAATCTCTGTTGCTGAAAATTTTACTGAGGTGCATGTGAGAAAGAAAATCCCAATTGTATCACCTGACGAAGAAAGGCTACCATAACAAAAGTTCTGTACCTACGACTACACGATATCATGTTGTGACCTAACATATGCAGTGAACTCATTATCCACAGAAATCAGACAACAGAACTAAGGGAAGCCTCACAGCAGATCTCCCTCTGCTGCTACTGGTCTCTGTGTTCATTTGTTTTCGTGGCAATCTGTGCTTCTCTTTAAAGTCCTGAGTCTGTAAGCTTGTGTATTATCCCACTAAAATGAGACTCAGGGAAATTAGGTAAAGAGAATAAATACAGGACAACACAGATAAATGTGGACACAACTGAGAGGGATTTTACAATCTAGACAGAATTAATAGCTAATGACTTAGAAAACACTTTGTAAGCTGATGCAGTCAATTGGATCATGGGCTCCTACCTGGAATTTCTCTCCATGCTTCCTACTTTTTCCAGGAAGTTATCAAAGGTCACTAAGACGCTTTGAATTTGGGGAAAACTCCTACAAATAAATTCATCTCTCCCTAATTACCATTAGACTTCTGTTCTTTAAAGTTCTATTGACTAAACTTTGGCTGACTTAAATTGGTGATGTCTCATTTACGTAATCAAGCACATATTCCCAATAACCAACTTTACAGAGACTAACCACGACTATATTTTTTACAGCAGAGGACAAGCTGAAAGCAATCACAATGTATCAGGAAAAATTTCAAGTTATGCTCTATAAAATATTTATGCTCTAACAACTATCAAAATATATTTGTTCTCCCATGTCAAGAGTAATTTTTAAAGTGGTATTTATTTTTAAACTGACAAATAATTCCAAAGCCAGTTTGAGAAAGCTAGTGCCATGTTAAAAAGAAAATGGTTGAACAAAAGTATACAAAACAGCAACAACAATGTATTTCAAACTCGCAGAATTTGGACGATGGACGGATGGATGGAGATACACAATTCTGAACAAACGGCATTCGTATTATGTAACTCTTACTGAAGTAGAGACCTATGGTATTAAGGGGGCTAAGACTGAGGAGTGAGATAAAACAAAGTTTCAAACTCCTCCCCGCAAGAACTTTCTGGATTAGCAAGACTACTTTCTAAAGTCTTTAAAATATGCAAAAAAACAAAAAAAAAATGTTTTCCAGACTATTACCAGGTGAGCAATTTATTTTTATATATGTATTTTGTGTGTGTGATGGAGTCTCGCTCTGTCACCCAGGCTGGAGTGCAGTGGCATCATCTTGGCTCACTGCAACCTCTGCCTCCTGGGTTTCAGCAATTCTCCTGCCTCAGCCTCTCACGTAGCTGGGATTATAGGCACGGGCCACCACGCCCGGTTAATTCTGGTATTTTTAGTAGAAAGGGGGTGCACCATGTTGGCCAGGCTGGTCTTGAACTTCTGACCTCAAGTGATCTGCCCACCTTGGCCTCCCAAAGTGCTGGGGTTACAGGCAGGAGCCGCTGTGCCCAGCCAGGTGAGCAGTAAGGTAGGCCCAGCTATCGCTGCAGTGTGTGATGGCCCCATCCACAGGTGTGCACATCTTCCCCATGTGACTAGCCAGCCGCCCCACTACTCCAAAGAATGTGAATGCTTCAAGACCACCAACCACCAAGTGAGCTCCATGGACACAAGGCCCAACAACTTATATTGCAATCGTAGGTGTTCATCCCTCACCATAAAAGAAACTACTTTCTGTTGTGGTCCAGTGAAAACAGAAGAGCAATCTATGAGTTTACAAATTCTTGTAGGCTGGGGGCGGTGGCTCGCACCTGTGATCCCAGCCCTCCGGGAGGCCGAGGTGAGTGGATCGCTTGAGTCCAACCTGAGCAACATAGCAAAACCTCGTCTGTACTAAAAATACAAAAAATTAGCCAGGCATGGTGGTGTGTGCCTGTAGTCCCACCTACTTGGGAGGATCACTGGAGCCTGGGAGGTCAAGGCAGAATCAAGCCGTGATCACACCACTGCATTCCAGCCTAGGTGACCAGAGACCCTGTCTCAAAAAAAAAAAAGAAAAAAAAATCTGTAGTCCAGGGCAGGAAAAAGAAAAATTTTAAGCTTGCTTACTAGTTTGTTTCGTTTTATTTTTTTTTTTAATAAACATGGCAGTAACATCTATAGTTTGACGGGTATCTTTAAAAACTTATGGTAAGACATTTTACAGTATCAAATAATTTCTAAACCTAAAGAACTGCATCCAGTAAGTACTCAACATGTATTTACTGTGGAAGAAAAGAGGGAGGGAAAACGACTATTTCTCAGTTCAAGTAAGGAAATATCAGTTTTTCCTTAAGATTTGAAAATAAAACATAAGTAAAGCCGGCATCAGTGGAAAAAAAGGGAGAGAAATCTTCAAAAATGGTATCTGGGACTTTCAAACGAGTAAAATTGACCATTTAAAAACTTAGTCTTCAAAAGTCCAAAAGTCTCAAAATCAAAGGTATTGTTAATACTTTGAGTCAAATAAAACCAAAGCAATTTAACAAAAGAAAACATCATGCCGAGGAAGTATGCTTCTCTTGAGATAACAATCTAACTTGTTTTAAAGATCCTTTGTTTACTAACCATTTTATATTCCAAATATATGTTCCTTCCTCAGAACAAATCAATTCTTTTCCAGACCCTCGGGGATGGGGGTGCAGGCATGAGGGGATGTGTACATATATCAAAGTTTTAATCTTTTCAAATAGTGGAACTCAGTTATGCTTCCCAAATGTCAACAGGTCTCAATGTCCACAAACACTGGGGCTGCTACCCTCCCCCATCCCCACTTAAAGCCACATCACATCTTTACAAATAACTGGAAAACCTCCTCTTGCTAAGCTGATGCCAAACACCATTTTCCAGGAGGGATCAGAGTGCATCACTCATTAGGCACTTTGTTGTCTCTAAAGTGTTCAGAATTTTCCTTCAGAACATCTCAGACTGGAAATCAAGAAACTATATCCGTAACATGTGTGCAACTATTATATATTTAGTACAATTGAGAAGAGCTCATCCCCTGGACTCAGCACCTGTCCTAAGCTGGCTAAGAAAAGCAGTTCAAATCAAGTTCGCCCACAGGCGCAAATACCTCTTCCATGAACTAGGTCTGATTTTTAAATGAGTTTTGAAAACAAATTGGGGAAAATCACAACCTATAAAGAAATGTATCTTGTATGCTTTACAATTAAAAAACAAAAACTTTCAGGATTTGTCTCCTCACTCTTACTCCCTCACGCTTTTAAAAACACCAAGTTATTTACAAATTATAAAATGCCCTGAAATTATGAATGCTTCCTGATTTCTAGAAAGCTAACTAAGCAATATGTAATCCAGAAAACTTCTGAAATAAGTTCCATCTTTCTTACAACTCAAAACATGCTATGCAACGTTCATGTACACACCTGTGACTCCTAATTTTTGGAAAAAGGCAACTACAACACTGCAGTTTGTAAATCACAATTGCCATATCCAATGTTATAAAGAAGACAGTGCCGCCAGTCAAGATGGGTTAACATCACCTGTATGTCACAGTCTACAGTGACATCCCAATATAACGGAAAGCACCAATGAGGCAAAAAAGGTATAGGGTAAAGGCTTCTGATGAACAACACTAGAGTCCTAAGTCTACAGAAATATTTTTAAAAGAACCTTTAAAATGCTAACTACTGTCTACTTGAAAACTGCACCCTATACTGAGTCTGAAAAAAAATCTGAATTTCAAGAAAGGTGGTTTCATGCAAGACTCTGCAGGTTCATGCACTGAGTAGCACAAGGTCAGCTTTCATACAGTAGGTGCACAATAAGTGCAGGCTGGATTCAGTTGCTTCTTACAGCACATTCTTACAAAACAAATGAAACCAGATTTAAAAGGAAACCACCGTCCCTTGAGGGTTCCTCTTGGCAAAAACTCTAAGGCAACAAGTGAAAATGATACAGTTGATTTTCATTACTGCCCTGATCTTGCAACAATAGGAAGGGCAGGAAACATTTTTATTAGTAAACTAAGCCTTAGACAAAGACCAAAAGCAAATGTAAACAACAATTATTCTCTAGGTCTTTTCCTATTGAAAGGCCAGGGTAAATCTGGATAAATGCACACAGTTTCAAAACAAAAATGCCTTTGCCACATTTTAAAACCTTTCGTTCTGTAAGGAATTTTAATTTTATAAAAATCACTGTATACTTGAAACAGTGTATCCTAAAACTACTGCATCCTAAAGATTCTTTCTCCTGCTCAGACCCTGGAACTATGTAAGAAATAAAATAAAACTGCAAAGAAAAGAAACAACAATACTGCATTAAAATGAACTGTTCTGTTCATCCTCAGTCCTTACTACCACTTGTGGTCAATGTGGCATATCAAAAAATGAGTGTTTAAAACATCTTAAAACAGCAATGTCTTTCTTTGTTGGAAAACATAATAAAACTGGAAATACAAACAGCCCTTCAGACTCAGCTCCTAAACTCTATCCTGAAAAAAACCATCATTTCAGATTCAGCTGAGGTTTCTATTGTCAAAAATCTGCCCTCCACCAGCATTTGTGTTTTTTAAATCCAGCTCCTCAATCCCTAACTGAAGCTACATAGAACCAAGATTCTTTTTCTCCTGCTTGCCCATTTCTACTGCGGGATTGAATCCCTGTTGCTAAGCTTCAATTATCAGTTTGTTGTATTGCTGCAACTCACGGATCTGAAAAACTCATAAATGAAAAGAGAGAGAGACATCAGCCTGTCAAATGTATGTAATAATTTTAACGTAATTTAAGGTAGCATAACAAGTTATTTTCAACCTGATCACATTTCTTTAAAAAAAAAAAAAAGGGTTTATTGAGATATAATTCACATACCATTAAAGTCCCCGATTTAAAGTACATAATCCAATGGTTTTAAGTATATTTAGAGCTATGCAGCCATCGCCACAAACTAATTTTAGAACAATTTTCATCACCCCAAAAAGAAACCCTGTGCCCACCAGCAGTCACTCCCCATTCCATCCGCCCCCAGCCCCTGGCAACCACTCATCTACCTTCTGCCTCTATGGATTTGTTTATTCTAGACATTTCACATAAACCGGATCATACGATATGTGGTCTTTTGTGACTGACTTCTTTCACTTTTTGTGATATTTTTAAGCTTCATCTATTCAACCTTAGCATATTTCTTAGAGTTGAACTTTTCTAATCTTTTTCGACAAATCAAACATTATGACCTTTTACATTTCAAATCCTGACACAAACCCCACCCTTCCACAAAACACCATTTGCTTGCTATGTCTCTCCAGAGGATCTAAACTATAATTTGCTGTTTAGGTTCTTTCAGAAGTTCTTTTTCTGGGTTCTCCTTCTGGTAATAAAACACTAACTTCTTTAAACACCAACATTTCACATACCTACATTTCTGTGACAACAGGATGCCTGGGGTAGAAAGATGACTGAATCCTTTTAAGGAGATGGGTACAATAAATTTAAAGTGCATGCTGACTTTTTAAAAACAAAATAGCCCTCAGATTATCTGGCTATCACTCAGAACCTCCGAACCGCCTTCATTTAGATGCTCTGTTCACATTATGGTGATACAAAACAAACACATCCATATGACTGCCTCTGCTTCAGAAACTAAGTTTTCTAAGATAAACAACACTCTTTCTACTGCCATCACACTCAAAGAGGAAACTCTAATCTCTCAATACGCCAGCAAAATACCTGCAACTGAACCAACACCCTGTCTTTATTTCTCCACCAGACAACAGCTGAAAGAACGCCCTCCCTGATAGGGCTCAGCAGCTTATTTCTATCAGAGTTAAGTGGTCTAGCACCTTCCCGGCTAAAAACTGAACGCCCGTTCACAGGCATAGCTTTTAATTCTCCACATTTCAGAGATGGAGGGAGGGGCAGGTACTGAGTCAGTCAAGACTTCAGCAAACCATAATCGAGATTTGGGGTGCCTTCTGACCACCCATCAGGTTTCCAGGAACTAACCACTGTAAAGGGATCCTGGGGGGAAGCTTTGGTATCATGGAGTAAAAACATACATTAAAACACCCCCTCCCTCCTGCCTGTGTTCTCAAAAATCGCCGTCTTGCACAAAGAATATCCTTCAAGAAGAACGCTCCAAAAGAAAAACAGCCTATTTTAAAATGCCCGACTCCTGCGTCGGCGAAGGCCATCCCTGCTGTTTTGAATTTCAGAACATTAAAAACACAAAACTAGAGAAGCTATACAGTTCAACTGCATAACATAACAAAATGGATTATTTCTCCCGTGTCTTCTAAACCGTACTTATCTTTTAAAGATAAAAACCCTCCTTTGTCCCCCCAGCCACCACCTAAACGACTTAGTAAAGGGAGCCGGAAGGCTTTCGCCCAATCGAGTCCGCTGAAAGTTTAGAAAACAAAGAGCAGGAGAGCCCAGATCTGTGGAAGGTCCGGCCCCAGTCCGCGTCCCACTCGGCAGTAAACACGCGAACCACGATCTGCTCTCGTTCCGTCGCGGACTCATTTCTTACCAGACGTTTAAGGATTTGTTTATAGAAACAGCCTTTCTGAATTGCCCCGGTGATGGGGCCATACAACCTCCGCTGCCTCCTCCTTCCCCGCCTCACTCGTGAAGGCTCAGTCGTGATTTTTTCAAAGTTAATCGGCACCACCTGCATACCCTCGGCAACCATTACTCACCAACACGCCCTCACCGTTCCCAGTCCCAGTTCTGCGACATTTAAACTTTTAATCGTGTTCAAATTACCCTACCATCTTGAATGTACCAGTAAGCCACACTTTCAACTTTTTCAGAAGAATAAAACCCCCACCTCCTCCGGCCGTAGACACCGGGGGGAGTTCTCGCTCCCCGCATCCCCGCGCTTCCCTACTAACCCCCACCCGACACCACCAAAACAAAAGCTATCAGATTGCAAAAGACAGCGAATGTGGAGCGACACTGCTTATTAACTACGTACAAAGGAAGTGCGGGGCGGCAGAAGAGAGGGCGACACGACGCCGACCACAACAAAACCAAGGCCAGGGCTCCGCGCTCGCAAAACACAACACCCTCCCCGCGCCGCCGCAGACCCTGGCGCTGAAACCACAGCGTACGACACCTCTCGCCAGGGACGGGCGTCTAGGTGTCCCCGTGAGGCGGCGACTACACCCCGCGCTGCGAGCACGTGTGTCGGAATGCACGTCGGCTCCGACCACACACCCACCAACGCACACTCGGATGCGGCCCTAGTACCCCTCCATCCCCCGGCCCGGGAGAAACTGGGAGACCATCCCAGAGCCCTCTGAACTGGGGACCCAGTGGCGCTCCCCGGAAGAGACAAGCTGAGGAAGACTCCCGGCCTCGCACTTCCCGGGGGGCTGCCCAGAGAGCGCTTCCCCTCACCCCACCGCCCAGCCCCGGGACGCCGGGGGCAGGTAACCCAACGAGGAGCGGGCCAAAGTGACGGGCAAGGCCAGGAACCCGAGGAGCCCGAGGGGCAAAAGCACGTTGGGCGACGGGAGGCAGCGACGGGCGCTTGGAGACGTGTCCTGGGGCTTCGGGGCCTCTCCGCAGGGCACCTCCCCCCTCGAGGGCAACTCGCACCCCGCGGGCCGGGCGGCTGCCCGCTCCCCACTGCCCGGTCAGCCCCAGCAGCGGAGACGCGGTGCGGCCCAGGGTGCTGTCGCTGCTGCCTGCGCGCCGCAGGGGATCAGCGCTGTGTGCGGAGAGGCTCTTGCGCATGGAAGGGGCGAGGTGCGGGTCGCGGGGCCCGGGAACCGCGGAGCCCGCCCCGGCACCAACTTCCCTACCGAGTCCTCGCGCCTAGCCGGGAAACACGGCTGGGCTGTCAGGACGGAGAAAGAGAAAAGCCCTTCCCGCGCGGGGATGCGCGGAGCCAGGGCCCGCGGGGCTCCAGACGAACGAGCCCGGGTCCCGGGTCCGCTGCAGCCTCCCTCCCGGCAGAGCCGCCCTGCGCCCCACCCCGCCGCTCCCGAGCCCGGGGGCCCGACAGCTGCGACGGTGGCAACTCGGGTTTCGCAAACAGGGCGCAGCCCCTCGGAGGAAAAGTTCCCGCAGTGGCCGCGGGCGGCGGGCACATACTCACTTTCTCCACTCGTCGGCCAGAGCGAGAGCGCGGCGGAGAGAAACAGGAGCCCCCACAGCGAGGTCGGGGACCCTCCTCCGGAGCCAGACTTCATTCCTTTTATTTGGGATGAAATTCCCCTTTCTCAAAAAAAAAAAAAAAAAAAAAAAAGAAAAGAAAAGAAAAAAAGGAAATGAAAGGAAACAAGTCTCAAACTCAGTCTTCGCTCCCCCTCCAAAAACAAGGGCGAAGGAAACAATACTCCGAAGGCGGCGCCGCCGGGGCCCTCCGGGTGCGCGGACGGGGCGGGCGGCGCGGGGCGGCCCCTCAGCGCCGGCAGCAGCGGCCCAGGGCTCGGCGGAGTCGGGAACCCGAGGCGCGCCGGGGCGGGCTGTCGGCGTCGTCGGCCTCCATTTTCAAACCCGGAGAGGCAGGAAGGGGGGAAAACTGCAAAGAAAGGGGGCAAAGCCCAAATCTGCCTAGGCGAGGAAAAACAAGCCCGGCCCTGGCCGCGCGGGAGGCGGCCGGACGCCCGAGCTTCCGCCGCGGGAGGGCGCGACGCAGTTCGCAAGATCGCCCCGAAGTCCGGGTCACAGGCGAGGCCGGCGAGGGGCAGAAACGCGGAGTCAAAATGAATGAGCGGCTCCCCCTCCTCCTCCTCCTCCTGGCTCCGCTCGCCGCCGCCTCCTCCCTCAGCGCCGCCGCCGCCGCGGCGAGCTCCTTCCCAAATCCAGGACACACACAAAGCGGCGGGCCGGCCGCGCCGCGCTCAGCACTCCCGCCGCGCCGCCCGGCTCTGCGCCGCCGCCCGCCCCGCGCCGGCCCCCGCCCGGCCCCCGCCCGCCGCCGCCTGCTCTGCGCGGGGGCTCCGGCTCGCTGAAGGTCACAGCCGAGGCGAGGCGCGCCGTGGAGCTGCCCCCGCGCGGGAGGGGCGTGGAGGGCGCGGGGGGATCCGGGGAGCGGGGCCGAGGGTCTGCGAGCGCCGGCCGTGGGCAGGCTCGCTGGCGGCGTCCCTCTCGCTCTCCCGCCTCTCTCGAGTTCGCCTGGTGCGCTCGCTCCTCCTCGGGTTTTTTCCCTTTTTTTTTCCGCTCAGCGGAGTTAATGCTGGTAAACAAGAGCCCCAGCCTCGCCGCGCCGCCGCCGCCGCTGCCACACACTGGGGGCTCGCGCGCGCGCGCGCGCCCTGGCCCGCGCACACGCGCCCGCTCGCACACTCGAGCGGCCACCGCCGCAGCAGCGGCGCGCCGAGGGCCCGGCCCAGGCCGGCGCGCGCAAAAAACCGGAGCCCGGTTCCCCAAGACGTGCGGAGCGGAGCCCGGGCGTGGGGCGCGAGACTGCGAGGCGCCGCCCCCATCTCCCGCCCCACCGCCTCCCGCGCGCACACAGAGACACGCGCGCGTGCCCACCCGCTCCCGCCCCCACCGCACTGCGCCGGCCACCCCGCACGCGCCCTCCCCTCCCGCCCGACTCCAAAAACAATGCCCCCGCCGCCGGTCCGGTCTCGGCGGGGCAGGGGTGGGTAGCCAGGGAAAGGCTAGGCAGGGGAGGGGTGGGCAGGAGAGGGGAGGGGTGGGCGGGGAGTGCGGGGCTGGGAGAGGTTCATTGAAAACAACAACAGCGCGGCTGGAAAGCGCGTTTCCCCGGTTCTTGAAAAGCTTCATTGTTTCTTGCAGCTGTTGCAAAATAAATAAATGCGTGCATGCGGCATTTTTTTCGCTGCGTACTGGAAAGCCCGAACGTGGCGGAAGGGGCGCACCTGGGAGAAAGGGGACCCCCCCCCCAGGCTACTACGCCGGGCACTTTCACGCCAGGCTGGGGTGCCCGCGGCGTTGCGACCGTGGAGCCCGGAGTTTGGGGGCTCAGGGGGAGCGGAGGGGGAAGGGCGCGGCCCGTGTGGCTCGGCCCAGAGTGGCTCGAGGAGAGAGGACCCCGCCGCCCCTCGCGGGCCCCGCGCCCCGGAAGGGGGGCCCAGACAGGCAGCGCCGCGTGCCCCGGGCGCGTCCCCGCGGCGGCCGCCAGAGGGCGCGGCGGGCGCTGGGGAGGGCAGCCCGCGGAGAGTCGCCTCCCTCCCTCCGGGGGAGGAAATGTGGGGGCCCGGGCTGGGGGCCGACTCGGCTGGGTCGCGCTGGCGTGGCCTCCCGGACCAGCCGCCCGCCCTGAGCGCTCTCCGCGGCCTCGCGCAGCTCAGGGCTCCACCACGTGGGCGGCTGCGGGGAGCGGCCGGGGCGCGTGCACGCTGCGGGTCTCCGAAGCTCGGGGGGCGTGTCCGGGTCCCGGGGCGCCGAGGAGGGGGTGGAGGCTGGGGCCGGGAAGCCTCCCTTGGCCGCGGTCCCGACCCGGGAACACGCCGCATGCACTCGGGATCAGCGGCTACTGCGGAAACCCACCCGCACCTGTCTCGGGTCCTCCCAGGCACGTTCCTCTTGCTTCGTTTGCTACGTAAGTGACTGGAAACCAGTACCGACCCTAAGTCTCCGCGGTTGTTTTCTTGAATGTGCAGGAGGAGAGGTTTCCCCAAAGCGAGACTCCCCTAGGACTGCCATCTAATGAATAAATGCTGCGGAGACCAGGTCCTCAAAGAGGGAAACAGCCCAGCAGTGGCAGGAGAGAGGAGTTTGAAATACGTGGACTTTTACAAACAGTGATTGGACCATGTGTCGCCCTTAATGTGGTCCGGTTTCATGACTCAGGCTAATTGATGCCAGTAATAAATTTTTTTAAGATAGCTAATAAAAGAGTTGTGAATTGTCGAGATAAGAAGTGGTTGTCTCAAACAATCGGGTAGGATGGTAGAAGGGACCTGATGTAAAGGAAGGTAGTAGGTTTCTTTTACTCTCTAATTCTAAAATACTTCTGCATTAGAACGTGTATCCATCGTTCGTAAATAATTTTTTAAGAGCTGAAAACAAGTCAAAAGCTATCATAACGGAAACTTAGCCCTTTTTTTCTAAAGTTGTTTCCTAGATCATTTTCCTCCTTGGAAATTTCTAGCTCAATTCAGAGTCAGTTGTATAGAAAGAAAATAAACCTTGTTTTACCTAAGAAAGTTATTCATATGATGGGATGGTTTTGTTTAACTGAAATTCAGCTTGATTTTTAAATAAAGAGTTTCAGTTTTGGATGTTCCTAGATTTAACAGTGAAATAAATTTATTAGAATCTTAAAATGTATTATTTAAAAATTAGGCACTACACATGAAGAATTAAAGTCCAGTCTACTAATTTTTAAATATTTCTTAAGTTCTCTGCATGAGGTTGGTCTTGATTCCTGCAGATCCACTCTGGAGTTAAATGCAAAGGAATATTGATATATAATTTCATTATACTTGATTTCAGAATTTTTAATACATACTTGTAAGACAAAAATTTAGAGCTGATTTTTAAAAGGCTAGTGCTAATATAAAATCTTCAAATACTACCCAATGTATTTTTAGTATTAGTAATAAATATGCCTGTTTATTTGTCCCCAAGAACATAAAGAGGTCTATAGAATTTTTAAATGTATATAGGTTGTTGTAGGGGTTGTAGGATTTGTTTTTGTGTGTTTTTTTTTTACTAAAATGATTTTTATTTGTGAATTTTTTAAATGTTTGTGTTTTCCTGAAGTAGTAGGAAATCAATCGTATTAAGTTATTTTAAACAGTGAAGTGGGAGATGTATCATTATATAGCTTAATATTTAGGGAAAAAAAAGGAACAAAAATTTAGGTTGTCTTTACGCTCTAACTTGACCACATGGACAAAGGAGGTGATTTGTATTTCTTCAATGATTATATTTTACATACACAAGTCAAACTTATTTTTTCAACCTTGAAATAAAATCATGTAGACAAAAATTAATTGGAGTCTTTGCTTTATACCCACATTGACAATGCACCAAACTTTTTATTTTATACCATTTTACTCAGGTATCTTATAGGTTCTCCCTCTTTTGGAGCAGAAACTGATTGCTTGTTTTCATTTTTTAAAAACGCCGTTTACTTGATAACAGTTTCATCTCAAATTATTCTGCTAAATGTACCAGACTCCCCAAAAAATGTAATGTATATCATATACATCAAGTGCAAACGTGAGAAACAGCACAACAATTGACAAGTATCAAGTAATACAGTATATTGTGATGTATTCGCAGAAAGGAATGTTAGCAGCAAAAGTGAATAAACTACAGCCCCACACAACATGGGCAGATCTTTGAAACACACTGAGTAAAAATATACAAATATCAAAAACGCACACAGCGTAACACCATTTTGATAAAGCTCTTAAAAAGCAAGGAAAACTTTAAAAGTTACAGAAAATTTTTTTTGCTTTAAATAATAAAATAATATTTTTCCTTTGTTTTGCTTTTGTTTTAGCAAAAGAATTAATGAAGGATGTGAATTCCTTTGGAGAGGATGAGAAGCCCATAGGCACATGGGTTTCCATTGTAATTTGGAAATGAGTTCACTCTTGGATTGAGTGACGGATTTACAAATTTCCATTTTATAAGTATGCTTAATAACTAACACATGTTCTACATATTTTTGTATGTATAAAACATTAAAGAAGATAAATAAAAATATGGGAGAGATCCATGAAAGAGATCATTCTGGTTTTCCAATGGGAGTCGTTCAGATTTCGAGCTGTCCGTATAAATAACTCAGAAGCATTAAAGATCTACTAAAATAACACAGTTAATCAAGGTCTGATCCTTAAGATATTTCAGAAGAATGTCCACACATCTAATATCGATGCAATTTAAGACAAAAATCAAAAGACAAAAAATTTAAAAGACCTCACTTCACAGGTAATAAGCTTCATTAAGAGTGCATTATGTCAACTGTTTGACAGTTTCTTATAAGGTAAAACATACAACTAACTTACGATCCAGCAAGTCTAGCCCTAGTTATTTACCCAAAAGAAATGAAAATTCCACAAAAATACTTCTATGGGAATGTCAATAGGTGCTTTGTTCATAATAGCAAAAACTAAAACAACCCAAATGTAAATCAAAAGGAGAATGGATAAACAAATCATGATATATCCATTCAATGCAATACTGCTTAGCAGTAAAAAGGAATGGACTACTAATCCATGCAAAAACATAAATGAGTCTCCAAAGCATAATGTATAAGCCAAAAGAGTACATACTGTATTAGCTCATTTATGTAAAGCTCAAAAACAGGCAAGATTGATCTAGAGCTAGAAATCAGAATCATGGCTGCCCTGGGTGGGTAGAGAGGGAAAGTTTCAAATGACTAGGGAGAGGCATAAAGAACTTTCTTGGGTGATGGCAATGCTCTATATCTTGATGGGGTGTTGGCTATGCTAGTATATGCATTTAGCAGAAACACATCAGACTGTACACTTAAGATGGGTGCACTTCATTCTGCATAATTGTATCTGAATGTTAAATTGTTAAGATTGTATTATAATTTAGATAGTTGCAGCTGTTCTAAAAAAAATGTTAGCACAATGCTTCCCGTTTTTACTATTAGGTGAGTTAGTAGAGATGCTAAACTCCAACATCCTTGCCCACAGCTGTCTACAGATGTGTATACTTTCAGTGTGTATCTGCCTAAGGTCTTTCCTTAGGGGCATTAGCTGTGGAAGGCATCACATGGTCTCCACAGAGCACCCCAAGGGCAGGAAAAATACAAGTGATGCTGTAGCTGATTCCTATCCCCACACAGCCACAAGCAACAAGAGTCTCAGTCTTGTTGAGGATCTGTTTATACTCAACTTGAGAAGATTTTCTATTTTAGCTCTGCATAGATAGCTGGCTCCCAAGGCATAAATGCTACATTTCTCCATGATGCTTTAAAAGCAACGTGGAGGTTTCAGAGAGCATTTGCGCAGAGACAGCTGAGATAATGTCTTCCTGTGACTAACTTTCGGCACCACGTTCAGTAAAACATCAATCGGGGAAGTTCCTGGAAAGCCCAGGCCTGGGCCAAGAGTGATAGGCACCCTGGAGATCTCCGTGGGTCCAAAATGGAAACTGGAGGCTTCTGGGGCTCCACCACTACCCTGAGCATCGTCACGAGCCTGTCCCCGACCTGAGGGTGGGTATGTTCAACTCCCCACATGGTAGTCTGGGAAAATAAACCCGACCAGGATAGCTGTAACGGCTCTGTCTTTTTCACTTGTCATTTGCGGTGGTTAGTCTCTGAGATGGGTGTGCCGTCTTCACTCCTCCATGTAATTAACTTTCAAACATATCAATAGTAAGGATCCCTGTCTGGCAGACAGTACAAAAGATGCTTCTTCGTTGTTGAAATGCATCATAGATGTACATGAAAAGTGGGGTTAAATCAAAATTTCTGTTCCCTCTGATTAATGCCACCAGCTCTGAGATGTTTTATCAGCAGCATGCCAGGAAGAGACAAGCTGCTCCTCTGCCCTACCCCGCCCTACTCTGCAAAGCTGTGTGACTCTGTGCAAGTGGCTTCACCTCTCTCTTTTCTCCTCTATGAAATGATCATGTTGACGTTGACCATTCCGCTCTAAAATATGACTTCTTTTTTTGATTTTTAATTGACAGTGGTACCTTGATATCTCATACTTTGGTTGTACATTTTGTACTTTTGCCTTCTCTGTCAAGTAATTAATAAATCTATAAATTAATACAGGCAACAGCAGCCAGGCTCAGGGAATAAACGCTTCCTAATTTGTTTTATTAATACAGATTTTTCACACATTAGAGGTTTTTTTTCTTTTCTTTTCTTTTTTTTTTTTTTTTTTTTTTTTTTTTTGAGACGATCTCACTCTGTCACCCAGGCTGGAGTGCTGGAGTGCAGTGGTGCAATCTTGGCTCCCACCTCAGCCTCCTGAGTAGCTGGAACTACAGGAGTGTGCCATCACACCCAGCTGTTTGTTTGTTTGTTTTTAATAGAGACAAGGTCTCACTATGTTGCCCCGGTGGGTCTGAAACTCCTGGGCTCAAGCGATCCACCCACCTTGGCATCCTAAAGTGCTGAGATCACAGACATGAGCCACCATGCCCAGCCAGGGTTTCTTAAAGTATAGCATAAAATATTTTTTAGCAGTTTTGAATTTCAATATATTTTCTCCTAAGAATGTGAGTATGGAAAGACAAACAGAAACATCAGCAAGGCAGGGGGAAGTGGTCACAGGTAACCCACAAAAGGGATCCTTCAATTGATCATTGAGAATGTTCCTGCAAAACATTCTCTTTGGGATATTAAGTTCTAGTGGAACCTTATTCTGTAGAATATATTTGCACATTTCTTCAGTACATTTTTAAATGCAACATCATTGTGTCAGGCTCCTTACTAGCAGCAAACTCTATTTCTGGCCTCATGAACAGGCTACAGAATAAGGTGATTTTGAAGTTATGCAGATATCTGCAGCTCTGCAATTTGGAGAATCAGCTGCAGAATGAAGTTGTTTATATTTGTTCTTGGAGTACCATTGATCAACCAGAGAACTGAACAGGGACCACAGGGACCTGAACCTGGAAAAGGCTGGTTCCTACATCCATGAGGAATTATTAAGACACATAGACATTAAGAGAGGTCGTATATGATTTCTGGTTTCAAATACCTGAAGAAGTCATTAGACTTTTCAAATCTGTTTTCCTTCCCATCAGTCTAGCTCTGCCCATTGGTCATTCGACTTGATCCAGGTAATGCCAATGGGCAGAACTAGACTAACGGGAAGGAAAACAGATTTCATTTATTTTAAAGAATTTTTCTTCTTTTCCAATTGAAACAAAAAGTCAGTATTATTTTGCAGTCTCTGCTTGGAGAGTTACGTGGTGTGAGAGAAATCCCTGTCGTCAGAATGTCCATGCAGAGACTGAACTGATACCTGCTGTGGAAATTGTCCAAAGAAACAAGATTGAGAAGATGGTAGGGGTGTGTGTGGTGGGGGGTGACATTTGCCATCCCTTCCAGTTCCAGGATCACTGGATACTTGGATTCTACTCTGTGCTTGGATTACTGTGACTGATGAGCTGCCGAAGGACCCTCACTTTGCTTTAAATGAATAGTGATCCACTTCAGAGTAGAAGATGCATTAGTTCAAAAGGATATTGAATTTCTCATATATTACAGAAACCCTGATGAAATCGCTCCTGAAAGAGGTCCAAGGCCCAGTTCCAACAGACTGAAAAGCCAACTTAGATCAAGATTTATTTTCAAGTCAGTCATATTGTGAGAGATGCTTGGGCCAAGGTGGAGGTTAAGATAGTGGTACGCTGGTAAATGCTTAACATGGACTATGGGGTGGGGAAAGCCAAGATCTGCAGTTTCCCAATTTCCCTTGTAGAAATATTCCCACCATGGCCAATTTGAGCTACCAATGTAAGGTCACTGGATACAGAAGTCTGAAAAGTTGTGCACAGTTGTCTCTTGTAAGACAGTGTGAGCCTGCTCCGATACATCGCTGGGCTAAGATAGCTGAAAACCTTGTGTTGCCTCTGTAAGAAATTAAATATGTATTCATATGAACATTATAAGCAAACCAGTACAAAAATAGCAATAGCTATAAACATAAAATTCACAAAAGAAGCCAGAACGTCCAATAAGCATGAAAATATACTCAGCAACCTGGTTGGCAAAATTAACAATTGGACAGTACCAACTGTTCACAAGGATGAATGGGGAGAATTGCATTCTCATTCACTGCTCCTGGGAAAATAAATTAGTACATACCCTTTGGAGAGCAGCTTGGCAATATCCATAAGGTTAAAGATACACCTGCTCCACAACCCAGCAACTCCATTCATAAGGAGGATACCCCAAAAGCTCTTGATATATGCACCAGGAGACACAAACAAGAATGTTAATTGGAACATTGTTTTCAATAGTAAAATACTAGACACAATCTAAGTGTCCTTCAGTGGAAGGATGAATAATGGTGCTTTACTTGTACGGTAGAATAGGGAGAATACTATACAGAGGTTAAAATGAATGAACTAGATCTAAGCGAATCAACATAGATAGATTTAACAGCCAATATGGTGTGAAAGAGCAATTTGCAAAGGTTAAATAATGATATGCTACTGTTTATGTAACTATCAATACAAAAACAATAGCATTATTGTTTATGGATACATACATATGTATCAAAAGTATAAAATATTCATGGAAGAGATAATAACGTCAGTGAGACATTATCTCTCAGGATGAAGGAAGAGATAAAAAATAGAGAATAGTTTTAACTATACTGACAACCTTTTATTTGTTTAAAAGACAAAAGATATCTGAAGCAAATGATCCAAAATGTTAATATCTGTTAAACCTGGATGGCAGGTACATGTGTGTCTGTAAGTTATTTTGTGTATTTTTTGTAGGCTTGAACTGTTTTATAAATTTTTCCTTTGTCTTTTTTAAAATAAACTTTTTAGTAGAGAATAGTTTTGGATTTACAGAACTGTTGCAAACGTAGTACAGAGAGTCTCATATAACCACACCCAGTTCCCCATATTATTAACATACTGCTATGCGACATTTGTCATAACTAATGAACCAATATTAAGACATCGTTATTATGATGATTTTTTTTGTTTTCAGAGACACAGTCTCACTCTGTTGCCCAGGCTGGAGTGCAGTGGTGCAATCTCGGCTCACTGCAACCTCTGCCTCCCGGGTTCAAGCGATTCTCCTGCCTCAGCCTCCCGAGTAAGTGGGACTACAGGCGCCCACCACCAAGCCTGGCTAATTTCTTTTTTTTTTCTATTTTTAGTAGAAATAGGGTTTCACCATGTTGGATAATGTGTTTCTGGGAGAAAGACTCCAGAGGTACAGTGCTGTTCTCATCACATCATAACAAGGGTACATGCTATCAACATGATGTTAACATTGATCACCTGCCTGAGGTGATGTTCATCAAGTTTTCTACTGTAAAGTTATCTCTATTTTTCTCTCTCTTTATATGTTGTACTCTTTGAAAGAAAGTCACTCTGCCTATCCCACACTTATGCTCCACCTCCGTAAGGGAAACATATCTGTGTAAGTTATCTACAATTCTTCTGCACAGCAGGTTTGTCTATTCTCCTTTATTTATATAATAACTTTTTATTTATATCAGTACAGGCTTGTGGATATTTATTTCATATTTTGGGTTATAACCCAGTAATACTTTATTTATTATGTTGCTCAGATTGTTCCAGGTTTGGCTATTGGGAGTAATTTCATTTGCCTCTTGGGTCCACTTGACATACCCCCATCATTTTGGGTTTTGTTTTGGTTTTAGCAATTTTAGTTTCCGGCACTACAAGATACTCCAGGCTGATCTCATATATCTCCTGCCTCAGCCCTAGAATCAGTTACTTCTCCAAGGAGCCCTGGTTCCAGTGGAAACTGGAAAACGCTTTCAGAAACCAAAAGCCAGCTGCCAGGTGTGCTTGTTGCTACTGGGGTGTCATTGCTTCTAGGTCCTCTCAGCTGACGAAATAAGGAAACACATCTGTGCATACTAACTTGTGTATTTACACATATCTGAAAATATTTCAATATGTAACCATCTGTATCTCTGTGAAGCCAAACGAAGTTCCTACTGAAGTTTCCAACTGCTCCATTAGCACACGGATCATCCTAGCCTCCTTCCCCTTGCCCTTGCTCCCATCCATTAGTGAGAACCCTGGTTCTCACCATCTGCCATCCATTTACTCATTGTTCAATTTATAATTTGTATTTTTTATTTTTGAGATCGAGTCTCACTCTGTTGCCCAGGCTGGAGTGCAGTGGTGTGATCTCGGCTCACTACAACCTCTGCCTCCCGAGTTCAAGCAATTCTCCTGTCTCAGCCTCCAAAGAAACTGGGATTACAGGCACCTGGCACCATACCCGGCTGATTTTTGTATTTTTAGGAGAGATGGAGTTTCACCATGTTGGCCAGGCTGGTCTCGAACTCCTGACCTCAGGTGTTCCTCCTGCCTCAGCCTCCCAAAGTGCTGGGATTACAGGTGTGAGCCACCGTGCCCAGCCTCAATTTATAATTTTTTAAGAAGAAAAATAAATGCTGCTAAGAAATGCTTCAACTTATTACAGCATCCAGACCAAAGGTGCAGACTATTTACAAAGCAGACATTTGCAGGGAGAAGAAGTTTCATGTCATGATCCATTCCCAGCACAGACCTCTCTACAGGGCCAGGACATGCTTGTCTTGTGCCCTTCCAGGGGGCATTCATGGAAACACAGGCCAAATGTCCCTTCAGAACAGGTCTGTGAAACCCAGTTGTGAGGGATAAAGAGCACCAAGTCCAGGACACAGTGGGAGGGGATCCTTGAAGAAAATTAGGTGGGAGGAGGAATCACGTAACATAAGCTAAAGAGAAAAGCGAGATTGGAAACATTCACTTCAAACAGCAATTTTTCACCTTTTTCAATAGTGAGCCTCTTTGAGACTCGAATGTGGGCAATGGATGCTCAGCTCAGGAAAACATTCCAATAGATCAAACAGCACAAAAACTGTTCCCTCCTCTGAGCCCATACTTGGGCCTCAGGTTAAGAAAGCTTCATGTATACTGCATGAATGCCGTGTGTGTGTGTGTGTGTGTGTGTGTGTGTGTGTGTGTGTGTGTGTTTGGAGTAGGACTAGGGGTAACCAAGTCTGAAGGCTACACTACTTCAGCCCTGTTCTTTTCAGAATGGTCAGGATCTGTCACTAACAGTTCACTTTGTTTGTTTGTTTAGAAACAAGGTCGCTGGGCGCGGTGGCTCATGCCTCTAATCCCAGCACTTTGGGAGGCTGAGGCGGGTGGATCACGAGGTCAGGAGTTCGAGACCAGCCTGACCAACATAGCAAAACCCTGTCTCTAATAAAAATCCAAAAATTAGCTGGGCATGGTGGCACACACCTGTAATCCCAGCTACTCAGGAGGCTGAGGCAGGAGAGTTGCTTGAACCCAGGAGGTGGAGGTTGCAGTGAGCCGAGATCGTGTCACTGCACTCCAGCCTGGGAAACAGCAAGACTCCATCTCAAAAAAAAGAAAAAAAAGAAAAAAAAGAAACAGGTCTTGCTCTGTCGCCTAGGCGGGAGTGCAGTGGCACAATCATAGCTCACTGCAGGCCAGGCACAGTTGCTCATGCCCGTAATCCCAGCATTGTGGGAGGCTGAAGTAGGAAGATCATGTGAGGCCAGGAGTTCAAGACCAGCCTAGGCAACGTACCAAGACCCCATCTTAACAAAAAACTAAATAAATAAACCAGACAAAATGGCTCAGGCCTGTAGTCCTAGCTACTTAGGAGGCTGAGTTGGGAGGATGGCTTGAGCCAAGGAGTTCAAGGCTAAAATGAGCTATGATGGCACCACTGCCTGGGTGACAGAGTGAGACCCTGTCTCTTTAAAATAAAATAGCTCACTGTGGCCTCAAACTCCTAGGTTCAAGGAATCATCCCACCTCAGCCTCCCAAGTAACTGGGACTGCAGGCACACCACCGTGCCCGACTAATTTTAAAAGATTTAAAAAAAAAAAAAAAAAAAAAGACCAGTTGCCTGGGCAACTGGCCTGAAACTCCTTGCCTCAAGTGATCCTCCTGCCTCAGCCTCCTGAGTAGCTCAGACTACAGGCAAGAGCCACTGCACTCAGTTTGCCAGTTTGTTTTTATGGTTACCTCCTATTTATAGCGAATAGCAAGTAATAATGGTTTTCTATTTATGAAAATAATAACTTTTTTTAAAAAATGAATCTAGGGTTTTTTTAAAATTTATTTTATTTTATTTTATTTTTGAGACGGAGTCTCACTCTGTCGCCCAGGCTGGAGTGCAGTGGCACGATCTTGGCTCACTGCAACCTCTGCCTCCCCGGTTCACGCCATTCTCCTGCCTCAGCCTCCCGAGTAGCTGGGACTACAGGCACCCACCACCATGCCCAGCTAATTTTTTGTATTTTTAGTAGAGACGGGGTTTCACCGTGTTAGCCAAGATAGCCTCAATCTCCTGACCTCGTGATCCGCCCGCCTCGGCCACCGAAAGTGCTGGGGTTACAGGCGTGAGCCACCGCACCCGGCCAATTTTTATTTATTTTTTATTTGAGATGGTGTCTTGCTCTGTTGCTCAAGCTGGAGTGCAGTGGCACGATCATAGCTCACTGCAGCCTCAAACTCTAGCCTCAGGCGATCCTCCTACTCAGGCGATCCTCCTACTTCAGCCTTTCAAGTAGTTAGGATCACAGATATGCACCACCATGCCCGGCTGATTTTTTTTTTTTTAAGAGACGGGGTCTTGCTGTTGCCCAGGTTGGTCTCGAACTCCTAGGCTCAAGTGATCCACCCACCTCAGCCTCCCAAGACGCTGAGATTACAGGCATGAACCACCGTGCCTGGCCAGTTTTATTTTTAATAAAATCAATTTAAAGAAACATATGAAGTGACATTTGGAACAGGAAAAAAACTGAAGTTTCAGAAACCGGTATGAAGAGAGATGTCTTGACTATGGTGAAAAGTGCATACACTTTGGAGCCAGAAGGGTCTGAATTCAGTTGCCAGCTATGTGATCCTGGGTGAGTGAAACTTTACCCCTTTATAAAATAGCAATCATAAAGCTTAGCATGCAGGGCAGTGTTTCTCTGAATGTGTTTCCTGTGCCACCCACATCAGAATCAGCTGAGGTGCTTGTTAAATGGAACTTCCCAGGCTGCCACCCAGAACTTTTTTATCAGACAGGATCCTGGGGGTGGGGAGGTAGGTGGTGGCGTGGGAGAGAGCCTAGAAATCTGCATTTTAACGAGGTTCCCCCGGTGATTTTAGGATGGGCTCTGGAGAGGATGAAAGGAGCTGAAATAAATAAAGGAGCTGGCACAAAGAAGCAGGAAGGACACTGTCCTTCTGGGCTGCCCAGCATCCGCACACCACGGACCTCTGAAGGGGGTCACAAGGACCCTGCTCGGAACTTACCCGGGTGGCACTGCACAAATATAGTGACTGATGCTCTGGAACTGCACAGAACATAAACTGCGTGGCCAGAGCTCAGCTGATCTAGTCCCCCATGGTCCTTTCCCCTTTTTTTGAGCCTGGTTCTCCCAGCCTTCCTTATAATTCTCAGCTATCCAGTAGTGTAGTCTTCCAATAAATTCCTGTACTGATCAAGGGCCTACAGTTGGATGTTGCTGTTTGTGAACAAGAACTTTGACAGGAATAGTGAGTAGTGACTGTTTTTGTTTTGTTTTGTTTTGTTTTGTTTTTTGTTTGAGATGGAGTTTCGCTCTGTTGTCCAGGCTGGAGTGCAATGGTGCGGTCTTGGCTCACTGCAACCTCCACCTCCCGGGTTGAAGCAATTCTCCTGCCTCAGCGTCTCGAGTAGCTGGGACTACGGGTGTGCTAATTTTTGTATTTTTAGTAGAGACAGGATTTCACCATGTTGGCCAGGCTGGTCTTGAACTCCCTGACTTCAAGTGATCCACCTGCCTCAGCCTTCCAAAGTGCTGGGATTACAGGCATGAGCCACCGTGCCCGGCCAGCAGTGACTGCTTTGCTTCCTTCCATCAATGGCTCCTCAGTGGTGTCCCTGGAATCTGAGGGGTGCTATATAGCCCCTCCTGGGGGTTGTCAAAAGAAGGGGTTGTGGAGGAGTCAAAGGAAGTTAAGGAGGTAAAGAAATGACCAATCCCACCATCCAAGCTCTGCCTGGCTTCAAGCTGTTTTATACATTAGATTTTGGATGAAAAATTAATTTGAAATGAATGATTCCACCACTTTTTCTGAAAAGTTTGAAAACCACTGCCTATCATGAGATCCCCTAAGAGGAGACCATGTGGTGGGGTGGGGACGAATGAGGCAGAGAGCGCGGGCAGAGGAGGGGACGCCTCAGGACAGTGGAGGCTGGGGACTGGCTTGTCCTGCCATGCTGCGGATGGGGTTTTAGGGCTCCCTACAGGCAGAGCACCCAAGGCCCTCCTTCTGAAGCTAAAACCTACTGGTAGGTGCTAAGATCCCACCCCTATACTGGGGGGGAGCTTCCGTGGCCTTTGTGCTCCGTGTAATCCTCAGAAGCTGCTCTTCCCTGCCCATGGGAAAAGTGACCATGGCCACTTCCAAGAAGAAAAAGTGGGTGTTGATGCGATCAGATCACTAGGACAGCCAACAGTCTCCTGGCCTCAGGAAGAGGAATAAGCAGAACTCCGAAGACCACAGAGAAGAAAGCACCAAGTTACTCTTGAGAGACCGAAGAGAGAAGGGCGCATGAAGGCATAAAGACGCCGACCTGTGGAACAGGGTGAAGAAAATTAAAGAGGTCCGGACATTTCCCATCAGAGCTAGAGCTTCCCCCAAATCTGCAGCACTTAGAGCATAAAGATAGAAATGTGCAGGTGGCATGTAATCCCAGCACTGTAATCCCAGCACTTTGGGAGGCCTAGGCAGGAGGACTGCTTCAGCCCAGGAGTTGAAGACCAGCCTAAGCAACACAGGAAGGCTCTTGTCTCTAAAGAAAAAGAAGAAGAAGGAGAAAAAGAAAGAAGAAAGAAGAAGCCGGGCGCGGTGGCTCACTCCTGTAATCCCAGCACTTTGGGAGGCCGAGGCAGGCAGATCACCAGGTCAGGAGATCAAGACCATCCTGGCTAACACGGTGAAACCCCATCTCTACTAAAAATACAAAAAATTAGCCAGGTGTGGTGGTGGGCGCCTATAGTCCCAGCTACTCGGGAGGCTGAGGCAGGAGAATGAACCCAAGAGGTGGAGCTTGCAGTGAGCCGAGATCATGCCACTGCACTCCAGCCTGGGCGACAGAGCAAGACTCCATCTCAAAAAAAAAAAAAAAAACGAAGAAGAAGAAGGAGGAGGAGGAGGAGGGAGGGAGGAGGAGGGGGAGGAGGAAGGGGAAGAGGAAGAAAAGAAAAAAACGTTTCCTCACTCTCCAAATTTTGTTATTTGCAATAAAGGCATTGAATTTTCATTAAATATTTCCTCTTGGTCTACAACTAGGGTAGTAGGAAAAAGGAGAGGAGAAGAAGACTTTATTAGATGCCATCGCTGAGCTGCTGTTTACTTCTATTTTCTTTTCACTTCTTGTCTTTTATTTTTCTTTAGAGATGGAGTCTTGCTTTGTCTCCCAGGCTGGAGTGCAGTGCCGCGATCATAGCTCACTGCAGCCTTGTTCTCCTGAACTCAAGTGATCTTCCTGCCTCAGCCTCCCGAGTAGCTGGGACTATAGGCTCACACCACCATGCCCAGCTAATTTTTTAATTTTCTGTAGAGGCAGGATCTTGCCATGTTACCCAGGCTATTCTCAAACTACTGGGCTCAAGAGATCCTCCCTCCTCAGCCTCCCAAAATTTGGGGGTTAGAGGTGTGAGCCATGGTACCCACTCTGTCGCTCAGGCTGGAGTGCAGTGGCATGATCATGGCTCACTGCAGCCTCCACCTCTGGGGCTCAAGTGATCCTCCCCACCCCAGCCTCCCGAGTAACCTCCATGTTGTGATTACAGGCGTGCACCACTATGCCCTGCCTCATCTTCCTTGTTATTGGTCTGTAGCATGCTCCTTTCTTTTTCTTTTCTAAGTTAATATATTCTCTTTTATCCTCATACCCCAGTCTAATTCACCAGCTTAATTTTTTTATTAACATAAAGGTGGGCAAGTAGTTTTCAATTTCCTGTATAGTTGCAAAGCTGAGTTATTGTAAAAGACACACAATATAAGGTTATAGTAGCAGTTGGAGTAAAGTGGGAGTAATCTAATAAAAGTCATGGGTCCTCTCCCTGGAAAAATCTGTCTCTATTCATACACACAATTTTGCAAACACTTTCTAGGGTTCAGAGACCTCTAAGGCCTTTTGCAGATGTACTTTGAACACCAAAGTGTTCACTGCCTCTGTGTTACAAGAAAACTCTGAGAACTAGGGAAGGATTTATACTGCAGAATCCTTTAAACAGATTGTAGCTTTCGTTATTTTCAAAATTATAAAAATAATTATTAAAATAAAAAATTGTGATAAAAGAGAATGTACATTAATGAATCGATAAGAAATATTTGTTGTAACTAGTGCAATGTAGACATTGCTCGTATAAACAGGTTCTTTTTTTTTTTTTTTGAGATGGAGTCTCGCTCTATCTATAAACAGGTTCTTACAGAAGAAGAGGAAAGTAACTTTGTTGAGTACCAGCTCTTAGCCAGACATTGCACACAACGCACCACCTCCATTTCCTTAACAAACAGAAATAGTCGTTATTTTCATACCCATTTTTATAGACGGGGAAACTGAAGTCAAAGGAGAGCATAAGTTCCCAAGAACTTATGCAACTTTCAGTATTATAGTGTTAAATATGCAACTTACAGTATTATAGCGTTACAAAGTCTGCCTTAAACACAGACATAGTGATCATTTTTAAAATACGTTTTACAAAATGAATTTATTGAGCAAAGTGGAGTTAACTTCTTTCCATGGGTGGGGAATTCAAATTCCGTCTTATTTAAATTACATTTAAGGCCAGGCATGGTGGCTCACACCTGTAATCCCAGCACTTGGAGAGGCTGAGGCAGGTGGATCACCTGAGCTCAGGAGCTCAAGACCAGCCTGGGCAATACGACGAAACAGCATCTCTACAAAAGATACAAAAATTAGTTGAGCATTGTGGTGTGTGCCTGTGGTCGCAGCTACTCAGGAGGCTGAGGTGGGAGAATCGCTTGAGCTTAGGAGGTGGAGGTTGCAGTGAGCCGAGATTGCACCCCTGCACTCCAGCCTGGGTGATAAGCGCAAAGTTCCATCTCAAAAAAAAAAAAAGCGGAATTTGGGTTTCTTGTGCCATTTATGATGAAATCATTGGGTTCTTTTGTTTCATTTTCTTGGGTTTTCCATTAGAAAGAAACCTTTCTATATCTACATGTCATCCCTCAAAGAAAAAACTCCTTCCTGAACGCTGTTCACTCACTCACTCTACGAAGCCTGGTGTCTTTCAGGGAGGAGCAGCCCTGGTTCCCCAGAGGTGGAATTAGCTTTTCCTTCTTCCTATTCTCACACACCTCTTTACTGTCTCCACTCCTTGTAAATGATGTGTCAGCAGAGTTTGTCATTTCTTTCACCAGTGTTACTTAGGGGTGTGATTGCACATACTAGGCATTCAGTAAATGTCTACCAAACTGAGTTAAATTCCTATTTTTTTAATTGGGAAAAAATTTTGACACAGAAAATTAAGGAGAAAAGTATTGAAGAGACGCTTTACCCATGAGCCAGATTTAGCAAATGAAAACATTTTTCTCATTTTTGCCTTGAATTTTGTTGGTTTAAAAGAAATAAAATTTAGAGGCCGGGCACGGTGGCTCACGCCTGTAATCCCAGCACTTTGGGAGGCTGAGGCGGGCCGATCACGAGGTCAAGAGGTTGAGACCATCCTGCCCAACATGGTGAAACCCCGTCTGTACTAAAAATACAAAAATTAGCCGGGCATGGTGGCGGGCGCCAGTAATCCCAACTACGCGGGAGGCTGAGGCAGGAGAAACTCTTGAACCCGGGAGACGGAGGTTGCAGTGAGCCGAGATCACCGCAGTCCAGCCTGGCAACAGAATGAGACTCCATCTCAAAAAAGAAATAAAATTTAGAGATAAAGTAGAAGTCCCTTTCCATGATTTTATCCTCCTCTTGCCCACTACAGAGAAAACTATGACCATTATTTTGGTATGTATTTTTCTGATTTGCATTTTATATTTTTGCTGCATATAATCCTTAGTATTGTTTCATTATTTTTCTAACTTTACATGTTCTGCACCTTGCTTTTTAAACTAATATTATGTTTTCAAGACCAATGTATATTGATAGACATGGATCTAGCTCATTTGCCTTAGTTATTATATACTATCCCATGATGTGAATATACAGGGTTGTACTTACCACTGCCAAGTGAGAGACTTTCAGAGTTTCCCTACCCAGCTCTTTGCTATAACAAACAATGCTGAAATGTACATCCTCATTACAACTCGGGTTACTTCTTGTACAAATTACCTAACACACAGTTGGTAAATAAGGGGAGGATGTTAGAACACGGAAGTCATGTTAGCTTACACATGATTTTCCACAACATGTTACTGTTTTAAAGCAATTAAAAGAGAAAGTCGGCCGGGCGCAGTGGCTCACGCCTGTAATCTCAGTTCTTTGGGAGGCCGAGGCGGGTGGATCACGAGATCAGGAGATCGAGACCATCCCGGCCAACATGGTGAAACCCCGTCTCTACTGCAAAAAGTAGCGGGGCGCGGTGGCGGGCGCCTGTAATTCCAGCTACTCCAGAGGCTGAGGCAGGAGAATCGCTTAAACCCGGGAGGCAGAGGTTTCAGTGAGCCAAGATCGCGCCACTGCACTCCAGCCTGGGCAACAGAGGAGACTCCATCTCAAAAAAAAGAAAAAAAAAAAAAAAGTCGTAGCAATGAATACAGACCTGGAGCTGAAAATCTACTAAAATGTCTTCCTTCGGAGCGAATACTTACAGGGTTAGTGACTTCGAGGAGCACTATGTTTTCCATAGAGCTATTAAGCTATATGGTTTTGCTGTGGGTGCAGAAGAATAACGTTAAGAAATTGGAAGCATTTCAGCCAGGGGTGGTGGCTCACACCTGTAATCCCAGCACTTTGGGAGGCTGAGGCGGGTGGATCACTTGAGGTCAGGGGTTCAAGACCAGTCTGGCCAACATGGTGAAAGCCCGTCTCCACTAAAAATACAAAAATCAGCTGGCCGTGGCGGCGGGCGCCTGTAATCCCAGCTACTCAGGAGGCTGAGGCAGGAGAATTGCCTGAACCTGGTAGGTGGAAGTTGTGGTGAGCTGAGATCTCTCCACTGCACTCCAGCCTGGGCGACAGAGCGAGACCTTGTCTCAAAAACAAACAAACAAAAAAAGAAATTGGAAGCATTTCTCCTTGTATTAAAACTTCGGACCTTAAAAAATACAGTCCAGGGGCCATATTTTTAATTTTGATGAAAATGTTCTCTACCTACCTGTCCCAGAAGGAGGAGCCTCGGGTTGAAGGCTGAAAAGGACAGGCACCTGGGATGCTGGGAACAATGCCAGCATGGGACCAACTCTGTTTGTGTCATAATTTTTAAAACATGGTAGCTTTTGTTAGTGCTGGGGTGACAAAGTTCTATAGGTTTTGAGCAGCATGCTCCAACTGTATTTCCCCTATACACTTGCCAATTTTAGTGAAGGATATTGCACTTGTTTCCTTAAGCACACGTGTAAGAGTTTCTCTAGGGTGTTTGCCAAGCAGTGGAATAGCTGGGTCACAGGGGATGCATGTTTTCAACTGTTCTAGGTTTTTTTTTTGTTTGTTTGTTTTTTTCAAATTACTCTCCTAAGTGGTTTTACCATTTATACTCCCACCAAGAGACGAGAGCCCTTATTTCCCTGCTTCCACACTAATACCTGATGTCATTAGATCTTTTTATTTTGACTGATATCATCCATATAAAATGCCTTCTCATGGTTGTTTTAATTTTCTTTCCCCCAGTTGCTAGTGAAGCTGAGTGTATTTTTATATGCTTATTGGCCATGCCAGCTTTCTCTTCTGGGTATTACCAGTTCAACTCTTTGTCTTTTTTTAAGCTGAATTGTTTGTCTTTTTCTTATTGACTTATAGGAATTCTTTATGCATTCTAGATATGAATCCTTTGTCTATTAAATTTCTACTTTTATGTTCTCTTCATAATGTCCCCACTTGCCATATAAGCCCATTTAGAAAAATACGTCTACTCTGCTATAAAACACACTGGGTCGCTTTTTTTTTTTTTTTTTTAATATATCCTAGGTACCTGTGGTTTTAGATTACACAAATAGATGGTATAACTAGAAAAGTTTGAAACTCAGATATTTATAGAGATTCTTGTTTCTCTAAGGATATTTGACCCATTCTCCTATTTATAGAGACTTCTCTTTGTAGACAAGAGTTTTTTAAATAGACAAAAAAAGGATATCCCCTGTCCTGACAACTGTTGGCCAGACCTCTTTTGTCAGATTAATAAGAAAAAGATTTTTTTGGAAAAAATTAGAGAAGCTTAAACTTCATATTGGAATTGGATCCTTTGTGGATGTCTTAAGCCCAAGAGAAAACAATATACTTTATTAAATTCCATGATTCTCATTTTTAAAACATTCAACCCGTACACAATCAATCATCCTTTTCTGACAAGTTACCTAAGAAAATTTTCTTTAAACTAAACAGTATTGAATTTCAGACTAAATTTTTAAAGTGACATTCTGATTATAAAGAAAAAAAAAAAGCAATTCCTAAATGAAAATACTTGGAGTTTGCCTGGAACTGAAAATTTTGCATGTGGAAATGTGAGGAAAAGATCTAAGTGTTGGCAAAAGATTGCAATAAAGTAAATGATGTGGTTTTCTCAGGGGTGATTTTGCAACTTGAAACATTCCAAAAAGAGTTACTGATCACAAAGTTTCTTTTAGTTTCTAGCCCTGAAATGCTTGGCATACATAAAGCTCTTACGGATATTTGGATAAATTAAATTTATATTGACATTTTCTAAAAGTTGGCCTAAGCTTCTAGCTGGTGAGGACATGTGTAAAACACAGGAACATTTTGAGGCATTCAATTTTACAACTGATAGATGCTGACAGCATCAGAATATCTACACTATATTCTTGAAAGCTGAATCACAGTGAAATTTAAAATATGTGTTTTTCTCATGAAAAGCAGCAGTCTCCTCAAAAAGTTAATTGTAGAATTATCATATGATGTAGAAACTCCACTCCTAGGTATATGCCCAAAAGAATTAAAAGCAGGGATTCAGATACCTATACATCAATGCTCATTACAGCATTATTCAATAGCTGAAAGGTAGAAAAAACCCACGTGCCCATCAACAGATGAAGAGATAAAGAAAATATGGTATATTCATACCATGGAATATGATTCACCCTTTAAAATAAAATTTTGATACATGCTATAACATGGATGAACCTAGAAAACTTTATACGTGTAATAAACCAGACACAAAAGAAAAATTGTTGCATGATTACACTTATATAAAATATCTAGAATAAGCAAATTCATAGTGACAGAAGGTAGGTTAGAGGTAATCAAGGACTGTAGGGGGGTGGAGGAAATTAGGAGTTATTGTTTTATGGGTCCAGAGTTTCTGTTTGGGGAAAATGAAAAAGTTTAGAAATAAGTAGTGGTGATGGTTGAATAACATTATGAATATAATTAATGCCACTGAATTGTATACTTAAAAAATAGCTAAAATGGCAAAATTTATATTATGTGTCTTTTACCACAAAAAAATTTTAAACGAGGTTTCTTCAAACTCCTCCTCCAATAAAGCAACAAATACTCCTTGAAGAAAGCTAGGAAAACTTTGAAAAGTAAAATGAAATTAAAGCCACCTGTTCTTCCACCAAGTAGTGATAACATGTGATTAATGTGTGGTGCAGTTTCCTCTTCTGATCTGTATAGATGTATGCAGATACACATACACACACACACACACACACACACACACACACACACACACACACAGGATTACACAGAGCCTGCTTTTCTCACTGTATTGTTACTCGTTGTAACAATCAGTAGAATTCAATCTTATCCGTGAGCCTTAATTTATTCAAACCTATCAACTATTGTTGGATATGTAAAATGTTTTCCATTTTTTCTCAATTTTGAATAATTTTGTAGTGACCATCCTTGTACAAAAGTTTTATAAGCATTTGATAATTTACTCAGGATAAATTAAAATCGCTGGATCAAAGAATATGAATTTTAAAAAATCTCTTAATGCATATGTACTATTAATTTGTACCACAGGAAGTTTTGTTATTTATACTTCAGCAGCCAAATATGAGATTTTATTGCATCCTCACTGAGTATTACATCTTATAAAAGTCTCTGAAATTGATCAGAATAAATTCCATAGAAATATGACATTGGACCAATGATGGTATAGAAAGGAAAAAAGATTAACTTTTATAAATTAAAAGTGGATGGAAGAAATCAGTAGCAATTCGTCACATTCGAATTCTGAGCCATTCTCTAACACTATCATCTGTACCTAGATGCCCTGAGAATTTACCTTGCCCAGGAAGTTACATTTGCTGTCCTTAGCCATCCAAGCCTTCCCCAAATCACATGCAGAAGCGTGCGCAGCTCTTTCCAGCCTCTTAGTTTTTGCTACTGTCATTCTCTTTGCCATGAAATACTTCTGCCCTTCCTCAAGTACAGACCCATTCAATCCTCAATATCCATCTAATTAAACGCTGTGGGCCAGAGGTGAGCAGCCTGGGGCCATGAGGGAGAAGAAACATCATAGGTGCAAAGTCAACCCACAAATGGGCAGGAGTGGTGAGCTCCTTCTAAAATAGGCTTTGAGGAGAGCCTGGGGATTGCCAAAGGCACAAAATCATTTGAAACAAGCAGGAGGCCAGGGGTGAGGATGCTCGGACCTGGGAGGAGGCAAGCTGGGAGTGAATGGGGAGTGGGGGCGGCTGATGCACCAGATTGGAATTCTGTGCTTTATATGAGTATGTGGGCCAGGCTTGGGAGTGGGGACAGGGAGGCAGGATGGCATGGACAGACAACCCCACTGCCTGGAACACGGTACCTTTTATACTGAGTGCGCAATTCTTGAAGAGTGCTCAGATTCTCAAATATAAGAAATATAGTCTTCAGGTATTATGAAAGAATAACGTGTTTGTGTAACACCTTAACATTTACATATGTTATCTAGTTTTAAAAAATTTTTAAGAACTAATGTGTAAACTTGGTAGTGCATACCCTGTCATGATTATTACCTCTATTTTATTTTTATGTATGTATTTATTTATTTAGAGACGGGGTCTTGCTCTGTCTCCCAGGCTGCAGTGCAGCTGCAGCGGCGCGATATCGGCTCCCTGCAACCTCTGCCTCCCGGGTTCCAGCGATTCTCGTGTCTCAGCCTCCGGAGTAGCTGGGATTACAGGCACGTGGCACCACGCCCGGCTAGTTTTTCCAGTAGAGACGGGGTTTCGCCATGTTAGCCAGCCTGGTCTCCAACTCCTGGTCTCAAGCGATCCACCCGCCTCGGCCTCCCAAAGTGCCGGGATTAGAGGCGTGAGCCACCACGCCCAGCCTATTACCCCATTTTATACGTGAGGACTCTGAGGTCTGGGAAAACTGGACAAAGCAGCAACTCACGCCAAAGTCTTCTGTCCCCATGTCCAGAGAGCTCTCCATGATAGCCCAAGCTGATTTTCCAAAAATGCGGCCACTCTTTGTCAGATTTGCAGCATTTCTGATGTTAAGACGTCAGGTCAAGGTGCAAAGTTGAGAGAGAACTAAAGGGCTTTCATGCAAACAATTTTTCTGAAAATATAAGGAAGGGCTTGTGTGCCCTTTTGGAAGTACGGGATTAAAAACGCATAAAGATACTGTATGCTGATGTTGTGGATGCTCTAAGGATGAAAATTTGAATGGCATCTTAATAATAAGAGGCTTAGAACACATTTTAACAGCAAATGGTTTAGGATAAATTCTCTTAAAGGACACATATACTTCACTCATATTTATTGATTAATTTACTGTTGTCTAGTCCATCATTCTAATTTATTACATTCCTTTCTAATTATTTTAGTATTTTTGTTAGGTTTGGTTATTTTTATCAACAATGATCTATATAGGAGCAAAATTGGATTAGGCTATGTTATGGTCATATAGACATGAAACTCACATGGTCCTTGTCCTCGAAAGCTCCTTTGGCTGAGCAAGCAAGGATCACTGGCCCCAAAGACCCCTGTCCTCCTCCATGTGTTCCTAGAATCATGCACACACACACACACACACACGTGCACACACACACACTTAACATCAATAAGTGGAAGAATGGTGCTGTTTTTGATGGAAATATGTTTTACATTTTAAACAAAATATCATAAAGATATTTACCCGATATTATATTAATTGATACTAGAAAAAACAATACATACGCGGGTACATTATAAACACCAATAAGTCAGTAGATTTGTCTTTAAGTTGCTTAAATAACTCACAATTCTTCTTTGAGCATTTTTTGCTGAAGGAAAATGATCCCCAGGCAATGATAAAGATCCCAGATCTGAAATAATTTTCTTCTGCTTTGCCCCACCACCACTTACTCCAGTAGGGGGTCTTGCTAAGCTGAGATTTGAAAAATGCATACCCAAAAGCACTTTATTCGTACACTAGTTGGAATTTAAGGATTCATCCTTTCTTTTTCTACTCTTAAGCCTAAGATTTTAATTTCATTTTTTAGTAAACCAATTTAAAAACAATATTCACCTTCTTTAATTAAATTGTTTATTTCTATTACTTTAAGCCTTTCTTCTGATTTTTATCCCTATATTACTGGATTTTACACCACCATTATCCATAGTTTTACACATTTTCCTGCACTTTTATGTTCTGCTTTTCCACTTTTTTATTACATGTTTTCCAATGTATCTGCAATTATCTTTAAATTCTTTTTGTCCTGGAAAGGAGTTACTTTTAAACTTTCTTTAGCAGAATAATTCTTTGATCAAACAAAATCATCCATAGTGTGGTGGGTGCCCTCCCTGCCCTGCATAACCATTTTGGAAGTTGATTTTAACATTTACAACTATTCTTGTAATATTTAAATTGCTATTAAACTTCTTTCAGGGTTTGAAATTTTAAACAATGCCATTATAAGCATCTCTGTATATAATTTTTTAAAAAACTAATTTCATTAGGATAAAGTCTGAGAGATGAATGTTTCTGGGTGGAACTTTTATGTGCGTGTGTGACACAGATCATCACATTTCCTTCCAGAAGAGATGAACCCATTTTTATTGCCATCAACAAAATAGGAGTCCTCTTTTTCCCCAAAGTCCAGCTATCAGTGAGTTTTATCATTTTCTTTCCTTTCATTTAATTTCATGGGTGTGAAATGAAAACACATTGATTCCACTTGAATTTCTTTAAATTTTAGAAAAGGTGTTTGGTTTGTCAGATGTTGGTTTTCTATTTGTGTTTTGTTTTGTTTAAACCATCCCTTTGCTTTTAACGTTTGTCTCTTGAGCACTGGTATTTGCTTCTCTTCTAATCAATTTGTATAAATCCTTAATCAATTTTAGATATTGATTATAGGCAAACAGTTGCCTATAATTTATTTCAAATATTTTTCATTATCTTATATGATTTTTTAGAAATCTAATTATATCAGTCTACTTTTTCCGTTTCTTGAGTAATCAAAATTATTTTCATACATAGTTCTATTCTTCTCCTAGTTTTTCTATTGTTACTGTCATTACTATTATTATTAGTTTACCATTTAATCTACCCGCTATTTATTATGGTAATGGATTTGAGGTCTAGGTCAGGTTAATTTTTTCTTCATTCTGATTTCTAAGTATCCCCAGAGCATTTATTAAATAATTATTACTTTTCCTTTTGCTTTGTTAATATTTATGATTCACCAGTTTCTCACATACCACAATCTACTTCTGCATTTTCTATTGTACTTTAATTTGTTTCTGCATTTAAACCAAGCCCATGGTGATTTTAATTTTCACATTTACACTATTCTGTGTTTTCTAAAATTTTTCAATGAGCATGCATTTTATTTTCTTTTTGGTATTTCATAATGAGGAAAAATCTCTAAAAATTGCATTTGCCATTCATGCCTATTTATTTTTCAGCTATAAATTTGGAATAGCTTTTGCTATTAGATTTTATAAGTATTTTTATAGTTTGATTAAAAATAAATCAGATCTAAAAATTACCTTGAGATAAAATAAATTCTTTTTTATATTTAATCACCTAATATAAAGCATTTGTTCATCTTTCTTTACATCTCCTTTTAAAGTTTAGCATTTTCTAGTTTTGTTTGCATATTTCGTATCAGGAAAATTCTCAGATATTACATATTTTCTGTCAGCATTGTGAATGAGACTGCCCCAAACCAATTACCAGTTACTTGCTGGTTTTTAGTAGAAATGCTTTAGGGTTTTGTGGATTTCACTTTTATCTGGACACTTTCCTGACTTCTCTTTTTATTTCTAATATTTTAGTGGGAATTCTTAGTTTCTTTGGGTTCAACTTAATGATTCTGTTTTCTATTTTATAATATTGATTCTCTAGCACATTTTTGAAGCACTGTTAGGATGACAAGAATCTCCACTGATATGCTAAATAATTTTAAGAAAAAAAAAATCTTTGTTTTGCTTGTTTTTAAGTGGAGTCCTTCAAAAGTTTCTCTGTTACAGACTGATAAATTATCTCATGTTAAAGAAATATTTTCCTATTTCTGTATTTAAATTTATAACAGGAAGGAGCATTAAATTTTTATCAAATATTTAACTATTGTATCAGGAAGATCATAAAAATTTTATTCCTGAATTTATTTAAATTGTGTACTTTATTCATTACATTTTTAAACTAAACATATTATAGTGATGAACCCTATCATAAATATATGGTAAACAAATCTTTAAAAATAGGATCACATTCTACTTGCAGATATCTTCACACTTACAAGCGTTTTCATTAGAGACAGATTTCTTTTGTAGTATTACACTTTTTAAGAACCGAATCATTTTTGCCTGCTAGAATAAACTGGGAACTATTTAACTTAAGAAAAATTTTTATTAGGTGTAATTAACTTTTATTTGAAATTTTGAAAAAATTTCCAGCTAATTCCTTGTGGCAAGGAAAGCAGTCTCTTGGCTACCCTTCTTAATTTCTTCCTTAGCAACTGGACTGTTCACATTTCTGTCTCTCATGATACCATTTTATATTCTCTAACTTTTGTAAAATCATCCATCTTATTTAAATTTCTAAGTGCATCACCATTGTAAATGGACACCATAATCTCTAATGATTTTGTCTCTTTTCATTGATTTTCAAAACTTTCTAGAGTTTTTAATCTCATTAATTTTGAAAGCGAATTTGATTTTTTTTGTCTTTTCAAAGTAAGAGAGCTCTCTGTTTTAGCATTTCGCAGAATGTTTTGTGACAGTTTCACAGAATCAATTTGTTTACTGCTGTAGGTGTTTTTGTCTTGAGGGTTTTGCTTGGTCCTGTATCTAGAAGTGTATTTCTAGTTTTTTAAATTTTACTTTATTAATAAAACATGTAAAACAATACATTTTCTTTAAATATATCTTTTCTCTAAGTTCAAATATTTATTAAATAGTATCTTCATTTTTCATATTTTAAAATGATTTGTTGTTATATTTTAAATTTCTTTGACCAGGTGATAGAATTTTTGTTTCATTGATATTTAGTTATTTTTCGTTTATTTAAAATAAACTATGAACATTTTTGCAGCAATGTCACATAATACAGTGCATACAATTATCAGTGTTTTTCCTTTATTGAAAAGTTCCATTCATTTCTTTTCTCTGAAAGTTTTATATATTCTGCATTTTCTCTTTAAATTCTCACCATAAAATTGCTCATTCGGCCTTCTTTCTTGTAGTTTTCAGTTTTACAAAGTCTTATTTCTTTTTTTTTCCCTAATTCATCCATCTAATTTTTATGGTGGGATAAGGATTTCTGCTAATATTTTGTTTCTCTCAATTTCATCTTGCAGGTCTAAGTTTTTTTATGTACTTTGTTGCAATGTGTTGTAGTTCATATAAATACTTTTCGTTTTTAGTGATTGTTTTGCCTTTTGTTGTCACACAAACTCACACATAATCCTTTTTGCTTTATATACTGCTTTGATATCATAATATATTTAATTGATATTTTCTTACCTAACCAATTATTTTTGTTCTTTCCACATCTCATCTTCTTTCTCTTTTAAATAAAATATTCTTGGTTTTTTTCTTGAATTCAACCTGAAACTCTTTTTAAGAAAATACTGAAATTTAATCTATTGGCATGCTCTTGTAATTTTGTATTTAAACCATTTTAACCATATTTTTATTATTTTGTTTTCTGTCATTTTTCTTTTTTGTTTCTTCACTTGGGAAAGGGTCATATTTAAGCTTCTTTTACTTCACTTAATTCTAAAAAGAAATACAAAACAAACATTGGTATTTTTTAAATACATAATAATGACTTCTCATAAAAATCTGACATTTAGAATTTTGCACGTTTAACTTTACACCTGCCCTCTCTTTTCCTTTTTCATTCCTCATAACTTGTAAAATAGTTTTAAATAATTCTTACACTTTTCTGTAACTGACGCTGATCATTCATTGCTATGGCTCTGGAAATGCTATTCGGAGGGGAGTGTATGGTCAGGGAGTATCTGCAGCATTTTCTGAGATCAAATCTGGTAGATAATCTGTGAGAATCTCTCTTTTTTTTTTTTGTCCTTTTTAGGAAGACTATATATAGTTTTCCATTGCTTTTAGGAAGCTTACAGTCTCAACTGCTACAGTAAAGCACTTTTTAAAAGCAGAAAACCACCCATCTTGATTCCATTTTAAATAAGAACATGAATAGAACAGGTAAAATCATGCCAGTCACTTGTATTCATTTCACACTGAACACTGAGAAAACATGATTGCATTCTCTGTTCTCCACTGGGAAACTTGAGCATTACTGTCTGGCTGCTGTTGTGCGGTTGTCAGACTTTACGGGCGGGCCCTTGCTGGGAGGAGCACGGAGTTTAGAGTTTTAACTCTGCCACCGACTGCAGTATCTTTTCCTACACACTGAGATACTCCCAGAGAGTTGCTGAGAGTGGTCAAAGGGACCAAGCCTCTGGTGACGATTTCATTATCGCTGAGTTCATTTATTTACATATCGATTGATCTCATTCTTTATTTATAGCTTGTCTGTTATGTAACTGCCCCATAGAGCTGAGATTCTTTTTTGGAATGAGATGTGGAATACTTTAAATGCCTATAAAATCAAATATATATATTCACCACTGTCTGTTTCAGTTTCCAATCTAACCTCTTTAATCAGTTCTGGAAATTTTATTGGCTTATGGTTTAAATTATGGGCTGGAGCCATAATTTAATTGTTTCTTAGGAGGAATAGTTTCAACAGTGGCTAACATTTATTGACCTCTGGGCCCTGGCTGCCAGGTTGGAAAACCGGGATGTATGGTTTTTCTTTTATGTTATCTATGGAAGGGTTAATCCTTCTTTATCATACACTTGATTTTCCAGGTTATTCTTTAGTTTAGTAATTCAATATTCTGGAGTATTCTCTCTCTCTCTTTTGTTACTGCTTCTAGAATGTTCTAAATGGTTCTGTTTAAAGCAATCACTACATTTTATGGTTTTAAAACTCCAACAGATTCAGTGGTTGTTCTGTCCCATTCCTCTGTATTTGAGAATGAAGGTCATCTATATTCTCATTGTGATTCTTTTAGCTGTTATTTTTAGAAGGGACAGGAGCTTTAATGGTTTTCTTGCTATTAATGGTGTGTACTGAATAAGGGTTTCACTTATTTTTAAAGTGTTTACCTTTCTTCTTTTTTTTTTAACCTAACTCCTAAGAAGGGCTAATTTCTTTCTCTCTCAGTATTAATATATTCACTAAATAGTCTCTAGATTTCTGTTTTTTTAAATTGATATCTTGATGGTATTAACAGAGAAGAATTATCATACAGAACCTCTTGCTCAGTCATCTACCCAGAACATTATTTCCAAGTGACCTGACTTCTCCAAAAGAACCTGCAGAAAATGCAAATTTATCTTGAGAAACAACAGATAGTATCCATTACTGTAATTGACCTTGATAACAAAACAGAACTAAATCTTCTTGACTTCTAGAAAGGGAGACATACTTGAGAACTTACTTCATCCTTTGAATCCTATGATCTTAGATTTTAAAAACTCTCTTCTCTTAGGGATGTTTTGATTTCTGAAGTTTGATCTCCCATTACTAATCATTTACACATACTTCTGCTTCTCAGCAACCTCTTGCCACCTGGGTATGTAATACCCTCTCTTCCAGAACTTCTTAGAATTTATAATACAGTTATCTTTTCTTGGAGGGGTGGGGTGGGGGGGAAGAAATAAAATATTTCTTAAACAGACTGGAGGCCGGGCGCGGGGGCTCAGGCCTGTATTCCCAGCACTTGGGGAGGCCGAGGCGGGCGGATCACCTGAGGTCAGGAGCTGGAGACCAGCCTGGCCAACATGGTGAAACCCTGTCTCTACTAAAAATAGAAAAATTAGCCGGGCATGTTGGAGCGCGCCTGCCATCGCAGCTACTCGGGAGGCTGAGGAAGGAGAATTATTTGAACTCAGGAAGCGGAGTTTGCAGTGAGCCGAGATGGTGCCACTGCACTCCAGCCTGGGCGACAGAGCCAGACCCCATTAAACAAAACAAAACAAAACAAAACAAAACAAAACAAAACAAAACAAAACAAAAAAACAGACTGGAAATTGTTTCAACACAGCCACCACTATTACCTGCCTTTCGCCCGGACTTTCACCAGCTTGTTCCTGTGTTTCTCGACCTCCTTCTCAGGAGTGCATCTTGTGAGTGAATTCAACATACCCCGTGCACAGGGCTCAGCAGGACCCACTGCTATGTGTTATCGTGTGCTGTGAAAGAATTGCATCCACCGGCCGGGCGCGGTGGCTCACGCCTGTAATCCCAGCACTTTGTGGGGTGGAGGCGGGCGGATCACGAGGTCAGGAGATGGAGACCATCCTGGCTAACACGGTGAAACCCCGTCTCTACTAAAAATACAAAAAATTAGCCGGGCGTGGTGGCGGGCGCCTGTAGTCCCAGCTACTCGGGAGGCTGAGGCAGGAGAACGGCGTGAACCCGGGAGGAGGAGCTTGCAGTGAGCCGAGATCCCGCCACTGCACTCCAGCCTGGGCGACACAGCGAGACTCCATCTCAAAAATAAAAATAAAAAAAAGGATTGCATCCACCTACCCTCTGGCTCCGGAGTCTTACACATCTGAGTAATACCTGTGTGCACTTTTCTTTTATAAACCCTAAATAAACACACTAGCAAAGGCAATGAGAGTAAGGGCTTCTCTCATGCTTGTAGACACCGCCAATCACCTTGGAGAAGAAAAGAAGGGGGCCCCCTTCAGAAGAACTGTAATTGATCATTTGCAGTTGACACACAACATACAGTGCCAGCACAGGCTGAAGATGGGAAGCTGGATGCCACTGCTAAATATCGCTAGTGTGACAATTTGTATCTCTGCAATAAATAGTGTTATTACTGTAAAGCTGGGCAGGCGTGACATTTCTGACTGCCTCTCCTTTTAAATGGACAATATATAAATAATGACTGTGTGGCATTTAAACATTTCAAAGCATCACATTTTTGTTAATACAAATGTGTGATCAGAGCCATTCATTCCCATAAATACTCTGCCTCACAATCAGAGCATCGGCAGCCACAAGCATGTCCCATCACCCAAGAAAAATGGGACACTGTAAAGTGCTGAGCATTCCAAGGGTAAAAACCAGGTTACTAGGGAAAAAAAAAAAAAAAAAAAAAGCAAAAAGCCAGCACTGTAGACTCTACCATTTAAACAACTCCCTCTACATTTTTCCTAAGATTCAGCAGCAGCATCAACAACAACAAAAATCAGTATTTCCCAGAGTGAGAAACCCTTGAACCAAAAGATGTTTTTTGGAAAAGGGTTCTTTTGGTAAATAAGTTTGGGAAGCACCACAAATTATTATCCTCCTCTTGGAGACCCGTGAACACCCAACATTTATTCCATAAATATGTACTAAGCATTTACCAAAGCCAGGTCTTATTTAGGGGCTCAGGATGAAACAGGAAACAAATCAGACAGAGTCCCAAACCTTCAGGAAATTTACAAGGTTTTTATTGTTGTTGTTTGAGACAGGGTCTGGTTCTGTTGCCCAGGCTGGAGGGCAGTGGCACCATCACAGCTCACTGCAGCCTCGACCTCCAGGGCTCAAGCAATCCTCCTGCTTCAGCCTCTTGAGTAACTGGGATTACAGGTGCACGCCACCACACCCGGCTAATTTTTGTATTTTTGTAGAGATGGGGTTTTGTCACGTTGCCTGGGCTGGTCTCAAACTCCTGGGCTCAAGTGATCTGCCCACCCCAGCCTCCCAAAGTGCTGGGATTAGAGGCATGAGCCACCACATCCGGCCAATTTACAGTTTTAAATGAACATATTTGTTTCCTGTGCGGACTATAACAAATGACCACAAACCTGATGGCTTAAAACAACAGAAATTTGTTCTCTCACAGTTCTGGAGGCCAGAAGTCCGAAGCACACAGGCCAGGTCAAAAGCCAGGGTCCACAGGGCCACGCCCCCTCCCAGGTGCCAGGAGAGTCCCTTCTTCGCCTTCTCCAGCCTCTGGTGGCTGCCAGCATTTCCTGACTTGTGGCCATATTACGCTCATCTCTGCCTCCTCCCCTCCCATCCGTGCCAAATCTTCCGCAGCCTGCCACTCATAACGTATCTTGCAATTTAGGGTCTGCCTGGACAATCCAGGATGATCTCTCTTCTCGATCCCTAATTTAATTACACGCGCAAAGACCCCTTTACCATATGTGGTTCCAAAGATTAGGGCCTGATCTCTTTGGAGATCATTATTATTATTCAGCTGACTACGAGTGGATGCAGCTCTGAATGTCCTGTGGTAATGACTGCTTTTCTGCTTTGACCTTGAAACCTTCTCTTTGAGAAACGCCTGCCATTACCCAGAGAACCCTGGCCCCAAAAATCCACTCTGGAAAGTTCTGGTCGAGGGGCTGTCTGCATTTATAGGAGGAGGGCTGCCCTAGTTGGCTCCTCTCGAGTTTTCTCCACCCCAGTAGGGTTCTATGTAAATTCTCTCCAGCAACCTTGACTATATCACAGTTGTAAGGATAAAACAGAAAACAGAGTTCCCTGGGTCTGGAGAAGCTGCACAAATACAGGTTGGGTGGTCACAGCCCTTCCCAAGCCAGGGTCCCTTCTTTGCCTCCTTTGTCTCTCTGGCTCCAGACACAGAGCCCAGGCCTGTCCCCGTCTTCCCTTGGAAGAGCTGGAACAGGATGGAGGCTTTTTCACAAGGGACTGTCTTAAAAATTAAGAAAAGAAAAAGGACACAGATGATGGAAATAAAGAGTGAGCTCAGGCCAGGTGCGATGGCTCAGGCCAGGTGCGATGGCTCAGGCCAGGTGCGATGGCTCATGCCTGTATTGTGTTCCAGCACTTTGGGAAGCTGAGGAGGGCGGATCACTTGAGGTCAGGAGTTCAAGACTAGCCTGACCAACATGGTGAAATCCCGTCTCTACTAAAAAATATAAAAAATTAGCCGAGTGCGGTGGTGGGTGCCTGTAGTCCCAGCTACTCGGGAGGCTGAGGCAGGAGAATTGCTTGAACCCAGGAGGCAAAGGTTGCAGTGAGCTGAGATCTCGCCACCGCACTCCAGCCTGGGTGACAGAGAGACTCTGTCTCAAAAAAAAAAAAAAAAGAAAAGAGTGAGTTCACAAAGTGCAGGTTACAAAGTCCCTGGTTAGTTGACACCTAGATTCTAGTTTGGCAGCACTTTTTTTTTTTTTTTTTTTGAAACAGAGTCTTGCTCTGTCACCCAGGCTGGCGTGCAGTGGCACGATCTCGGCTCACTGAAAGCTCCACCTCCTGGGTTTACGCCATTCCCCTCGCCTCAGCCTCCTGACTAGCTGGGACTACAGGTGCCCACCACCACACCTGGCTAATTTTTTGTATTTTTAGTAGAGACGGGGTTTCACCGTGTTAGCCAGGATGGTCTTGATCTCCTGACCTCGTGATCCGCCTGCCTTGGCCTCCTAAAGTGCTGGGATTACAGGCATGAGCCACCACGCCTGGCCCAGCAATATTTTTTATTCTGCCTCTGGCCTGGGTCTGCTGTCCCTTGATTTTCCAGCAGGTAGCCTCCCCGCTACTCGTATTCAAGGCCAAACCTCAACTCCATTGTTCCTATTCTGTTTCTGATGCTCTCTGTAAGCCTCTTATTGAGTTCCAGGTTCTGGAAAGAACAAATCAAATGTTCTGTGTTTAGTCATCCGACTAAAATGTGAGGGGCACTCACCACATGCCAGGCCTGTAAAATGCCTTCCCAGTTGCATGCCTGGACAATGTACCTGGCTCCCAGACCTTCCTGAGATAATTGTTTCTTTTTCTTTTTTTTTTTTTTTTTCAGATGGAGTCTCGCTCTGTTGCCCATGCTGGAGTGCAGTGGCACGACCTCGGCTCACTGTAACCTCAGCCTCCTGGGTTCAAGCAATTCTCCTGCCTCAGCCTCCCGAGTAGCTGGGATTACAGGCAAGCGCCACCACACCCACCGAATTTTTGTATTTTTAGTAGAGACGGGGTTTCACCATGTTCACCAGGCTAGTCTTGAACTCCTGACCTCAAGTGATCCACCCGCCTCGGCCACCCAAAGTGTTGGGACTACAAGCGTGAGCCACTGCACCTAGTCAACTCTTTCTTTTCTCTATGAGTGGGGCCTCAACTAAAGAAGCTCATGGAACTTCCAGCCCTCAGAAGCTTCCCCTTCAGGGGAAACGCATCCAACTGTGCAACATGGGATTGAGAACAGTATACTTTTTTTTCTTTTAATAAGGCTTTGAACATTTCATGCAGAATAGAAAGTTTCTCTGGAGTTCATAAAAAAGAAATATTAAGCAAGAAGGAAAGTCTCCTGGAGGTGTCATGGAAGCTTCTAGGTTCTGGTGAGGACATGTGTAAATCATGATATTCTAGCTTAGTCAGATGGCCAGGGGGAGGGCAACCCCAGTGGCTGATAAGGCTTGAGCTCGCACATCACTGAGGCATTGTAAAGCACTAAGGCCTGAAGTCTGAATGTCCCGGTGGCATTTCTCAAAAGTGCTGTGACCCTTTCTTTTTTTTTCTTTTGAGATGGAGTCTCGTTCTGTCACCCAGGCTGGAGTGCAGTGGCATAATCTCGGCTCACTGTAACCTCCGCCTCCTGAGTTCAAGCAGTTCTCCTGCCTCAGCCTTCCAAGGAGCTGGGATTACAGGTGCCCACCACCACGCCCAGCTAATTTTTGTACTTTTTTAAGTAGAGATGGGGTTTCCTCTTGTTGGCCAGGCTGGTCTCAAACTTCTGATCTCAAGTGATCTGGCCACCTCGGCCTCCCAAAGTGCTGGGATTACAGGCGTGAGCCACCATGCCCAGCCTGCTGTGACCCTTTCAACAGAGCTGACATCAAGTTCTTTCTTGCGTGGGATCATCCATGCCATTGTCTCCCAGGGGCTGCCCCTTGATGGGGAGTTTATAATTTAAAATATTGATGGTATATTATTATATAATTGATAATATTATATAATGGAAGTAATAAATAATATATAATTAATAACATGTTGATGAGGCCGGGCATGGTGGCTCATGCCTGCAATCCTAGCACTTTGGGAGGCTGAGGTAGATGAATCACCTGAGGTCAGGAGTTTGAGAGCAGCCTGGTCAACATGGCGAAACCCCTTCTCTACTGAAAAAAAAAAAAAAGAAAAAAATTAGCTGGGTGTGGTGGCGGGCGTCTGTAATCCCAGCTACTCAGGAAGCTGAAACAGGAGAATCGCCTGAACGAGGGAGGAAGAGGTTGCAGTGAGCCGAGATCATGCCACTGCACTCCAGCCTGGGAAACAGAGTAAGACTCTATCTCAAAATAATAATAATAATAAGTTGATGATAAATATCAACGATAATGTTAATATAAGATTGATAACTGATATATTGGTAAAGAGGTCCAGGCATTGCCCTGGCTGCCATGATACTGCAATCGACCCAGCAGACAGTCTTCAAGGAACCGGCATTGTAATGTCACGACACAAATAATAAGCATGTAAATAAGCAAACGATTTGGCACCTTCTCCTTTATCCTCCAAGCCTGGTAAAGTAAATCCTCACCCTGGGCCCCTCCTCAATGGGAAGTGCCATGCAACTGGTGGCCAGGACTCCAAGGAGAACAGAAGATAGAGTGAAAACAGGAAATGAAGTTGTGGTTGCAGCAAAGCTGTCTCTTGCTGCATGGTGGCTGACTAGCTGCAAAGTACTTTCACTTGTCCCAGTTCATGGAAGCCTCCCAAGAACCCTGAGAGAAAACCATCATCCCGTGTGTTATCGTCCATTTCAGAGGTAAGGTCTCAAGGCTCAAGCTTGCTCAAGGTTACACAGAGCCTGCACTTGAACTGAGGTCCTTTCTTCATTTGATATTGTTCCCACTGAACTCACTCAAAAGGGCGGAGACAGAGCCCTGCGAGATGATTACTTCCAGTCCCAGGAACCAAGGGCATGCTCCAGAAGAAAGCTGCTTCTACACAGAATTCCATTTCTCAGAATGTGTTTTGCTGGGAAGGGGAGTTGAAAATTCTCATTCTGGCCAGGTGCAGTAGTTCACACCTGTAATCCCAGCACTTTGGGAGGCTGAGGTGGGAGGTCAGGGGTTCGAGACCAGCTTGGCCAACATGGTGAAACCCCCATTTCTACTAAAAATACAAAAATTAGCTGGGCATGGTGGCGCATGCCTGTAATCCCAACTACTTGGGAGGCTGAGGCAGGAGAATCGCTTGAACCCAGGAGGCAGAGGTTGCAGTGAGCCAAGATGCCACTGCACTCCAGCCTGGGCGACAAGAGCGAGACTCGGTCTCAAAAAAAAAAAGGAAAAAAAAGAAAATTCCCATTCTGCAGGTTCCACTCCTCCACCCACCTCATCACAGCCTTCAGAGTAGGTGCTTGGTGAGATGTCAGCCAGGACCATTTCCACCTGATATGATTCCAGCTCTGAAGGAGGCAGGAGAAATCCACAACCACTCTTAGACTGAGCAATGGGGATTTTACACCTGTTTTTCAAAATATCATGTGCACTCCCACTGGTGGACAGGGAGCATGAAACCTTTGTTGACACAGCTGTGGACAATTCTCCTTGAAATAGAGACCTGTTCATTGTTTACAGGGCAATAGTCAATAGTGTACTTAAATACTATTTTTGAATCTACAAGATATATTGGCAGATAATAACATTTTCTTCCTCTTCCATTGACCAAGCAATAATAAAAGGGTCACAGGCGGGGCACGGTGGCTCATGCCTATAATCCCAGCACTTTGGGAGGCCAAGACAGGTGGATTGCTCGAGGTCAGGAGTTTGAGACCAGGCTGGGCAACATGGAAAAACCTTGTCTCTACCAAAATAATAATAATAATCAGCCAAGTCTGGTGGTGCACCTGTAGTCCCAGCTACTCCAGAGGTTGAGGTAGGAGGATCACTGGAGCCCAGGAAATCAAGGATGCAGTTGGTTGTGTTGGCACCATTGCACTCCAGCCTAGGGTGACAAAGTGAGACCCTGTCTCAAAAAAAAAAAAAAAAAAAAAGTTCATCAATTACAGTCCAATAAAAACAGTCACCAATAAGAGTCCAATAAAGTTATTTAGGGGATGAGTAACTTTACAACGGGCTGATAGTTGGTGTTTATCATGCTCTCAGATCACACTAGTGGACTGATTAACACTTGCTCCTTCCCCTCTCTATCCAGCAGAGAAATTTTGAGAGAAGCATAAAGTCCAAGAGGGAAAATGAATTTTCAGTTAGTCTAGCTGGAGGAATTTTGGGGCATTCATGCAGACACCCAGTGGAGTTAGTCTGTCCACACATAATAGACCTCTCTTGCTGGAGCTTGTGCCTGGAGTTCCCCAGCCCCTTTCGACATCCCCTGGGTAGGCGTCTGGGGTGAGCACGCCCGGGTTCTTGCTTAACCTTCAACAGAGGCCTTGCCCAAGGTCAGACAGGGCCCAGGTAGCCAATATTTCTGGGATGCTGGGAGCTGAAGATACCAAGGTAGATTACTTGCTGGGGAACAGATCTCAAATAGGAAGCAGTCACATCATGACTATTTGCTTTACTGAACTATGAGACAAGAACAGAACTATCCTGATAAGCAATAAAATGTCTCCCCAGGCTGAGCGTGGTGGCTCACGCCTGTAATCCCAGCACTTTGGGAGGCCAAGGTGGGTGGATCACCTGAGGTCAGGAGTTCAAGACCAGCCTGGCTAACATGGTGAAACCCCGTTTCTACTAAAAATACAAAAAATTAGCCGGGTGTGTGGCACATGCCTATAATCTCAGCTACCCAGGAGGCTGAGGCAGGAGAATTGCTTGAACCCGGGAGGTAAAGGTTGCAGTGAGCTGAGATCACGCCATTGTACTCCAGCTTGGGCAACAACAGCGAAACTCTGTCTCAAAAACAAAAAAGTCTCCCCTTTCTCCCTTTCTCTTCCTTTGCCCTCTCTTTTCCATTGACTTTCTTTTAGATAAATGCTTTATTTTTGTGAAATGATACCTGCTCACAGAAAAATATTCAAAAAACGTTGAAAAGTACAAAGGAAAAAAGCCTAAATTGCTTGAATTCTAATCACCTGAAGGGTAACTACTGTTAACCTTTTTGTGGCAGAATGTGTGTGTGTGTGTGTGTGTGTGTGTGTGTGTGTGTGTGTGTGTGTGTGTGACTTTTAAGGCTTTAACAACAGGCCGGGCGCGGTGGCTCATGCCTGTAATCCCAGCACTTTGGGAGGCCAAGGTGGGCAGATCACCTTAGGTCAGGAGTTCAAGACCAGCCTGGCCAACATGGTGAAACCCCATCTCTACTAAAAATACAAAAATTAACCGGCCGTGGTGGCTTGCGCGCCTATCTTCCCAGCTACCTGGGAGGCTGAGGTGGGAGAATCACTTGAATCCAGGAGGCGGAGGTTGCAGTGAGCCGAGATCGCACCACTGCACTCCAGCCTGGGTGACAGAGCGAGACACTGTCTCAAAAACAAAACAAAATAAAGCTTTAACAGAGCATAGCACACCTGCAGCAAAGTGCACAAATCATCCGTGTGCTGCTGGATGCACACTTCTGTGTACAGCAAATTGAAAACCGCCGTAGAGCCAGCACCCACAGGGTGCCCCCTCCACGAATACATACCCCCCAACCACGAACGCTAACTTATTTATCACCTCTGGGAACACTTTGGTGGATGTCCTCTCAGACTTTTATGAAACACCTGTGATCTTAAAAACAAATCTGGTAACGACCATGCTCTCCCAAAATCAGAACTGTAAAAACAGCCCACATACCACAACTTAATTGGCATTCCTGCCTATATGACTCATTCCGCAAAACTCCACCGGGAGTCAACGTGCTCCTGAATCCTGGTCCACAGCCTGGCTGCCTGCTGGAGCCAGCTGGGGAGCTTTAAAACTGGTGGTGCCTGGGCCCCACCTCCAGTGTGGCTGACTTAACTGGTCCAGGTGGGACCTGGCATTTGTGTAGATGTATCTCTTATCTCCCCAGGGGATCCTAATGTGATACCAAGGGGAGCACCTCTGCTCTGAGGTCGTTTTTTACTACACGAATGCACTGCAAGTAGGACTGTGAGGTGCTGTCCCAACTGACTTGACTCCACAGAGACCACTGTGAGGCCAGATAGAGACCATCATCCACTCTTGCCAGTGTGAACGCTGGGGCTCAGGAGGTCGTGGTTCTATGCCTGGACTGCACAGTGTTGGTGGGAGGTGCACATCCTGCCTAGAGCCCAGGCCTTTTCAGCCTTGGCCCAGGTCATGGGTACAGGCCAATGGATGGAACAGAGGCAGCCCAAGCCCGAGGAAGTGTTCCACCGTCATGGCCTCATCATCTGGGGGTGAGGCTGAGTGGGCTGGGCTTGTCCAGGGAGCACAGCCTCTTGGGTTTCACAGGTAGGAATCCAAGCTGGCACAGAAATGTGCCTGAACATCCACAGAATAATTCTGGAAAAACAGGCAGGAGACTGAGAGGGCAACCTGTTTCCCTCTAGAAAGGTGACACAGGTGGAGAGGGCTCAAGTGCCTGGATTGCCCAGATTTAAAATTTTTATTATCAAAGCCAGGCGCGGTGGCTCACACCTGCAATCCCAGCACTTTGGGAAGCTGAGGTGGGTGGATTATTTGAGGTCAGGAGTTCAAGACAAGCCTGGCCAACATGGGGAAAACCTGTCTCTACTACAAATACAAAAATTAGCTGGGCGTGGTGGCAGGTGCCTGGAGTCCCAGTTACTCAGGAGGCTGAGGCAGGATAATCGCTTGAACCCGGGAGGTGGAGGTTGCAGTGAGCTGAGATCACGCCATCGCACTCCAGCCTGGGCAACAGAGTAGGACTCTGTCTCAAAAAACAACAGCAACAAATTTCTTATCAAAAATTTCAAATATACAGAGAAGTAGCGAGAATGGACTACATTATTTATTATTTAAAAATGATTAAGATCTCAGAATGAAGAGATAAATAAAAGAAGCAATGGATGGGCATTTCTAAACCATTAGGAATTGAAATTAAGAGGATGTTTTGCGTTTTTCCTCAATTTTTATTTTTTTGCATCTAGAGTTCACTAGGACCTAAGCTTAGCGAGGGCAGGGATTTCTGTCTCTTTAGCTCACTACTCTTTCTCTAGTGTCTAGGACAGCTCTTAACACACAGAGGATAAAAAATCTGAGGATAAATGAGTAAATGTATGAATTGAGCATGCATTGCTTTTGTATTTGGGAGGAATCCATTCTAAACAGATACATATATAGATAGATAGATATAGATGTAGATATATATCAATCAAGAAGTATTCTCTTCTTATATAAATAAACCCAGGAAAATCATCAGACATCTCAGCCATTGAACCTACTAATTTATAAACGATGTGTGTGTGAAAATGATGTGCAGTTTATTCATGAGGGAAAATATAGAATCAGGTGCCAAGTGGCAGGTCTGGGGTCCTATGCTTTTGTGTATTCTCCAAATAGGGAAGAAGACAGGAGTGGAGGGTCTCCTTAGTGTCCTGGGGCCTTGACCACACAACCACCCCTGTTTCCTCACCCATCTATCACCCAAGACAATGACAGAAGGGGGCCTTGCTATCTCTTTACAGCAGGGCAGAAAATGCCAGCCAAGGAAGGTAAATGAGAGACTTCAGGACTTGGCCCCAGACAGTTGACTTGGACTACATTTGTCCTGAAGGGACAGGCTGGATCCATTGAAAATTAACCCGGCTGGGTGTGGTGGCATGCGCCTGAAATCCCAGAAGTTTGGGAGGCAGAAGCAGGTGGATTGCTTGAGCCCAGGAGTTTGAGACCAGCCTGGGCAACATGGAGAAACCCCGACTCTACAAAAAATACAAAAATTAGTGGGGTGTGGTGGGGATGCCTGTGGTCCCAGCTACTCAGGAGGCTGAGGTGGGAGGATCACTTGAGCCCAGGAGGCCAAGGCTGCAGTGAACCAAAATTGCACCACTGCACCTCAGCCTGGGCAGCATAGTGAGACCTTGCCAAAAAAAAAAAAAAAAAAAAGCCAGGCATGGTGGCTCATGCCTGTAATCCCAGCACTTTGTGAGGCCAAGGCAGGCAGATCACTTGAGGTCAGGAGTTCGAGACCAGCCTGGCCAACATGATGAAATCCCATCTCTACTAAAAATACAAAAATCAGCTGGGCATGGTGGCACATGCTTGTAATTTTAGCTACTTGGGAGGCTGAGGCAGGAGGATTGCTTGAACCTGGGAGCCGGAGGCTGCAGTGAGCTGAGATTGCACCACTGCACTCCAGCCTGGGTGACAGAATGAGACTTCATCTCAATAAAATAAAATAAAATAAAATAAAATAAAATAACCTTGAGCATCCTCAGGTGTCCCATCTTTAGAATCTCTCAGCATTTATAAAATTCACTGCCACACTGCAATTATGTCTTCTCCCTTCTTAAATAGGCTTGGGTTTATGGAAAATAACAACAAATGAAACCATAGCTAACATGTAGAAGGCATTTACAGATTTCCAAGAGCCTTCAGACCAAATGTTTCACGAAAGTCCTGTGATGAAAACCATATAGTTACAATGATTCTTGTCCATTTTCTAGATGAGGAGACTGAGGCTGAAAATTTACTGGATTTGCCCAAATGACAGAGGGGCTAGGACCTGAGCCAAGGTCCCCCACTTCTAGAGCCAATCATCTGTATGTTACTTCCTGCAGTTGTAGGAGTTGTTCCTACCCAACGCCCTCCCTGTCTGTTCCCATGTATAACAGGATCTCACAGCAAGTTCTGGGCACTTGGGGGACAGGTTAAATTGGGGTTAGCACTGGAAAGTCCTGTTTTCTCATCCATAAAAGTAGGAGTTTAGATCAGGTGACCTTTGGGCATCCCTAAATCCTGAGACGTTTTTATTTTCTGCTCCATTTCAAAGGTCAAGAGATCAGGTCCCTGGCCAGGTAGACTCCACTGAGGGCAAAGCAAGAAGAAAAGATGTCCGTGGTGACCTTTTCCATCTGCATTTACCATCAGATACCAAAGAGACCGTTGGTTTTTTACTCAGCAAACATTTATTGGGGTTACCGTGTGCCGGTATCACTCTAGAAGCTACAGACCCACAGACAATGCCTGGGTCAGCCTCCTCCTTCTGTCCAAGAGAGAGACTGGTGATTCAGAACCAGCTCAGGGAGGTCAGGCGGGAGGATGGGTGAGATTCCATGGTTCCAGAGAGAACTGCTGCCATCTTGGCGGCCGTGGAGAGGGTGCCAAGGAAGGTTCTAGAAGAGCAGAGGCTAAAGCATGGCCTTGCAGAGAGGGTTGGGGTTACCTGGTAGACTGAGAGGCCCATGCATCTTAGGAGTGAAGAGCAGGCATCTTCCATGCAATTTGCCCCTGTGTTTTCATCTCCCAACCCCTCTTCAACTTTCTCATTTAGCTTTCTCTCACTGGTGATGAGAAAATCCTTAGTCCACTACTCTGTGAAAAGCTGTAGAAAGTTCCCTGAAGTACAAGAGGATGAAATGATTTCCTTCCAGGAATAAATGAATGAGGAGGAAGGAATCTCCTCCTGAGACCATTGGAACCTCAGTGTTGTTTCCTGCCCCAACTAGCTCACCTAGCAGTCAAGGTAAATACCAGAAACTACCCATCTGCCACGTGGGAGGGGCCCTAGGAAACAGATAGGAGAAACAGAAGCTGTTCAATTACTTTTTTTTTTTTTTAGATGGAGTCTCGCTCTGTCACCCAGGCTGCAGTGCAGTGTCACCATCTTGGCTCACTGCAACTTCCCTTCCCAGCTTCAAGCAATTCACCTGCCTCAGTCTCCCGAATAGCTGGGACTACAGGCACACATCACCATGCCTGGCTAATTTTTATATTTTTAGTAGAGACGGGGTTTCACTATGTTGGCCAGGCTGGTCTCGAACTCCTAACCTTCTGATCCGCCCACCTCGGCCTCCCGAAATGCTGGGATTACAGGCATGAACCACTGCTCCCGGCCACTGTTCAATAACTTTCTTTTCCCCACTAACTCTCATCCTTCCTGGGATTGTTAGAAAATGGAATTCCCGCTGCCTGCAGCCTCTAAGCCTCTGCTGCTGGGTTCATGCTGAGTTTTTAACTGCCATTTCTGTGTTCTCAGGTCCTTCCCAAACTTCCAAACAAATACTGTTTGGAAGTTTCTGCTTCTGTTTTGGACTATGATGAAATATTTCCATAAATTATTAGTCCGTTGAGACCCAACATAAAAACAGCAAGCGTACGTGCAACACTTCGGACTTTGCTACTGTTGCTGGTCGTCCTGGCCCGCGGCAGAACCAACCATCACTGGAGAAGTCAATCAGCTGACACAGGAGCTCCTTCCCTAACACAGGGCCTTTTGCATCTACCCTGCTAAGCGCGCATGTGCAGAGGAGAGTCCCTTGGAATCAGCAGCCAATGTCCTCATTTCCTTGGGTGGCATTTTGCCAAATCCGTATTCCACAGGTGCTCCTGGCTCCCTCTCCTTCACTTTTTCCCAGCAGAGCTGCTCATCCAGTGGCACTGAAAATGGGTTTTGAGGCCGGGTGCGGTGGCTCACGCCTGTAACCCCAGCACTTTGGGAGGCCGAGGCAGGCGGATCATGAGGTCGGGAGATCCAGACTATCCTGGCCAACATGGTGAAATCCCGTCTCTACTAAAACTACAAAAATTAGCTGGGTGTGGTGGCGCGTGCCTGTAATCCCAGCTACTCGGCAGGCTGACCCAGGAGGCAGAGGTTGCAGTGAGCTGAGATCCCGCCACTGCACTCCAGCCTGGTGACAGAGCGAGACTCTGTCAAAAAAAAAAAGAAAAAAAAGAAAAAAAAAAAAGAAGAAGAAAACAAAAGAAAAGAAAATGGGCTTTGTTGCTTCCCTGAGTCATCTCCACCTTCCCCCAAACTCTTCTCCCAGGTTGGTCCTTTTCTTCTCAGGATCCAGGTTTTATTCATGATGTTCCTCTTGTCTGGAAAGACCCCCTCCTGCTCCCTGCACTCCTCCCTCCTTCTGCTGCCTTCTCTCCTTCTCCCAGGTCTATATCAAACCCAGGCTCCCCAAGAAGCTCACCCACTCTGATGGCAGGCCCTGCTCTGTGATGCTCCTGGTTGGCTGATCTTCTCATCTCCACGTGGATGGAAGGTGCCACAAGGATGGGAGCCACCTTCCTCACCTTTGTTCCCTGGGAAGCACTTGTCACATGCCCTGTGTGTCCCAGATGCTTCGTGGGTGAGCACGTATTGAATTGGAATCTCCAGAAGGAGCAGGAGAATACATGGCCTAACACTCAGAGAAATTGTGTGAAAATCATTCCATATTTTCTTCGTGTATCCAGTGGAAATACTGTAAACAGCAGGACCACTATCCTGTAGGCAGATGTCATTTACTTTGTGCATAGACTTTCTTAACACTTATGAGGCACTACCTGCACGCAAGGGCTTGGGGGGTGGGAAATACCACCAAAAAAGCCCCCACTTGAGATATTTAGCTAGTGCCTGAGAAAATAAAATAATTGTTAGGGTGTGTTTATTTGAAAGTTTTGAAAAAAATACTTAGGTGGTGTTTCTAATTCTCAAAAGAATTACTTTTTTTTTAAGTGCTTAGCATTCTTCAGTAGGAAGGACCTTGAAAAGTACATCCGTTGTTGTTCTATGAAGTAAATGAATTCTGTTCTTTGCATGATGACATTTTCTAGTACTTATATTGAGAAAAGTGGAAAGTTTAACTCCTAACCATTGTCATTTCTTTCCAATTTAATGTCAAAACATTTTTTTTAACCATTAGGGATAGAAATAGTCTAACAGGTGTGCTATGGTGTGTTATGAACAAAATGATAAATTAAGGTGTTTAGCACAGAGTTACAGAGATGTTAACTATGTACTAATTTTATATTTCAAATATATTTACTGAGATATAATTCACATACCATAAAATTCACCCATTTAAAGTGTTAAATTCAGTGGTGTTCTATATTCATAGAGTTATGCAATCATCCGCCATGATCTAATTTTAAAGCATAGATTTTTCTTTTCTTTCTTTCTTTTTTTTTTAGAGACAAGGTCTTGCTCTGTCACCCAGGCTGGAGTGCAGTGGCTTGATCCTAGCTCACGACGGCTTTGAACTCCTGGGCTCAAGCGGTCCTCCAGCCTCAGCCTCCAGAGCAGCTAGGACTACAGGTACGTGCTACCATGGCCAGCTCATTTTTATGGTTTTTTTTTTTTCTTTTTTTTGTAGAGATAGGATCTCACTATGTTGCCAAAGCTTGTTTGGAACTCCTGGCCTCAAGCGATCCACCCGCCTCAGCCTCCCAAACTGCTGGGATTATAGGTGTGAACCACTGCACCCAGCCTAAGTTTAGAACATTTTCATCACCCCAAAAATAAACCCCAAACCTTTTAGCAGTCATTCCCTACCGTCTTCACCACCCCTAGTCTTAGAGAAACATTAATCTACTTTCTATCTTTATAGATGTGCCTATTCTAGACATTTTATATAAACAGAATCATATAATATGTGCTATTTTATTCACGGTTTTTTTCACTTAGGATACTGTTCTCCAGATTTATCCACACTGTAGTATATATCAGCACTTCATTCCTTTTTATGGCTGAATAATATTACATTACATGGATATACCACATTTTATCTATTCATAGTTGATAAACACTTTAGTTGTTTCCACTTTTTTACTATTATAAATAACGCTGCTACGAACATTTATGTATAAGCTTTTGTGGATGTAGATTTCATTTCTCTCTCTTTTTTTTTTTTTTTTTTGAGATGGAGTCTCACTCTGTTGCTCAGTCTGGAGTGCAATGCCACCATCTTGGCTCACTGCAACCTCCACCTCCTGGGTTCAAACAATTCTTCTGCCTCAGTCTCCCAAGTAGCTGGGATTACAGGCATGTGCCACCACACCCAGCTGATTTTTGTATTTTTAGTAGAGACAGGGTCTCACCATGTTGGCCAGCCTGGTCTCAAACTCCTGACCTCAGGTGATCTGCCCACCTTGGCTTCCCAAAGTGCTGGGATTATAGGCGTGAGCCACCACGCCTGGCCAGATTTCATTTCTCTTAGGTAAACACCTAGGAGTGGAACTGCCAGGTCATATGGCTACTCTGTGTCTAACATTTTGAGAAACTGTGACACTGTTTTCCACAGTGGCTGGACTATTTTACATTTCCGCCGGCAGCATATGAGGGTTCCAATTTCTCCACATTCTTACTACTACTTGCTTTCATCTGTCATTTTTATTATTGCCATCTTAGAAGATGTGAAGTGGCATCTCACTGTGGTTTTGACTTGCACTTCCCTGATGGCTAATGATGTGGAGCAGTGGTCCCCAACCTTTTTGCCACCAGGGACCAGTTTCATGGAAGACAGTTTTTCCACAGATGTGGTGTGGAGGGAGCAGCATGGCTTCGGGATGAAATTGTTCCATCTCAGATCATCAGGCATTAGATTCTCATAAAGAGTGTGCAACCTAGATCCCTCGCATGTCAGTTCACAAAAGGGTTCATGCTCTTATGAGAATCTCACGCTGCAGCTGATCTGACAGGAGGCAGAGCTCAGGCAGTAATGCTCACTGGCCCGACTCTCACCTCCTGCCGTGCAGCTGGGTTCCTAACAGGCCACATGGACTGGTACCAGTCCACTGCCCAGGCTTGGGGACTCCTGATGCAAAGCATCTTTTCTTGTGCTTATTGGTCATTGTATACCTTCTTTGGGGAAATATCTAATCAAATCTTTTGCTTATTTTACAATTGGGTTATTTGTCTTTTTTTTTTGTTATTGAGCTATATGAATTCCTGCTGGGTGTAGTGGCTTACATCTGTAATCCCAGCACTTTGAGAGGCCAAGGCAGGGGGATCTCTTGAGCCCAGGATTTTGAGACCAGACTGGGCAACATGGTGAAACCTTGTCTCTACAAACAATATAAAAATTAGGCAGGCTTGGTGGCACATGCCTGTAGTCCCAGTTACTTGAGAGGCTGAAGTTGGAGAATCGCTTGAGCCCAGGAGGTCCAGGCTGCAGTGAGCCGTGACTGTGCCACTGCACTCCAGCCTGGGAGACAGAGAGAGACTCTGCCTTGGTGGGGCCGGGAAACAGAAAGAAAGAATTCTTTATGTATTCTGGATGTTAGTCCCTTATCAAACATAGGATCTGGCTGGGCGTGGTAGCTCACGCCTGTAATCCCAGTACTTTGGGAGGCCAAGGTGGGTGGATCACTTGAGGTCAGGAGTTCGAGACCAGCCTAGCCAACATGGTGAAAGCCCGTATCTAGTAAAAATACAAAAAAATTAGCCAGGCATGGTGGTGCACACCTGTGGTCCCAGCTACTTGGGAGGCTGAGGCAGGAGAATTGCTTGAATCCGGGAGGTGGAGGTTGCAGTGAGCTGAGATTGCACCACTGCACTCCAGCCTGGGGGACAGAGAGAAACTCCATCTCAAAAAAAAAAAAAAAAAAAAAGGTCCTTCAAATATTTTTTCCCATTGTTTTCCAATTTGGCTTTTTAACTTTCTTCCTTTTTTTTGGCCTTACTTTCTTAACAATAAGGTGTTTTGAAAGGAAAAAGTGAAACCAACGATTCAACTTATCTAGACTTTTCTGTAATTTTGTATGGCTAACTCACTATTTTAGAATGATTTGTGTCTCTTGGCTTTCAGTGTTCTACTGTGAAAAGTTATGAAGGTTCAAGTTTTTGTAAGGAAACAAAAATGTCTATAAGAAGACTGATTGGTGTGCTCTCCCTGCGTGTTTACTAAGGCTTTCCTTGGCCACTTTGTTATTTCCCATATTTAAAACATGGCCAAGTTCCTGTGAATGATTGTTTTCAAGGAAATATCTTTGTAATTGAAAACGAACTAAATAATATATTATATGTTTGCTATGAACACAGTGTGGCAGCTTTGAATTCATAGGATTTCAGGCTATCAGTGTAAATCAGGAAACGGCTTCCAGGAAGAGAAAGTGAGAGTGAAAGCAACCGACAGAGAGCAGGCAGGGCCAGGAGAGAGGGCTGCAGGCTCCCTCGCAGGGGAACCCCAAAGAGCACATTCTTTGGGGAGTGACCACCCTCCGGAGCGAGGAGCCTTGGGGATGGGATCCTTGCCAGTGCAGTGTGTGTATGTGTGCGTCAGTGCAGTGTGTGTAAGTGTGCGTGTGTGTGTGTGTGTGTATGTGTGTGTGTACATGCGCATGAGCTGAGAGAGAGAGGAGGAGGAGCAGGAGGTGGCGGAGGCAGGGCAGAAGGTATCTTTTCCCATTGAGACTTTTTTTTGGTCTTTTAAAACCTCTTCCGCGAGCTCAGTCTTTGTAAACATACCTGTATGCCCAATTCTCTCCAGCTCAAGAAATACAGGGGCCTGATTTTTCTCAGAATTGTATTTACCATTTTTTTTTAAGAAGGCCTCAGCTCTGCCCTGGTGCTTAAAGCTCTCTCCTGCACATGTGTATGCGTTACATCCACCCTAGGTCATCAGCTACTCGCAAAAGGTCCTGATCCCACTGCAAATTAAATTCCATTCCAGTTTTTTGAACCTCACATATTTAGTTCATGACATAGGGGCCCTGGAAATGTTATATCTAAAACTTGGTGTGGATTGTTAACTAAAAACTTGGGACTTGGTCTGAAGCCCCCATTCATCCTGAGCAGCAAGAGGAACACGTGGTGGCAAAGCCTGCGGGCTGTCTATTCTCACTATAAATAGGAATGGTCTGTTTTGCAGCTCTCCAGCTTTTAGGCACATAATATTTGCCATATGTATGCTATCGCATCCCTGCTATCTGCATTCACACAAACCATGGATCCCATGCTCTTGTCTTGCTTTCCCGTTGCAACTGCAATTGTTTGTTGATAAATATCTTTTATCTCAATGATGTGGACATAATATCCACACTCTTCTCCCGACGTGTATGAAAGACGGAAGAAGGGAGAAGGAGAAAACAGACACGGAGGACCTACTAGGAGCCATGAGCTTTGCCCAGTGCTTTCTTTACTCTAGCAAGGACATTAAACGCACTTAGTGATCATTAGTTCCATGCCTACCAGGAGCCAGAGAATTTCCGCACATCATCTCTTGGAGACAGGTATTTTTTCAGCCTTCAATGATGTTAAGTAATTTGCTGGAAGTCACATCTTCTGAGCTTGGATTTGAGTTCAGTAGGTTCTGATTTGGAGCTTTGCTAACTTTGAATTTCAAATTTAAAATGTAAGATTTTGCAGAAGTAGATGGCTTGTCTTTATCACCTAAAAATAAAGCATTCTTTCCCAGGAATGGGTTTGCAGAACTGCATCTACAGCAATTCAGGCTGGGGCGTGCAGCCAGATGACCTGGGTTTGAATCCTGGCTCTACCCCTTGCTGGCTCTGTGACCTTGGGCAACAATTTAACCTCACTGTCCTTATCTGTAAAATGGGCATAGTGATGATGGTAATTCTACCTACTTAGAAAGGTGTTGTGGCTGGGCGCAATGGTTCACGCCTGTAATCCCAGCACTTTGGGAGGCTGAGGTGGGTGGACTACTTGGTCGGGAGCTCCAGACCATCCTGGCCAACATGGTGAAACCCTGTCTCTACTGAAAATACAAACATTAGCCGGGTATGGTGGTAGGCACCTGTAATCCCAGCTACTCAGGAGACTGAGGCAGTATAATCACTTGAACCTGGAAGGTGGAGGTTGCAGTGAGCCGAGATTGCTCCACTGCACTCCAGGCTGGGCGATACAGCAAGACTCAGTCTCCAAAAAAAAAAAAAAAAAAAAAAAAAAAAAGTGTTGTTAAGATCTGGTAAGATGACCTGTGATGTGTGATAAGCCGTCAATATTAGCCAGTATGACTAAGACTTGCATATACAACCAGAGCTGGAACACCAAGCTACAGGATTGCTTTCGCAGGTGTTGAATTAAATAGATCAATTTGAAAGCAATAAGCCTCTTTCCTTCCTTCCCTCCCTTCCTTCCTTCCTCTCTCTCTCTCTTTCAATGCAAGAGTGGGCTTTCCTAGCAGTCAAATATAACTTAGTTAATTCAACAAATGCTTGTAGAACCGTACTGTAGTGCCAAGTGCTGTGCTGAGTGCGAGCTAGAGATTTGGTAGTGAAAACACAGATTGCACATTCCCATTCTGCAGACTGTGGAGCTCACAGTCTAGTGGGAAAGACACCAATGATACAATCAGACCTACCAGAGGGGAATGCTTTCTCATAAAGTCAACTCTCATGTAAAGTTTTTTAAAAAATCTTCTAAAATTTACCCTGAAATGTATTTTTTTCTTTTGCTTAACAAATTATTGCTTTACGGAATTATATGTTGTGTATTTTCATAAATCTCTTCATCCAACATATGCTATATATGTACATGAAAAGTCTGTATATATACATTTCTACACAAACCTTGTTGACAAACTCTGCTTAATGTTGGTTCCAATTACAAATGGTAAAATTCAATGTTTTTCACACATCAGATATTTAAGTAGTTTTAAAAAGGAAATATCTTAAAATGCCAACTGGAATATTTTCGGAGCAAAGTGTCATCTTAATGAGGATTCATGATGTAGCAGTGGATGGAAGATGTTCTGGTCTTTTAAAATGTATGTTTGGTGTTTCACGAGGCTATTAGAGAGTCCAGGGAACCCTCACTTTTCCTTTTGGATGCCATAAGATTCCTAGAAGGCATCCTGGGGCTTTTCTTTGTTCTTGATGTTCTGATCCTAAATGACTCGGGGCTGTGAACTCCTGGTAAACCAGTGAGTCATAGATCCTGCTCCAAGACACTCTTTGGGAGTGGGGAGTGCTAAGAAAGCAAAACTGATCAAACCGGGTGTGGCTGAGGGGCCCTTCCACAAAGCAAGTAGCTTTGGACACAGGCTGTTGCTTCTAGAAAGGAGGAGTTGCATGTGCAAAGGATACGTGATGGTTTGGTGAGGTGGTACATGTGGGACAGGAACCAGTTGGGTGTCAACAATGACGCAGGTGCCAAGCTGCATGTTCCCCTCCCATGTCTGGCTCAGGAGCCTTCCAACTCACACAACACACAACAGCAAAAACAAAGAACAAAACGAACCAATAATTTGTTTTGGAGATATAACTTCTGGAGAGAGAAGACTCCTTCCCACCCAGGTCTGGACATTTTAAAGACCTGGAGAAGTTTTCAGAGTGGGAGTAGTGTGCAGCGCCATTCTTTCCTGGGGTCCCTCTGGGGCATATTCGCAGGGGACTTCAATGTTGCTCTTGGTAAGTGAAAAAGCCCAAGCATCATGGCCAAGATGTGGAAACCACGTGATCCAGTTCCAGATACAATGCAACATAATGAAAGGAAATATTGTATCATCCTGATTACCTTTAAATAGCTCCCTCTTCATCACTCCCTCTTAAATACACACACACATGCGCACATCTCTTTGGAAGTGGCAGAAGCCAAATGCTTGGAGTTTCCTGGCATTTGAGCTTTGTCTCAGCAGCTCTCAAATGTATACACTGCTCTTCACATCCACTTTGAAGTTAAACGGCACAGCTCCTTTTTTACACACATACGGTCATGACAATAAACATCTCACCATCCTCGTGACTCCCTGTCTACCCTAGCCTTATGTAATTCTCTGGCACACTCACTTTCTCTATGTGTCTTTTAGTGCCTGTTTGCATCATGTAGATTTTAGGTCCATCTGGTAATGACGGTATCTTTCTGTACACAATGTATTCAGTTACCTTTAAACAATAAAAGTTATTTGATATCAGCAATGTGTGTCCCTGGGGGACAGGACGACTGGAGGGCAGCAGGAGCTAGAAGCAGGAGGGTTGCAACACTTTTCAGAAAAAAGCTTTCCGTTTCTCCCAGGCACCAGGGTGGAGCACGTCTATTCCCCCTCCACTGGCACTGATCATGGTGCTCCACAAGAAACCAAAATGGCTTCAGGATCCCTTTGCAAAGTAGAGGTTTGTCCTTGAAGTGCCAGAACAGAGGGAGTTGCTTCAGTCCTGGGTACTAGTGAGCAGCTGCCCAGGCTGATGTTAAAGCCACCGAAGATGGAAGGGGCTAGAGAGGGTGTCTAGAGGTGACTCTCCTTTCACTCCTACCCATATCAAGTTGGCATTGCTGTGGCTCAGAGTATGAAAGATTAATCTTTCCTTTACTTCCCCTCCCTGTGAAGCAAGGGAGACCACCTGCTTGTGGAAAATTGGTTGATGGTGAGTTTTCAAGGGTCCCTTGCAGTGATGCCACCAAGGGGTGGTTTGCAGATGAGGCAGGGGGTTACCACCCCCAGAACTTTTTTCAAAATGACCCCCCAACCCCTAAAGAGGAAGAATTTCTTAGTTGCTCCTCAGACGGTAGCCATGGATCCACACGAGCTTCTCCTAAGAGTTTATTAGAACCGTAGAATCACAGAATTTGCAGCACTTCCTGACCAGAGTCAGCATTTTAACAAGATTCCCCAGGAATTCATGTGCACGTTGGAATCAAAGTGCTCCTCTAAGCCAATGGTCTCCTTTCTCGTGGCACAGTGGAGCATCTGGGAATTATTATTATTGTCATTATTATTATTTTAAGATGGGGTCTTACTCTGTCAGCCAGGCTGGAGTGCAGTGGTGCAATCATGGCTCACTGCAGCCTCGACTCCCTGGACTGAAGTGACCCTCCCACCTCAGCCTCCCGAGCAGCTGGGACTACAGTCGTGCACCACCTCACCCAGCTAATTTTTTGTATTTTTTTTTTTTTGTAGAGATGGGGTTTCTCCATGCTGCCCAGGCTGGACTGGAACTCCTGGGTTCAAATGAGCTACCTGCCTCGGCCTCCCAAAGTGTTGGGATTACAGGTGTGAGCCGCCGCACTCAGCCATATCTGAGAAACTTTCGAAAGGACCCAGGTCCCTGGCCCTCCTCTAGCGACCCCATGTGATTTAAGAACTATTGACATATATGAGTCTGAGCTTTGGAGCCAGACTGACTAGGTCTGTGTCTTCCTTAGTCTCTTAGTAGATGTATCCATTTGGCACAGCTCTATGGTTGCTTCTTGGTCTACAGAATCAGAGAAATAATAGTCGTTATCTCGTAAGATCATTGTGAAGTTTAAAAGAGATGGTATGTATAAACTCTGAAGTATAGTAAGCCCTCAATAAACAATACCTATTATTATCCAAACAGGATTTGCAACAAGTCCCCCACAGCCCTCTTCTCACTCAGTCCCAAGTCCCTTCAGTATTGACACTATGGAGCAAGTTTTTGGTGATCCATTATACTTGGCAATTTACTTGAGTATTGGCCACTATTTCTTCTTCTTTTTTTTTTTTTTTTTTTTTTTCAAGACAGAGTCTCGCTCTGTCGCCCAGACTGGAGTGCAGTGGCACGATCTTGGCTCACTGCAACCTCTGCCTTCAGGGTTCAAGCGATTCTCTCGCCTTGGCCTCCCAAGTAGCTGGGATTACAGGTGCCCACCACCCCGCCCTGCTAACTTTTGTACTTTTAGTAGAGAACGGGGTTTCACCATGTTGGCCAGGCTGGTCTTGAACTCCTGACCTCAGGTGATCTGCCTGCCTCAGCCTCCCAAAGTGCTGTGATTACAGGTGTGAGCCACCACGCCCAGCCCACTCTTTCTAAATTGGCAGTCTCTTTGGTCTTCTTCAGTAAGTTTAATGGGTTCTCATTGCCTGATGATCAATACTGGAGGAATCATCCCTTACTTAAACAACAACAAAACCAAAACTAACCAATCAAACCAACAAACAAAACATTGAAAGCAGGAACCAAATTGTATAGCAAATGATGGGAAAAACAGTATAACTGGAGCTTAATACCAAAAACATAAACTAAAATTTAACGAAAATTATCTAGGCCATAACGAAAACCATGTACCAATTTAAGTAAGAACAAAGGGTGACTCAGCTATTGTCTTTGGTAGTAGGGTTTTGCCAAAACAGTTCCAGTGATAAAATAATGCGATTTTTTTCATCAGGGCTGACCTTTGTAGCTTTTTTTTTTTTTTTACAATTCATACTCTCATTTTATGGCCAATTTGGTTTTTCTTTGCCTTGTATTGTTAGATATTTATAGTGTCATTATCAGAAAGAGGCTGACCTAAAATAATATTTATGTGAGACCAGATTTAATGGCTCATGCCTATAATCCCAGCACTTCAGGAGCCCACGGTGGGAGGGTCACTTGAAGCCAGGAGTTTGAGACCAACCTGAGCAATAAAATTGAGACCCTGTCTCTACAAACAAACAAACAAGCAAACAAAAAATTTAGCCAGGCACAGTGGCGTGTGCCTATAATCCCAGCTAATTGGGCAGCTGAGGCAGGAGGATCACCTGAGCCCATGAGTTTGAGGCTGCAGTGATCTATGATTGCACCATTGTACTCTAGCCTGGGTGACAGTGTGAGACCCTGTCTCAAAAAACAAATGATAACAAAGAAACAATAGTGATGTGATAGGTGTGGGTGGGTGTTACTCTTACACCTGGAAGCCTAGTTAATTGAGAATAAATATTAAAAGTGATCAGTTTGGACTGGACGTGGTGGCTCACGCCTGTAATCCCAGCACTTTGGGAGGCCAAGGCAGGCGAATCAGTTGAGTTAGGAGTTCAAGACTAGCCTGGCCAACATGGTGAAACCCTGTCTCTACTTAAAATACAAAAACTAGCCGGGCATGATGGTACACGCCTGTAATCCTAGCTACTTGGGAGGCAGAGGGCAGAAGGATAGCTTGAACCCAGGAGGTGAAGGTTGCAGTGATCCAAGATTGCGCCACTGCACTCCAGCCTGGATGACAGAGTGAGACTTCGTCTCCAATAAGAAAAAAAAAAAAAAGTGATCAGTTTCTCAGTCAATATTCCATGTTGTGGTCACTCTGACCTCTCTATGTGACCTCGTGACCGTTAGTTCTTGGATATAAATACTGATAGAAGGACCTTTAATATTTAAATCTAATTTGAATTTTTAAAAAATATACAAATTTGCTAATTCCTTTTTTTTTTTTTTTTTGAGACAGAGTCTGGCTCTGTTGCCCGGGCTGGAGTGCAGTGGCGCCATCTTAACTCACTGCAACCTCCACCTCCTGGGTTCGCGCAATTCTTCTGCCTCAGCCTCCCCAATAACTGGAATTACAGGCATGTGCCAGGGAATTACGGGCATGCACCACCATGTGCGGCTAATTTTTGTATTTTTAGTAGAGATGGGGTTTTGCCATGTTGGCCAGGCTGGTCTTGAACTCCTGATCTGAGGTGATCCATCTGCCTTGACCTCCCAAAGTGCTGGAATTACAGGCGTGAGCCACTGCACTCAGCCTAAATTTGCTAATTCTATTAAAATGGCATTGCATTTTTTAGGACCCTCCTTCAAAAGAATTCATATATATATTTCCTAGAACCATAGGATGTTAGCTTTGAAACTAACATCAGAAATAATGTGTCTCAATTTCCTTGTATTCCAAAAGGAAAAACTGAGATCTGGAAAAGCAGAGTGACTTTACTGAGGCTACTGGTCCGACAGGACTAGAAGCCAAAGTTTTGTTTCACATGGATTGTTTTAATTAGGTCTTCGAAGCCCCAGATGACCAATGTTTATGCCTCTCACATCAGAAAATGCGCAAAATCTTATAGGAATTCGCTTTTTATTATTTACTTATTCGTTTATTTAGAGACAGGGTTTTGCTATGTTGTCCAGGCTGGACTCAAACTCCTGCGCTCAAGCAATTTTCCCACCTCCACCCCACCAGCAGCCAGGGATCCAGGTGCAGGAGCGATTGAGCCTAACTAACTTCCTTTGGTTTTCTTTTTGTTTTTTTTCCCCGAGAGGAGTCTCACTCTTATCACCCAGGCTGGAGTGCAGTGGCGCGATCTCAGCTCACTGCAACGCCTGCCTCCCAGTTTCAAGCAATTCTCCTGCCTCAGCCTCCCAAGTAGCTGGGATTACAGGCACCCGCCACCACACCCGGCTAATTTTTGTATTTTTAGTAGAGACGGGGTTTCACCATGTTGGCCAGGCAGGTCTCAAACTCCTGACCTCGTGATCTGCCTGCCTCGGCCTCCCAAAGTGCTGGGATTACAGGCGTGAGCCACTGCACCCAGCCCTGTTGTTGTTTCTTTTACAATGTGGGCATAGAAAAGCTAAAAACAGAGCTGGGAAATCAAATAGAACTTTCAACTGTCCAACCCTTTCTCATGAAGCTCAAGGGGCTGGCAGGGAGAGTGGAGGTGGGGAAATGGAGTGACCAAGTCAGACAGCCTTTAAGGAGGGGCTTGTGGAGGCGGAGCGGGCCGTGGTCGGTCAGGTGAGCGGGACTGGCCTTGCAGACTTGAGCTAGTGCCGTGTAGAGCGGGGATGCTGGCATCAGCTGGCTCTTGAGGCAGCTCCTCCGCTGCCTTGCTCGTCTCACCTGGGGCTCTCTACATCTGCCTCGCTAGCTTGCCACAAGGTGGACCATAGATGGGGCGGGGGGGGTGGGACACAGGGAGAGAAGGAAGTCTTTTAAACCAAATTGAGGCGGGTGGCCTAACCTGTTCCCTACTATGGTGTGTCTGTCACCTCCGGGTGGCTCATGTTGACTGTCATCTTTCTGAGGGAACCATGCGACCTGCAAATGTGCAGGCAGGTGACAGAGCCTAGAGAACGGTGGGCATCTTCACACCTTCCCTCCAGGCAGGGCTGTATGGGAACCGCCTGGAGAGCGGAGCACGAGCCTTCCCCACCTCATTGTATTTAGCATCAAGAAGGTTTCTCATTCATTTTTTAAAAATGTTTCAAGACTATCATTGCAGGCAAACCAAAGAAGGGAGTGTTTCAAAACTATTTTACATAACATATACTATGGTCACCCTGAAATTAGTAAATCCTGTTTCACCCTGGCTTTATTGGGAGACAATCTATTAAGCATTGCTGTCAAGGAGTACACGGTGCCTCCTCCAAACAGATAAGAACGTTAACATTTCCCGTGTCAACTCCTCCGCAAGGATCGTGGCAATTCTTTCCTTCAGGGCTTCACCCCCTACAACAACAGCAAAAGGCAGTCCTGTTTCCTGGGCTTCATCTATGACGAGAGAGAGAAAGTGGCATCCTCTTGGAGGGACCTGTTGGGTTCGTGGCTCAGGAGATATGTGGGCTAGACAGACTTGAAGGGGAAAAGATACAGGCGTGCTTTCTGGGAGACAAACACAGGAGAAAGCAGAAAAGAACAGGGGTAAGTGACAGCAAAAACCAAACCAGGGCCAAGAGTTGGACAGGTTCTGAGACAGAAAGGGTTGAATCAGGAGAACTCTTCCGTGTGTTAATGGCTAAAATATTTGACTTTAGAAACAGTAAGAGTTATTTCCTTCTAGAGCAGTTGTTAACAGCTTCCCCAGAAAGACCCACTGGTTTGGAGAATCACAACGTAGTTGTAAAGCTTAGCAAGGAGGATCTGAGGGCTCCGCAACAGGGGGCAGCTCTGAGCTTTTCCAGACAATGGTTTTCTTGGACCTATTCCATGGCTTGGGAAAAAAGGAAGAAGCAAGAGAAACCCAAGGTGGGTGTGGAGGCACACAGCCTCTGGCGGCCACAATGAATGAGGACATGAAGCTAGAATGCAAGCTTCCTATACATATAAAACCCCAAGGATTGGGAAAATACACACTTGGAAGGGGGGAGCTTTTCTTCTGGTTCTATGTAAGCACAGTGGCTGGGTGTGGTGGTTCCTGCCTGTAATCCCAGCAATTTGGGAGGCAGAGGTGAGAGGATCTCTTGAGGCCAGGAGTTCAAGATCAGCCTAGGAAACATAGCAACATAGCAACACTCTGTTTCTACAAAAAATTAAACAATTAGTCAGTGTGGTGGCACACGCCTGTAGTCCCAGCTACTCATGAGGCCGAGAGAGGAGGACCACTTGAGCCAGGGAGTTTGAGGGTGTCGTGAGCTATTGGTCACACCACTGCACCCCAGCCTGGGCCACAGAGTAAGACCCTGTCTCAGGAAAAAAAAATCTAAACACAATACCAGCTGAGGAAAGAGGGAAGTCTATACAGAAGGAGAAAAATGTTTTAGACAACATGTGCTTTTTGAAGCTTGATGCTTTTATATGTGGTAACAAGATCAGAATTTTGTTCTAGAGAATCTGAAAGAGCTTCTCTGAACATCTACTGAGACCAGGAGAAGCAGGGCCATACCTGGAGCTTCCAACTGTTCAGAAGCATTTGGGTTGTTCCAAGGGTGAAAGGACCCTTCAGCTCCATTAAATATGTCATTAGGATCCCTGAAAGATACAGGACCAGTGGGGATGATATTCACTTGAATATTTTACTTTTTCATTTTTTATTTATTCGAGATGGAGTCTTGCTCTGTCACCCAGGCTAGAGCACAATGGCATGATCTCGGCTCACTGCAACTTCTCCCTCCTGGGTTCAAGCGATTCTCCTGCCTCAGCCTCCCAAGTAGCTGGGGTTATAGATGCCTGTCACCATGCTCGGCTAATTTTTGTATTTTTAGTGGAGACGGTTTCACCATGTTGGCCAGGCTGGTCTCAAACTCCTGACCTCAAGTGATCCACCCGCCTCGACCTCCCAAAGTGCTGGGATTAGAGGCATGAGCCACCATGTCCAGCCCACTTGAATATTTTAAGTGAGCATTTTTTGCTGTTTCCCAGCCATATATATCTTATATTCATCTTCTGAGAGGTAAGATGTTGTTTTAACTCAAGTTAGAAGGTATAATCCCAAAACAATGTGACTTTTTAAAATTTAAACTTTTTGTTTTGAAAAAATTGTAGATTCATATGCAATTGTAAGAACTAATACTGAGAAACCCCATGTACACTTTACTCTTTTCTCCAGTGGTAACCTCTTGCAAAATTGTAATAAAATATCACAATGAAATTATTAACATTGATGCAATCCAAGATATTGTTCAGATTTCCCCCTTGTTACTTGTACTCACTTGCGTGTGTATTTAGCTCTCTACAGTTTGATCCTATGTGTAGGTATGAGATTTTAGCACCTCAGCTCCATCATCCATCACTGTTCTTTTACAGCCTCCCCGACTTCTCTCCCACCCTTCCCTTCCTCCTTTACTTCTGGCAATCACCAATCTGTTCTCCATTTCTATAATTTTGTCATTTCAAGAATGATATGGAAATAGAATCCTATAGAATATGACCTTTGGGGATTGGCTTTTTCACTCAGCATAATTTCCTTGAGATTCATCCAAGTCATTGCAGGTATCATTACTTCCTTCATCTTTATTGCTAAATATTATTCTAACATGTGAATATACCATTGTTTGCTTAACCATTCACCCTAAAATACAACTTTTAAGAGTAAAATATGCTGAATTTTAAAAATCAAACGTATTTTTGAAATCTCCTGATGCTTTTTTCTTTTTTTTGAGACAGAGTTTCTCTCTGTCACACAAGCTGGAGTGCAGTGGCGCGATCTCAGCTCAGTGCAACCTCTGCCTCCTGGGTTCAAGCGATCCTCCTGCCTCAGCCTCCCGAGTGACTGAGATTACAGGCATGCACTGTCATGCCTGGCTCATTTTTTTGTATTTTTAGTGGAGATAGGGGGTCTTGCCATGTTGGCCAGGCTGGTCTTGAACACTTGGCCTTAAGTGATCCACCTGCCTCAGCCTCCCAAAGTGCTGGGATTACAGGCATGAGCCACGGTGCCTGGCCAATTGCCAAATTTTTAAAGTTGAATGTAAAAGAAAACTTTGCTTTTAAGGGGTGTGTGTGTGTGTGAGAGAGAGACAGAGAGAGAGAGAGAATGTGTCTGTGTAGTTTTTTTCCCCTCAGATTTTGTGGTTTGGAGGAAGTTTCTGTAAATCATGGCAGGGTGGTACTATTTCTGATCACCACCTAAAACATGGTACATCACAAAGAGATTGTCTTTGTGCCACACGGGAATTGTGTAGTGTTCACATGAATATTTCGAGTGAATATTTTTGCTTTTTCTTATACAAATATTCTTGATTTGGGATGTGTATTTCCTGTCAGTAAAAAGAAATAGGGTATTCTAACCCTATTCCTTAGTCATCCTCTGCAATATGCCCAGCCAGACTTCCAAAAAAATTTTTATTATGTTTAATAACCATCTTAAAAAAATGTAGCCTTTTAAGTAAATGAAACATGTCTTTTGTAAGTAATATAGACTTTCCAGCTTGCTTGTAGATAGAATAAATTAACGATTAAGTATAATTTCTTATTTTAACAGGAATTACACTGTCTCTTTTCATTAAAAATAATTTTAAAGGATCAATAGTCATTTAAATAATATAACTCCACCTCAATTTTTTCTATTTTCATTAATTCGTAATGACATAGTTATCCATTTTTGGGAAATTGCAAGCATATTCTCTGCCAATAAATACTAGATCTAAAAGAAAGCCATGCAAATAACAAATAATTCTGATTTTAAATTCTCTTTAATACTTCCAAAAATATTTTTTTAATCAGGCTATTTTGTATGCTAATATTTATAAAAACCTTTCATTGCTGATGGTATTTTATTGTTTATGATATTTTAAAATTTTCTTTATACTTTTTAACTTGACTCCAATTTTGTTTTCTTTTTAAACAGAGTCTCATTCCATTGCCCATGCTGGAGTGCAGTGGCATGATCACGGCTCACTGCAGCCTCAACCTCCTGGGCTCAAGCAATTCTCCCACCTCGGCCTCCTGAGAAGGTGGGACTACTGGCATGTGCCATGTCACTCGGCTCATTTTTAATTTTTTTGTAGAAACAGGATCGCCCTATGTTGCCCAGGCTGGTCTCAAACTCCTGAGCTCAAGCAATCCTCTTGCCCTGGACTCCCAAAGTGCTGGGATTACAGGTATGAGCTGTGGCTCCCAGCCTCCAATTTTTATAATGTGAGATGGGGTGATACACATCCCAGCTATCCTTTTTTTTTTTTTTTTTTTTTTTGAGACAGAGTTTCGCTCTTGTTGCCCAGGCTGGATTGCAATGGCGTGATCTCGGCTCACTGCAACCTCCACCTCCTGGGCTCAAGCAATTCTCCTGCCTCAGCCTCCTGAGTAGCTGGGATTACAGGTGCCTGCCACCACACCTGGCTAATTGTTTTGTATTTTTAGTAGAGATGGGGTTTCACCATGTTGGCCAGGCTGGTCTTGAACTTCTGTCCTCAAGTGATCCACCCACCTCGGCCTCCCAAATTGCTGAGATTACAAGCTTGAGCCACCGTGCCTGGCCCCAGCTGTCTTTATATCTTCTACAACAACTAAAATCATTAAGAATTCTTTTTTTTTTTTTTTTTTTTGAGATGGAGTCTTGCTTTGTCACCCAGGCTGGAGTGCGGTGGTATGATCTTGGCTCACTGCAACCTCTGCCTCCTGGGTTCAAGCGATTCTCCTGCCTCAGCCTCCCAAGCAGCTGGGAATACAGGCATGTGCCACCACACTTGGCTAATTTTTGTATTTTTAGTTGAGACAGGGTTTCATATGTTAGCCAGACTGGTCTCGAACTCCTGACTTCAGGTGATCCACCCACCTTGGCCTCCTAAAGTGCTGGGATTACAGGCATGAGTCACCATGCCTGGCCAATCTTTTCCAGGTGTCCTAGAGCTTCCTGTTCAGAAAAGAGGGTCCATGGTGACACTTACCCGAAGCAGCCTTTGGAAAGCACTACTTTTGGTCACACGTCTGAAATATCGGAACAAAAGTTCCATTCCTACCAGAGGAAAAGACAAAATCAAAACAACACGCCCAACAATGAAACCCAGAAACAACAACCGAGGGCTTCCCCGCTTGTGTTTCTGCAGAGCTTTCACTTGAATTTGCAAAGCTAAGTGGCTCAGATTCTTCAGAGAGGTGTTTGATTAACTATTTGGATTTATGAGTGATTTCTTAATCTATATGTAAAATTGCAGTCCTTCTGCCACACAAAACACAATTCTTCTATTTTTGGAAAACACACCTGAATCTCAGCATGCCTCACATACGTGCAATTGTGAGCAATTGCCCGACCTGGATGTCACAGTCTATGTTTCAAAAAAGCATACACTTTTGAAAAAGTTTAAATGTTTAAAACATTAAACCCATTGTTAAAAACACGTTTCCACGTGTCTTTCTTTTCTTAGAAAAAAATAAGTTTGTCTAATTATAAATATGAAAAGATACACTTCAGACTGGGTTACTTCCCAGCACAGGATTGGGTAGAGGCACACTTTGATTTTCTCTCTATTTGTTTAGATGGTTTGCATCTTCAAATAAAAACAATTAGTATGTTCTGTTTGTATAACAAAATTCTTTTCTTCATTTGTTTATTTTCAATTTCTGCGCCTATCTACTTCTGAGAGAACTTCAAGATAAAACATCAAAGCATCAAAACCACAGAACACAGACAACCTGAAGGAAACCAAGGCTAGAGACATGTGGCGTGATTGATTACAGTCAAATAGGCAAAGGTGTGATTACAGTGAACAAGGCAAAGACTCTGGCTCGTGGCTCCCTGGCAACCCCAGAGTAACAGAAAAGAGTTCTCATCCAGGCCATGAGGCTGAAGAGTGTTTTTGTTTTTGAGAAGAGAGCTTCCAAATTAATCCACTCTGGAAAAAAACAAAACAAACAACAAAAAAACACTTTTCCTAGAACTAAACCAAGCAGGAATTTATGACATAGGTCCTTGTTAAGAGAGTGAGGGAGTGGTTCAGAGAATACCATTCTGAAGTATGGTTTTACAAGAGGGAAAAATTCTGTTCAAATAGATTATTCTCACAATCACCCTTTAGAAAAGGCCTGAAATGGTAACTGAGTAAAGGCATTTCTGAGATTCTGTAGTCCTGATGATAAAAACATGTACAAAAAGACATCATTCCATATAAAAACATTTCAAGTTCCCATTGGTTTATAGGATGACATTTATATATTCTTAGACCTCGAGGGAGACACTGGTCTGCTTTCCATCACTTTGCTGGTGTCGTGGACCCACCCACAGCTTTTCAGGTATGTATGGTCCACGGCTGTATTTTTTTCATTAAAGAATTGAGAAAGGGGCCAGGCGTGGTGGCTCACACCTGTAGTCTCAGCATTTTGGGAGACTGAGGTGGGTGGATCACTTGAGCTCAAGAGTTCAAGACCACCCTGGCTAGCATGGCGAAAACCCATCTCTACTAAAAATACAAAAATTAGCTGGGCATGGTGGTGCACTCCTGTCATCTCAGCTACTCAGGAGGCCAAGACACACGAATTGCTTGAACCTGGGAGGCGGAGCTTGCAGAGAGCCAAGATGGCGCCACTGCACTCCAGCCCGGGCGAGACAACAACAAAAACAAACAAAACAAACAAACAACAACAACAAAACACACAAAGAATTGAGACAGGGATAGAGATAATAAGAAATGGCCGGGCGCGGTGGCTCACGCCTTTCCTCCCAACACTTTGTGAGGCCGAGGCGGGCGGATCACGAGGTCACGAGATCGAGACCATCCTGGCTAACACGGTGAAAGCCCGTCTCTACTGAAAATATAAAACATTAGCCGGGCGTGGTGGCGGGCGCCTGTAATTCCAGCTACTCAGGAGGCTGAGGCAGGAGAATGGCGTGAACCTGGGAGGCAGGGCTTGCAGTGAGCCGAGGTCACGCCACTGCACTCCAGCCTGGGCGACAGAGCAAGACTTTCACCAAAAAAAAAAAAAAAAAAAATTAGCCGGGCATGGTGACAGGCGCCTATAATCCCAGCTCCTCTCTGAGTCTGAGGCAGACGAATCACTTGAACCCGGGAGGCGAAGGTTGCAGTGAGCTGAGATCCCACCATTGCACTCCAGCCTGGGCTACAGAGAGACACTTGGTCTTAAAAAAAAAAAAAAAAAAGAAAGAAAGAAATAAAAGAGACAAAAAATCCCAACAATCACTATTTGAGAAAAGAAAGAAAGTAACAAGAATAACCTCCACAATCACTGTTTTTCAGATGTCTTTCTTTTCCAATGTTTGCCCATGGTTATTTTTAAGTCATTATAACCATAGGGTACTTGCAATTTTGTGTTCCTTTTCCCAGTGTATATTTTATCAGGAATTTTTTTTCACATTGCTGCATAGTCCTCTTACATATCACAAACATCTTCTTGCATTTTTCACATATATATATAAAATTGCCTTAAAACTATAAAATTTCTGGACATTTTGATGGCTCTTAATACATATTGATCAGTATTGACAGATTTGTGTTTGAAAAGGATAATATTCAAAATTAGTGTATTGATTTCACATTGTAAATGCTTATTTTAGAACGTGTCTCACCCCAATTTGGTCTAAATTTAATTTCTTTGGTTCCTAGAGAGTTGAACAAAAATGCAATGTTCGAGCAAACATTTCTATATTTTCAACTAGAAATATTTCTTTTCCTAGTCATGGAAAATATTAGAAACAAAAAATATTGCCTGTTTTATTTGTTAGATCTTAGCGTTGCTGTTATCAATTTGCCTAAGCTCATTACATAATAAAGATATTAACTCTTGCTACCCATGTACACATTCTACACGTGCTTGGTCACATGCTATGAATGTTTTTCCCTGTTTGTTTGTTTTTAAATACAGCCAAGTTTGAATCTCAAGGCAACTTCCACCATCACAAAACACTCTCCACTTCCCAGCTGGTGAATGCTCAGAGAATGCAAGCCGACTTTTATGTTTGCCTAAGCAAAACATAATTAGGAAGATGAATTTGCTGCCACCTCTCTCTCCCTGTCTTACACACACACACACACACACACACACAATCATATACCACATATAAATCAATGTCAACTCTAAGTGGCTTTTGGATTTCCTAGAGAGAGACAATATAAAACTGCTTCTGAAAAACTGGGTATGAGGTGATTCAATCTTCTTTTTGTAAAATGGGTAAAGTTATGTCACAGTCTCAGAAGAAAATAACTAATGTGAAAACAATTTGAAACTGTTTAAAAAATTCATATGCAATGCAATGACAATATTAATGATAGTTCCAAAACAATAAATATAACAATTAAAAAACAGGATGACTTTATCTGTGTCACCTCTTCTCAGTTCGCATGGGTAATTGTGGAAATTGAACCCACAGGTTGTAAAAGCTGAAGGGGTCACAGAATTGCTAGGGCAATTGATACACATGAAGATGAATTTTATTTCCCTTATAGGTTTTTTTTTTCCAGATAAAAATGTTAGTTGTAGAAATGGGGTAAAATATGAGAGGAAAATAAAAATCATCCATAGTAACATCATCTAGAAATGACAAATTAATTTTACTCTTCAGGTAACAATTTTATTCTTTTTTCTTCTGTCTTTAGAAGTGTATATTAAAATTCACATTCTATATACCTGGGTTTGTAATTCTGTGAAATCAATTTTTGCAGTAAGGAAAACGGCAAAGCCACGCATCCTTCTGTGTTTGGTGAAGGATTTTTTGCACTTGTGATAGGTTTTTATGGGTGTACAACTTTAAAAGAGATGACTTGCTTGTAAAATATTATCCAAAAGTTTGAATGTTTTTAAAAACAAAACGAAATAAGTCAAACAAAACCCCAGAGAGTAAAGGGAAAAAGGAATCCTCTAAGAAGTAGAAGAGAAGAAGTCAGCACCACCCCAAAGTAAGTTTTCTCTCTGCAAAGACACTGAGTTCTCCCTTGTGCCTGCATATAGCTGACAAGAGGAAAGCTCCCATCTGCAGCCACGGACAGGCAGGCATCTGCTTTGGGGGAGGAATCTGCAAGGAGATGGGACCTCCTTTCCCGGGCTTGCTGCGTACTTTATTATTAATATATTCAGTTCTGGTTTTTTGGCAAGTTGTAATCTCTATAATTCCTTCCCAGGTTTCTTCTGCAGGCATTAATACATACTCAGCCATCAAGTTTTTGGATCAGAGCTAGGGGCCGTGGGGTGGCACAGAAACATAAGGTGTGTCTCCCTTTCCACGAAGTCCCACTTGCTCAGGGTGCCAGGCAGCAAAAGTGGTGGCCCCCAGTAGAGTAATGCTGTCATGTGTGATATCATCTTCCCTCTCTGCCTGAGGCCAGTGTCTGTTCACTTTGACAGTCACCTTTTAATACAGTGCATCAGGGAAAAATAAGTCATGAAAATTATAAAGGGACAAAACACATTAAAAAATTAATAACATTAGAGGCACTGATTTACATTTTACTTTGATGCTTACATTTTTTACATCATAGATGTTTACATCATAGAATATGTTTAAAGATCTCATCATTTTACTTTCCTATTAAAGTTGAATATAATTCAATGCTTGGCTTGAATTGAAAGCAGCAGCTAACTTTGCACATATTGTCTCATTTAATTATTATTTTTTGAGACTGAATCTCGCTCTGTCACCCAGGCTGGAGTGCAGTGGTGTGATCTCAGCTCACTACAACCTCCATCTCCCAGGTTCAAGCGATTCTCCTGCCTCAGTCTCCCAAATAGCTGGGGTTACAGGTGTGTGCCACTATGCCTGACAAATTTTTTGGTATTTTTAGTAGAGATGGGGTTTCACCGTGTTTGCTAGGCTGATCTCAAACTTCTGACCTCAGGTGATCTACCCACCTCAGCCTCCCAAAGTGCTGAGATTACAGGCATGAGCCTCCACACCCTGCCTAATTATTTTATCTTTAAAAATTTATAATCTAATTTTTTTTTCTAAATAATACCTTTACGTTTTAAAGAATTAATGAATACTGCCCATCCGTGCTGCAAGTTACCTTGATATAGGTAGCTCAGCTCCGATTTAAACCCTATTTCTATGGTACAACAGCCCCTAGTGGGGACTCAGAGAGAAGAAACCTTTACAGAGGAAAACAGAGACATTTTTATTTCATCAAAACCAAATATAAGAAAAAAAAATCAAGGGACATAGGTCTTGTTTTATCATGCGGGAAACTGCAGAATTTTTTCATGCAATTATTTTGGACTTGGAGATTTCTCGTAATGGCACAATAATTACATATCTGTGAAAAAATCCTTCCCTCCTTTTTGGGCAGTGTCACTTATTTGTCATTTCAATAGCATTTAGTTGAAGTCAGGAAGGCAAGTTTACTGTGTCAGAAAATCATCATAGTTTGCTCTGGTAGTCTATAGTGGTTAATGACACACTGGATATCATGCAGTAATGAATGCTTTTTTAAAAAATGGAGCAAAGAGTATGGAAACTAGCTATTAATTTGATATGGCGTGGTTTAGCTAATGTAACTTATTTCATTAATATTGTGTCGTTAGCCACCAAGGGAAAGTACAAGAGTTATGATATGCTGCCTTGCAAATTACTTTAAAGATGAGAAAGTGAAAGAGTGAGTGAGACAGATACAGAGATACACACACACAGAGAGAGAGACAGAGGGAGAGAGCTCTAGTCTTCTACTGTTTATGAAAGGTCTTAAGGATATATAAATATATATATCACAAAAAGGAAAGTTGAGTTTTATCATTTGAAGAGAATGGAGAAATATTAAAACAAGCAATTCAGATTTTTAAAAAATGACTAAAATATGTTCTCCAATGAAGGTTAAGGAGTTTTCTCTTAATGCACCTCCCGATGACTATAGACTATTTTAACTCTTTTCAAACACCTAAATTTAGAAAAATTCCATATAGGCTTGATTTGCCTGTGTTACACAGACTTCGTTGCTATGACAGCAACATGATACAATTATTTATTACCATGACAATCTGCTGTAGTTTTAAAAATACGTTATCTATTTTTATTAGTGTTGTCAATTGTGCCGGGAAGGGATACCACCACTTTGCCTAATCGACAGAGCCCGTAGTGCGGGGTATAAGTGGAACTCATTTAGCTGGAGAGGCAGAGCGCAGAACAAGCCAAATTCCTTGGAATCCTCAGTGACACGCACATCCCCCACTGACAACAGTGTCCTGGCCAGCTGTCTGGCTGCAGCGAGCATTCTGGCGGGGGATGTGGGCTCCATTTACGTTTTCCTTGTGGCTTCTGCTCTGCCACGTTGGGTAAGAGTCAACATTGGATAGGACTAGAAGCTCAGAGAGGCTTGCACCCGTTAAGATACCTGCTTTTCAAGAGGAGAGAGCAAAGTGTGTACTTAGTGACCAGGCTCATGGGGACTATCCTGCTCTGAGGAGGTGGCAGGGGTTGTCTGGGGTGGATTGGTGGGGCTATTATCCAACTCGAACTGTGCCAAAATGGTGCTCCGTAGTGCCCAGATCTTAGCCCACTTTCCTCTCCTCTCTCTTGCTCTCCTGTTCCCGCCAGGCTTGTAGAAAAATAATAGAAATAATATCACTTTGGGTGCTCAGTGAACGTTTTATTCAAGAAAGGAGTATGAGATTATGTGCATGTGAATCCACAATTGAGTCATCAGAAAGCAACCAGCTAGTTAAGCCATCCTGGAAAGTTAGTTTTGGTTGCTGTTTCTAAAACACAAGGTTTTCCATATATATATATATAAATACATATATATATAGAAATACATATATATATAGAAATACATATATATATATATATATATATATATATATATATATATATATATATATATATATTTTTTTTTTTTTAAGATGGAGTCTTGCTCTGTCACCCAGGCTGGAGTGCAGTGGCGCGATCTCGACTCACTGCAACCTCCGCCTGGTTTTCCTTATAAATTGACAAGATGTGTGTGTGTTACACAAAGTGCTTTAGTGATCTTAGTTCATTTGTGTCTCACCACAATCGGATGAGTGAGATGCTACTACTGATCTTTTTTTTTTTTTTTTTGAGACAGAGTCTCGCTGTTGACCAGGCTGGAGTGCAGTGGTGCAATCTCGGCTCATTGCAAGCTCCGCCTCCCGGGTTCACGCCATTCTCCTGCCTCAGCCTCCCAAGTAGCTGGGACTACAGGCGCCCGCCACTACGCCCGGCTAATTTTTGTATTTTTAGTAGAGACGGGTTTCACCGTGTTAGCCAGGATGGTCTCGATCTCCTGACCTCATGATCCACCCGCCTCAGCCTCCCAAAGTGCTGGGATTACAGGCGTGAGCCACCGCGCCTGGCTACGCGTCTTTTTTCTCACAAATGACCCAGGCTGCCCTGAGAGCAGGTGTGTCCGGGGCCAGCCACCTGACACCATGTGCTCCATGGTCCCATACACAGAAAAGGACACCCGCCCCCTCCCCAAGACCATCACAGAGAAGTGGCCCTCACAGCAATATGGTAGCACATTGGAGCTGTGCCCTTGGAGGTGGTGTAGCCTTCAGAAGGCATCTCTCCAGGAGGGCATGGGGGCTGGACCCCACTCCAAGGACCCCCAATTTGAAATGCCAAGGGTGGGTTTATAGTAGCTTTGGCACTTTAGCTGCAGATCGGCATTATAAAATATTTTTTGTGCCTGTTGAGTGTTTTATCCAAAAGATGAGTATGATATTAGTGCAATATAACATAATCTGATCATCACCAAGTAACTTATTCTGGTGTCCTGGAAATTTGTCATTTGTAAAAACTAGGCTTATTCATACAATTCAATAAGAAAGACAAAAAGACAACTCCTCGCCCTAGTAGACATGGAGAAGTGATTCTTCCTCTCCCCAACTCCCTCGCCAAAAAATCTATGCAAATGATGAATATAAACATATAATTACATATAATTAATGTTATTATTATTTTTTGAGACAGGGTCTCACTTTGTCACTTTCTCACCTAAACTGGAGTGCAGTGGTGTGATCACAGCTCACTGAAGTCTTGACTTCCTGGGCTTCAGAGATCCTCCCACCTCAGCCTCCCAAGAGGCTGGGACTACAGGCACACCACCACACCTATTTTTTTTAAGGGATGGTGTATTAGTCCGTTCTCACACTGCTATAAATAACTTCCCCAGACTGAGTAATTTATAAAGGAAAGAGGTTTAACTGACTCACTGTTCCTCATGGCTGGAGCGGCCTCAGGAAACTTACAACCATGACAGAAGGTGAAGGAGAAGCAAAGACCTTCTTCACAAACCGGCAGGAAAGAGAAGAATGAGGAGTGAAGTGGGGAGAGCCCCTTGCAAACCATCAGATCTCGTGAGAACTCACTATCACAAGAACAGCATGGGGGGACCACCCCACAATCCAATCAGCTCCCATCAGGTCTCTTCCTAGACATGTGGGGATTATGGGGATTACAACTCAAAATGAGATTTGGGTGGGAATACAGCCAAACCATATCAGATGGGGTGTCACTATGTTACCCAGGCTGGTCTTGAATTCCTGGGCTCAAACAATCCACCCACCTTGGCCTCCCAAAATGTTGGGATTACAGGTGTAAGCCACTGTGCCCAGCCAATTGTTTTTTTAAGCGTATTGTTGCTTTGATGATAATATCAAAGTTTGGCAACGACATCTGAGGTTCAACTTATTGGAAGCCCTCTAAAAAGCAGTTTAAAGATATTTATCAAAAGCTTTTAAAAACATGACTATCCTTTGTCCCAAAAGTTCTACTTTTAGAATGCATTCTGAGTACAGGAAAGGGTATCCTCAAAATTGTATACAAATGTCACTAAATACTGAACAAGCATGTTATGGCACAAGCATTAGAATGGCTACCATGAAGATATTTTATTTATTCATTTGAGACAGGGTCTTGCTCTGTCACCCAGGCTGGAGTGCAGTGGCACAATCATAGTTCATTGCAGCCATTACCCCCTGGGCTCAAGTGATCAGCTCAGCTCAGCCTCCTGAGTAGCTAGGACCACAGGCATGCAGCACCACGCCTGGCTACTTTTTTGTATTTTTTGTAGAGATGGAGTTTTGCCATGTTGTCCAGGCTGGTCTCAAACTCCCGAGCTCAAAGCAATCCAGCCACCTTGTCCTTCCAAAAGTGCTGGGATTACAGGCGTGAGCCACCATGCCTGGCCTCATAAGATATATTCTAAAGATGATTTTAAAATATCTTTAGCTGGGCTTGGTGACATATGCCTGCAATCCCAACATTTTCGGAGGCTGAGGTGGGCGGATCACTTGAGCCCAGGAGGTCAAGGCTGCATTCCATCCTCCAGCCTGGGTAACACAGCAAGACTCTCTTCTCAGGTTATTTAAAAAAAAAAAAAAAAAAAAGTTGCACCCGTAATCCCAGCACTTTGGGAGGCCGAGGCGGGTGGATTGCTTGAGTTTGAGAGTTCGAGACCAGCCTGACCAACATGGAGAAACCCTGTCTCTACTCAAAATACAAAATTAGCTGGTAGTAGTAGTGGTGCATGCCTGTGATCCCAGCTACTTGGGAGGCTGAGGCAGGAGAATTGCTTGAACCCGGGAGGTGGAAGTTGCAGTGAGCCAAGATCATGCCATTACACTCCAGCCTAGGTAACAAGAGCGAAACTCTGTCTTAAAAAAAAAAAAAAAAAAAAAAAAAAACGGAAAGGAAAGGGAAAAGGAAAAGGAAAGAAAGGATATATCCAATGATATGAAATACCACTCATGATATACTACATCAAGTTACAAATCATATTGATGACAATCATGAAAAAAATCATCATATATGCTCAGAAAACATACTGAAAGAACTTCCACACAAATGTTCACAGTAGGCTATTTCTCAGGGGTAGGGTTATAGTAATTTTTATTATATGATTTGTGTCCATTTCTCTTTTCTCTGAATTTTCTTCAGTGAACACACTTGACCTTTGTGGTAGTGAACCATCTGCTGGTACACATTCCCGCTGGAGCTGACTGTGATCAACCTGAGGGTCAGGTGACAGAGGTCACTGGTAAATCGGCAGAACCATCAGCTCAGCCTCTACTTGTCTTGTTTCAGATAAAAATAGAGTACCTGTGAACACTTGTATTCCTGTGATAGCTTTCAGTAAGGGTGACGGAATCTTAGGTATGAGTGGGTGTCTGTCAATGGCCCCAGTCCTGGGTAGGTTTTATGAGTAATGATGCATAAGCAAGCTCGGAGCTGAAGAGAAGTATCTTGGGTCAAATTCATGTTATTATATTAATTTTAAATTTTATTTATTTTGGCCAGGCACAGTGACTTACACCTGTAATCCTAGCACTTTGGAAGGCCGAGGCAGGCAGATCACCTGAGGTCAGGAGTTTGAGACCAGCCTCACCAACATGGTGAAACCCCGTCTCTACTAAAAATACAAAAATTAGCCGGGTGTGGTGGTACATGCCTGTAATCTCAGCTACTCGGAAGGCTGAGGCAGGAGAATCACTTGAACCCAGGAGACAGAGGCTGCAGTGAGCCAAGACAGCACCACTGCACTCTAGCCTGGGCAACAGGGCGACTCCATCTCAAAAATAATAAAACAAATTTTATTTGTTATTTTTTGAGACAGAATCTTGCTCTGTTGCTCAGGCTGGAGTACAGCAGTATAATCATAGCTCACTGCAGCCTCGACCTTCCAAGGCTCAAGTGATCCTCCTGCGTCAGCCTCCTGGGTAGCTGCAACCTACTCATGTGCCACCACGCCCAGTTAATTAAAAAATATATTTTTTCTTTTTGTAGAGATGAGGGTCTCCCTATGTTGAACAAGCTGGTTTTGAAGTCCTAGGCTGGACTGATCCTTCCACCTTGGCTTCCCAAAGTGCTAGGATTACAGGGATGAGTCACTATGCCGAGCCTATTTTTAATTTTAGAAAGAAACACATTAAAAACCCTTTCTGGTTGACATAGGATTAAGGGGGTTAATAACAAGGTTCCTTGTTTCCATGCATTCATATGTACATTGCTCCCCTACAGGGTTTGTTTGTGGGTTTTTTTGAGATGGAGTCTTGCTCTGCCACCCAGCCTGGAGGGCAGTGGTGTCATCTCTGCCCACTGCAACCTCCGCCTCCAGGGTTCAGGTGATTCTCATGCCTCGGCCTCCTGAGTAGCTGGGACTACAGGCCTGCACCACCATACGCGGCTAATTTTTTGTATTTTTAGTAGAGACAAGGTTTCACTATGTTGGCCAGATCGGTCTCTAAGTCCTGACCTCAAGTGATCCACCCGTTTGGCCTCCCAAAGCACCAGGATTACAGGTTTGAGCCACCGAACTCAGCCCATTTCTCCCCTATTGTTATTTGCACTGAGACAAGGCTGAAATTCATATTCCATTGTGAGCATTCTCAATGAAAGGACGCTTTTTCATTGAGAAAATAGTTCTATATTTTAGCTCACAAGATGGTAATAGCTATCAAAAGATGAACTGATATCGGAAGAAATCTAGCCTCCTCTTCATGTAAAATTACTGAAGAATAAACTGGCAATGGATTCTGTGAATTGAAATAAGAGGGTTCTTGTTTCTGGAAAATCATTCTTAAGAACTTTCCATTTAAAAAATTTTAAAACTGGGCTATAGTACATACAAAATTACCATAGCCTTGTTTTAGGGAAGAAAACATTTCATTTAAACAAAAATACGATTTCATTAAAATGTTGCAATAGAAGTAATAAATATATAGAATTATGTTTTTTCCCCAAGATATTTTTCTGTGAATACCTTGAATTGGTATAAGTTATTTATTTAATAATGTTAAAACCATGGTAAAACACTGTGATGAAGAAGAGAGGGAGGAGGGGGAGGAGGAGGAGAGAAAGGGGCAGCTTAATATTTGCAACATATGGGCTGGGTGCAGTGGCTCATGCTTGTAATCCCAGCTCTTTGGGAGGCTGAGGCAGGAGGATCACTTGAGGTCAGGAGTTCGAGACCAACCTGGCCAATATAGCGAAACTCTGTCTCTACTAAAAATACAAAATTAGCCAGGCATGCTGGCATGCACCTGTAATCCCAGCTACTCAGGAGACTGAGGTGGGAGAATCACTTGAACTCCCCAGGCAGAGGTTGCAGTGAGCCAAGATAGCACCACTGCACTCCAGCCTGGGCAACAGAGCAAGACTCTGTCTCAAAAAAATAATAATAATAAAAATGCAACATACGTTATGGTTTGGGGACTTTTCAAACACAGCATCTCCCTGCCATCCTCAGAACTGCCCTGAGAAGAGTTGCTCTCCCCATTTTAGTGAGTGGTTTCCTGGTTAACCTGACACTGCTGGGACTACCCTGGCTCCTAGTACTCCACACCCACTGAGAGTCCTTCGGGTTTCTGAATGAATTCCTCCAAGGTACCTAATTTTCATACAGGAAGATAGCATTTCAGGGACATTAACAGCAAAAGTTATACAAGCATAGAAAGTTTAGTACATGAGGGAGAAAATACATTCTTTTTTGAGAAGACCAAAAAAGAACATTATTTCTTTTTAAGTAACAAAGTAGGAAAACCTTTTGCAGCACAATACTTTACAGATATAAAATAAAGATTTATGATCAACTGTCTTTTGAAAAATAAATACATAGAAAAAGCTAATACCTAGAAAACACATCAAGGCAATACCTTACCACCTTCACAATTTAGGCCACCTATTGAAATTGAGAAATCACTACACAATCAGAGAATCAGACCGACAGACTATCAGGTTACTTAAGGCTGATAAAGAGAGAAGGCATGTTTATATATTCATTCATTTGTTCATGCATTCATTCAACAAACATTTACTGAGCATTTACTATGTGCCAAGCACTGTGCTGAGCACTGGGAATATAACTGGGAATAACACCTGATGTGGTCCTTGCCCTCTCAGAAGCTAAGGTGTGAGGGGAGGCAGATGCCATGATGAGTGTATAACTATAAACCATGGTCAGAACCACCAAGCAAAAGTAGGACATGCCTTTAGGGCATTCATAGGATCATCTCAATAATCTTGGGGTTCAGGTAAGACACCCCTGAAGGGACCCAGATTTTGTAGCGTCTGAAGCTGTATAAGAAACTTTTTTCAGGCTGCGCATGGTGGCTCACGCCTGTAATCTCAGCACTTTGGGAGGCTGAGGCCAGTGGATCACTTGAGATCAGGAGTTTGAGGCCAGCCTGGCCAACATGGTGAAACCTTGTCTCTACTGAAAATACAAAAATTAGCCGGACGTGGTGGTGCATGCCTGTAATCCCAGATACTAGGGAGGCTGAGGCAGCAGAATTGCTTGAACCCAGGAGGCAGAGGTTGCAGTGAGCCGAGATCACACCATGGCACTCCAGCCTGGGCAACAGAGCAAGACTTGGTCTTTAAAAAAAAAAAAAAGGTTTTTAGCGTACAAAATTACAAATATAATCCTCCCACATCAGCCTCCCAAGCTTCTGGGATTACAAGCACGAGCTTCTGCACCTGGTCAAAGATATCTTTTTTAAAAGAGTAGTGCTTTGACATCATACAGATATCCAGTCCCCCAATAATTTTTCATCTAATACTTTTATCACCTATAGAAGACCCTTACCTGAATCAGTTGATACACTGAAGGTTCAAAATGGTAATTTTCTAATTCTACGCCTGTGTATTTATCAGATGACGTTTTTCAGTAAAGAAGAGCTGCTTTTCCCCCCGCATTCTCATTGTTTTCTATTTATTCATTAATGAATATTTATTGATTCGAAATGTTCTAATCAGGGCCAGGCACGGTGGCTCACACACCTGTAATCCCACCACTTTGGGAGGCTGAGGCGTGGATCACTTGAGATCAGGAGTTCAAGACCAGCCTGGCCAATATGGGAAAACGCTGTCTCTACTAAAAACACAGAAAATTAGCCGGGCGTGGTGGTGCATGTCTGTAGTCCAGCTACTCTGGAGGCTGATGCAGGAGAATCACTTGGACCCGGGAAGCGGAGGTTGCAGTGAGCCAAGATCGCTCCACTGTACTCCAGCCTTGGCAACAGAGGGAGACTCTCAAACAAACAAAAACAGTCAATATGTTCTAATCAATCATATTCATTATTAGTTTGATGCACAGATTGTCTAAATGAGGCCAGCAAAAACTCGAGAAGTCTCATGTCCGTTTGACATGACTATGTGGTCTTTGAGCATTTCTTTACTCTCTGGTGTGAGATTTCCAGGCTAATGTTAAATTCTGCTCTCGATCCGCAGGAACTCCTGGAGAATGGCATGACTCCAGTAGCCAGAATCAGAGCAAACGAATGGCAGTGGTGGGAGCCTGGTGGGGAGTGGTCCCCAAAGTTGATGCATTGCCGACTTACTGGGATCTTCAGTGGAGGTTCCCAATGCAGACAACCTTCGTAAAGCCTGTGAGAGTGCCCATGAGATAGTCATCTTCAAATATCTTCCAGACCCTGAGAGCTGAAAACATCCAGTCAGGTGTGGACTTTCCAATACCCTTCCTTCTCCCTTCCCTTCTTTAGCCACTGTGGGAGGGAAGGATGGAAAGAGAAGTGATAGGCGTGGGGCATGTCCGCTTCCCTGCCTTCCACCACTCCCCTGGGGCGGTCATATGATTAATTATCCAAACAAGATACTTTTGAGGGTGAAAGTTGGCACTAAACATAAATAAAATGTTATTTTAAAACATATATTACACAATCATTTGTTGTTTTATATAATATGTATATATATACGTATATATATGTATGTATTTTTTTTTTTTTTGAGACGGAGTTTCACTCTGTTGCCCAGGCTGGAGTACACTGGTGCAATCTCGGCTCACTGCAACCTTCGTGTCCCAGGTTCAAGCAATTTTCCTGCCTCAGCCTCCCAAGCAGCTGTGATTACAAGGATGCGCCACCATACCCAGCTAATTTTTTTTTTTTTTTTTTTTTTAAGTAGAGACGGGGTTTCATCATTTTGGTCAGGCTGGTCTCCAACTCCTGAACTCAAACGATCCACCCACCTTGGCCTCCCAAAGTGTTGGGATTACAGGTGTTAGCCACCGCGCCCAGCCTGGTGTATTATATTGTTAAAATAGTCCTATTCAAAAATAATTTTTGAAATACATTTCTTTAAAAATAAAAATATCTCTGTACATTAAAGAGAAAAATGAAATGCCTTTATGATGATTAATCTGAACATTAAAAAACATAAGCATAGCTGGGCGTGGTGGCAGGTGCCTGTAGTCTCAGCTACTTGGGAGGCTGAGGCAGGAGAATTGCTTGAACCGGGGAGGCGGTTGCAGTGAGCCGAGATTGTGCCACTGCACTCCAGCCTGAGAGAGAGAGTGAGACTCTGTCTCAAAACAACAACAACAAAACATACATAAGCAGAATATAAATCTTGTGCATATTCACATACTTTTTATCAGTTTCTTAGCCTTATTTGTTCTAACATATTTTGTAAAAATGCAGTCATCTTTTTTTAAAAAATAAAATTGGCTGTAGCCACCCTCAAAGATGCATTTTATTATGCATTTATTATGAATAATAAATTGAAATTGGTAACATTTTCAACTGAGTTTTCTCTGTAGACCATAATAACTTTAACAATATCCTCTTGCTGCAGTGAGCCACGATAGTGCCACTCTACTCCAGCCTGGGCAACAGAAAGAGACCATCGCTTAAAAACAAAACAACAACAACAAAAACCTCTCTTGATAGGTGCAGAGTGAGGTACATGGTAACCAGAGAGCAAATTCTGTTGGAGTATTCTATTTCTTCAGTCTTTGAAATATGCAAATATTTTAGTCAACCTATGTTCACAGGTATTGTCATTTTGGATTCATTCAGATACCCTTTCCTTGACAAATATTTGTGCAAGACACAATTAATTAAATGTTTTCTCTATTTTTAAAAAAATGTTTCACCATGTTTTAGATATTTCAATTACATTCTATTCTGTGACTGAACATAATACTAAACATCTAATAAAAAAAAACCCCACCCAAATAGTCCTTCCATAAATCAACATATTTCAAAGCATGATTACAGAATTTCAAAGTTAAATCTTGCAGATGATTTAGTTGAATATGTTGTTTCTCTCCTGCTTTTTAAAAAACTGAAATAAAATTCATCATTAAGTGTACAGTTCAGTCGCACTTACTATATTCACAATGTTGTACAACCGTCTTCTCTATCTAGTTCTAAAACATTTTCATCACCTCAAAAGAAAACCTTATACCCACTTAGCAGATCAGCCGTTCCCGATTCCATTCTCCACCCCTCAGCCCCAGCTCCTGGCAATCACTATTCTGCTTTCTTTTTTTTAAGATGGAGTTTCGCTCGTTGCCCAGGCTGGAGTGCAATGGCACAATCTCGGCTCGCTGCAACCTCCGCCTCCTGGATTCAAGTGATTCTCCTGCCTCAGCCTCCCAAGTAGCTGGGATTGCAGGCAGGTGCCACCATGCCCAGCTAATTTTGTATTTTTAGTAGAGATGGGGTTTTACCATGTTGGTCAGGCTGGTCTTGAACTCCTGACCTCAAGTTGTCCACCTGCCTCAGCTTCCCAAAGTGCTGGGATTACAGGTGGGAGTCACCACGCCCGGCCATTATTCTGCTGTCTTCATGAAATTACCTGTTCTGGGTGCTTCATATAAATGGAATCATACAATATGTGATCCTTGTTTCTGGATTCCTTCATTTAACATGTTTTCAAGGTTATCCATGTTGTAGTGTATATCAGTACTCTATTCCTTTTCATGGTTGAATACTATTCCGTTGTATGGATATACTACATTTTGTTTATTCATTCATCTAGTGGTGGACATTTGGATCATTCATACCCTTTGGCTAATGTGAATAGTGCTGCCATGAATAGTCCTGTACAAGTGTTTGAAGATCTGTTTTCAATCATTTGGCTTATTTACCTAGGAGTGGAATTGCTAAATCATATGGTAATCCTAGTTTTAATTTTTTGAGGAACTGCTGAACTGTTTTCCATAGCGGCTGCACCATTTTCTATCCCACTGCTATTTCATAGCAGTGTACGAGGATTCCAATTTCCCCACATCTTCACCAACACTTATTTTCTTTCTTTTGAGACGGAGTCTTACACTGTCACCCAGGCTGGAGTGCAGTGTCATGATCTTGGCTCACTGCAACCTTCGCTTCCCAGATTCAAGCGATTTTCCTGTCTCATTCTCCTGAGTAGCTGGGATTACACACGCCTGATTAATTTTTGTATTTTTAGTACAGACAGGGTTTCACCATGTTGGCCAGGCTGGTCTCAAACTCCTGGCCTCAGGTGATCCATCTCCCTTGGTCTCCCAAAGTGTTGGGATTACAGGCGTGAGCCACACACTGGCCTTATTTCCTATTTGATTAATGAATTATTATTATAGCCATCCTAGTGGCATGAAAATGGTATTTCATTGTGCCTTCCTTACTTTTGTGGAGAAAAAAATTTAATATTTTCCCACTTCAAGCTTTGTTTTCAGCAATTGCCATTCTCTAAAAAGCCTTAAAAGCTGATTGTTTTTTTGGTTGCTTCATTCTTTGAATATTTGATTGAATATTCCTACCAATTTGTTTGGAACAAAATGTAACCAAAATGCAACCAACATTTGGATGACTCATTTTCATAAATGTTTAATTCCATTACAGGATATTTTGGTTGGTTTATAAAATATTTCTTTAAAGGCTCCAATATGTTTATAATCTTATTCATGACTAAGAGGGAAAAAAAAAAAGCCCAAGGACGTGACATACTGCCATGCCAAAGTATGTTTTTGTGCTCACCATCATCTCAGCAGCAAAAAATTACTAATTTTTAGTTCAGTTACTAATAGGTGGGTAGAAAGGCAGATAAACAGATAACCACTGCTTCCACTTTAAAAAGAAAATTTATCAGCTTGTTTAGAAGCAATAAATTATCTGTGCACCACAACCACTTCTAAATCGATTTCTGCTCCATAAGTTTCTTAATTTAGCATTAACAATGTTTTAACTACAATACTATGCGCTCCACTAAAGTTGATAATTCTGTTATCACTATAAAAACAATTTTATCTTTAATGTAGAACTTCTTACTTGGATTTACAAAATTATCCATCTATCAGCTGTTTCAGTGTTGACAGTGAGCCTCCAAAAACCTGACTTTGACACCATGAACTAGATGAAAACCATTACATTACTATTACAGTTCACTGTTTGAGTTTGAAGAACCTGACGTCACTGATATAAATCAGGCATGACTTGACCATATGCAAAATTCTTCTGCTTCCAGTGGAGCCAGCATATTAACAGCTACGGTTTCCCTTTTCTATGTGCACAAGGAAACGTGGAATAGAAAATGAGCAAAATTCAATTTGAAGAAAGACATTTGATCTAAATGAAAAGTCATGCTTCCCAGAGTAATATATTAAAACCCTGTCTGCAATTGCAAGCATTATATATAATAGATGTTAGTGCATTTTCAGCAGATTGCTGTTTTCTGTTTATGTGGTCAGTAAAATTGTCACAGCTCCCCTGGTGGGAGAAATGTTGACAGACATCTTGTGCAAATTATGTATTCTTCATCAAATTTTTTAAGAAATGGAAATGCAGTACTTAATGTATCTCATTAAACATGCACCTACATTGTTTTATGGGTCATTGCTGCTGCAGGTCTATTACAAAATAAAAATCATTACCAATTAATAGTTGTGGATTTATATAATATAATAAGTAACAATAGCACCAGAGCAAAGGTTTTCAGATGACTCTCTAAATGCCTGTTAGCAGGATTGCAGCTTCTATTTTCTGCACATATTTCACTCACACCTAACCTATGATTTCCTGTATTATCCTAACTCTGCCGAGTGAAGCCTGGCAGCTTTGTGACTCAGCGCAGACCATGGTATGCCTGGCCGGTACACCATGCGGCTGGTCAGCCCAGAGGCGCCAATTATTCTCTCACCACTGAGACTGAAAGGAGCCAGCTGTCCCCAGATGCTTGTGTGTGGGCAAACTGTTCTATTATAGCCATCACCCGACATGCCATCCCCGAAATGAAGGTGTGAGTTACTTTGGGTCTGGAAAGAACTAGGGAGAGTTTCATTCATCTTTCAGTTTTCACATTTGAGCTAATTGTGCATGAGTCTTGTTTATTGTGCATGAATTTTCATGCTTCTAGTAGAGAACTTGGAAGCACTGGAAGTACCAAGTGGAGGTCCCCAAACCCATCCTAGCTTCTTTTAATGCAACTATTATTAATAATACTTCATGGAAACTGGAAAACCCAGGACAGATACCAACAAGGACAGGATGTCAGGGCAACAGACGTAAACTGGGGGTGTTCCAGGCAAACCCTGATGTATGGGCATCCAGTTCTCAGCTGCCTGAAGGGGAGAAGTCTGAGCTTTGAGTGACAGTTAAAATGTTGACTAATGTCTTAGACTGGATGCTTTTAATCTGTGACTTAGGGTTGTCGGTTGCTTAAGAGTCAGCACAAAGGTACGGGGTCAGCCTCTGGGAAAGTGAAGCCTTCCAGAGAGAAAACCAAGCAGTGCACCAACCTGTCCACCTGTGATGGAATTCCAATGAGCAGGAAAGAAATAAAAAATCTAAACCAAACACCACATGTCCTCATTTATAAGTGAGAGATGAACAGTGAGAACACATGGACACACCCGGGGGAGGGCAACACACACCGGGGCTTGTTCTGGGGGCTGGGGGAGGGAGAGCATCAGGATAAATAGCTAATACATGCTCGGCTTAATACTTAGGTCACAGGTTGATAGGTGAGCACATCACCATGGCACATGTTTGCCCATGTAACAAAGCTGCACATTCTGCACATGCATTCTGGAACTTAAAATTAAACTTTAAAGAGAGAAATAAAAATTGCAGGAGATCAAAAGGATTAAATAGAACCTCCCATGCATAGGCCATCTCTCCCCACTTTTTCATGTGGCTGGGTAGGATCATTGAGCTGACATTTATTTCATTTCCACATTTTAAATTGCTTTACCCCAATCATGTTCAAATTTATAGAAGGTGTCATCTCCTAAAGTTGTGGGATTGTGATGATGTAGAACTTATTTTTTAACATTATGCAAGAAGCTTGTCATTGAGTGACAGCTGTTCTTCAAAGTAGGACATTTAAAACCTTGGAAGGCTACCCACATATTCCAGTGATAATAAAAATACAAATGATAACTAATATGTATTAAGAATGTACTAGGTGCCAACCTCTGTCCTGAGTGCCTTCTCCAGGTTATCTCATTTAATCCTCACAACAGACCTATATGGCAGGCACTTATTGTGATTTTACCAATGAGGAAACTGAGGCCCAGAAGGGATGTTAGAATTAAAACTTTCCAATGCATAGATAATAAATATGTTAAATTATTCTTGGTTAAGACACTCAGCTGGGATTCAGAGCCTGGTCTGTTTTTTGTTTGTTTTTTGAGACGGAGTCTCGCTCTGTAGCCCCGGCTGGAGTACAGCGGCACAATCTCGGCCCACTGCAAACTCCGTCTCCCGGGTTCAAGCAATTCTCCTGCCTCAACCTCCTGAGTACATGGGATTGCAGGAATGCGCCACCATGCCCAGCTAATTTTTGTATTTTTAGTAGAGACGGGGTTTTACCATGTTGGCCAGGCTGGTCTCGAACTCCTGACCTCATGATCTGCCTTCCTCGGCCTCCCAAAGTGCTGGGATTACAGGCGTGAGCCACTGCACCCAGCCGGTCTGTTTGGTTTTAAGAACTGAGCGGGGCCAGGCGCAGTGGCTCATGCCTGTAATCCCACCACTTTGGGAGGCCAAGGCAGGTGGATCACCTGAGGTCAAGAGTTCGAGACCAGCCTGACCAATGATGTGAAACCCCGTCTGTATTAAAAATACAAAAATTAGCCAGTCATGGTGGCACGGGCCTGTAATCCCAGCTACTCGGGAGGCTGAGACAGGAGAATCACTTGAACCTGGGAGGCAGAGGTTGCAGTGAGCTGAGATCGCACCATAGCACTCCAGCCTGGGCGACAAAATGAGACTCCGTCTCTTAAAAAAAACAGACAGACAAAACCTGAGCTGGGCTAGTTATAATGCCCCAAGCAGGCTGGGGAGATCAGAGTGGGACTAGAGACAAACACAGGCAGATAGGAAAAAATGCTAAGCTGAACGCTAACGGGCCAAAACATTTGGCCTATCTAGGGAAACAGAGTGTGGCACGTGGCTCCTTGGAGGTGTGTGTGGCGGCTGCCCATCCCCTTGGTGGAATATTCTGGCAAGAACCTGGGTTTGTGTTTCGTCTCAGAGGTGGCTGCCCGTCTGCGGTTACACCGCGGCTCATTGACCTGGGCGCTCAGCAGTCTTTTTTGGTTCTGGGATGAAAGGAGCCATATGAATGGAACTTTCATTCACTTGCGGGTCTGCCTGCCCATCAAGTTTGAGGCCAGCCCTGGAAAGGGTTCCTCTGTGCCCAGGGGAGCCACAGTGGGCACTGTGTCCTGCAAGCAGAACGCTTCCTCCTTCTCCACTGACTTCTCTCTCCGTTCTTTTGCAAGGCTGTGTTTAGACTGGGATTTCCCATCCTCTCAGCTAAGATGATTTAGAAATACCAGTTCTTCATACTTTTCATTCTTGAAAATAATGGTTCACAGAGGCATGTTTAAATACATCAACGTAATTTGTTTTCAGCTTTCAAGTGACCAAAAAGCCTATCGGTTTTCTTTTTAAAAAACATAAAAGTTCAACAATTTTTTGTTTCCAGAGCATCAGTATTTCTCTGAAAGAGAGAATAAAATATACCATGCCAATCATCCTAGTATAATGACAGTCCATTTAAAACCAGACAATGTCTACATTATCAAGTTAGTAACAAACCAAAAACACAGTTTGTTAAAGGTAAAATTTGATGACTTAAAAGCCAGTTACATTAAAATAAATTTTTTTATCAACTTATTGCTACACAATAAGAAAATTGAACCCTTTAAAATAAATACCTTTTGAAAGAAGAGCAAAGTTTCATGGAAATGCTTTTTTTTTTGAGACGGAGTCTTGCTCTGTTGCCCAGGCTGGAGTGCAGTGGCACAATCTTGGCTTACAACCTCCACCTCCCTGGTTCAAGCAATTCTCTTGCCTCAGCCTCCTGAGTAGCTGGGATTACAGGCACCTGCCACCACACCTAATTTTTTTTTTTTTAACGTAAAGGCAGGGTTTCACCATGTTGGCCAGGCTGGTCTTGAACTCCTGAGCTCAAGTGATCTGCCTGCCTTGGCCTCCCAAAGTGCTGGGATTACAGGTGTGAGCCACCGTGCCTGGCCAGGAAATGCATTTCCTCACCTGGGAAATTGGAGAGGACAGTGTTGTGTGATGCAGCCCAAGGAGATTCCATTGGAATTAAAATGGGTAATTGGCAAATAGAAAGTATTGAAACCAATTTTCACAGCAATTGCCTATTGTCCAAGAAAAGGCTGAGACTTCCTGGCCCAAGGTGTCCCTGCTAGTGTGCGTGCCCACATGCATGTATGTTAGCATGTATGCACACAGCTGGAGAATGTACTAGAAGCAGAATCCCTGATGCCTCAGCTCAGGCTGATGGCCCCTTGTCACATCTCACACTTGGGAGAGGTTTGCTGCTTGCAAAGACAGCTAGGTGGGCCCATTCTAATCTGTCGGGAAAGAGCTTTTATGATTGTCCCCATGACAGTGAACATGTCCCAAGTAGCTACAATGTACCAAGCATTTGACAAGTGCTATTTTATCCAGTCCTCGCTCATTCCTATAAGGATGCTGTCGTTATTATCCTCTTTTCTCAAGCAGGAAAACTGGGCTTAGAGATAGTAAATGACTCGTCGAAGTTACATAGCTGGGAAATACTAACCTGGGGTTTCATGAACAATTTTGTGAGACTCTGGGCCTAACCAGTCCTGCTTCTGGGATCTGGGGTCCAATTAGCAACAATAACTCGCTGACTCCTCCAGTCCAGCCCTATGGGTTAGATATTACTATCAGGTCCATTTAGTAGATAAGGCCATTGAGAACAGAAAGCTTAGGGAGCAGGTCCCAGCCTTATGTAGCTGATACGTGGTAGCTCTGGAATGGAACTATGATTATTCTGGCTCCTGAAACCATGCCATAAACCACTACGCCATGCTGCCTCCCAGTGACTAACGTTCCTTCTTTGCACCATTCTCAGGCAGCTCTGGGAGCACTGGGGCACCATCTCCATGGCGTAGACTTCTGTTCTCATGACAGGCACTTCGCGGTCAGCAACAGGGTGGCCCCTCAGCTGCATAAGCTGGCCAAAAGACCTGGGGCAAGGTCCTGCTGATGCAGGTGGGGACAAGAACAGGCCCTCTGCTCTCTCAAGGTTACAGGACCAATGAAGATGTAATGAGTTAGGTACAAAAACTGCAAATGAAGAAATGAGCCATTATGAACAAAAGGGAGAAACTGGGAAAACAGTATTATTTTAAGTGCTCATTTGAATTTACAAAATGTCTTTACATTAAAAAAATGTATTTGTGGGCCGGGTGCGGTGGCTCACGCCTGTAATCCCAGTACTTTGGGAGGCCGAGGCGGGTGGATCACAAGGTCAGGCGTTTGAGACCAACCTGGTCAATATGGTGAAACCTCGTCTCTACTAAAAATACAACAATTAGCCGGGCGTGGTGGCGCATGTCTGTAGTCCCAGCTACTTGGGAGGCTGAGGCAGAAGAATTGCTTGAACCTGGGAGGCGGAGGTTACAGTGAGCCGAGATCGCGCTACAGCACTCCAGCCTGGGTGACAGTGAGACTCCGTCTCAAAAAACAAAAAACAAAACAAAACAAAAGACATATCCATCTAAGCCTTAGATTCTAAGGTAATGTCCTTTCAAAAGCGTTAGGAATTTTAAAAAGAATCCCAGAAGGGAAAGAGTAAAAGCTTGTCTTGCTGATCTTTGCAGATAAAATGAAGTACACTCAAGATGGAAAACCCAGAAGTCTTTCCCAGCTAGCTCTGGGGTGGCATGATTTGCTTGGGTGGGTCTCCAGGGCCTGTCCACTCAGGGGGCTTCTCCCCCAGGTCTCAGCCCCACAGCAAGCCCCAGGGTCACAGCCAGGGCCCAGCTCTGCCTCTGGGGCTGAGTTAAGGATTTTCGTTTTCAAGGCTCTCCTCTGCCTCTCACAAGCATTAAATCCACACCTTTTTATCCCTGTTTTCCAAAAAAAGGCAGCTGACTCTCCTCCCCGACAAAGCAAATAGAAAACAGCACATCCTAGGAAGGCCCTCCCTGGCCAATGTTTGTGCCCATGTCATTACTAAATACTCCCGCTTCCAAAGGCTGCCCACCTCTCCTTCGTGACTACTCTTTATTTCAGCAGCCGGCCCTCCATAAATCCTTCCGGGCGTTCTACTATAAACAGGCCTCTTCTCACGCTGAGACGGGCCTCCCTGCCAGCTCTATAGACATGCGCCAGCTCCCGCGGACGCTCTGACGTGCCCAGCCTGGCCTGGGCATTTATGAGCATCGCAGCCAGTGGCCAGGGGGGCCGCCTCCTGCCCAGGGCTTGGAGAGGATCAGTTCCCATGGCCCAGGCCCACATGGGAAGCACACCCCAGGCAGAGTTGTTATGAGGCATTCACGGAGCTGAGACAGGCCCCAGGCAAAACTGGGCAAAAGGTGCGGCCTGAGACATTTCTGAGGTATTCATGTCTATTTCCTTCTCTGTGTTTCTCTCCTCCGCCCTATTTACAAGCATCTCATTGGGCCTTTTGTAATTATTTACCTCAGGGAATTTTGCTTCACTAAAAGCTTCAAGTGTGTGTGTGTCTGTCTAGAAGCAAAGGATCCTGTCTTGAAAAACTCTCAGCTTGTTGGACAGATTTTGCTGGAAGTCCCAAAGAAGAGCTGAGAGAGAGGGGACTGTCTTCAGGCCACAGAAAGGCTCCTGCTGGTACTCAAGGAAGCTGGATGCCCCTGCTGAGGTTCCCAGACTGGATAATGCTACAGAAGCTGAAAGGCAGGAGTTCGAGACCAGCCTGGCCAATGTGGCAAACCGCGTCTCTACTAAAAATACAAAAATTAGCCAGGCATAGTGGCAGGCACCTGTAATCCCAGCTACTCGGGAGGCTGAGGCAGGAAAATCGCTTCAACCCAGGAGGCGGAGGTTGCAGTGAGCTGAGATGGTGCCACTGCACTCCAGCCTGGGCGACAAGAGCGAAACTCCAGCTTAAAAAAAAAAAGCTGAAAGGCACCCCATAGGAACCTCGAAGCTTGACTGATGCCACCATAATGCTGCTATGATGGACAGGAAGGTAGTGTCATGCCCCTGGGGCCCTGTGGGCCTCTCTGGTCTTTGTGAAACCAAAGGAGGGAGCTCTGATTCTGAGTCAGGTGAAACGTCCCTCAACTGCGCCGGCTGCAGCTTCAGAGTCATCTGTAGGCTTCTTTGAAGATGTGGTAGGCAGAATTGTGGCTCCTTCAAAGATGTCCATTCCGAATCCCCGGTCCCTATGGATATACCACACCTTACCTGGCAAAGGAAATTCAGGGAGACTCTCTGGGGTCATCCTGGTGGGCTCAATGTAAACACAAGGGGCCCTAACTGTGGGAGAAGTGGCTGAAAGAAGAGAATCTAGAGATCTAGAGATCTGAAGATGCTCTGTTGTTGGCTCTGAAGATGGAAAGGATGTGGGTAGCTTCTAGAAGCTGGAGAAGGCAGATACAGATCCTCTCTTAGAGCTTTCAAATGGAACACAGCTCCAGGGTGTTGGATTTCTTATCTTGTAACAATTATAAGATAAGAAATCTGAGTTTTAAACCACTAAGTTTATGGTGACTTGTTACAGCAGCCATGGAAATAAATTGAGGCCAGTCACTGTGGCTCACACCTGTAATCTCAACACTTTGGGATGCTAAGGCAGGAGGATTTCTTGAGCCCAGGAATTCAAGACCAGCCTGGGTAACACAGGGAGACCCCGGTCTCTACAAGCAATAAAAGATGTAGACACAGTCGCACACACTTGTGGTCCCAGCTACTCGGGAGGCTGAGGTGGGAGGATCGCTGGAGGGTTGGGGCTGCAGTGAGTCCTGATTGCATCACTGCACTCCAGCCTGGGCAACAGAGAGACCCTGTCTCAAAACCAAAAAATAAATAAGTAGATAATACTAAATGAAATGAATATTTCATACACATTGGCTGCTTCCGCTTCGCAGCTTCTCCCCTCTCTTGCTGTGCTTCCTCCAGACTCTCCATTTTGCCCATGTCTCAGGGACCCCACGAATATTCAGTTCCACACTGTTCAATCCCACAAGCATTCCCTGTGTGCCATTCCCCATAAAATGCCATGGAGTGGAGTGGGGTTGGAAACAAGAGGACCAGTAGAAGCCTTTCCTCATCCTCAAGACAGTCCCCTCTCCCCCCATTCTTCCTTCTCACCTCTCTCCCCATTCTTCGTCACCTCTAGCAAAACCTGTCCACCACTCCTTCGCTCTGGAGCAGTGAGCTCCAGAGAGACAGACACACGTGTGACTAACTCAGGCACAAGGCAGGCTGTGGCAAGTGTGGTTCCAGAAACATGAACAAACGGCTATGAGGGTAGGGGAAGAAAGAGAGACATATCAGCTGGGAGACTGAATTACTCATCTCATTTGAGGACAAAACCAAAGGCAGGACTGAACTCAAGTTGGGATGAGAACTACCTAGCACACGTACTTGAGGCATCTATGGCAATGGCAATGGTCTTGCCAATGGCAGTTATCACTAATCAATTACTAATTCATTTTTCTCTGCAGAGCTCAGACTCTGTCTCAGAAGTTTTCTCAATTTAGTGCTCCTGGCAGCCAACAATCATTGAACATATTTGGCACTCATGGTAAAAACCTATTTGCCACATCTATGGTTAAGGTATTTACCACAATGAGATGGTGTCAGGTAAATAATATAGAAATGTCTGAACCCCAATCACCCCTTTTCCCCTTTATTGCTGCCGGGAGGTACCCCGCTTGGGCCATCTGTACCCTCTAGTTCTTCCAGGTTGTCCAGTATCTAGGGTTCCGATTCCTAAAAGATTGCTGGCTTGTATTGCAATCCCTCAGGGCAAGACAATAGAGAATGTTCCTCCCAGGGCAACAATTAAAGAATTCTATGACCTCTCTCTAGACCTCAGGCTCCAAGGTGAGGGCAATAGAGATTGGTGTGAGGTGAAGGTAAGAAGGTTCAGGAACTAAATTTACAAAAGATAAGCCTCCAAAGTGAGGGTCCTTGCTACCCAAGTATGCCCCGAAATGGTCTTGGGCAGCAGCCAGATGGAAAATGACCCAGGATCCTAAGAACTCCACAAAGGTGGAATGGGGTGGTCAGCCAGGTGGAACATGGATGCTGGCCTGGCCCTGCCTGGATGACCTGAACTTACGATTTTAATGACAAATTAATACATTCTCACTTAAAAAAATCCAAGCAGCAGAAACATGTAACATTTAAAGTTTCCTTTTCCTCTAACCTCATTACTACTCCCCAAATGTAACCTTTAAGTTAAAAAAAAAAAAATCCTAATAGAAAAATTCTGGCCAGGCATGGCGGCTCATGCCTGTAATCCCAGCACTTTGGGAGGCAGAGGTGGGCAGATCACAAGGTCAGGAGATCAAGACCACGGTGAAACCCCGTCACTACTAAAAATACAAAAAATTAGCCGGATGTGGTGGCGGGCACCTGTAGTCCTAGCTACTCCAGAGGCTGAGGCAGGAGAATGGCATGAACCTGGGAGGCGGAGCTTGCAGTGAGCCGAGATCGCGCCACTGCATTCCAGCCTGGGCAACAGAGCGAGACTCCATCTCAAAAAAAAAAGAGAAAAAAGAAAAAAGAAAAAAAGAAAAATTCTATGCACACAATATATGTGAATATATGTTTGTGATGAAGTGCCCCCCCCATAAACATAAAAAGGATCATGATCATGCTGAACGCACTGCTCTGAAATGTCCTAATTTTCACCAGCTAATCATCCCATGATGTCACATACAGGGGCAGGGGCAAGACTGGGCATCGGAGCCAGACCTACTGGGATAAAATTCTGGCTGGACACTTATTACCTGAGTGACCTTGGGCAAGTTCCTTAACTCCTCTACATTCCCCTACATGGAGAGACACCTCCAGACATAGAAAAATACCTTTTCTGGCTGGACGCGGTGGCTCATGCCTATAATCCTCAGCACTTTGGCAGGCTAAGGTGGGAGGATCGCTTGAGCTCAGGAGTTCGAGACCAGCCTGGGCAACAGAGAAACCCTGCCTCTACAAAAATAAAAATAAAAAAAATTAGCTGGCCATGGTGGCACGCACCTGTAGTCTCAGCTACTCAGGAGGCTGAGGCAGGAGGATCACTTGAGCCCAGGAGACCAAGTCTGCAGTGAGCTATGATAGCACCACTACACTCCAGCCTGGATGACTCAGTAAGACCCTGTCTAAAAATAAAATAATAAAATAAAGAATATACATTTTCCTTTTCAAAATTATTTTTGGCCAATGTAATATAGTATATTTGTACATTTTTTTTTAATCAGTGCTATCTGGTAGCTGTAACTATTTCAATTTGGTCCACAGTCACTGTGGTTTGATTGCTGCTCTGTAAGGTCCTCCCTTCTGGGGCTGGATGATTATGGCCCAACAGCCACCATCTCCAGTGCCCAAAGGAAATCTCCCTTATGGGAAAACTTGGCTACTGGCCTCATCCCCCAAGACCCAGCTCGGAGAGCTCCCGTCTCCTAAGTATCCCTAAGCTCTGCTTCAGGTGGGCATGCCTGGTCCATTGACACCCCTCTGTTATGACCATCACAGCCCTCTTCCTGCAGGTCCACGTCCTCTAGTCGTCTAGGAATGCCTAGAAGGCAAGGGCTCTGGCTTGTTTATCTTTATGATTCCAGTGAGAGTGCTTGGTGTTTGAAACAGAATGTACATTCTAAGAGAGTTGAATGAATGAATGACTAGACATCTTAGACTTAACATGTTCAAAACAGAACTCTCCATACCCCCACGCTCTCCTCCCCACCCTGGTAAATAGCACCCCTGCCATCTTGTCGTCTAGCTAACAGCCTTTTTGCCATGTTTGACTCCTCTCTTTCCTTACTACCGTGTCATCTCAGCCCAGCGCTCCAACTCCAAAATATGCCCCCAATCCCACTCCTTCCTTCCGCCTGCCACACCATTATCCAATTCAGAGCCATAGTCATCTCTCACCTCCATTATGTAATGGCTTCCTAACCTGTCTCCCTGCCTCCTCTTGCCCCACCTAGTCCAGCCCTTACTCCACAATCAGAGTAATCTTCCTACCCAGCCAAGTGCGCCATGCTTCTAGCCTGCTTAAGGCCCCTCCTCCAGTGACTTTCCATGGCCCTTACCATAGAATCCAAATGTCTTGCTGTGGGCTACAGGCCAGCTTATCTGAATGGTGCCCTGTGGTCCCCCCCCCCACCCCGCCATTACACACCAGTCTCCTCCCACCCTAATCATTCTTCTGCAGACCCCCAGCCTCCCGGAAATGCCTTGAGCATGCCAAGCCCTCTCCTCTGCCAGGCCTTCCGTCTGGAATGGTCCTCCCAGCCTCAGCTACTCCCTTCTCTATCTGGGATGCAGTGTAAATCCCACCTCCTCTGAAGGCCTCTCTGATGACTCTCCTCACATCACTTAGCAGCATTCTGTCTGCTTTACTTTACTACTTTGACATCATCCTACCTATTGTTTCTTGTCCCACCAGAATGTCTACCACAGGAAGCAGAGACCTTTCTTGTCTTGTTCAGTGCTGTATCCCATGTGCTTAGAACAGGGCCTAGCACATAGTAGATGCTCAAAAAATATGTGTGGGATGAAGAAATGCCTGGTAACCTCTCTTTGCCATTTTTTTCCTGGAGAAGCTGTGCACTGATTTCAAAGACTTACAATACCAGTACTGCCAAGCTAGAAAGAAAGTTGAATTTGAAGAGTATTTGATAAGATGATTTTTAAAGCTTTGGGTTGTATGGTGCTTAATATTTTCACTTTGCCTACCTATGCAAGGGAGGGTGAGACAGTAGAAAAGTCCTTTTGGGCAATGGAAAACTGTTAGAACTACGGTCTCCACCCAAAAGCCACTTTGAATCCTTCATGCTTTGAGACAAGAGAGCAGAGGAAAAAGTGCCTGTGTAATACTCGTCTGTAAACCAGCAATCTCAAGCTTCATAGTATTGATGGTTTTAGCAACTAATTAAGAAATCTTGATATTACTAAAGATAGAGATAATTGACATGGAGTCTGAGAGGCTTCACATATCTGTAATTAGTTCAAAGTCAAGTACTAAGAAAAGGTGTCCCTGATGGAACAGTCTTCCTGAAGAAAACCAGGGACATTCAAACCAGTGTGTCCTCAAACCACTCAACAGAGTTGCATTGCCACTAAAAAAGAATCCTCCATCTGTGTTTACATGTGGAATTAGTCACAGCCAAAAAAGATGGTTATAGTATCAAGTGAGGCTGGGGCACCCTTTGGATTTGTAAATTGCTGAATTGCATTTGAAAAACTTCATTCAAGGAGTGCAATTGGTAATATGGAGATACTTTCTGCGGGGAATCAAGGAGACTTCCTCAAAAAGTGCCATGTCATACAGTGTGTGCTTTTGAGCACCATCTCATCTGGTATTTGGGACATAACAGAAATCTGAGCTCTATTCTATGAGTGTCAATGTCTAGTTGAAAACAACAGAGTAAAACAAAATATCTATCAAGCTAGTTATTAAAAACCAACACACGACCGGGCGTGGTGGCTCAAGACTGTAATCCCAGCACTTTGGGAGGCTGAGGCAGGCGGATCACCTGAGGTCGGGAGTTTGAGACCAGCCTGACCAACATGGAGAAACCCCATCTCCACTAAAAAATAAAAATAAAAAAATTAAATAAAAAAAAATAAATTACAAAAATTAGCCGGGCATGATAGCACATGCCTGTAATCCCAGCTACTCGGGAGCCTGAGGCAGGAGAATCGCTTGAACCTGGGTGGCAGAAGTTGTGGTGAGCCGAGATCGTGCCATTACACTCCAACCTGGGCGACAAGAGCGAGACTCCGTCTCAAAACAAAAAACAAAAAACAAAAACACACGCTTATAGGTTCTCCATCGTCTGCCCCAACAAACTTGAAGAATACCTTTTTTTTTTTTTTCCCCTCAGACAGAGTCTTGCTCTGTCGCCCAGGCTGGAGTGCAGTGGCACGATCTTGGCTCACTGCAACCTCTGCTTCCCACGTTCAAGCAATTCTCCTTCCTCAGCCTCCCGAGTAGCTGGGATTACAGGTGCCTGCCACCATGTTCGGCTAATTTTTGTATTTTTAGTAGAGATGGGGTTTCACCATGTTAGCCAGGCTGGTCTGAACTCCTGATCTCAAGTGATCCACCTGCCCCGGCCTCCCAAAGTGCTGAGATTACAGGTGTGAGCCACTGTGCCAGGCCAGCAAACTTGAATACTTCTTATTCAGGACTCTAACAATGGCTTACTCTGCAGGGTGGGGGAGATGAAGGGAACTCAACTCTTGAGGGGGCGTGGGACAGATATGCAGTCTGACAAAGCCTCCTGGATGATTCTTGTACACTGTCCTGGGGGATCATGACTCTCCACAACCCCCCACACCTTCCCCATCAGAGAATCACTGCACTCATCATTTTATTGAATTTACACTTTAAAAGGTGGATCTGACAGAAATGAAATCAGTGACTCCTTGGAGCTCAGGGTGGGAGGAACTTGGCTGCAAATGGGCACAGTGGAGCTTTCTGGGACAGTGGAAGTCTTCCAACACTGGGTAATGGTGAGGGTTGCACAACTGTATGTTACTAAAACTTGTCCAACTGTACACTTAAAATGGGTGTATTTTATGGTATCTAAATTATATCCCATCAAAGCTGCTAAAAAAAATGGGTCAACCTAATCTGTATGTGTAGATACAATGCCCAAACCACGCTCACTTTCTCCACCCACCTTCTCCAGAATCCCTGTTATCTCAATGGAAGGTGTCACATCCACCCAGATGCCTGGGTGTCTGCCATCATTAATCTCTTTACACCTATGTATCACCTACATCTCACCTACTTCTGACCAGTTCTGCCTCTCTAATATCTCTGGAATCTGCTCACATCTCCCTATCCCTGATTCCACCACCTAGTTCAGGCTGTCATAGTTTCTTTCGAAAGACTGTGAGTGCCTCCTAATGATGGGCCTGCTCTCACCTCCCAGTGCCTTTCCCTCCACCTCAATGATAACACTCCTTCAACCACTCGCCATGGTCCTGAGGACAGAACTTCAGCTCCCCTGCAGGGCACAGTTTACAAGACCTCCCACAACCCAGCATCTGTTTATTTTCCCAGCCTTATCACTTGGCAAACCAAATTGACTTACTTATCTATTCTGTGAAACAAGATAAGCTTTCCTTCTCTCCCTTGCTCAGGCAGCCTTCTCCCCACACTCAATCACTAGGGCAGAAACAGTTGGTCGCTTCCCAGTAGTTCCCCTTCTTCTTCAGTAAGGACACTGACTTCTATAATACCTGGACACCTTGCCATGCAGTCAAAGACCTCATACCCTAGCCTTCCTTGCAGCTATGTAGAACAATGTGATATGTTTTGGTCAATGAGGAAAGTATGGCACATCAAAAGGCCTCCTTAAAAGGCGAGGGCTTCTCTTCCTTCCCTTCTATGTTTATGCTGCCTGGAATGAGGCTGTTGCAGCTGGAGCTCCTGCAACCATCTTAGACCAAGAGGTCATGTGGAGATGGAGCCACACCTGGCAGTGCAACAAGATGGCAGGACCTTATGTTGCCGATGCACAGAGAGCCTCAAATCACGTCTGGTCTTTATATGTGAAAGAAATGAGCTTCTACCTTGTTTCAGCAATTATTCATTTAGGTCTTGGCTATTTGTAAACAAGCAAGATCTTAACTTACATAGAGTGTTTTCAAGCACTTTTTTTTTTTTGAGACAGAGTCTTACTCCGTTGCCCAGGCTGGAGTACAGTGGTGCAATCTTGGCTCACTGCAACCTCCACCTCCCAGGTTCAAGTGATTCTCATGCCTCAGCCTCCTGAACAGCTAGGATTACAGGCATGCGCCACCACACCCGGCTAATTTTTATGTGTGTGTGTGTGTGTGTGTGTGTGTGTGTGTGTGTGTGTGTGTGTGTGTTTAAGAGACAAATGTTTCACCATGTTGGCCAGGCTGGTCTTGAACTCCTGGCCTCAAGTGATCTGCCTGCCTCAGTCTCCCAAAGTGCTGGGATTACAGGTGTGCACCACCACACCTGGCCTCAAGCACCATTTAAACTGATTGGCCTATTCTGTCTGCCTAACTCCCGTTTTTCCTGTAATGCTCAGCCGAGGTGTTGCTTGCACTCGGAAGCCATTCTGGCCTTCCAGAGGCAGTTCAGTTGTCCCTCTCCTCTGGCTTCCATAGCCCCTGGCCCTTCTTATTATGCTCCATTAAGGATAAAGTCTGTCCATATTTTGGCACCATCACCAGATTCCCACAAAAAAGGCCCTTCTCTGACTTCCCTCTGTATGCCCAGCACCAGGAATTGGGGCTGGCACAATGGGTTCTCAGTGTGTTTGCTAGATAAGGAAATGTGTTTAACACCCAAGCATTAACCCAAGAGGAACAATCTCACTGCAACTTTGAAAGGGCACCAAGAGAGCAATTATTTCAATTTTATATCAACTCCGCCTCCTAGAAGGGATCTGTAAACGACAGGTCTGGATATATTACATACATCAATAATTGTCAGAGAAACAATCAAAATCTCACTTGCAATCTCAAGAAGCGTGAGCCATGCTCTTGAATTTGTAAAAGGTTAGATAAATCAAAATCTTTCTCTTACAGTACCTGAGGACATGCTAAAAATTTACCAACCCAGAAGGAAAATATCAAGAAGATGAAAGACAATAAGTGACTGCTCTATGACAACAACTTGAAAAAACCCAGAATAAATGTGCAGACTAGTAAGTATATTGATTTAAAACAGATTTCTACCTAGTTACAGATGCCACCTACCTGAAGACACATTAGACACGCACATCTCAGTATGCTTGATTGGATTTAAAAACCATGCCTGGGGTTTCATCATCCAAAGAGTTACGGGAATCACAGTAGAAATTCAAAATCTTAAAGACCATTTGGCTCAAAGATGGGGGGTGGGGATTAAAAATATTATGAGCAATTATGAAATAAAACTGAAGGCTGAATTAGTCAGGTTGGAGAGATGGAAAACAAATTAATGTGGAAAAGACACAAATTCTGAGAATTAAAAGCAACAAGCCAAACTTGTTCTGTGTATCACTACAACAACTTAAGCCACAGATATCACTGCTTCTTAGAGTAAGAGGGATCCCACTTGAAATTGTCCGTTGACACTGACAATTGCAGTCGGATTACAAGGAAAAGAAGTTTTTCTTCCTTACAGGATTTCAGCATCAATGTCAGGAACATGAGTGAATGCCGCACATGTGGGCCTAAATTGTGATATTTTAATGCGCCTAAACTCTGATGAAATCATGGAAGGCATAGCAGCAGGGAACTAAACCCCTGGGAAGCCATTAGCAATTTACCATCTCATTTCTTGTGGGAATGTGAATGCCACGAACCCACGTACTCAAGCACCCACGATGGTGCTCAGGGCCACACCAGGAGGTTCTGTATTTCCAATTTACCCACCCGGATCCTTCCATTGCTTTCCCTTCCTCCCCCATCCCTTTTACTCCTGGGACTCTCCCAGCAGCAGAGGTCTCTCAGGGGGGTTAATGAGAGAGGCTGCAAAGGTATGAGTAACAGTCTGTTTCCTGAAAATACAGACAAAGCAGTTTCAGCACTAATATCATCTGTTTAGGAGCTCAGAGGGAGCAATATTAAACTCTAGACTGAAGTTTCAAAGATTCTTTAGTTTTCAGAGTATTTGCCCTCGGGGCAGCAGTAATAACGTATACAACATCTGTCCCTGGCCTGTGACATTTGAAAACACCAGTTTTGGAAACCAGGAGAGGCCAGGCGCGGTAGCTCATGCCTGTAATCCCAGCACTTTCAGAGGCCGAGGCGGGCGGATCACCTGAGGTCAGTAGTTCAAGACCAGCCTGGCCAACATGGGGAAACCCTGTCTCTACTAAAACTACAAAAAGTAGCCGGGTGTGGTGGTGGGTGCCTGTAATCCCAGCTACTTGGGAGGCTGAGGCAGGAAGAACTGCTTTGAATCCAGAAGGCGGAGGTTGCGGTGAGCCAAGATCGCGCCACTGCACTCCAGACTAGGCAACAGAGCAGACTCCGTCTCATAAATAAATACCAGGAGAGACTGAGTCACACCACTCAGGGTATGCATTTCACAAAAAACTCCAAAGTGGCATCTTGAATCCTCCTGGTTCTTGGGCTGATTGTTACTTCCATCAGCCTCATAAACAACCACAAAGTTCAACCCACTGCATCTGTTTGGACTAATTAAGAGCAAATGCTTCTCACTTGAGAAGCTTGAGCCCTAAGTGCCATGAGTATATATATTTTAAAGAAACATTCCCTACTCATTAGGGCAGTGGAAAAAAAATCAATCTGGATGAGAAATGAGGGATCCTGCTAATGAGCACAGTGGCTTTGACCATTAATAATAATAGCAATACTATGACACATATGGAAGTCTGATCTGAATTATGTGGTTTTTATACATCCTATATAATTTTCACAACATTGCAGCAAGATGGACTTTAATCCCATTCCACAGATTGGGAAGTGGGGAAAAGAAGGTTACAGAGCTAGCTAGAGGTGGAGGCTGGGGTCTGACCCTATCCAGAGTTACACCTGCTTGCCTGGATGTCAGCCTTCCCAGTTCACCACACAAATCCACCGACCTTGCTGCCCCCATCATTTGTTTCTCACCTATTAGATGAGGTTTTTGCTTGGCCAGTCTCTGAAGTCACCTGCTGCTATAAAATGCTCAATTTCAAGTTGCTGGAGTGAGCAAACCTTGGTTACTAATCGGAGGTTTTCCTGTAGTTGCTTCATCACGCACAGGTATAGATGTTACAATTTATAATGAACATGTTTGTTGTTTGTAAATGTGTGCTTCTGTGTCCGGAATTGGTGGGTTCTTGGTCTGACTTCAACAATGAAGCCACGGACCCTCCCGTTGTTACAGTTCTTAAAGGCGGCGTGTTCAGAGTTTGTCCCCTCTGATATTCGGATGTGTTCGGAGTTTCTTCCTTCTGGTGGGTTCGTGATCTTGTTACATCAGGAGGGAAGCTGCAGACCTTCGCGGTGAGTGTTACAGCTCTTTAGGCGGCATGTCTGGAGTTGCTCGTTTCTCCCGATGGGTTTGTGGTCTCACTGGCTTCAGGAATGAAGCTGCACACCTTCACGGTGTTACATCTCATAAAAGCAGCATGAACCCAAACAGAAAGCAGCAACAACACTTACTGCAAAGAGCGAAAGACCAAAGCCTTGCACACCCTAGAAACATACCCCACTGATTACCACTACTACCTCGCGCAGCCTGCGTTTCTTCTCTTATCTGCCCCACCCACATGCTGCTGATTGGTCCATTTTACAGAGAGCCGATTGGTCCATTTTACAGAGAGCTGATTGGTCCATTTTGACAGAGAGCTGATTGGTCCATTTTGACAGGGTGCTGATTGGTGCATTTACAATCCCCGAGCTAGACACAAAAGTTCTCCACCTCCCCAGTAGATTACCTAGATACAGAGTGTGGACACAAAGGTTCTCCAAGTCCCCACCAGAGTAGCTAGATACAGTGTTGATTGGTGCATTCACAAACCCTGAGCTAGACACAGGGTGCTGATTGGTGTGTTTACAAACCTTGAGCTAGATACAGAGTGCTGATTGGTGTATTTACAATCCCTTAGCTAGACATAAAGGTTCTCCATCCCCACCAGACTCAGGAGCCCAGCTGGCTTTACCCAGTGGATCCTGCACGGAGGCCGCAGGTGGAGCTGCCTGCCAGTCCTGTGCAGTGTGCCCGTACTCCTCAGCCGTTGGGTGGTCGATGGGCCTGGGCGCTGTGGAGCAGGGGGTGGCACTCTTCGGGGAGGCTCGCGCCATGCAGGAGCCCATGGCAGGCGGGGTGGAGTCTCAGGCATGGCGGGCTGCAGGTCCCGAGCCCTGCCCTGCAGGGAGGCAGCTAAGGCCCGGTGAGAAGTCGAGCACAGCAGCTGCTGGCCCATGTGCTAAGCCCCTCACTGCCTGGGGCCGGTGGGGCCGGCTGGCCGCTCTGAGTGCGGGCCCGCCAAGCCCACGCCCACCCAGAACTCGCGCTGGCCCGCAAGCACCTCCCGCAGCCCCGGTTCCCGCCTGCGCCTCCCCCTCCAAACCTCCCCGCAAGCTGAGGGAGCCGGCTCTGACCTTGGCCAGCCCAGAAAGGGGCTCCCACAGTGCAGCGGCGGGCTGAAGGGCTCCTCAAGCGTGGCCAGAGTGGGCACCAAGGCCGAGGAGGCGCCGAGAGCGAGCAAGGGCTGTGAGGGCTGCCAGCACGCTGTCACCTCTCACTTCTAAACTGCCAGAGAATCCCTGAGAGGAGGCTGGTCTTCCTGACATTCTGTTCACACTATTAATTTGTTTTGCAAACCTTTTTAATGGAAGGAGAATTATATAAACCACCACCCTGCTCCTGTGTATACTATTCCACAGCATCAGCATCACTTGATAACTTGTAGAAATGCACCTTCCTCGCTGGGTGTGGTGGCTCATGTCTATAATGAGGGAGGCCGAGGCAGGAGGATGGCTTGAGCCCAGGAGGTGGAGGCTGCAGTGAGCCATGACTCCACCACTGGACTCCAGCCTGGGCGACAGAAGGAGACCCTGCCTCTAAAAAGAAAGAAAGAAATACACATTTCTGGGGCCCAATCTAGAGCGATCGAACATAATTCTGGGCGTCGGGCTCAGCGCTCTGAGTTTTGACAACCCCCCTACGCCCAGCTCATTTGAGAATGCCGGTCTGAGATGACTGATTCCCAGCTTGGAACATTTGAGTTACTGAGGTGATTGATTCTAAGAGTCAGCTGGAGCCAGGACTAGCAGACTGGGAATACATTCGTTTAACAATGGAATACCATTTTCAAATCATCATGCATTTCTTTTCTGGGTGCCATCTCCTGTGCAGGGGAGGACTGGAAAGACAGGGAAATTCTGGTAGCCTTGGGAAGGCAGAAGGGTGGGGCTTGGCTGGCCAGGGGACGGGCGCGGAGGGGGAGGGAAGAAGAGGAGGAAGCCGCGGGGCCTCACAACCCATCTGGTTGGAAACGTCCTGCAGTGCCGCCCGAGCCGCAGGAACCGGAGCCAATTACAAGTTTATATAATAGAGTCAGTCTCCCCGGGCCTCCCCTCTCCGCCCCACCCCTGCCGGCTTTGGGGATGGGGGAGGAAACGCTTTCCGTGAAATACAGGCTGGATCTAGGACGGAGGATGCCTTTTCTGGATTGACAACTAGGGGCCAGTCCTGAGTGTGAGAAACTCCTGGGGTCCTGTTTTGGGATCCGGACACCTCGGGCGCCGCGCAGGCCTCCTTGTGCCTCGGGAGCGGCCCCGCCTACGGAACGGGACCTGGAAGGGAGGTGTCCGGGTCGAGCGTTCGCGCTGCTCCCCGCCGCACGGTGTGAGCTCGCCGGGTTTATGTAACGCCTGCCCTTCGCGGAGGACCGTGTCATGTCCGAATCGCGGAGGACGGAGGAGGCGGGGGCCTGGGCCGCGACGCCCGCCCACGTGACCGTCAGATGACTGGGGTCTAAGTTTGCACGAGCTCCTTTACCGTAACGCTGAAGGCTCCTCATCAACATCGGCTCTTAGTCATCCCCGAGTGACATTTGATATGAGCAACAGCTCAGGACGGGGAAATGGCAACGCGGATGCTGATGGAGACGAGGAACGGCTGCTGCGACCGCCTCTGATTTGGGCTGGAACGGGAGTTTATGCGGAGTCAAGGAAACCCACCGCGAAGGGTGCCAGGGAAGACCAGGGCACTTTTCTAGACAAAGAATCTTAGATTCTTTGGGGCTAGATGCAGAGAGTCCGGGAGAAACTGTTCACCGGGTGCCAGGCAGGCGGCTGACCACGCAAGCCACGCTTCAGATTTGTGGGTTGGTTTTAGAAGTCACATGAGGTCTGCCTGGACGCCCCTCCCGATCACGTCAATTATCTGTCACAACTTCTCTGTGCGCCCCAGGGACCAGCCCCATGCCCCCAGCGGGGGAGTTGGTTACAGCTGCAGAATCCCGGCCCCACCCCGCCTCCAGAGCACGAGCCTGCGCTAGAAGGATATCACCAGGGGATGGGGGGGAATGCGAGGGGGGCGGGGAGGTGGTCACGGATGCAGAGGCTGTCCTGGCTGCTGAGGCAAAAAGCCCGTCCCAAGCCCTGCATGGGCTCCTACTGCACTTCAGGATTTGGGGGAATGCAGAATCGTGGTCTTTGAGTTTTCATTAATTCAATAAAGATTTCTCAAAAGCCTAAATTCTAGACCCAAGACAGTGGGAATTAAACAGGGCTGAATATGACGCTATTGGCTATACCAGGACCACGCCTGAGCATTGCATGCACGCTCCAGCTATGCATAACTTATTTATTTTAAAAGAAGGAAGGAAGAGAGGGAGGGAAACAAGGTGTTTCTTAAGAGTAGAGGAGGGGAGAGGCAACTTGTTGCTTTCACTGGCAACAGTTAACTCCATAAGCAATTTCCTCACTTAAAAGAAAAACAAATGAAGTAGAGTGGTAGGCTTTTGAAAGGAGGAGCAGAGAGCTCCGGTGAGTGGAAACCTAGCTTTTATTCACCTTAGGGCCTTGTTAAAACACATTTGCCTTGAGATAAAAGGGTTTCTTTTGGGACGATCCCAAAATGACTTTGCTTGATTCAATTAAGCAAGACCTAACGAAAGAGAATTCCAGCTTAAGATACGCATCATCTCACCAGGTGAGTTGTAAATACATTCTGACCAGGTTTCAGAGGCAAGCTCTTGAAAATTTAATCTATTTAAAAACTGCATATCCTTGCCACAAATTGCTTTGAAGAAGATCGCTGAGCTGATTGCATGCTGAGATAATTATTCTGTATCACCACTTAGGGAACAAGATTTTTTGATAAATACTACAGTGTCAGTCTTTGTTAATGACTTGGGAGGGGAAGGAAAGGATTCGATATAGCTGAGGCTGGTTTTATTTTCTTGCCTCTTTCCCATGAACGCAGGCTGTGGGAAGCAGGTAGAGTCTTGGTTTATGAACTCTGAACGCTATTGAGTAACCTATTCACCTGTCAAATCCCTAATCCCCGCATGAAGGTGTACAGATGGTATTGGAGTAGAACACGAAACTGAGAGGTGAAGCCAGCCGGACTTCTGGGTCGGGTGGCAACTTGGAGAACTTTTATATCTTACAAGAGGATTGTAAAACGCACCAATGGGCGCTCTGTAGCTAGCTAGAGGTTTGTAAAATGCACCGATCAGTGCTCTGTAAAAATGCACCAATAGGCGCTCTGTAGCTAGAGGTTTGTAAAATGGACCAATCAGCACTCTGTAAAATGGACCAATCAGCAGGACATGGGCGGGGACAGATAAGGGAATAAAAGCTGGCTACCCCCCAGCCAGCAGAGGCAACCTGCTTGGGTCCCGTTGCATGTTGTGGGATATCTGTTCTTTTGCTCTTCACATTAAGTCTTGCGGCTGCTCACTGTTTGGGTCTGTGCCATCTGTAAGGGCTGTGACACTCACTGTGAAGGTCTGCGGTTCCATTCTTGAAGGCAGCGAGACCAGGAACCCACCAGAAGGAACAAACCCCAGACACAAAACCAGTCTCCACCTGCGCAGGGCCCTGCCTGTGCCTTACCTGCTTCCCCTCCTGGAGACTCCCACCTGTGAATGGATAGATGGTAGTGTGTTGCTGGGTGCTGATGGGGGAAAGCCCTAGCCTGTACCCCCGTTATGGATAATATGGAAGTCAGGGTTCTCAGGTGCTGGTGAGCCAGGCCTCCCCACATCCTACGTATGACAGCACAGGCTCATTTCTCAGTGCTCTGCCCCACTGAGCCTGGATGTGACCTCAGAGGAGTCCTTAGCACTGTGATTAATCTCTTCATGCTTTTCTTCCTTTTTTTTTTAGACAGGGTCTCTCTCTGTCATCCAGGCTGGAGTACAGTGGCACCACTGTAGCTCACTGCAACCTCCGCCTCCTGAGGTCAAGTGATTCTCCCACCTCAGCCTCCCTAGTAGCTGGACTACAGGCGTACACCATCACACCCAGCTAATTTGTGTATTTTTTGGTAGAGACAGGGTTTCGCCACGTTGCCCAGGCTGATATCCCAACTCCTGGCATCAAGAGATCTGCCTGCCTCAGCCTCCCAAATTGCTGGGATTACAGGCATGAACCACTGTGCCTGGCCTCATTCTTTCAATAACTTAATAAATACTTATTAGGAATCTATTCTATACAAGTCGCTGATAACATAGAAGAAAAGAGAAAGAAAGAAATATAGATGGATGAATGGTGCATAGAAATAATACAAAGCACTAGGACAATGGTTAGTGGTTGGGAGGAGTAACTTTAGATATTGTAGTCAAGGAAAGCCTCTCTGAGGAGGTAACATGAGGAAGAGTTATTTCAAAAGCCAGAGGGGAAAGCCAGGCCCAAACAAAACAACAAAACAGGCCGGGTGCGGTGGTTCACACCTATAATCCCAGCACTTTGGGACGCCCAGGTGGGCAGATCACAAGGTCAGGAGTTTCAGACCAGCCTGGCCAATAAGGTGAAACCCTGTCTCTACTAAAAATACAAAAATTAGCCAGGCATGGTGGCGTGTTCCTGTAGTCCCAGCTACTCAGGAGGCTGAGGCAGGAGAATCACTTGAACCCAGGAGGCAGAGGTTGCAGTGAGCCGAGATCATGCCACTGCACTCCAGCCTGGGTGACAGAGCAAGATTCCATCTCAAAAACAAAAACAACCAAAACAACAACAACAACAACAAAAACTGTGTGTGCAAAGGCCCTGAGGCAGGAATGAACCTAACATGATCAAAAACCTGGCTCAGAACATGGACCCAGTGAACCACTTTGGACACTTGATGGGCATTTGATGGGTTGCCTCCGTGTGATCTCTAATTCTTGATGACTAGGCTGAAGTGGGAGCTGGACTCATAGGTGTGTAGACGGGGGTCTGTAGTCCCATGTGGCTATTCATTCTCACCGAGGCAGCATTTCTGGTGAAGTTATAGCTGGATGGTATTTCATGGTCAACTTTAGTTTTAATGGGAGGTATGTGAGGAAGCAATATAGTATAATGGCTAGAATCAGAAGATCTTGATTGAGATCATAGCTCTTCTTACTGGTTTTCTGACCATGGACAAATAGTTTACATACCTTATACCTCAGTTTTCCCTTGGAAGTAATGATAAAACTATCTGTCTCACGGGGCAAAAAACAAATCACTGAATGGCTAAATCACCAAACAATTCACCAAACTTAGCAATTTACCAAAGCCTTGCATTAAACCAGTTTTTAGATATTTTAAATGAATATGAATATTCTTCAAAATATACGTACTTATTATGTATTTGATATACATTAAGAATATTTAGAAATGTAAAGCATGTTTGTAGCTCATTAATATATTCTTCATGAATATTACAGTTTAATAAAGGGAGTGTTAGAAAATAATCTCTATATGCTTAAATTATTTTTTAGCAATAATCATAACAAAATTAATAACAAAAATAGAAAATAAATGCAAACACTGGAAATTTCCTTATATTGAATCTTTACATAATCTTGTCAATAAAATGAATAAAAATAAGTTATCATGCAAAAAAAGGGAAAAAACTCAATCCAGCTATTCAATCAGTTTTATATTTACTAAAGATTAAACGTTGATATTTTGGTTACAGTCTCATGTAATATTATTTTATGTAAGTGTTCAGTAACTAGTAAGTGAATTTTAATAAAACCAAATTGTGTAAAAGGTAGAGTTTAGTCAATTACTAATGTAACAATTTTTTAAAATTTGTCCTTTAGTTTTGTTTTGTTTTGTTTTGTTTTGTTTTGAGACAGAGTCTCGCTCTGTTGCCCAGGCTGGAGTGCAGTGGCACTATCTCTGCTCACTGCAAGCTTTGCCTCCCAGGTTCACACCATTCTACTGCCTCAGCCTCCTGAGTAGCTGGGATTACAGGCGCCCACCACCACATCCGGCTAATTTTTTGTATTTCTTAATAGAGATGGGGTTTCACTGTGTTAGCCAGGGTGGTCGCAATCTCCTGACCTCATGATCCGCCTGCCTTGGCCTCCCAAAGTGCTGGGATTACAGGAGTGAGCCACTGTGCCCGGCCTTGTCCTTTAGTTTAAAACCAACAACAATTAGAAGAAAAGAATAAACTTAAGTGTCAAATTTAGTCAAATATTTTATGCATGGACTAAAATTTGCATTCATCAAACAAAAATATTACACCTTGTACTTCTCACTGTTTCACTGTTTCAAATTTTAAAACACAAATCAAAACTCACACAGTTACATAGAGTGAGAGAATTGAGCTACATCAAATTCTGTTTTCTTTCTCCATTATCAGTGTGCTATCAGTGTTTACTTTGATTCTACACTTTAAAGGCAGCAGGCATAAATAGTATCACAGGGCGGGAAATGCTAGCTGAGCCACTCCACATTGTTATAGTAACAAACATCTCAAAAACAAACAAACAAACCCTATTGCTTGGGTTCATCTGTGGAGGACTGGCTGTAATTAGGAATTTTCTGAATTAAGTTACATGTAGAATGATAATGCTTATTAAAGGATAAGTAATTAGAATGTGTTAATTTGAAGCTTACATGCATATCACTCAAACTCAACAGTAGTCCCTGCAATTGTTTAGAACTTAAACCAAAGAATATTTGAGGAGGGGAGGTGACTTTTATCACTGATGTTATTTAGAACTGCCAGGGCATGGCATGGTAAAGAGAAGATCAATTTTTGGTTTGTTTTATTCTTGTTTTTAAATTATTGCCAGTGTACCCCTCCTACCATGCTCTCAGTATCCTACTGCATTTAGTAACCAGTAACACCATTACTCTCTATAATTGTGGTATCTGCTGTAATGGATGTCACAGGGTCCTCTGAGGTAGAGGGTCCAGGTGCACCTAGGAGGACTTCCTTGAAGAAGGGATTTTTTTTTTTTTTTTTTTTAAACAGGGCTCTGTCACCTAGGCTGGAGTGCAGTGGTGCAATCATAGCTCTCTGCAGCCTCAAACTCCTGGGCTCAGGTGATCCTCCCACTTCAGCCTCCTGAGTAGCTGGGACTATAGGTGCATGCCACTAATGCCCAGCTAATTTAATTTAATGGTTTTTTTTTTTGGTAGAGATGGGAGATCTTACTATGTTGCCCAGGCTGATCTTGAACTCCTGGCCTCAAGCAATCCTCCGACCACGGCCTCCTAAGTAGCTAAGACCACAGGTGTGAGCCATTGCATCCGGTTAAGAAGGGATTTTTAAAGAATGATTTAGTATTATTTACATACTATAAAATTCACCTCTTAAAGTTTTGCAGTTCACAGAGTTTTATAACCATCAGTACTATCTAATTTCAGAACATTTTTATCAACCCAGAAAGAAATTCTGTCCCGCTGAGCAGTCATTTTCCAGGACCCCCACCCCAGGCCCTGGCAACCACAGGTGTGCTTTGTGTGAAGAGAGGCTCTTCAGCTGGGACCTGAGGTGTGGACAGAAGTCAACTTGTCAGGTAGTGAGGGAAGGGAGACAACAGCGTGAACAGTATCTAGCAGAGCAGAGGTGAAGGCAAGAAATCAACAGACCTGCGTGGCCAGGGCACAGAATATGAAGGTGAGTGGCTTGAGCATGCCGGGGAAGACCCAGCCCACGGGGACTTTGCTGGTTCTCCTAGTAGCAAGGGGGCCCTGAGGTCTGACGCAGAGCCTTCCCTGCGATACCGGCTCAGAAAACACGGCAGGAACTACCCTGTAAATACACCTTTCATAGTCTTTTAAAACATCATAAGGATTGCTTTATTTTATTTTTATTTTTAGATATTTATTTATTTATTTTTATTTTTGTTTTTTTTGAGACGGAATCTCTCTCTGTTGCCTAGGCTGGAGTGCAGTGGCGCGATCTCTGCTCACTGCAACCTCCACTTCCCGGGCTCCAGCAATTCTCAAGCAAGCCTCCTGAGTAGCTGGGACTACAGGGTGCACTCCACCACGCCTGACGAATTTTTGTATTTTTAATAGAGACGGGATTTCATCATGTTGGCCAGGCTGGTCTCGAATTCCTGCCCTCAAGTGATCCACTCGTCTCGGCCTCCCAAAGGGCTGGGATTACAGGCATGAGACACCGCGCCCGGCTGGATTGCTTTATTTTAAATATTTACAACATAACATCAGAAATAGGAGAGACATATACGTGTGCTCCCGCCGTTGTGGTGTAATCTTACTGTCTTGTAGAAATCTGGCTTGGACGTTTAGACTGCACAAATAGCCATGCTAAACCTGCAAATCAGCTGTAACCGATTTTCTCAGGAATCACCAACCCCAAACTTGGAACTCCTTGTGGAGTTTTGACAGAATGAGGGATGGAACTCAGATTAAAGATCTGGAGGATGGAGCAGACATTCAGAGCAAGTTCTTTCTCATTTGAATTTCTTCCTACTGACTTTTTCTTTTTTAAATTTGATTGCTTGCTTGGTTGTTTTTATTGTTTTGTTTATTTGTTTGTTTGTTTTTAGAAACAAGGTCTTGCTCTGTCGCCCAGCCTGGAGTGCAGTGGTGTGATTACAACTCACTACAGCCTCCGACTCCTGGGCCCAGGTGATCCTCCCCTCTCAGCCTCTCAAGTACCTGGGACTATAGGTTCACCACCTCGCCAGGTTAATTTCTTTATTTTTGTAGAGACGGGGGTCTCACTATTTGATATTGAGGCCAGGCTGGTGTTGAACTCCTGGTCTCAAATGATCCTCCTGCCTCAGCCTCCCAAAGTGCTAGGATTACAGGTGTGAGCCACCATCACCACGCCCAACCCTGTTGTTTTTTTTTTAATTTGAAATTTAATTCATCCACTTGGTTCCTCTGGGAAGACTTTGGATTCCCCTTCGGGACCAGATGCAGACCAAAAGTCTCAGTCCTTGCCCCACCGCTGGCTACTCTGTTCCATCCCACATCCCCATAACCACTTTTATTAGTTTCCTGTGTATTATTCTTGTGTTGTTTATGCAAATACATGCCAACATGAATATGCAATCTTATGTCTCCCTTTTCTTTCAGAAAAGATAGCATACTATTCTAAGACTTGCTTTCCCCCCTGACTATACTATGGAGAATTTTCCTTATTAGGATACAGAACACCCCTCATTCATTTTTTCTGACAGTTGCATAGTGTTACAAGGTTTATTTAACCGCTGTCCCATTGATGGACACTTGAGATGTTTCCAATATTCCTCCTTGTGATAATGTTACGATGATGGATCTTGTTCATGCATAATTTTGTCCATGTGCAGCTGTGACTGAATTCCCAGAGGTGGGATCACCGGGCAACAGTAGTACATTAGCCATTCTGATAAATGTTTAAGTACCAGATTGCCCTCCACAAGAGTGGAACCATTTTGTCTTTCCATGAGCTACGTTTGTCCAGACACCTGTAGGGTGTTCTGAAACTTTCTTCATCAAACATCTTTTATAAATTTAAGAGCCCAGCGTGGGCAACATAATGAGACCCTGTCTTTACCAAACAATTTTAAAAATTAGCTGGGTGTGGTGGTGCACACCTGTAGTCCTATCTACTCAGGAGGCTGAGGCAGGAAGATTGCTTGAGCGCAGGAGTTCGAGGTTACAGTGAGCTGTGATGGAGCCACTGCACTCCAGCCTGGGCATGAAAGCAAGACCCTCTCTCAAAAAAAAAAAAAAAAAAAGTGGCCGGGTACAGTGGTTCATGCCTGTAATCCCAGCACTTTGGGAGGCTGAGGTAGGCGAATCACCTGAGGCTAGGAGTTTGAGACCAGCCTGGCCAACATGGTGAAACCCTGTCTCTACTAAAAATACAAAAAATTAGCCAGGTGTCATGGCGGGCACCTGTAATCCCAGCTACTCGGGAGGTTGAGGTGGCAGAATTGCTTGAACCCAGGAGGTGGAGGTTGCAGTGAGCTGAGATTGTGACACTGCACTCCAACCTTAGTGAGACTCTGTCTCAAAAAAAAAAAGAGCCATTTGTATTTCTTTTTTGTGAACTCTCTATTCCAATCTTTTGCCTCTTTTCTTTTGGGCTATAGGTTTTTCATATTCTCAATTTCTAGGAAGTCTTGATATATTAAGAAGGTAAGAGTTGAAAATGTTTTTTTCTCATTTACCTACCTTTTGGCTTTGCTATGGTATTTTTCCCTCTCTAGAAGCTTTTTATTTTTATATAATCAATTTTTTTTTTTTGTATGTGGCTTCTGGATCTTTAAAATCAAGACAGGCCTTTCTACACCAAAGTTCCAAATAAATTTGTTCATGTTTTCTTCCTACACTGTTAAAATTTAATTTGTCATGTTTAAATTTCAATCCATTTGGAATTTATCCTCATGTACAGTGTGAGGTATGGATCCAGCTCTGTCTTTTTGATGGTTATCCGTTTGTCCTAGCACCATGTATTTAAAATGTTAACATTTACCTCCTCTGAAATGAGACACCAGATACATTTCCGTATGTCTCTGGGTCTCTTTCTGGATTTTTGGAGGACACTTGGCCATTTCCTCACTGTTTTAATTATGAAGGCTTTGTAGTCTGTTCTATTTGCAGGGAAGTTTTCCTTCTCATTGTATTTTTTCACAGCTTTTCTGTCCAGTCTTTCTTGTTTGTTGCTCTCATGTAAATGAGAATCAGCTTGTCTAATGGCAGAGAAAGGGGTAGCTGTGTTTTTCTGGATTATATTACATTCCTACAGGCTTTTATTGATTCATTCATCCCTTAGTTGCAGCTGTCTACACACTGGAGTGCTTCGTTTGCTCTGTTGATCCCTTTTTTCCTAACCAGATCCATTCCTCGAGCCCGATCTACACATGCCTCTCCCACCTGCCTCTGCCCGCCATATTATCATATTCCAGGATCTCTGCAAAGCCTGCGGAGATAGACATTGTTCCTGCTGGGCTCCTGAGGGTCCCTCCATCACCCTCTCACCCGCAAGGGAGGACGATGGTGTCTGCTTGGCCTCTAGGTAATGCGGATTGATGAAATTGAGTACAGCAGACAGCGTGTGCGGTGGGGTTGAAGGACTAATCCAGTGTAGAAACAGCATTTACAGGCTGTTGGAATCAAAGCACTGGGCAGAGAGGACATTGAAAGTTGACTAACAGCATTTCTCATTTTGCTGGCCACTTTTGGGAAGGTAGGTGACACAGTCACATTCCACTAGGAAGGCTTGGGACATTTCCCCTGTTGGAGAACTAGAAGGAGCAAGGGAGGCTCTGGTGTGGCTTTCGTTAGAGTCCTCCACTGTTCGGGTTTTCTGCCCGCTGGACAACCCCCTCACAGTACGGGAAAGCCAAGCATAGTTGCTGCTGGGAAGCTGGGATTGGGAATCCCAGTGCTCTAAATCACCAGTAAAACCAGGACAAAGACCTTCACCCTTTTCATACCAGGGGAACAATGATACAGAATGTGATTTGAAAATCTTAACTGGCAAAGGATATGAAAAGAGAATTCTGATGACACCCCAGTGGCCACATAAATCTTTTATAGCTGTGTTCTTTCAACAACTACTCTTCTTTTTTTCTTTTCAGATATTCACTCGGGTCTCTAGACATGGCGACACCCCAGGGGTGGTGGCAGCTGAGAATCTAGGCAAAGAGCACTTGGTTACAGAAGTTTTTTGGGTTTTCTTTGGTTTGTCATGCAGGGTCGCTGCCTCAACAGGCATATTCTCATAAGCCCTTGCAGGCAGGGTCTGGTTATCTTTGCCTCTTCATCCCCAATTGCACGAACACTTGGGAAGGGCTCAGTGCATCATTCCTTTGATGGATCCATTGATGACAGCTCATTTTGGGCAGGTGTTTTACTGAATCAGAAGGAATCCCATCAGTAATCCCATTTAAGGGAATTTATGTGGTCTGTTAGTTGCCAACTTAGTTCAGAAACTTCTGCTCAGAAACATGTCCTGAGCCCGCAGCTATAAGTTAGCTCATGCTCTGGCAGATTTTCAGACGTCTGTGACATCACCTCCACCCGACAGCTCTGCCTTCTCCTTAGAGATCTTGCCACATTTCTCCACCTCTCCTTAAATCTTGTTTTCAGAATTTTATGACACTCAAGTTCTTCCTGGGAGTCGTTGGCTCAGAGAGCGTGGGCCATCTGCCAAAGTCTGAGCCTCCTGGCGGGGCAGGGATGCACAGGCCCCAGGAACCTGGAACAGGTGCTTTGCTCTCACCTATGGAGACCTGTTGGTCTGCATCTGTGAAGACATCATAATCATCACTTGCACTTTTAGTTTTCTGAATGGCTGGGACATTCAAAGTTCTCCCAGTGCTGCGCTCACAGGTAGTCCTGCCCATCTGGGAAATGGGGGAGGCGAGTGCAAGAGGGCTGAGCAGGGGAGCCCCCCAGTTCTCTGTTGCCTTTTTCAGGCAAGAGGATGAAACAGCTGACATCTGTTTAGGGCGTGGGAATCCCATTACACTGGAAACCTCAGATAAAGTAAACCAAAACATTTCATTAAAATTCATTTCCTTTTCTCACATCTTACTGAAAACAGAAAATATTTCAACCTTGGCATAGCCACTGAATTATTCATCTGAAAATGAAAAACAAAACACAAAACAAAACTTTGATGCAACATAGACTGGATCCCCCTGTCCCATGCTCCTTGCTGTCCCTGCCTCTGAAGTGAGGCTGGGGTCTGGTCTTCCACCGTGGCCAGCACCAAAGGGACCACGTTCTCTTGTCCTTTCATGGGAGCAGCCTGATCTTTCTTTTCTTTCTTTTCTCCCTTCCCTATCCCTTCCCTTCCCTTCCCTTCCCTTCCCTTCCCTTCCCTTCCCTTCCCTTCCCTTCCCTTCCCTTCCCTTCCCTTCCCTTTCCCTTCCCCTTGCCTTTCCCTTCCCTTTCCCTTACCTTGCCTTCCTTCTTTCCTTCTTTGTTTTTTTGAGAAAAGTTCTGGCTCTGTTGCCCAGGCTGGACTGCAGTGGCATGATCTCGGCTCACTGCAACCTCTGCCTCCCCAGCTCAAGAGGTCCTACTTCAGCCTCCCAAGTAGCTGGGACTACAGGTGCACACCACCAGGCCCAGATAATTTTTGTATTTTTTGTAGAGATGGGATGGGGTTTCACCACGTTGCCCAGGCTGGTCTCGAACTCCTGAGCTCAAGCGATCCACCAGCTTCAGCCTCCCAAAGTGCTGGGATTACAGGCCTGAGCCACCATGCCCTGCCTGGTTATTTCTTAAAATGGCTATTTCATATTTTGGCTCTTGTATTGTTTTATTGGATTCCTTAGATTCGTTGAATTGGGTTTCAACTTTCTGCTGAATCTTGATGGTCTTCATTCCTATCCAGATTCATTCCTCTCGACTGTCATTTCAGTCATTTCAGTCTGGTTAAGAACCGTTTAGAGTGAACTAGTGTGATCATTTGGGGTGAGAAGACACTGGCTTTTTGAGTTGACAGAGTTCTTTTGCTGGTTCTCTCTCTTCTGTGTCAGTTGATTTTCCTTTAATCTTTGAAGTTGCTGTCCTTTCAATGGGTTTTTTGCTTTTATCTTCTTTGATGCTCTTAAGGGTTTGACTGCGGTATAAGGTGGGTTCAGTCAACTGGCTTGGTTTCTGGAAGATTTCAGGGGCCAAAGGCACAGCTCAGCCTTCCTGGGCTGTGTGCTCTAACCCTGAGGGGCTTGGGGACCAGGCCTATGGCTTTGTTCTCTGGCCTCTCAAGGTTAAGCACCTGCTGTGCTGCAGGGGCCAATGTGTCACATCGTCCACTGGCCACAACACTCCAGTGGGGGGTGCCTGCCAAAGTGCTTCATTGGGGTGGTGGCAGTGGGGTCTGCCCTCATGCATGCATGGCAACCATCACCTCTTCTTCGGGAGTCGTTTTTCTTTTTGAGATGCAGTCTCGCTCTGTCGCCCAGGCTGGAGTGCAGTGGCATGATCTAGGCTCACTGCAAGCTCCGCCTCCCAGGTTCATGCCATTCTCTTGCCTCAGCCTCCTGAGTAGCTGGGACTACAGGCGCCCACCACGCCCGGCTAATTTTTTGTATTTTTTAGTAGAGATGGGGTTTCACCGTGTTAGCCAGGATGGTCTCGATCTCCTGACCTCATGATCTGCCCGCCTTGGCCTCTCAAAGTGCTGGGATTACAGGCGTGAGCCACCGCATCTGGCCTGTTTTTCTATTCCCTGATGTGCATCCTGTAGAAATGATGTTAGGGGGATCTTCTGGTAGCAAATTCCCTCGGGTCTTATTTTTCAAAATATTGCTTTATTTTGCCTCATACTTGGAAGTTACTTTTGCTAGATGGAGAATGAAAGTTATTTTTCTTCTAGCACTTTAAAAAATAGTACTCCATTGTCTCCTGGCTTCCACAGTTGCTCTTAAGAAGGCAGCTGTTGATCTAATTGTCATTCTCTCTCTCTTTTTTTTTGAGGCGGTGTGTTGCTCTGTCGCCCAGGCTGGAGTGCAGTGGTGAGATCTCGGCTCATTGCAACCTTTGCCTCCTGGGTTCCAGTGATTCTCCCACCTCAGCCTCCCAGGTAGCTGGGACTACAGGCCTGTGCTACCATGTCCAGCTAATTTTTGTAGTTTTAGTAGAGGGGGGGAGGTTTCACCATGTTGGCAATGCTGGTCTCAAACTGCCGACCTCAGGTGATCTGCCCGCCTCGGCCTCCCAGAGTGTTGGGATTATGGGCGTGAGCCACGGCGCCTGGCCCTAATTGCCATTCTCTTGAAAGGATCTGTCTTTTCCTTCTGGCTTTTTTTTTTTTTTGAAACAGAGTCTCTCTCTGTCGCCCAGGCTGGAGTGCAGTGGCACGATCTCTGCTCACTGCAACCTCTGCCTCCCGGGTTCAAGTGATTCTCATGCCTCAGCTTGCCGAGTAGCTGGGACTACAGGCGCATGCCACCACGCCTGGCTAATTTTTGTTATTTTAGTAGAGATGGGGTTTTACCATATTGGTCAGGCTGGTCTTGAACTTCTGACCTCAGGTGATCCACCCACCTCAGCCTCCCAAAGTGTTGGGATTACGGGCATGAGCCACCACACCCAGCCCTTCTGGCTCTTTTTATAGTCATCTTTTTGTGTTTATTGTTTTGCAGTTTGACTACAGTGTGTTTAAGTGGGGACTTTTCTCTTATTTTCCCTGCTTTGGGGATTGGTTGGAATTCCAGAATGTTAGGGTAGATGTTTTTCATTAATTCTGGAAAAATTTCAAGCATTATTTTTTCAAATCTTGACTCTTCCTCATTCTAATTTCTCCATCTGGAACCTCAATTAGATAGTTGCCGGGCTTTATCATTCTATTCTTCCTTTCTTTTAACCTGCCTTTCAAGTTTTCCACCTGTATGTTCATCTGTGCTGCATTCTGGGTAATTTCTTCAGACACATTTTCCAGTTTATTGGCTATTAAAGACATCCCTTTCTAGAAGTTCTTTCCCCCTGGAATCTTATTGGGCAATTTGAAAAATCTTGGCCCTTTAAATTCTTTATTTAAATTTCCTAAAACTTATTTAGTATCATTATCTTCTATATGAAATAGTTTTAATATTTGTGGTCTTGATGGGTCCAATTCTGTAGTTTATGCTGATTCTTCCCTGGCAATTTCTTTAATCATATGCTCAGGGATTTTTGAAATCAAGTCTGAATGACCTCGAAGTGGGTGCCCTTGCCCTCGTGTCCAAACATCTGCGTGGCCTAATGTTGAGGAGAGTCATGGTATCATTCTTTGAGTTTCTCCAGGTTTCAATCTAATATATGAAAGCCATCCTCTTGTGGGCATTTCATTTTCCTTTTCATACTTGTTCAGTTTAAAATACCTTAAAAATATTTGTTGTTTTAGAGTAATGTGCATGTCATTCTTCTGTTGGTGTGTTCATCAGTTTAACCCTTTGGGAAGGCTAGGATCTTAATAGGTTTATAAAGTAACATTGGAAACAGTCTAAGTCTGTCACAGTTTGGAAGCTGCCAGTTGAATTTTATTGAGGGGAAGAGTTAAAGGAGAAGGTCAGCTTGGCCCTCATCCTACATCTACAGCTTAGCAGCAAGTTCTGCCATGTCCATTGCCAAAACCTGGCTCGAGTCTCCCATCTCTCTCTTCAATGCCATCTTCAATGCCATCACTAGATGAAGTTGTCACTGTGTCTTGCCTGAACTCTTGGCACTCTGATTCTCTGATTTGGTTTCCTATTGCAGTATATTCTAGAGGAAGCAGCATACACACACACACACACACACACACACACACACACACACACACACACACACTTATCCCCTACTGAATGAATATCTATCTTTCTCCCTCTTGGAAGTTTTTCAAGTTGATGTTAAAAATGAATGCATGGGCAAAGGATTCGAACAGACATCTTTCTTCTTTCTTTTCCTTCTTTACTTCCTTTCTTTCTTTCTTTCTTTCTTTCTTTCTTTTTTCCCTCACTTCCTCTCCCTCTCTCTCTCTTTCTCCTTCCTTCCTTCCTTCCTCCTTCCTTCCTTCCTTCCTTCCTTCAAGGTCCTGCTCTGTTGTCCAGGCTGGAGTGCAGTGGCACGATCTCAGCTCACTGCAACCTCTGCCTCCCATGTTTCATCATGTTGGCCAGGCTGATCTTGAACTCCTGACCTCAAGTGAACTGCCTGCCTCGGCCTCCCAAAGTTCTGGGATTACAAGCGTGAGCCACCATGCCCAGCTTTGAATAGACATGTCTTTAAAGAAGATATACACATGGCCAATAGGCTTATGAAAAGATGCTCAACATAACTAATCATTAGAGAAATGCAAGTCACAAAGCATGAGAACTGGCTGGGCATGGTGGCTCACGCCTGTAATCCCAGCACTTCGGGAGGCTGAGGTGGGAGGATCACCTGAGGTCAGCAGTTTGAAACCAGCCTGCCAACATGGTGAAACCCCGTCTGTACTAAAAATACAATAAATTAGCCAGGATTCATGGTGAGCACCTGTAATCCCAGCTACTTGGGAGGCTGAGGCAGGAGAATCACTTGAACCCAGGAGGTGGAGATCGCTCCATGGCACTTCAGCCTGGGCAACAGACCAAGACTCCATCTCAGAATAAACAAACAAAATAACAACAACAACCACCAAATGAAAACACGAAAAATGACAGGTTTTGCTGAGGATGTGGAGAAATTGGAATCCTTGTGCATTGATGATGGAAATGCAAAATGGTGTCACTGCTGCAGAAGACAGTGTAGAAGTTCCTCAAAGAAGGAAACATAGAATTACTGTATGATCCAGCAATCCTGCTTCTGGATATATAGCCAAAATAATTGAAAGCAGGGACTTGAACAGATATTTGTACACCTGTGTTCACAGCAGCCTTCTTCCCAATAGCCAGGAGGTGGGAACAACCCAAGTGTCCATTGCTAGAAGAATGGATAAACAAAATGTGGTCTATACGTATAATAAAAAGAGGATGGTTTCAGTAAACCTAATAATCTGAAAAAAACATTATTCAGCTTTAAAAAGGAAGAAAATTCTGACATGTGCTACAACATGGATGAACCTTGAAGACATTATGGTACATGAAACTAACCAGTTGCAAAAAGACAAATATTGTAAGATTCCACTTATCTGAAGTACCTCGAGTAGTGATCTTGATAGAGTTAGAAAGTGGGATGGCTGTTGCCAGGGAGGGTTAGTCACTTCTGTACAGGGAGTACAGAGTTTAGCTGGTAAAATGAGAAGGTTCTGGAGCTAGGTGGTGATGATAATTGCAGAACAGTGTGAATGCACATAATGCCACAAAACTGTATACTTAAAAATGTTTAAGTGAGAAACTTCATGTTACATGTATTTTACATCCGTGAAAACAATCTAAAATAATAATGTGTCATACTTTTCCATATAAAACAAAACGTTTGAAGGAAGGGGCCAGATATTCAGTGTTTTTAACATTTTATGTTTTATTTATTTAGTTAGTTCTTTTGTTTTTTTGAGACAGAGTCTCACTCTGTTGCCAGGCTGGAGTGTGGTGGTGTGATCTTGGCTCACTGCAACCTCCACCTTCCAGGTTCAAGCAATTCTCCTGCCTTACCCTCCCGAGTAGCTAGGACTACAGGCACGTGCCACCACACCTGGCTAGTTTTTTGTATTTTCAGTAGAGATGGGGTTTTACCATGTTAGCCAGGATGGTCTCGATCTCCTGACCTCGTGATCCGCCCGCCTCGGCCTCCCAAAGTGCTGGGATTACAGGCATGACCACTGCACCTGGCCTATTTTATTTTATATTTTGAGATGGAGTTTTGCTCTTGTTGCCCAGGCTGGAGTGCAATGACACGATCTCGGCTCACTGCAACCTCCGCCTCCTGGGTTCAAGTGATTCTCCTGCCTCAGCCTCCTAAGTAGCTGGGATTACAGGCACTCGCTACCATGCCCAGCTAATTATTTGTATTTTTAGTAGAGACGGGATGTCACCATGTTGGCCAGGCTGGTCTCGAACTCCTGACCTCAGGTGATCCACCCGCCTTGGCCTCCCAAAGTGCTGGGATTACAGTCATGAGCCACTGTGCCCAGCCAACATTTTACTTATTGTGTTAAAATATACATAACATAAAATTTACCATCTTAGCCATTTTTAACTGGCATTAAGTAAATTCACATTGTTTTGCAAGCTTCATCACCATCTATCTCCAGGATTTTTTTAATCATCCCAAACAGAAACTCTGCAAACATTAAACATTAAAAGCTCCCCAGTCTTCCTTCCCCGAAACCCCTGTTAACTTCTATTTGCCGTCTCTATGAATTTGCCTATTTTAGGTACCTCATATAAGTGGAATCATTCAGCACGTGTCCTTTCGTAACTGGCTTATTTCACTTAGCGTAATGTCCTCAAAGTTCATCCATGTTGTAACATGCGTCAGAATTTCCTTCCTTTTTAGGTCTGAATAATATTCCATTGTATGTGTATACCATGTTCTGTTTATCCACTCACCCATCAATGGACACTTGAGTTGCTTCTATCTTTGGGCTATGGTGAATAATGCTGCTATGAAAGTGGGTGTGCAAATTAGTTCAGTGGTATTTTCAACAGTGTGATGCTGAGCCCTGGCTGCCGTTTGCACAGTGTGTGGGTAGAACAATAGAAATTGGTAAGTAGGTGAGTCAGGGAAGGCTCTGCTAGAAATCTCAAGACCTGGGTTTGAGCCCCAGCCTCATTACTAATAACTTCTTGTTTTTGAGCTTCTGTTTCCACACCTGAAAAATGGGGTTAGGGCTTCGTGCTTCATTGCTTTCACAGGGTTGATGTAAGTTTCACACAAGAGAGGAAATGTGAAAGCCCTTGGTAAACTGGAAAACTCTATGCAAATGTCAGGTTTAAAAGATCACTTTTTTTTTTTTTTTTTTGGGAGACGGAGTCTCGCTCTGTGATCTTAGCTCACTGCAACCTCCACCTCCCGGGTTCAAGTGATTCTCCTAACTCAGCCTCCCGAGTAGCTGGGACTATAGGTGCCTGCCACCATGCCCAGCTAATTTTTGTATTTTTAGTAGAGACGGGAGTTTCACCATGTTGGCCAGGATGGTCTTGATCTCCTGACCTCGTGATCTGCCTGCCTTGGCCTCCCAAAGTGCTGAGATTACAGATGTAAAAGAGTACATTTTAATATAGCCTATCACCATATTTTGTAATACCATACATTTTCTCCCAGTAAGTACTTCGGAAATATTGTTTATTTGCGGAAGGCAGAATGTTACATTCCTTTACTATTTCTTCAATTTAAAACTGAATTGGCACCAATATTGCAACCTTGATACAAATATTAGTATTCTGCATGTATTTCCTCATTTACTTTTCAGTTTTACACAAATGAGTTCAGTGCCCTTGTAAAAATATAGTCATCTTAATACATTTTCAATTATTTGGAAGTGACTGCATTTTCCCTGGTAAATCATTGTCTAAGTTCAAGATAAACACGTTCAACACCATACGTTTTTCGAGTGCAGCATATGTGGAGTCTAAGTACTTAGACAGTGTGCACCAGCTTAACCCAGAACTAGGCTGTGCAGACGAGGACCAATGTGCTTTCAAGTCTCCTCATCACTTGCACAGAACGAGGCATGCCAAATACAAAAACATTTTTTTTCCTTTTCAGAGGTTTTATTGTTTGAAATGTAATAGATGAACATGTAAGGATGTGATCTTTGGACGACAGTTTATAAAGCCCATTAATAGACACAATTTGGGGGTAAGTTCTGAGAAATGTTATTCTGTGACTAATGGGTAAACGCATTATGGTGACGAGGGGTTATTTTTCTTCTCATGTGTGCTGTGTGGTTTCGGGCTCCGGATCCGTGCTGGACAGTTGTTCCACCACAGCATTTTCCCACCAGCTTTGGGACCGCCGCATGGTGTTGTGGTATTACTGACACTGGGACTTGGTATTTTTACAAGTTCTTGGTCAATTAAATTCAGGATACGAAGAGTCGGGCTTTCCGTGTTTTCCTGTGCACGTGCCAAAGCCCTCTTCCTTCCTGGTAAAGGTTAGACAAATAGGGCAACATCATCATGACCACAGGGATGGGGTGGCTCATGGTCAGTGGTGAGGGAAGCCTGAGCTTCCTGCACGGGGTCAAGGTCAGGACCTGTCTTTGGTTACCATTCAAAAGGAAGCAGATATTTGAGGCGTTATATCCTCCTGTCTGTCCCAAATGTAGAGACCCACTGGTCCCCAGAGGTGACACCTCTTTGAATGCAAAAGGAACAGTATGTTTTAGTCCCACCTCATCTCCTTTTGATTGATTCAAAGGGAAAAAATAGTTTTATCTTGTAAAAAATAGTTTTACTTTGCCTAAAAGTAAGAGGTACCAATGCTCAGATTACAAGAGCTTCTTATTAAAAGCAATCGGGATTATATAAACCTTTGTGTGGGTGGCAAAGAAAGGCATCTGCATATTTTACCTTCTTAGATTTGGGAAAAGTGATTTATTCTCAGTCAAGGCAATGACAAGTTGCAAGTTGTCCAATACTAAATACCTGATAACAGATCAACAGGCTGCCTGTCAATTACTGGGTAATAGAACCTTCGCCACCACCACCTGCAGACCTCCAGCAGCGCCTCCTCCTTCCCTGACAATTTTGCTCATCTGCTCAAGAAATTCTAACATATTCTACATTCTGTCTTCCAACTTAAAAAAAAATTCTTTGCTAAGAATATTTTGGCAATCAGATGCTCTTCAAAAAACAACAAAAATATCCAAGTGTTTATTTGCCTTACCTTCTGTTCTCTCCTCCTCTGGGTAGAGGGATGTGCTGCTGTCACCATGGCTCTTTCAAATGGCCATGAGTTCTTACACTCTGACCTTGAACTCCGGGTGCTTCCCTGTTTGCCTTCTGTCTGACAGTGATGGGTCCTCCCACTGTGACATCATTCCAAAGCACTCTTCTCCAAGGTGGTTTTGTTACCTGTCAACGTTCTGGGACAAAGCGTCTCTAGTTAAGTACATTTGGGAAATAAATGCTGAGTTAAGCAAACTCTGTTGTTGCAGGATTTCCAAAAGTCCTCGATTTCTGATAGGCGCAGCATGCCACCCTTTTCTAATCTTGCTGACTTCAGAAACCCCCTTTCATGAGGATATCTGAAGCATAGCTTGTGCAGCTAGCGTTCCGAAGATGCGCTTGGGAAAGGGCCAGCATGATACCAGGGAGGCTGTGGTGATGACTGCACAAAACCTCAGATTCTTTGATATTAAATAAATGCCAGGCACTGCCTTGCACAACTGTGGGCATTCCTTACTGAATCCAACAGCCCTCCTTAAAAAAAAAAGTTAAACATAAGCATACTTTAAGTTAAAAGTAGCTCTGAGTTTTAAAACATCATGTGGTGAGGTTTGGAGGCTCAGAAGGAAGTTTGCATTTGTGAGTATTGAGTTTTCTTAAGGCATACAACTTAAGAACACGCAGCTCTGGGGACTGGACTGTGCTGTGAAGCACATACCTTCCTAGAAATCAGGACCCCTGCTACATTTCTGGTTCTGGATTCTGAGCTGCTGAGGTGGCATTTGGAACTCTTCTCCCTTTGGATGCTTCACCGCTACCGCGGGTGTGCAGAACACCTGGGTTCAGACCCCTGCAGAGCTCTTGCCACAAGCTTCCTATATTTTCTGATGTTGTCCTCTTTCTGATTAGAAACTAGTTTTCATGCTCTCTGCTGAGCCCAAAATTAGTCATTTAACACCCCCCCCCCACTTCTGGCAGATTTCTTATTTAATAAGGATTTCTTCTATAATAAATTCCTTTTACAAGAAAATTGATTTGTGAAGAAAGAAACAGGCCACCTATGTGACAAAATAAAGAAAAACAAAAATAAAAAAAGGTTTTCTATAAGCAGTATCTATTCCTAACTATTGTTTAAAAATAGGACTTGAGGCCGGGCGCAGTGGCTCATGCCTGTAATCCCAGCACCTTAGGAGGCCGAGGTAGGTGGATCAGCTGAGGTCAGGAGTTCAAGACCAGCCTGCACAACATGGTGAAACACTGTCTCTACTAAAAATACAAAAAAATCAGCTGGGCATGGTGGCGGGCACCTGGAATCCCAGCTACTCAGGAGGCTGAGGCAGGAGAATCGCTTGAACTGGGGAGGTGGAGGTTGCAGTGAGCCGAGATTGCACCACTGCCCTCCAGCCTGGGTGACAAGAGTGAAACTCCGTCTCAAAAAAAAAAAAGTATATATATATCAAAAAAAAGTATATATATCAAAAAAAGTATATATATATGTGTATATATATGTGTGTGTATATATATGTGTATATATATGTGTATATATATATGTGTATATATATGTGTATATATATATGTGTATATATATGTGTATATATATATGTATACATATAATATGTATATATATGTGTATATATATATGTGTATATATATGTGTGTGTATATATATATGACTTGATGGCCAGCTGCAATGGCTCACACCTGTAAGCCCAGCCACCACTTTAGGAGGTCAAGGTAGAAGGATCGCTTGAGCCCAGGAGTTTGAGACCAGCCTGTAGTGAGACCTTGTCTCCACAAAAAAAATTAAAAAATGAGGCAGGAGGATTGTTTGAGCCTGGGAGGTGGAGGCTGCAATGAGCCGCGATTGCACCACCGCACTCTGGCCTGGACAACAGAGTGAGACCTTGCCTCAAAAAAACAAGAAAACTAAACAAAAAGACTTGAATACTACTTCATAATTTTGTGTCCTTAAAAATGTGTTCACATTATCCAGAGCAAGAATTGTTCGTACTGTAGTTGAAGAATGACAGCCCACGTTACTAAAAAAAATCAAGTGATTTCAGCCAGCTTTTCCCATGACATACTGCCTCATAGTTGCTGCCAGGTAGTGGCTTTCGGCAAAGTCCAAGTTTCTAAGAGTGAGGCTAGTAAAATGTAAAATGTCTTCGGTAATGTTTCTTAAAATAATGGGCCCATATGATACAAATTACATTTGTTAAACTGAAAAGATTTTGCTAACCTTTGTGGTAAGGTAGTCTTTGAAGAGAATATTTTGCTAGTGATACTAAATCAATGATTAATTGCAAAACATTGATCCCGTTCAAGGTCTTCATTAGTTGACCTTGCAGTTTACATAGGAAGGACCAAAAGGTGCTAGGAAGGGCCTTGGACATTAGGCCTTGCTGGACTGATCAGCAGTGGCTGACCCAGCCGCGGTCGTGGCTGATGGGACAGGCAGTGACCGAGGGAGTGGATCTATTGCTGCAGCCCTGGGAACCCAAGCTTTGATACGAAGATTCTGAATGATTTAAGCATTTTCCCTAAAGGACACCTTAAGACGTACCATTATGTTTGTTTTTAAGGTAACTACGTCAACATATGCTTAAAGGGAATTCTTCAATTTGGGGTTTGCTGGGGGTTTCAGTTTCTTTACAGTCTGCAGTGAATTATCGTTTTAACTGTGTGCCTTTTTCATAAAAGCATTTTACATTGTACTGAAAAGATTGCATTCTTTTGGCTTTGGAAAAATATTTCCTGTTCAGTTCAAGCCATTACAGCCTGTTAGCGTTTCACATCTGGAAGCCTGTGCCTCCCGTCACCAGCGAAGCGAGTGTGGCGGCCTGGCTGGGCCCCCAGCGCCTGCGTAAAGCGCCGGGACTTGTTTACTTCCCAAAGCTCAGCCTTGCGGGTTTTCGGGGAGTGAGGGGGTTCTGAGCGGGGGAGAGGCGCTTCCTTGCTCCCAGGGCAGGGGTGTGTGTGTGGGTGTGTGTGTGTGTGTTCATTGTGTGTGTGTGTGTTCATTGTGTGTGTGTGTGTGTTCATTCTTCCTGGGATGGAGATGGAGGGGTCTTCCTCTTGGGTAATGAGGGAGGTTTCTTTCTCCTGGGGGTGGGGAGGGGAATCTTTCTTCCTAGTGAGTGTTGCATCCCCCCTCCCCTCATGCCTTAAGCAGCTATTTTTCACTCCCACCCAGTTTTCCAGAAAGCCAACCCAAACATTCTCCGTGTGAGAGGGAAGTATCCCTCAGGGAAGAGAACAAATTTGAACAAAAAACGCTGGGCAGCCTGCGGCCTTGGTGTGGGTTGGAGCTGCAGGCCTCAGTCTGGCATCCCTTGTCACCAGTCACCCAGGCTGGGTTGAGGGACGGCCCAGGAGAGGTGGCCCTGGTGCCTGCTCTGTGGCTCTTCTTCCTGGGGAAACAGGGGACTGCGTCCTGCTTTCAATCTTTAAAAGGGAACCAAGCCTCTGGGTGCCACGTTACTTTATGAGCATTAAGCTCTCCCCCAGTTTGCTGTGGTCTGAGAGGGTTAATTTTTGTGGCCTCTGGGACCCTGCTCTCCGGAGGTGAGCCTGATGCTGCCCCCACTCTCGGGATCATTGAGCTGGGCTGTGTCTGCTGATCCTGGTGGCTTCAGTGCTGAGAACACTCCCCCAGGGACCTGTCCCTGTGGCCTCTTGGGTGGCCAGGCACTAGAGCTCTGGGGCAGTGGTGCCCTGGGACAGAGTCCACTGAGTTCTTTGAGGGAGTGTGACAGCCCCCACAGCATAACCTGTAGGGGAAACGATTTCATGGTGTGGAAGGAGCAAAACATTCACTGCATTTCTCCTGATCACACGTGACCAGAAATGATGCCAAGCAAGTCTAGGCTTCCTGCAAGAATCAGGCAGGACCCTGAGCACCCAGGCCTCAGACCTGACGGCCTTGGGTGAGGTGCCCCCCTCCCTGCAAATCCAAATGATCACAGTGTCTTAGCACTCCGCTGGCAGGAGGTCAATTCACAAAGGGCCAAGGTCAGCATCTTCTTGGGGCTGGTCAATCAATGCTCTTCCGTTGAACTTGCAACCTTGCTGTAGGAGACGGGTGGTCCAGATCTGACAAACATCTTTCCCAGAACACAGGGCCAGCGACAGAAAGTAAAAATCAAGATCAGATCTGTCCCTGCCCCTTAACACTGGAGTTCCTGGGTGTGTTTTGAGAAAGGTCGCTATTGAAGTTGGTTTCCATGGGAGGAGCATGCAGCATGCGTGCAGGCCCCAGGGTGGAAGCAGCCCTCTCTCCAGTTTGTTTTTCTTAATTTCTTTGAACGTTCAGTGAATCTTTTTTCAGACTTGTGGGAAGCCACTTGCCCAGTGAGTTGAAATGAATAGCAGTTTCAACAGAGAGCTTAGTTGAACAACCACCCAAATGGACTGAATGCTTTGTATGGGAAAAGCACGGGAAGGGGTCTTCATGGTGGGCTGGGGAGGGGAGGGAAGCTGTGTTGTACTCGGCATGCCCCAGCTCCTCTCGTTGTTGTGAGTTGGGGAGTGACTGCTCTGAGACAGAGTTGAGCTGTGAGTTAGGGAGTCCGGCAAGACAGAGGATGTGGCCCACATGTGCTCATCCTATCCTGGGCTGAACACAGGACTCAGTGTCCCCCAGAGTCCTTGCCCTTGTGTTTTAGGGCTCCAGGAGAGAGCTGGCTGCATTTGAGATGGGCCTTGAGGATGGACAGGCAGAGAGAGCTCTGCAGCGGAGGGCATAGGGCACCCTGGGTACGGCAGAGGAGGGACCTGGGATTTTTTTTTTTTTTTTTGAGACAGTTTCACTCTTGTCGCCCGGGCTAGAGTGCAGTGGTGCAATCTCAACTCACTGCACCCTCTGCCTCCCGGGCTCAAGCGATTCTCCTGCCTCGGCCTCCTGAGTAGCTGGGACTACAGGCGCCTGGCACCACGCCAAGCTACTTTTTGTATTTTTAGTAGAGATGAGGTTTCACCATGTTGCTCAGGCTGGTCTCGAACTCCGGACCTCAGGTGATCCACGCACCTCGGCTTCCCAAAGTGCTGTGATTACAGGCGTGAATCACTACACCTGGCCTGACCTGGGACTTTTAAATGGCATTTGAGCTTGGTAAAGGGGACTGTTTTGATCCGGTCAGTAGCACCAGCTGAATGTTTTACACAGGTTTTGAAATCAGATAGACCTGGGCTCATGCCCCAGTGCTGCCCCTTACTGGCCAAGCGTTATCCTCTAGAGGCCTCAGTTTCCTCTTCTGTGAATGCGTTAAGCAGGATTCAGTGAGGTCACGGCTGTGGAGTGCTCAGCATCGTGTTGGCAACTGGAGCCGAAAGCACATCAGCTGCTGCTGTTATTTTAATTGGTGATGGAGGGAGGGCGGATGGACGGATGGAGCAGATAGTTGTTACAAGATGCCGAGGGCCCGGCCCGGTGTCTCAAGCTCGTAATCCCGGCACTTTGGGAGGCTGAAGTGGGTGGAATGCTTGAGTCCAAGAGTTTGAGACCAGCCTGGCCAACATGGCAAAACCCCATCTCTAAAAAAAAAAAAAAAAAATCACCACCACCACCAGATATTATCTGATCATAGTGGCTTGCACCTGTGGTCCCAGCTACCTGGGGGGCTGAGGAGGGAGGGGACCTTGAGCCTGAGAGATTGAGGCTACGGTGAGCTGAAATCGTACCACTGCACTCCAGCCTGGGTGACAGAGTGAGACCCTGTCTTAAAAAAAAGAAAAAGAAAAGATGCTGTGGCCCTGGGCTAAGGGATGCATGTCAGGACAATGGGAGAGAGAAAAAAAAGAAAAAGAAAAGATGCTGTGGCCCTGAGCTAAGGGATGAATGTCAGGACGATGGGAGAGAGAAAAAAAAGAAAAAGAAAAGATGCTGTGGCCCTGAGCTAAGGGACGCACGTCAGGACGATGGGAGAGAGAAAAAAAAGAAAAAGAAAAGATGCTGTGGCCCTGAGCTAAGGGATGAATGTCAGGACGATGGGAGAGAGAAAAAAAAGAAAAAGAAAAGATGCTGTGGCCCTGAGCTAAGGGACGCACGTCAGGACGATGGGAGAGAGAAAAAAAAGAAAAAGAAAAGATGCTGTGGCCCTGAGCTAAGGGATGAATGTCAGGACGATGGGAGAGAGAAAAAAAAGAAAAAGAAAAGATGCTGCAGCCCTGAGCTAAGGGATGCACATCAGGACGATGGGAGAGAGGTGGTGTCAGGACGATGGGAGAGAGGGGGTGCAGGCTCAGCTTGGTGTTTATGGCAGATCTGAATGGTCCCTGAGGAAGGAACTGGGGTGCCATCGCGGATCCATTTGGCTCCTAAGCTGTGCACCTGGAGGGCCCAGTAAGGCGTAGGGAAGGCTTGTAGGTTCAGGCCAGGGGGCTGAAAGAATGTGTTTACTCAGCTGTTTATTTACCACTCTGTATGCCCATGACATTTTCACCCTGGAAGGTGGGGGACAAGGAGGTGAGGCTTCTGCAGAGGCTGAGTTCTGGCCCACTGAAGCTGTTGACATCCTCCCAAAGTTAGGAGCCTTTCCCTCCAGGAGCTATTCCCAGCAGTGAAATTCTTCCTAGGCAAACTTGGTGGACTGAAGACTTGACACTTTTTGCCACTTATTGCAGTCTTTGATTCCAGAATAGTGATTGGCAGGGGGAATGGTGCTTCCGAAACAAGCAGGGGAAGCTGCTGTTCCACAAGGGGCACCAAGTAGGTGTTTACGTCCAGGCTTATCTTGGGGGGGCGGGGGTGAGGAGGAGGAGGAGGAGGAGGCAGTTGCTGTGGCAGCCTCCTTCCCCTATGGGATGCTCAGAGGTGAATTGGAGGCTGAGGTGGGGTCCACAGATTGGGGATACAGCCCCCTCCCCACTTGGGGACATGCCAGCCAGAATCTTTGGTCTCTGCAGAGTGGGAAACAGACTGCTGCTTCTCAGCTGAAGTTGGATGCTATCTATTTGTTTTAGCTGGCTGGGTGTGGTGGCTCATGCCTGTAATCCCAGCACTTTGGGAGGCTGAGGCAGGTGGATCACTTGAGGTCAGGAGTTCAAGACCAGCCTGGCCAACATGGTTAAACCCTGGCTCTACTAAAAATACAAAAACTAACCAGGCATGGTGGTGCGTGTCTGTCGTCCCAGCTACTTGGGAGGCTACGGGACAAGAATTGCTTGAAACCCGGAGGCCGAGGTTGCAGTGAGCCAAGATCGCACCACTGTACTCCAGCCTGGGCGACAGAATGAGACCTGTCACACACACAAAACCATCATCTGAGTATTCAAGGATATAATTTACCTTCAAAAGTAAGGTGAGAGGAAAGAGCTGCAGAGGAAGAGTTGACGAATAACCAGCACATTAATATGTACGATAGCCCGTCTGTGTGTGGACATGTAGTTTTATAATTCATACTAGCAGTGTTCTTACAGAGTCTTACAAAGACTAGCCCAATTAAAGCAGAAGAATTGGCATAATCTTATGAACCTGCACGGCCAATGTAAGCTAGCAAAATAATAACTCAAGCTGGATTTTGACCAAGTCATCAAGTTCTATCCCGTTAGTCTCATGCTCAGGGTACCAGCATGTCTGCATGGTCTCTAGGCTGACTCTACAGCCATCTTAAGAGGGCTCACGCTTCATCTCCTTGGGGTTGGGGCCAACCCTGCCATCAGGAATGTTTTCTATTTTCTTTGGTACCCTCTGCTGGGCTGCTTTTTGTTTGTTTGTTTGTTTTAATTTTTAAAAAAAATAGGTGAGCCAGGCAAGGTGCAATGTGCCTATAGTCCCAGCTACTTCAGAGGATGACTTGAGCCCAGGAGTTCAAGTCCAGCCTGGGCAACATAGCCAGACCCTGTCTCTAAAAAAAAGAAAAAAAAATAGGTGAACATAATTTTTAGAGCAAGTGTTCACTTTTTTTTTTTTTTTTTTGGGGACGAAGTCTCGCTCTGTTGCCCAGTCTGGAGTGCAGTGGCGCAATCTCGGCTCACTGCAAGCTCCGCCTCCCGGGTTCACACCATTCTCCTGCCTCAGCCTCCTGAGTAGCTGGGACTACAGGCACCCGCCACAAAGCCCGGCTAATTTTTTGTATATTTTTTAGTAGAGACGGGGTTTCACCATGTTAGCCAGGATGGTCTCGATCTCCGGACCTCGTGATCCTCCCGCCTCCACCTCCCAGTGTGCTGGGATTACAGGCGTGAGCCACTGTGCCTGGCCCAAGTGTTCACTTTTTAAAAAACTCCTCAAGGAATAAGTGACTTTCCTTTCACAAAAGAGTAAAACTAATGTCCTTTCTTGCCTCTTTCACCCCAGCAGGCATGTATCCAGTAGATGTGTTGGAAGATGATCCTGACGCACAACAGGAAGCAGCTCTGGCTTACCATGCCTCACTTAGGGAAGGAGCTGGGGCCCCAGCTGAGGTTTTCTGTCTTCCCACTGGGGAGAAGGTATACGTGATCTTCCTTGGCGAAGAGCTCTGTAAAATCTAATTTACAGAGTAGAATGTTATTGAAAGAATATAATAGATTAAAAAAAAAACCATTCTGGAGTGAGTATTAGAATAAGTGCACCCTCAGAGGCAGAATGAATCCTGCATTGGGATTCTGGAGTCCAGAGTGTCCGTCCAGAGTTGCCAGGCAGTGAGCCAGAAAGCCTGTATGAATGTCTACCACTAACTTACTAGCTGTGTGACCTTGAGCAAGTGTCTTAACCTCTCTGGTCTCGGTATTGTCATCTCTAGACTGGGGACAATAACAGCACATATCTTATAGTGTTGTTATGAGAATTAAGTGAGATACTGTGTGCTATGCCCAGCTACCTCGGTTTCCCCATTTGTAAATGAGGGGATTGGTTGGTCTTCAATCTCCGAGGTTTGATTCAGTTCCAAAACTTTGTGATGTGGAATGAAGTTATATCAATTTTGATTTTTGGCACTGATGCAATTCTATGCATTTTGAGTAGGGACTGAAAAGTAACAGAGAGAAATGAAAACCATTTGTTAGGACAGTAGGATTGTGGGTGAAATATTAAAATTGTGTTACTTTTAAGATCTTTATTTCCCTCCCTGCAGTAAGTAAAAAGAATATGTAAGTTTTAGTCAATACCTATGTCAGCTACCTTTCTTTCAGATTTGAGTCTGATCTGTTGAAAGAGACAAAGTTTTCTTGTTTTATACGGATACAATTTCACTCACAGCAGGTATTGTTATCTGGTGGGCAAAGTTGGTTGAGAAAGACAGGGTTTTATTTCTCTGCACTGAAGTTGTTCCTGAGTTAATGAAAACAATGACTTGTACAGTTTATTGTGTGGCTTCCTTGAGATTTTGGAGATGCTAGCTCGCAGTCATTCCCTGAAGAATCCAGCGCTCATCTGTGATCAAAACCCTCCACGTTTTTGATCTGCAGATGGAGGTCGCTTTCCTCACACGCTTCTAGCGCCCCCTAGTGGCTATTAAGCCAAAAAGACTTTTAAAAGCTCGGTCAAGGCTAGCGGCTGTCTTAGCGAGCCAGCGTGGTGAGGGGCAGAGTTGCATGGAGTGTGGGGGTGCTAGGTCATCTCGGAAGTGGGGAGAATTACAAGAGTTAGCCCTGAAGTACTTTAGGATGGAGTTTCAATCATCTGCATGTATTTCACACATATTTATGGATTACATTACTTTCACCCCGCCCCAATATGTAGAATACTCAGTGAGTGAAGAATTTTAGTGTTATTAGTGACAGCATAAGACAGCTACTAAAATTAAGTTGTTTTAATGTGATAGGAATGCGAAATGACTTTATACCTATTTCCTTTTTCCCTTTCTAAAAAAAGGAAGTTTTGGCTGGGTGCGGCGGCTCACGCCTGTAATCCCAGCATTTTGGGAGGCAGAGGCGGGCGGATCACCTGAGGCCAGGAGTTCGAGACCAGCCTGGCCAACATGGTGAAACCCCATCTTTACTAAAAATTAAAAAAAAAAAAAATTTAGCCGGGTGTGGTGGTGGGTGCCTGTAATGCCAGCTACTTTGGAGGCTGAGGCAGGAGAATTGCTGGAACCCAGGAGGCGGAGGCTGCAGTGAGCCGAGATCACACCACTGCACTCCAGTCTGGGCAACAAGAGTGAAACTCTGTCTCAAAAAAAAAAAGAAAAAGAAAGTTTCATGAAAACAATCATTTGATTTCCTACTATTTTACTATTTTTGTAGTTAATAAGAAATGGGAGGCCGGGCGCGGTGGCTCACACCTGTAATCCCAGCACTTTAGGAGGCTGAGGCGGGTGGATCACGAGGTCAGGAGATCCAGACCATCCTGGCCAACATGGTGAAACCCCGGCTCTACTAAAAATACAAAACATTAGCTGGGTGTGGTGGCATGTGCCTGTAATCCCAGCTACTCAGGAGGCTGAGGCAGGGGAATCGCTTGAACATGGGAGGTGGAGATTGCCATGAGCTGAGATCTCGCCACTGCGCTCCAGCCTGGGCGACAGACAGAGACTCTATCTCAAAAAAAAAAAAAAAAAAAAGAAAGAAAGAAAGAAATGGGAGCCGTCTCCTGCCACTCGGGATGTTGAAATAGTCTAATTTGGAGTAATATTGGACCTCCTCATTGCTTAAAGAAGAAAAGAAGGTTTAACTTTTCTTTTTGAATGCAGAGAAGTTTTTCGAAACAAAAAGAAAGATAAGGAAGTGGTTTGAACATACATCATGTCATTTCACTTTGGTCCTCCTAAAAATATTTCCTTTTGATAATTAACTCTTTTCCAGTCTTGAAATTGTCCTATCACATTTAAGATACAATAATATTAATACTTATCAATTTTTCTAGTACATGCTCGTCGTTTAATATTTAGGAACTGTTACAAAGGATGGAGAAAATAAAATCATCCATAGTTAACTGCTGTGAGCATTTTGATGTGTTTGCTTTTGACTTTTGTATTTTTGCATTTCTTAAAACATGGGTGATGGGAGGCGGAGCCTGCAGTGAGCCAAGATAGCACCATTGCACTCCAGCCTGGGCGACAGAGTGAGACTCCCTCTCAAAAAAAAAAAAAAAAACATGGGTGAGATTACTCTCTGAATATAATGTGGTTTATAACAAGCACCTTTTCCTTTTCCTTTTCCTTTTCCTTTTTCTTTCTTTTTTTTTTTTTTGAGGCAGGGTCTCTCTCTGTTGCCCAGCCTGGAGTAAAGTGGTGTGATCACAGCCCACTGCAGCCTCTACCTCTCAGGCTCAAGCGATCCTCCCACCTCAGCCTCCCAAGTAGCTGGTACTACAGGCATGTGCCACCACGCCCAGCTAATATTTTATTATCTGTAAAGATGGGGTCTCACTATGTTGCCCAAGTTGCTTTCAAAGCCTTGGGCTCAAGTGATCACTGAGGTCTCCCAAAGTGCTGGGATTACAGGCATGAACCACTGTACTCAACTGTCTTTCTGTGTTGATCCAGTGCTTTGTAAATTTTGGGCTTAATGGCCCGTAACAGCTGGCTTGTGGATGAACCATGTTGCACACCACCTTTCGGGAGGGCCAGCTTGGGGACTCTTCATTAAAGTGACGCCAAAGACCAAGACATTTATAGGTTGCAAGATTTGTTAAGAAATCATTCTCTAAAACTGTGGAGGCCTGCTGTCAACTTATTTGAAACAAAGTTTTGCTCTTGTCACCCAGGCTGGAGTTCAGTGGCACTATCTCGGCTCACTGCAACCTCCGCCTCCCAGGTTCAAGCGATTCCTCTGCCTCAGCCTCCCGAGCAGCTGGGATTACAGGCGCTGGCCACCATGCCCGGCTAATTTTTTTTTTTTTTTTTTTTTTTGTATTTTCAGTAGAGTCGGGATTTTGCCTTGTTGGGCAGCCTGGTCTTGAACTGCTGACCTCAGGTGATCCACCCGCCTCGGCCTCCCAAAGTGTTGGGATTACAGGCGTGAGCCACTGCGCCTGGCCGCTATCAACTTTTAACAAGCAACCTGGCTGCCCAGCTCAGCCAATGTGTTCTTTTGTAATTTTCTTATACCTTTCTTGGTTTTCAAAACAGACTTGGTACCAGAGCACATTGACCTTTTTCATTTGATGACCACAAAGAGGGCTTTGGATGTGGGCACTTCAGAGAAGTCTCTGGGACAATCTCAGTATTAGAGACACTGGTTTCTGTCTCATATAACAAACAAGTGCTCAGAGTTGAGCTTCTCTGTCCCAGGGCTGACAGGGAGCCTAGACTGGGCCTGTAGGGCCCAGAGAACGTGTGCATTTCTTTTTCTTTCTTTCTTTTTTTTTTTTTTGAGACAGAGTCTCACCCTGTTGCCCAGACTTGAGGTGCAGCATCACGATCTTGGCTCACCGTAACCTCCACCTTCTGGTCTCAAGCGATTCTCCTGCCTTAGCCTCCCAAGTAGCTGGGATTACAGGCATGTGGCACAACCGCCTGGCTAATTTTTGTGTTTGTAGTAGAGATGGGGTTTCACTATGTTGACCAACCTGGTCTTGAACTCCTGACCTCAAATGATCCAACTGCCTTGACTCCTGAAGTCCTGGGATTACAGGCGTGAGCCACCGCGCGCCCAGCCTTTTTTTTTTTTTTTTTTTTTTTTTGACATAGTCTTGCTCTGTCACCCAGGCTGGAGTGCAATGGTGTGATCTCAGCTCACTGCAACCTCTGCCTCCCAGGCCCAAGCGACTCTCCTGCCTCAGCCTCCCGAGTAGCTGGGACTATGGGTGTGCCACTACGCCTGGCTAATTTTTTTTGTATTTTTAGTAGAGATGGGGTTTCACCATGTTGGTCAGGCTGGTCTTGAACTCCTGATCTCAAATGATCCTGACTGCCTTGGCCTCCCAAAGTGCTGGGATTACAGGCGTGAGCCACTCTGCCTGGCTGATCTGATGGTTTTGTAAGGGGTTTCCGCTTTTGGTTGGCTCTCATTCTCTCTTGCCTGCTGCCATATAAGACAGGCCTTTTGCCTTTTACCATGATTGTGAGGCCTCCCAAGCCATGTGGAACTGTGAGTCCATTAAACCTCTTTTTCTTTATAAATTAGTCAGTCTTGGGTATGTCTTTATCAGCAGCATGAAAACGGACTAATGCTATTGGTCCGCCCTCCTTCGATGATGTGGTATCTGGTGAAAGTTTGGGGTTATGGATCTTTTACTATATCTGCAAATGGGGGCCTCCTTCAGCTTCCAGCTTCCTTAGACATAGACCTTTGCCTGTCACCTGCATGTCTGTCTGGGACCTGTACTCAGAGGATGCCCCGCATAGTGCGTGTCACAAAGCCCAAGGTGACATCTTTGGGGCAAGCTATTCTGCACGTCCTCAAGGCCTCTGTGTTTGCTAAACGTGAAACTCAAGTGTGCTTAGCCAGCTGTGTGGGAGTTTTCAGCATGCAGGCAAAGCCTCCTCATTGCTTCAGGGCTGGAGGTGGCTGAGATGTGTGTGAGAGCTTTCTGTCGAGGTTCAGGGTGCTTCCTACCTCTGTCCGGTGGAGCTTTGGCTGTTGTGAACAGGGGACCTATGAGAACCTCAGGCCTTTGATATTGCCTTGGATTTGTGACTCCACCACCAAGTCGCTGAAAGTACCAAGATGTACCCACATGAACCCTTCAGTGCACAGATTGTCAAAAACTCTAAGAATATTGTTTGCCCATTTTAAGAAAATGCTCACATATCAGCTGCCCCACCACCCCCTTTTAGGCATTTAACAATATTCTGGTTATAGGTCTTTAACTACAATTTGCATAATGTAAACATATGACTGACTCTTATAAATCTGTTTCTCATTTGTATTGGACTTAATTTTTTTTGTTGTTTTCAAGAATGTACTATAATAAATATTCATAAGCTCCAAGACATCTCACTATGGACCATTCGTTATATATAATAGCACTTTAAATAACGTTTCAAAATGTTTTCCTACTGCTGTGGGCTCAATTGTGTTGGCTGTGATTTTGCATGGTTTCAAAAAAAGCACTCAGGTGTTCCTGGAGCCCCACGCTCTCGCTCTTTAATCCGGTATTTGGAAGCAGACACGAGTTCTTTCCCAAACACATCGCACATTTCCAGAGCATGTCTTGTGGCTTGAAGCATGTGGACTGTGCAGCAGCCGATGCTATCAGGGACCCTCTTCACAGCTTTGACAAATGTGTCACCTCCCCTCTATGCTTAGCTGTGACCGTGGAGAATGCTATCACTAGTTCCTTTGCCACTTTCTTGGAGAAGTTCTATTTGTGAAGGCCGTGCGTGTTTGTGTGTTTGTGTGTTTAAATGGAAGCTAAAGGAGTCAGAAGCTGTTTGATAAGCCCTGGGTATGAGTTAATTATTGATAAGGTGGTTGAACCCATCACAGTCACTTCCGATAACTCCGCAAGCAAATGAAAAACATCCTGGAATTGTGAATTCCCCTGTGGCAAGTGGTTATCGTTCGTGGTGGCAGTCTGCTGTTACGAGGTAAGTAATGAAGCTTTCCACCTTTCCCCTTTAAGAAACTGTGACTGCACTTTCCATGGAGCAGGGGTGAGAGCAGGTGCCCTTGTCCCCGTGGCTCCTGGCGGGCTCTTTCTGGATGCTTCTCTGGACAGAGGCTGGTTTATATTCTTTGAGGGGACATGGCTGAAGGCTGCCAGGAACCCCCTTTCCTAGGTTGCTCCCGTGCCTTTGCAAGGACTTCAGCTTCCACTTATGTCTCCTTATTTGTTACTTCATTTATTTCCTTTTGTTATTCTCATTTGTTAATTATTAATGGATCTCAAATGTTTATACATATTAAAAAAACTTCTCTCATCAAAAAAGTTGGGGCCTTTTTCTGATCTTCCGTGTAAAATCAAAACCACTCATCCTAGCCTTCAAGATTGACATCAGATGATGACGTTCAGCTTTTCTCATTTCTTCCTGTGTCCTGTGCAGCATAATAGGATGAATATGGACTTTGACGTCAGATGGAGCTGACTTGGAATCCTGGCTCTGCCAGCTGACTGGCAGAGGGGGTAAGTTATTTAACCTCTTTGAGAGTCGGTTTCATCATTTGCAAAATGGAAACAGCTTACCTACTTCACAAGACAGTCGTGAGAATGAAATTATTTATGGCAGGAAATCTGATGCATTGGACCATCCCAGGGCAGAGCCTAGGCATGAAATCTGCAGGACTCCCGGGCTCCTCCAGGAAGTGCACCCTGGCTTGTTCCTCCTCTGTCTTTGCGTGTTGTGCTAGAAAAGTATGGATTTCAGAGTGGGGGGCCTGTTCTGTAGCTTCTGGTGAAAGTTTGGCAGTTGGAATCACCACCCTGGCAGATTCTGCTTGGGGACTTCCCCAGGGACAATCTGAGTCTGTTTTTGAGCTACTGTTCTTGGATTTTTTTTTTTTTTTTTTTGAGATGGAGTCTTGCTCTGTTACACAGGCTGGAGTGCAGTGGCACGATCTCGGCTCACTGCAACCTCCGCCTACTGGGTTCAAGCGATTCTCCTGCCCCAGCCTCCCAAGTACCTGGGATTACAGGCGTGTGCCACCACACCCAGCTAATTTTTAGTAGAGATGGGGTTTCACCGTGTTGGCCAGGCTGGTCTCGAACTTCTGACCTCAAGTGATCCACTCGCCTCAGCCTCCCAAAGTACTGGGATTACAGGCCTGAGCCACTGCGCCCGGCCTCTTCTTGGATTCTTATTAATTGTCAGAAAGTTGTTCCTTATACTGATCCAAACTGCCTCCTTGTATAAATGTCATGCAGTCCATCCAAAAGCCCCGACTGATCAGGGATGGGCTGGAGCGGATGTGTCTCGATGCCCCTTGGGTCAAGAGGCTGTGGCTCTCATCAGGTGAGCCTTAAGGCAGGCGCGATGTGGCACTAATGGAAGGATAGGTCCAGCTCAGTTATAGCTCAGTTTTCTTTGGTGCTGCTCAGGCTGTGACGGAAGCAAACAGCACTTATCCATGGAGAGTAATGGGGATGATGGATGAGAGGACTTGGAACCTTTTGAGCAACGCTTGAAGAAACTAGGGCTATTTCACTTTAGAGAAGGAATGCAGGGGTCTAGAAACTCATGGTTTGAAAGGGTGTTGAGGTCATTAGGTCCAGTGTTTTCCAAGATGATTTTAAGGAGGTGCGGCTGAATTTCAGACGGAGGAAAAGGATAATCTTTTGGGTTTTAATTTTCAATATTTTGAGGAAAACGTTTTTGCTTCCTGCCAATATGCCTTTAGTGCTTGACTAACACTTTTTAATCACCTTTTTTATTTTTGAAAAAAGAGAGTAGGCCTCCCAGCTGAGTACCCTTAGCTAGAATGCTATGTTTTGTCTTTGTAAGGTATTTTTATAATTATAGCAAATGATGCCTCATTTATGGCAGGGCTAATAAGAGGACAGGTGGTGTTCAGATGTGTCAAAATCACACAAGTGTTTTCTGGGAGGCACTGGCCTATGGTCTGGGCCTCTGCACCCCCAGGAGCCTGTTCTATTCTGGGATAGCTCTGATTGTTAGAACATTCTTCATGAGGAGCCCAAACTGATAGGGCCATATGCCTCTCCATTGGCCTTGTGCCTCGCGTGGGGTCATCCAGGTAGGTGGGCATGGCTTCTCCACTCAGGTGTGCTGCATTTTCAAAGTCCTCCCCTCCACCAGATCACACATCTCTCAGTCTCCAATTGCTTCTCCTGGGATACAGGCTGCAGAGCTTGTCGCACCCTGGGTCCCTCTTTCAGGTCTAGGCTTCTTTTAGCACGACGTCAGAACTTGTGTCATGGGTGCCATTGTGGAAGCACCTGGGTTTTGTAGTAAGTTAGTCCTGGGTTCAGATCCTGGCTCTGACCCTTAGGAGCGGGTGGCCCTGGTGAAGTTCCTGAGTGTCTCTGAGCCTTATTTTCCTGCCTTGCGACTCGGTAGCGTGGCCTGTGCCCGGCAGCAAGGCATCACCAAGGAGCTGGTTAGAAATACAGGATCTCAGCCGGGTGCCGAGGCTGACGCCTGTAATCCCAGCACTTTGGGAGGCCGAGGTGGGTGGATCACCTGAGGTCAGGAGTTCAAGACCAGCCTGACCAACATGGTGAAACCCCGACTCTACTAAAAAAATACAAAAATTAGTCAGGCATGGTGGCGGGCGCCTGTAATCCCAGCTACTCAGGAGGCTGAGGCAGGAGAATCGCTTGAACCCAGGAGGCAGAGGTTGCAGTGAGCCAAGATCATGCCACTGCACTCTAGCCTGGGCGACAAGAGAGAGACTCTGTCTCAAAAAAGAAAGGAAAGGGAAAGGGAAAGGGAGGGGAGGGAAGGGGAGGGGAGGGGAGGGGAGGGAAGAAAGAAAGAAATACAGGGTCTCAAGCCCCACCCCAGACCTAGAGTCAGAACTTGGGCTTTAACAAGATCCCCAGGCGATTTGCAGGCACACTGCAGGCTACGAAATGCTTGTCTAGAGAACCGTGAGATTAGAGTGGTGGTTGGGTAAGTGTTCACTCTTCTTGGACTGGACATTTTGCTTCCACAAAGCTAGCCTCAGTTTAACTGGGCATTTCCTGCCCAAGTTTGACTCACCTGACACTTCACTCACCACCTGCGTGCCCGGCCCTGGGCTTTCCACATGAACTTGTTATTAAGACATCACTCTCTTTCAAAGTTTGTGTAGTTGATGTTTCAAACCTAAAGATAGGAACTTATCTTTATTCCACTATATATAAATAACAGCTTTATTGAGATATAATTCATATACCATATAATTCCTCTATTTAAGGTTTACAGTTCATGTTTTTTAGCATACACAGAGTTGTGCATCCATCATACAATCAGTTTCAGAACATTTTCATTACCCCTAAAACAAACCCCACTCCCTTCATCTATCACGATCCTTCTACCCTCCCCAGCCCCAGGCAGCCACTAATCTACTTTCTCTATGGATTTGCCTATTCTGGACATTTCTTATGAATGGAATCATACAATATATGCCCTTTTGTGCCTGACTTCTTTCACATAGCATAATGTGTTCAAGGATCATCCATGTTAGAGCATGTTTCAGTACTTCCTTCATTTTTAGGGCTGAATAATATTCCACTATGCAGATACATCACATTTGTTTATCCATTCATCAGTTGATGGACACTTCGATTATTTCCACTTTTGGACTATGAATAATGCCACTGTGAAAATTTGTGTACAAGTTTTTGCATTGGGGATGTGTTCTCATTTCTCTTGGGAGCCCAGGAGTGGGATGAATTGCTGAATCATACGGTAATTATGTTTAACCTTTTGAGGATCTGTACTGTTTTCCAAAGCCACTGCAACATTTTGTGTTTCCTTCAACAATGTTTGAGGATTCCGATTTTTCTACATCCTTGTCAACACTTATTATTGGCAATAAATCAATAACCATTCTAGTGGGTGTGAAGTGGTGTCCCTGGGTGTGGGTTTGATTTGCATTTCCCCGATGACTAATGATATGAGTATCTTTTCATGTGTTTATTGGCCATTTGTATATCTTCTTTAAAGAACTGTCTATTCTTATTTTTTGCTATTTTAAAATCAGGTTATTTGTCTTTTTAGTATTGAGTTGTGAGATTTAAAATCTAGTCTTTATATATTCTGGATACAAATTCTTTATCAGCTATATGATTTGCAAAATTTTTCTCCCATTCTGTGGGTTGTCTTTTCACTTTGTTGGTGGTATCATTTGAAGCACAAATGTTTTTAATTTTTTAAATTATACTTTAAGTTCTAGGGTACATGTGCACAACATGCAGGTTTGTTACATATGTATACATGTGCCATGTTGGTGTGCTGCACCTGTTAACTCGTCATTTGCATTAGGTATATCTCCTAGTGCTATCCCTCCCCCCTCCCCCCACCCCAGACCCCGGTGTGTGGTGTTCCCCACCCTGTGTCCAAGTGTTCTCATTGTCCAATTCCCACCTATGAGGGGGAGCATGTGGAGTTTGGTTTTCTGTCCTTGTGATAGTTTGCTCAGAATGATGGTTTCCAGCTTCATCCATGTCCCTACAAGGGACATGAACTCATCCCTTTTTATGGCTGCATAGTATTCCCTGGTGTATATGTGCCACATAAATGTTTTTAATTTTTATGATGTCCACTTTATCTATTTTTTTGTTGTTGTGTTTGCTTTTGATGTCACATCTAAGAAACCATTACTTAATCCAAGGTCATGAAGATTTATGCCTGTGTTTTCTGATTATGTTTTTCTTGGGTCTATTATTTCATTGTGTTTAAAGAGTGGGTCCTTCCATCCAGCTATATTAGCTCTTTCTTCTGACTGTATAGCTTGTGTCCTTTGAAGGCATGCATTCATTTTTTTTTTTTTTAAGATAGGATCTCACTCTCTTTTCCAGGCTATGGAGCTTATAGCTTACTGTAATCTTGAGCTCCTAGGCTCAAGCAATCCTCTAGCTTTAGCCTTTTGAGTAACTGGGACTATACATGTGTACACTATCACACCTGGCTAATTAATTTTTTTTTTTTTGTAGAGACAAGGTCTCCCTATATCGCCCAGGTTGATCTTGAACTCCTGGCCTCAAACGATCTTCCCACTTTGGCCTCTCAAAGTGCCAGAACTATAGGCATGAACCACCATGCCCAGCCCTGATGGTGTGCTTTCTTTATTTGTAATCCAAGTACCTAAAAAAATGCTGATCATTATTCATGCAATTATTATACCTTTAAAAACACACTCAACCCATTATTTAGCACACATTGCTGGCTCATCCACAAAAAGATTTCAAGAGACTTTATGAAATGAATGCTTGAAATTTAGAGTGGAGGGAAACCTGGCTGCTGAAACCAAGATGACTTATGTTTAATTGTTCTCCTAACACTAGTCTGGGAACACTCTGAGAAAAGGAGGTGAGGTCAGTTTTGTATCATCTGGTTTTGGGGAATTCATACTGATTTTAAGTCCAGTCTTTCTTTTCTTGGTCCTTATAGACCATCTTTCACAATTCACTCTGGACCTTTGTCAGGAGGGGATGCTAGGAGAACCAGGCATTAATACTAAGGCTGATGTTATCCCCCTATGCACTGGGGCAGCATTGGTTCATGTTTGGTCTTTTTGGCCATTCCTGTCACTGTATAATTACAGAGAGTGGATTTCAACTTCAGCATCACATTCACAGGTTCTGCTCCTTGGGATGTGAATTCACTGGGTCTAGAGACTTGAGCATCTCTAAAAGGAGCAAATCTCTAAAAGAATGTCCCAGAGGCAGATTAAAAATGGCAAGTTGTAATTGATATGAAGTCAAATGCAGCTGTTTGGGAAATAAACAAAGATAAGACATAAAAAAGGATGAGTTCATGTCCTTTGTAGGGATATGGATGAAGCTGGAAACCATCATTCTGAGCAAACTATCGCAAAGATAGAAAACCAAATACCGCACGTTCTCACTCACAGGTGGGAATTGAACAATGAGAACACTTGGACACAGGAAGGGGAACATCACACACTGGGGCCTGTTGTGGGGTGGAGGGAGCGGGGAGGGATAGCACTAGGAGATATACCTAATGTAAATGACGAGTTAACGGGTGCAGCACACCAACATGGCACATGTATACATATGTAACAAACCTGCACGTTGTGCACATGTACCCTAGAACTTAAAGTATAATAATAATAAAAAAATAAACAAAAAACCAACCAAACAACAACAACAGAAAAACAAAGGCAAGACCCTTGCCTTATACTCTAATCCACTATTTCCAGTTTCCAAGCCATTCCTAATTTGGGGACCAGTTGGCTTTCCAGTGAATATGGTCCTCTGTGACCATTAGAGCATCTGGCCAATGCGTGTTCTTCCTCAAGGTTCTCTCCAAGTCCAGCCAGCCTACCCGGGCCCCTCACCCTGTTTTCACGAGCAGTTTCCCAGCCTGCCTGAGCTTACTCAGTGCTCTGGTCTTCCCCACCTTATTCTTTAAGGATTGTGCCAGGCCTGGGGCTCTGCACTCAGTTACAGGCACCTTTGTCCATCCCCCACTGTAACACCTTCGTAACATCTGACCCTTTCTGAATGGGCCTCTTTTCTGCAAGCTCCTGGGCCACACCTTTAGTTCCAGATGGAGTCTTCCTGTTGTACTTGTCAGGAAACTTGCTGATTTGTCTTGTAAGATTTCCTCTTATCAGCTCTCTTTCTGACAACTTTTATTTTATTTTATTTTTTCATATGAAGCCCAGGAGTCAGATGATCAGAGGGCAAGGCAAAGAATGTTCCAGAGGCTGATTAAAAATGGCAAACTGTAATTGATATGCAGTCAAATGCAGCTGTTTGGGAAATAAACAAAGGCAAGACCCTTGCCTTATACAACAACCCAAATAAACTCCAAACGGATTGAGGAATTACATGTAAAAAAACCAAATGAGATAAAATTAAAATCCACACCCATAATATAAAAATGAATACAAAATTTCTTTCTACTCATGATTTAAGTTTCTGGAAACCTCTGTGGCAACAGGAATTCACAACTGATTAGCTTCAGCATGTACAGACTAAAGAGTAAAGACCCGAAAATTAAAATTAAACCTATGATAGGAGAGGTATAGATAGATAGGCAGACAGGTAAGGATGATAAAATATTCATGGTAGATTTAGGTGGTGAGTGTGTGGGTGTCCACTGTAACAAATGTTTGAAAACTTTTGTCATCAAATGTTTTAGAAAAAGGAAAAAAAAATTATAATTGAGTAAAATGACAAAGATATGATGCCACAGTGCTGCAGAAGGTTTTGGAGTAAGGAGGCTCTTGGGTATTGCTGGAAGCAGTTGGGAGCCCTCCCTGGTTCTTGGCAGGGAAGTGGCAGTCTAGCCGGTACGGGGGTGTGAAACCAGATAAGTTATCCACCGCCCACTGCCCATTTCCTCAGGACCTCTGGCTCTGCCTCCTGGCGTCCAGACTCAGTGGTGGTGCCCGCGCTTGGCTCTCACAGAGGCTGGCTCTGTCCCCAGCACTAGGGGCTGTGGACCTGCAGCAACAGGCCCTCCCTGCTTGCTCTCAGCCCTTGGCTGCCTGGGGGGCATGCAGAAGGAGTGCTGAAAGGAAGCGGAGATTTCCAAAGAAGCCTGGTGATGTTATGGAGGATGGGGTGGGGACAGGGATCCTGGCTCTGTATCTTCAGTCCTTGGCAAAATGCCCTGCCCATGATTGGAAGGAAGGACATGCCAGTGAATCTTGGGGAGGCTGCTGGCAACCTCGGCAGAGATGCTGGGGGCTTGCCTGGCAGGGGGCACAGGTTGGAGACACATGGAGTGGATTGAAAGCAATGGTGAGGAAGGTTTCAGCGTGGCTAGGTGGTGGTACCAGCCATGCTCGGTTATCTAGGAGAAAAAGCACAGGGCAAGGTCAACCTGAGCTCCCATCTGAAGGGTCTGGGGAATAGCAAAAGCAGGGGGAAGTAAGATTCGGCAGCGGGAGGAGGAGTCTGGGCCTGGATCCTCCACCTGGGTGGGAACCTGTGCCGTAGGCGTGTCTGCGTTGTGGGGCATAGCACCTTGCAGTTATCACCTGTTGCTATTCCTAGCCCTGGTCATTGCCTGTGGTTGACCTTCTTTGGTAGATTATAACCTCTCTGAAGGGAGGGGTCCTGCCACTTAGATCTTCTGGGCTCTGTTGGGTTGCCAGCATCCCCAGAGGGTGTTTGTAAATATTAGTTAGGTCTCTCCATGGGGGAGATGTGGGATGGGGAGGCAGCTGGGCTAAGAAACAGAAATCAAGACACTGAGGGAGAAGGAAGGCTGAAGCAATAGTGTTTGCAGTTGTTGCCTTCCCTGATTAGAACATCTATCCCTCCAGCCAACTCCCAGGACGTTTTGTGACCAAGCATAGCACTAACCCTTCAAATGGCTGCTAATTGATTTACAGTTTTTGGTGATTGCACAGCATGTGCACCCGGAGAAAAACAAGCAGAGAATCAAAAAATGATGATTTTTTCCTGGAAAAGCATGCCCGTTATAGCCTACAGGGACAGCAGGGGCCAAGGCAAACATTCAGCTGAAACCAGAGCCTTGGTGTAGCCTGCCTTCCGCATGGCTGTCCTGGGCCGGGAGATTGCGACATGGTGGGGCTGTGGCCAGACCCTCTCTGGGCTGTGCCGGGGGCAGGTGGTGGTTGGGAGGGAACCTCAGGGAACTTCTTTGGGGCCAGGAGGTCCTGTCTGAGCTGCTCCTCTCTGCTGTGCAGGCTGCCCAGATTTTGGGGATGGGTCAGGGATGGAGGGCTGGAAGCGGGTGGGGATTGTGAATTTGGGACTCCTAGAAGGGGGCCCAGCTAGAGCAGCTCCTGGTCTCTGCTGGTGGGCCTTGAAGGGAGGGGCTGGGCCCTCTGGTGGGATGGATGGGTGCAGTGCAGTGCTGACTAGCAGGATGAGGGCAGTTTGTGTATATCTAGTGAAAAGAATGAAAAACAACTGGGGTGGTGGGAGATGGGGAGAGGCTCGCTGACCTAGTGAAGTCTGGGTTTTGGCGTGTGGAGCGGTGATTGCAATTTTTCTGGCTTTGAAGTGTGATGGCCCCGCAGACTCATGAACACGAAGGATGCAGAGTGGAGATTTCCCGGAGCCTGCTTCAGGGACCACCTGGTTAGGAGGCACCCTGTAAATATGCCTGCCATGAGCATGTGGACATAGCGTCTTTATATTTTAGTCTGTGCTTTCTTTCTGGATCATGCAAAGGGAAACGTCAGTCCGAGGCAGGTCAAATCCCACCCTCCACATTGGCAGAACCCTGCTGAAGTAGGTTTGACAGTTTGAGGGAAAAGAGCTCTGGCCAGAAACTCAGGCTTTATTTAAATACCTGCGTCTCTGGGCAGCTGAGGTGCCCATGTGGCCACGGATGTTTGGCCAGTGTTAGGTGGCCCCCAGGTTGAGTAGTGACCCAAGCCACTTCTCATACAACCTAAAGGAGCCCCGTGCTAGGAACAGAGAGATTTGTTTTCGTTGGGCCCTAAAAGGTGCCAGTTGAAGGGCTGGCTACTCACAAGGACAGCGAAATGTTTTGGAAGTGCATGTTGGCTAGAGTTTGGGATTTCCCTCTTTATGGCACTTACTGTGAGCTGGATTTAAATATAGGGGAAAACAGCATCCCACTTTCTTACCAAGGGACTAATGGTATTTGGAAGACAGGGACGCTCCATGGAAAATATTTCGAGTGTCAAGGACGGAGCCTTGGGCTTGGTGTGGTGGGGGTGGGTTGCTTCTGGGAGGCACCTTGAAGGTTTTACCACCGCATTTGGGGAGCTGTCTGCATCTCTTTTTGCTTCCCCCAAACCCGAGAAACGTGCCAAGCCTGCCTTGGTCCGGCTGGTGATTTTAAGACTCCTTTCCTAGATGTACAGCTTTAGCGTGGGTTTCTTTTTGTCCCCAAAACCTTGCAGTTCAGCTGTACCTCTGGATCCAGGCACCCCACCTCGCTCCATCTTCCTCTGGTTAAAATCTAGACTCATGAAAACAAAATTGCTTAAGGCAAGAAAGGCCTGAGAAACAGAGGGAGGCTGATGCAAATCTACTGCAAACCAGATGTTTCCTTCTCTGTGGCAAAGAGGCGCTGAAGTTCATGGGGCATCTGGGGAAGTGTTTGTCTTTAAGGAAGACATCTGTATGGAAGTGGTAGCCTGAGTAATGCGATGTGACAGTTGCTGTGTCGACTCGCGTATTTTCCCCTCCCCTTATATTATTGGCCAGTTCAATGTTGCACAAAAGTCGTGCAATGCCTTGGAATGTGTTTATGTGCTGTCCTCTGCCAGAACTTTTCAGCATTTTTTTTTCCTACGTGTGTTTTGCTTTTGAGAAGATGGCCTGTCACTTTGGTTTAACTGTGTTCTTTTTTTATGGAACTACATATTTCTTGGATTTGTAACGGGGCAGTGGCGACTTAGACTCCAGGAGAGTAATGGATGGGGGAGCAAAAAGGGGCAGGAAGGGGCACTTGAAGCCCCTTCCAGACCAGGGGTCAGACATGACCAATTTGCAGGTAGTTTGAGGAGATAATATGTGTGCGAGTGGAATGGGTCCCTCCTTGGTGTCTGTGATGGCATGGGACATGGATCCTTCTTCTCTCTCTCTTCTCAGCTCCCGGCTATGTATCCAGCTGCCTGCTGGCCAGGCTCACTTTGCCATCTCTATCAGGCATTTGGAAACTGCAGCCCGCACTTTCCTCCTCTTCCTCCTCTTTGCTTCCTCCTAGTTAAGGCACCTGCAACCTTCTGCTGAAGCTTGAGGGCTGGCTGCCCTCACTGCTACCTTCTTCTTTTTTTTTTTTTTTGAGATGGAGTTTTGCTCTTGTTGCCCAGGCTGGAGTGCAGTGGTGCGATCTCGGCTCACCACAACCTCTGCCTCCTGGGTTCAAGCGATTCTCCTGTCTCAGCCTTCCCAAGTAGCTGGGATTACAGGCATGCGCCACCACGCCTGGCTAATTTTGTATTTTTAGTAGAGATGGGGTTTCTCCATGTTGGCCAGGCTGGTCTTGAACTCCTGACCTCAGGTGATCCACCCGCCCCTGCCTCCCAAAGTGCTGGCATTACAGGCGTGAGCCACCGTGCCTGGCTGCTACCGCCTTCTTTCTGCTGCAGACGAGTCTACTCCCAGCCTGTATCTCTTCCCCAGTACCTCCGTCCCAGTCAGCATGATTGCTGCAGCCCGTCTCTCCTCTCCTGGCTGCATCCCCACGGCTTCCCATTGTTTTCTCTCCCTCCATCCTCACCCCCATCCTAATCCAGTCTCCACCCTCAGTCAGTGTGAACCTTTTTTTTCTTTTTTCCCTTTTAAGACTTTATCTTTTTAGACCCGTTTCAGGGTCACAGCTTTAGGTTTCACAGTTTCAGGCTCAAGAAGGTACAGAGATTTCCTATATGCCCCCTTCCCCGACACGTGCAGAGCCTCCCCTGTGGTCAGCATCTCCCATCAGACTGGGACATTTGTTGCAATTGATGAACCTACATTGCCACATCATTATCACCCAGAGCTCATCGTTTACATTAGGGTTCACTCTTGGTATTGTATGTTCTACAGGTTTGGGCAAATGAATAATGACATGTATCCACCATTATAGTATTACACAGGCATGAGGCATTCACCCTGTTAAGGTCTTCCCTGGCTGGCCTCTCCTTTCTCAGCACAGTGCCTTGGTTTGTCCTCTCCTCATCTAGCCCTTTCCTTTCTCTTTCTGCTGGCCTCTGCCTGGGTCTGGCCCAGCTCTGCCCTCTTGTCTTTTGTCCATTCTTCATTTGGGGCATACTGCTTAGAACAGGGGCTTTGGAGTCAGTGAGACCCACCCGGGTTCACATCCAATTCCAGTGCTGCTATTTCTAGGTACACAACCTTGGACAGGTTTCTTTTTCTTTTCTTTTCTTTTTTTTTTTTTTTGAGGTGGAGTCTTGCTCTGTTGCCCAGGCTGGAGTGCAGTGGCACAGTCTCGGCTCACTGTAACCTCCGCCTCCCAGGTTCAAGTGATTCTCATGCCTCAGCCACCCGAGTAGCTGGAATTACAGGCGCTCGCCACCATGCCTGGCTAATTTTTGTATTGTTAGTAGAGATGGGGTTTCACCATGTTGGTCAGGCTGGTTTCAAACTCCTGACCTCAAGTGATCCGCCTGCCTCGGCCTCCCAGAGTGCTGGGATTACAGGCGTGAGCCACCATGCCCAGCCCTTGAGCAGGTTTCTTAACCTTCTGAGCCTCACCTGGAAAATGGAATTAGCTATAGTAACCAGTCAATGAGATACTGGAGAACTTGGTGTGATGTCAGCAAGATAGCTGACTAAAAGCCCCTAGTGCTTGACCCCCTACAAAGACAGCCAGAACAACAAACAACCACCTGTTAATGAAAATAACTGAGAGAGAGAGTGCCAAAGTGTATCAGAGGTTTAAGAGAAACCCTGGTGAGCACAGAAACTCGGGATGGCCACATAGAGAATGGAACAATGGGCCTCCGCCACTTCATCTCCCAACTGGGATAATCTGGGAACCAGGAGGAGCTTTTTCCTATGGTGGGGAAGTAAGCAAGGGGATCCCAGAAAACCCCATTACCACCTTGGACCTCACCGCATCACACCTACAGACATCACTGCTGGGGTCTCCTGCAGCCCTCACAGGCACTAAGCCCCACTGAAGGGTCTGCCTGGAGTCTACACAGCTATGCTCCTGCCAGGGTAGGAGCCAATATTGTGCCCTGCCCCTATGCCTTGCATGGCTACTGCATTCTCTTATTTTGGAATTGGAAAGATGGCTTGGGTATGTCTGGCTCTGGGGTTGAGTGGCCACAGCTTCCCTTCATCTCTGAGGTTAAGCTGCCACAGAACCACCCCAGCCTGATGGCCTGATATCCCCAAGCGAAGTTGCCAGCAGGTGTTACACCCATCCCCATGGGGCCAAGGAGAGGTGAAGTGGCTCCACCTACCACCAGCTCTACCTCCTTGGGCTGGAGCTTGAGCAGTACCCTGCTTCCTGGGAAAATAGTACCTTGGCTGCCCAGAGCAGCCATGCCTACAAGTGCCTAATTTGAAGCAGCACCCTACATCAGGAAATGATATCTTTGTTATCCAGAGTGGTCACACATCCTATACCTAAGCTGAGGTGATGCCCTGCATCCCAGGGAAACGGTGCCTCGGCACCCAGAACAGTCATACCCCCCAGACCTAAGCTGAAGTGGTACATTGCCCTGTGGAGAATTAGAGCTTTTGCTGAGCTGAGCAGCTCCACATCCCAGGGCTGAGCTGATGTAGTATCCCATGTCCCAGGGAAACAGAGCAGTGACTGATCTCAGACACCCTTTTCTACTGGCCAAATAACTCCAGAATCCTGCTTTCCTGAAGCTGAACTAGATTCCTAGAGTCTGAGCTGCTGAGATAGCCTTCTCCTTGCGGAGTGGAGTTACAGCTTTGCTGCCTCCTTGCCTCCCCAATCTCCCAGGGCCCAAAGGACAGCTGTGTTCCACCATTCTGGGGTACTTGTTACTCCCGCACCTGGTCTCATAAAGTCTGGAATACTGGTGAGCCCCACCCTCCCAGTGTCTAGAGTCACTACTGCATGGTGCCTTATCCTGTGGGACCCAAGTTGCCACTGAACCCTGTTGGTTGGCTCAGGCTCCCAAATTGCAGCTGTACCTTGCTCCCCAGGCCCAAACCTTAGAGCACCTCTTCTTCCCTGGAGTTGGGCCAGTTCTGTGCCCTAACTCCTGTGGGTAGAATCACAGCTACAATGCAACCTTGTGGGCCAGAGCTGCTAGAAGATGCCTCAGACTCACAGATCCTGGCTTTGTGGGCAACCTTCAGCCAACCCTGCCACAGAAAGTGAACCTGTACCCCAAGACCCGAGTACCAAAATAGGTTCGTGAGACCCTGAGCCTAGGATGTTGGCTCCACAGTTGCTTTAAGCACCTGAATCTGGAACCTAGCACCACTGAAGCTACTTGTAGGTCACGTCAGACCTGACATCAGGAGGGATCCCCTTGGCTGAGTCTCCACACTGTAGGGAAGATGAGCCTAGGAGGACCCCCAAATCCCTTGACACTGAGGACATTAGCAACCTACTCCACTGCTGCTGCCGCCACAGACTTCTACAGCCTGGGCCACTGTGGCACCCACAGTTACTCCTGATGTTGTGCACAAATAAAGAACCTTCATGGAGGCTATAATATTGTGCCTATCTGGAAAGAGTCACGACACCCTTCCCAACTGGTGCATTAAAATGCAACTGCAAGTGAAAGTCTTTGTCTACAAAATCTACTCTAGAAAGCTTGAAAGAGGTGATTCTTCCATCAGAAGCATACTGACATTGACATAGGAACATAAGACATGTGAAAAAGCAAGGAAATTTGATATCACCAAAGGAACACAATAACTCTATAGTAACAGACACCAATGAAACGGAAAGTAATGAGTTACCAGAAAGGGAATTTAAAATAATGATCTTAAGGAAACTAAAAAAGATAAAATAAAATACAATATAACTCAACAAAATAAGGAAAACAATTCACAATATGAATGAGAAATTCAACAGAGATAGGAATCATTAAAAAGGACCAAACATAAATATTACCACTGAAGAATTTAGTGAATGAAATAAAAAATATGATAGAGAGCTTCAACAGCAGCCTTGATCAAGCAGAAGAAGAAATCTCTGAACTTGAAGATAAGTCATTTGAAATTATTCAGTCAGAGGAAAAAAAGGATATAAGAAGGAAAAAGAGTGATGAAATCCTACAAGACTTATGACACATAAGTAAGGAAGCAAATATTCGTATTATGAGAATTCTGGGAAAAGAGAAGGGAAAAGGCATAGAAAACCTAAAGTTCCCAAGTCTGAGGAGAGATATGGACATCCAGATTTAGAAAGCACAAAGATCCTCAAATAGATTCAGCCATAAAAGTCCCTCCCTGAGGCATATTATAGTCAGATTATCAAAAGTCAAAGACAAAGAGATAATTCCAAAAACAGCAAGAGAAAAGCGTCAAGTCATATGTGATGGAATTCTCATTAGGCTAACAGCAGATTTCTCCACAGAAACCTTATAGGCCAGGAGAGAATGGAATAATGTATTCAAAATGCCAAAAGAAAAAAATTGCCATCAAGAATACTTCAGAAATAAGGGAGAAATAAAGTCTTTTCCAGACAAGCAAAAAGTGAGTCTTTCCCAGACAAGAAAAACTTTGTAATGTCACCACTAGATTGATGTTACAAAACAGGCTCAAGGAGTCCTATATCTGGAGGCAAAAATATGATAATCACTATCATGAAAACACACAAAAATAAACTCACTGGGAGAACAGATTCACAAAAGAGAAAGGCAAAAGAATAAAATCTTATCACTATGGGAAGCCATCAAACTACAATTATAAACAGTAAGAGAGGAAGAAAGGACCAAATTACATACAAAACAACCAGGAAACAATTAACAAAATGACAGGAATAAGTCCTCACCTATCCATAATAACCTTGAATGTAAGCAGATTAAATTCTCCATGGAAAAGATATAGACTGGCTTAATGGATAAAAAACATGACCCCACTATATGGTACCCACAAAAAACTCACTTTACCTGTAAAGACACATATAGACTGAAACTGAAGAGATGAAAAAAGATATTTCATGCAAACAGAAACAAAAAGCAAGCAGGAATAGCTATGTGAAGATTAAATAGACTTTTAAAAAATGGTAAAAAGATATTAAGAAAGTCATAATATAATGATAAAGAGGTTAGTTCAGCAATAGGATATAACAATAATAAATCTATATTCATCCAACACCAGAACACCCAGATATATGAAGCAAATATTATTAGATCTAAAGGGAGATATATGCTATAATACAATAATAGGTGAGTGCTTCAACACCAAACTGTCAGCACTGGACAGATCATTTAGACAGAAAATCAACAAAGAAACATTAGATTTAAATTGCACTTTAGACCAAATAGACTTAGCAGACATTTATAGAATATTTCATCCAACAGCTGCAGAACACACATTCTTTTCATCAGCACGTGGAACATTCTCCAGGATAGACCACATGTTAGGCCACAAAAAAAGTCTAAACAAATTTAAAAGAATTGAAATCATATCAAGTATCTTTTCTGACCACAGTGGAATAAAACTGGAAATTAATAGCAAGAGGGACATTAGAAATAGTATAAATACATGGAAATTAAGCATCATGCTCTTAAATGACCAAGGAGTCAATGAAGAAACTATGAAGGAAATTTAAAAGTTTATTGAAACAAATGAAAATAGAAACACAACATACCAAAACCTTTGGGAGATAGCAAAAGCAGTTCCAAGAGGGAAGTTTATAGCAATAAACACCTACATCAAAAAAGTAAAAATATTTCAAATAACCCAACAATGCATCTCAAGGAACTAGAAAAGCAAGAACAAAACAAACTCAAAATAAGTAGGAGAAAAGAAATAATAAAGAGTAGAGCAGAAATAAAATAAATTGAGACTAAATAAAATACAAAAGATCAACAAATAAAAGTTAGTTTTTTTTTTAACAGATAAGATAAAAAGGCCGGATGCGGTGGCTCACGCCTGTAATCCCAGCACTTTGGGAGGCCGAGACGGGCGGATCACGAGGTTAGGAGATCGAGACCATCCTGGATAACACGGTGAAACCCCATCTCTACTAAAAATACAAAAAAATTAGCCGGGCGCGGTGGCGGGCGCCTGTGGTCCCAGTTACTCGGGAGCCTGAGGCAGGAGAATGGCGTGAACCCGGGAGGCGGAGCTTGCAGTGAGCCGAGATCGCGCCACTGCACTCCAGCCTGGGCGACAGAGCAAGACTCCGTCTCATAAAAAAAAAAAAAAAAAAAAAAAAAAAAAACCAAGAAAAAAATATCCAAATAAATAAAATCAGAAATGAAAAGGGACAATTACAACTGATACCACAGAAATACACGGGATCATTAGAGAATATTACAAACAACTTTACAACAAATTTGAAAAGCTAGCAGCAATATATGTATATTTCTGGACACATAGAACCTACCAAGATTGAACCAAATAAGAAAGAGAAAACTTAAAGAGACCTATCAAGGTTATTGTTGATAGGTGAGTAATGAGATTGAATCAGTAATAAAAAGTCTCTCATCAAAGAAGAGCCCAGGATCTGATGGCTTCACTGTTGAATTCTACCAAACATTTCAGGAATAACTAATACAAATTCTTCTCAAACTCTTTCAGAAAATTAAAGAGGAGGAAATTTTTCCAAACTCATTCTATGAGATCAGAATTACCCTGATATCATAACTAGTCAAAGACACAACAACAACAACAAAAAAGGGAAACTATAGGCCAATATCCTTGATGAACATAATTGTACATGTTCTCAACAAAATACTAGCAAACCAATTCAACAATGCATTAAATTGTTGTTCACCATGATCGAGTAGGATTCATCTCCCGGATGCAAAGATGGTTCAACATATGCAAATCAATAAATGTGATACATCAGTGGAATCAAGGATAAAAACCATATTAGCACCTCAAAAGACACAGAAAAAGTATTGGACAAAATTCAACATTGTCTCATGATAAAGCTCACAAGTTAGGTATAATAGGAACCTACCTCAACACAATAAAGCCCATATATGACACACCCCTAACCAACATCATACCAAATGTGGAAAATTTGAAAGCTTTACCTCTAAGATCTGGAGTAAGATAAAGATGCCTTCTTTTAACACTTTTATTTAACATGGTACTAGAAGACCTAGCTATAGCAACTATTCAAAAGAGAGAAAGAAGGGTCATCTAAGTTGGAAAGGAGGAAGTCAAATTGTCCCTGTTTGCAGATGGCATGATCTTATATATAGAAAACCATGAAAGCTTCACCAAAAAAGCTTTTAGAACTGATAAACCAATTCAGTGAAGTTGCAGGATACAAAAATCAACATAAAAATCAGTAGTATTTCAATACATCCATGACAAACTTGTGGAAAAAGAAATCGAGAAAGGAAATCCATTTACAGTAGACACACACACACATACAGAGACACACAGAAACTAGGAATAAATTTAACCAAGGAGGTCAAAGAGCTCCACAAGGGAAAACATAAAATACTGATGAAAAAATTGAAGAGGATACACAAAAAATAGACATTCCATGTGCATGGGTTGGATAAATTAATATTGTGAAAATGACCATACTACCAAAAGCAATCTATAGATTCAGTGTACTCTTTATCAAAATACCAATGGCATTCTTCACAGAAATAGAAAAAAATTCTAAAATTGATTTGGAACTACTAATGACTTCGAATAGCCAAAGCAATACTGAGCAAAAAGAACAAAGCTGGAGGCATCAAACTACTGGACTTCAATATATTCTACAAAGGTGTAGTAACCCAAACAACATGGTACTGTCATAAAAGCAGACATGTAGACCAATGCAACAGAATAGAGAACCCAGAAATAAACCGATATACTTACAGACAGTTGATTTTTGAAAAATGTACCAAGAACATTCATTGGGGGAAAGGACAGTCTCTTTAGTAAATGGTGCTCAGACAACTGGATATTTATAAGCAGAAGAATGAAACTAGTCCCCCTATTTGTCACCATATACAAAATTCAACTCAAAATAGATTAAAGACTTAAATGTAAGACCTGGAACTATGAAACTATTAATAGTAGAAGACAGCACAGAGGAAATGCTTCAGGACATTGCTCTGAGCAGATATTTTATGGAGAAGATCTCAAAAGCACAGGAAACAAAATCAAAATAAGGCAAGTGAGATTATACTGAACTAAAAATCTTCTGCACAGAAAAATAAACAACAGAATGAAGAGACAACTTGCAGAATCAAATAAAATATTTGGAAACTATTCATCCGACAAGAGATTAGCATCCAGAATATACAAGGGGCTCAAATAATTCAACAGCAAAAAAAAAAAAAAAAAAAAAAAAACAAATAATCCGATTAAAAAATGGGCAAATGAGCTGAATACAAATCTCTTAAAAGAAGACATACAAATGGCCAATAGATATATGAAAAAATGCTCAACACGACAAATCATCAGTGAAATGCAAATCAAAGCCACAGTAAGCTATCACCTCACCCCAGTTAGAACAGCTATTATGAAAAAGACAAAAAATAACATATGCTATGAGGTTGTGGAGAAAGGGGAATGTTTGTATGCTGTTGATGAGAATGTAAAGTAGTACAGCCATTATGGAGAACAGTATGGGGGCTCCTCAAAAATCTAAAAATAGAACTACTATATGGTCCAGCAATCCCACTTCTGAGTATATATCCAAAGGAAATAAAATCAGTATGTTGAAGAAATATCTGCACTCCCATATTTACTGTAGCATTCACAATGGCCAAGATATGGAATCAACTTAAGTGTCTATCAGCAGATGAATGGATAAAGACAATGTATATGCAATGGAATACTATTTAGACATAAAAAAGAACAAAATTCTGTAATTTGCAGCAACATGGATGAGCTTGGAGGACATTATGTCGAAATATGAAAAAAGCCAAAACAGAAAGATAAGTACCACATGTTCTCACTCATATGTAGAAGCTAAAGTAGTTGAGCTCATACAAGTAGAGAGTAGAATAGTGGTTACTAGATGCAGGGAAGGCTGTTGGGGGATGAAAGGGAGGGCCTAGTGAATGGATGCAAAGTGCAGGTCAGTAGGAAAAATACGTTCTAGGGTTCCATACCACTGCAGGGTGACTCCAGTTAGCAACAATTTATTCCATGTTTTCAAATAGCTAGAAGAGTGGATTTTGAATGTCTCCAACAAAAAGAAGGAATAAATGTTTGAGGTGATAAGTATTGCTAATTACCCTGATTTGATCATTACATGTTGTGTACATGTATCAAAATATCACATGTACCCCATAAATATGTGCAATTATAAATAATGTGTCAAAAAAATAATACAGGCAAAAAAAAAAAAAAGAGATACTGCATGTGCCCTTGGCATTGCGCCAGGCGCTTGATGAGTGCTGTGGTGGTCAGTGCTATTATTTTAAAGCAGTGACTGGATCACGTTCCTGTCCTTTTCTGAAGCATAGTAGCTGTCCACAGTTTGGCCCTCATGGGCCTGATGGGCCTCCTCCTGCCTTCTCACCACTCTGAACGCTGGTGGCTCTGGCATGCTGCAGTTCCTGTTCTTGCCTGTCACATCTCTATATCTCTGTCACCTCCCTCACCTGGCATGGCCTTCTCCCCTTACTTTGGCCTGACTCATTCTTCCCACCTGGTTAAGTCAGTTGCCATTGGAGACTCCCTCATCCCTCGGTCCAAATGACCTTCTTCTCCCTTCTGGCCCTCCCACAGCACATAGCCTGGGTCTGATTTGACTTTATTCTGTGTCTTCCTCTAAACTGTAAGTTTCTTAAGCCAGGGTCTAGTTTGATTCCTTGATTGGATGTAATATGTCTTTTGCACATTATAGCTGCTCTACGTGTGGGTTGGATAAGCAACACGTGCCACAGACTTGTGACCTCCGGAGGGTCTGTGCACTGCTTTGGTACCTCCTGCTGATCTCTGTGCTGAGGCAGGCGGAGAGGGACCACAAGCTCAACTTTGCGCTCCACCAATCCCTGCTGGACGTTGTTACTACATCACACCACACAGCCTGGGTCTGATTTAACTCCATTCTGTGTCTTCCTTTAAATTGTTAGTTTCTCGGGGTTTCGCTGTGTTGGCCGGGCTGGTCTCCAGCTCCTAACCGCGAGTGATCCGCCAGCCTTGGCCTCCCGAGGTGCCGGGATTGCAGACGGAGTCTGGTTCACTCAGTGCTCAATGGTGCCCAGGCTGGAGTGCAGTGGCGTGATCTCAGCTCGCTACAACCTCCATCTCCCAGCCGCCTGCCTTGGCCTCCCAAAGTGCCGAGATCGCAGCCTCTGCCCGGCCGCCACCCCGTCTGGGAAGTGAGGAGCGTCTCTGCCTGGCCGCCCATCGTCTGGGATGTGAGGAGCCCCTCTGCCTGGCTGCCCAGTCTGGAAAGTGAGGAGCGTCTCTGCCCGGCCGCCATCCCATCTAGGAAGTGAGGAGCGCCTCTTCCCGGCAGCCATCCCATCTGGGAAGTGAGGAGCGTCTCTGCCCGGCCGCCCATCGTCTGAGATGTGGGGAGCGCCTCTGTCCCGCCGCCCCGTCTGGGATGTGAGGAGCGCCTCTGCCCGGCCGCCCTGTCTGAGAAGTGAGGAGACCCTCCGCCCAGCATCCGCCCCGTCTGAGAAGTGAGGAGCCCCTCTGCCCGGCAGCCACCCCGTCTGGGAGGGAGGTGGGGGGGTCAGCCCCCCGCCCGGCCAGCCGCCCCGTCCGGGAGGTGAGGGGCGCCTCTGCCCGGCCACCCCTACTAGGAAGTGAGGAGCCCCTCTGCCCAGCCACCACCTCGTCTGGGAGGTGTGCCCAACAGCTCATTGAGAACGGGCCGGGATGACAATGGCGGTTTTGTGGAATAGAAAGGGGGGAAAGGTGGGGAAAAGATTGAGAAATCGGATGGTTGCCGTGTCTGTGTAGAAAGAAGTAGACATGGGAGACTTTTCATTTTGTTCTGTACTAAGATAAATTCTTCTGCCTTGGGATCCTGTTGATCGGTGACCTTACCCCCAACCCTGTGCTCTCTGAAACATGTGCTGTGTCCACTCAGGGTTAAATGGATTAAGGGCGGTGCAAGATGTGCTTTGTTAAACAGATGCTTGAAGGCAGCATGCTCGTTAAGAATCATCACCACTCCCTAATCTCAAGTACCCAGGGACACAAACACTGCGGAAGGCCGCAGGGCCCTCTGCCTAGGAAAACCAGAGACCTTTGTTCACTTGTTTGTCTGCTGACCTTCCCTCCACTATTGTCCTATGACCCTGCCAAATCCCCCTCTGCGAGAAACACCCAAGAATGATCAATAAAAAAAATAAAAATTAAAAAAAAAAAAATAAATAAATTGTTAGTTTCTTAAGCCAGGATATAGTTTAATTCCTTAAGTAGACTCCTCCTTGCTGAATTTGGCTGCAGCCTCAAAATCCTTCTGAAGGCACCACTCACTCTTAGTTGCCACAGCCCATCCATCCAAGGTAACAGGTGACAACCAGGTCTCTCTGACCTGTACTGTGAAAAAGTCATGCTAACGTTGTCCGAAGGATTGTTTTGCTTACTTATAGATTTAAAAAATCAGATAAAAAGGTTCGGCTTCTTTAAGAAGTCTTAGGCAAGACACGAAGTTTAAAAAATCTTGTCAGAGGTCCTGTTATGTGTCTGAATCCGGCACTGATGCGTGCCCACTACATTGGGAGGGCAAAGCGAGGAAAGCTGTGGTCAGCTTAACTGCCTGACAGAAAAGGTGATGGTCATGAGGAAATGTGGTGTGAAATGTAAATACTCACTGGATGGGCAGATCTCAAGATGTGAAAGACAGACATTTCTGTGCAAACCGGAGCAGAAAGATGGTTTGGACGGGGATCTCCCAGGGAGAAACGGAGAGTTACAGAACACTTTCCGTTGTCTTGTTGACAATGAAAATATTACACAGCCTTTTCATACTTCATTGTAATCCCAGAGCAATGTTTGAAGCAGGTGGAGGAACTTTCTAGAAATTACTGGAATGCTTCAAACACCTAAGGAGAAGTGGTTTGGTGAGGTGAACTCTCTCACCTACTTTGCTTTATAACAATAGAAGAGGATGTGATCTCCATTTGACAAGAGGGTGAATCAAAGCTGGGGAGGGAATGGGTTTAGGTCATGCAACTAGTAACTGGAGATGGCAGAATTTGGGCCCTGTCTGGCTCTGAGGTTCCAATTCCTTTTCCTATACCATGGACAGTATGTAGAGCCGTTTCTAAAATGCCTTGAGTCATCTTACTCTCCATTGGCGCTGATGTCGGCTAGTGGCTTCCGAGTGAATGAAGCCAATGTTTTGCTGAGATGGTGTTTGCAGCCCAGTCTCTTCCATATTTAGACCTTGCCCAGCTACCCCTGCCGCTTGGGATGCCCTGAACATGGCCCGGGACTTACAGGGTGCTGTGCCTCTGCTCCCGGGTTGCCTGCATCAGCCTTCCCCACCGTCTCTGTCTGTTGAAACCTCACCCAGTGATGCGGAGCTGGTGGAGTTTCTGGGAATGCTTTCCCAGTTCCCCTCGGCAGAGTCGACCTCCTCCTCTGGGTCCTCGTGAAACTCGATTCCAGCACTGATCACTCCCTGCCCTGTACTGGAATAGCTTATTTAGCTCTCTTGTTCTTAGTGGGCTCCCAACTCCAAGAGGCAAGGATGGAGGCTTAATCATCAGCTCCTGGGGCCCAGGACAGCACCAGTCACACAGTGGGGAACTCAGCCATGGAGAGTTGAATTCAGCAGATCATGCATAGCCTTGGGTGAATCCAGGCCTCTAGGAATTAGCCTTCGGGACCTCACTGTCTTTACTTCTTTGGGACACCTTGGAGTGTCATAGAATAAAATCCATTACTGACATCTTCCTTGTGGTCCATGTCACCTGCCACTCGGGGACAGGGCAATTGAATTGGCGTGGTGAGGCTGGCTCTTCACAATGCCCTCCCGATGGCTCTCAGCACGGCGCATCTCTCTCCGCAGGTGTCCAGGCTCTTCTCAGTCCTTAGGTGGAGGAAATGACTGATCAGGACCATATTTTTCCTTTTTAAAAACAAGGATGTTGTGACTTCCTTTTTCTAACCTTTGGAGGTTGCTGGCTCCAGGGTCTCAGCAGTGATACCCTGAGGCTGGCTCTGTGGCACCTGTCAGCACCCCAGGAGCCATCATTTGTCCTTGCTGAGCTGGGGACTGCCTCTCTCCAAGGGCTGTGTCTCCCTCCTGTGTTCTCTGGACAAGGTGTTAGACTTCACTGATCAGAAGCTACTGCTCTCCAGAAGGCTGATTCTATTTTTCAAGAGTTGGTTTTGAGGCAGTTTGTTTTTAACTGTTACATGTGATTGGACTTCAGTTTCATTGTTATGTATACTTAGCAGTTTAAGATGAGTTTTGAAAAAAAAACAACAACAGGTCAGTCTTATTTGTGACAACTTGTGTGACTAATTACTGGTCTGCAGTGCACTGTGAAACTTGCAAGGTACCACATAAACACTGAATCATAACACATTTCTTGTTTGAAACTGTATTAGCAAATTGAACATCTGTGTTATAGCAATACAGTGTATTAGTAAATTCAACAGCTTTTATTGATTCACCTTGTTAAGCAGGAAAATAATCATAGCTTATAAAGCTCCTGGAAGTTCTAGTAGGTGCCATTTTGGAAGTGAATTGAGTTGAATAAATGAAGGCAGATGTCAAACATTTAATTGGCTCTCTGCTCCCAGCTGGCTCTATCAATTTTGGAGCCATTGTCAGAGATGACATAATTCACCCATATGAAACTGACAAGGTGGGTTAGATGCTGTTGGTCTCTAGGGAGGAGGGGCTGGCTATGCAGAGTTAATGTTTAATACCTGGCTAATGCCACTTGTATTAGTCAGGGTTCTCTTTTTTAGTTTTTATTTTTTTGAGATGGAGTCTCGCTCTGTCACCCAGGCTGGAGTGCAGTGGCGCGATCTCTGCTCACTGCAAGCTCCGCCTCCCGGGTTCACGCCATTCTCCTGCCTTAGCCTCCCGAGTAGCTGGGACTACAGGCGCCTGCCACCACGCCCGGCTAATTTTTTCTATTTTTAGTAGACACAGGGTTTCACCATATTAGCCAGGATGGTTTCGATCTCCTGACCTCATGATCCACCTGCCGCGGCCTCCCAAAGGACTGGGATTACAGGCGTGAGCCACCGCGCCTGGCCTAGTCAGGGTTCTCTTAGAGGGACAGAACTAACAGGATATATATATGTGTATATATATGTGTGTATATATATATATATATATATACGTATATATGTGTGTGTATATATATATATATACGTATATATGTGTGTATATATATATACGTATATATGTGTATATATGTGTATATATATATACGTATATGTGTATATATATGTGTATATATATATACGTATATATGTGTGTGTATATATATGTGTATATATATACATGTGTGTATATATGTGTATATACGTGTGTACATATATGGGATATATATATATCCTATGGATATATATCCATAAGATATATATATCTCCATAGGATATCCTATATATATATCCTATATATCTTATATATATCATATATATCCTATATATATCCTATATATCTTATATATCCTATATATATCATATATATCCATAGGATATCCTATATATATCATATATATCCATAGGATATCCTATATATATATCCTATATATATCATATATATATCTCCTATATATCCTATATATCGGAGATATATATATAGGAGATATATATATATAGGAGATATATATATATATATGGGAGATATATATATCTCCCATATATATATATGGGAGATATATATATATCCTATATATATGAGTTTATTGAGTATTTTATATATATACATAAAGGGGAATTTATTAAGTATTATATATATGTATAAAGGGGAGTTTATTAAGTATTAACTTACTTACATAACCACAAGGTCCCACAATAGGCTGTCTGCAAGCTGAGGAGCAAGGAGAAGCAGTCCGAGTCCCGAAGCTGAAGAACTTGGAGTCGGATGTTCGAGGGCAGGAAGCATCCAGCATGGGAGAAAGATGTAGGCTGGGAGGCTTGGCCCATCTCTCCTTTTCATGTTTTTCTGCCTGCTTTATATTTAGTGGAAGCTGATTAGATTGTGCCCACCAGATTAAGGGTGGATCTGCCTTCCCCAGCCCCCTGACCCAAATGTTAATCTCTTTTGGCAACACCCATACAGGCACACCCAGGATTAATACTCTGTATCCCTCAATCCAATCAAGTTGACACTCATTATTAATCATCGCACCACTGTAGCTTGGTCTTCACAGAGTTTTCTACTAAAGTTCCTTTAGTAGCACAGAGGACAGGGAGAAAGGCTGTGGCAGCTGACCCCGAGTGGTCCACAACATTTGTTTTAAAATCTCGAGGCTTATGTGAAATGTTCAACTGCTTTTGTTTTCTACTCCATGTTCACACTTTCCTCCAAATCTCCGTCTAAGAAGGTTTGACTGGGAAGAGGCCTCTTTTATAATTCTGTGGATTCTGGAACCCTCAGGTTCAGATACTGGGCCTGAGAAGCAGATATAAAAACAATGATCAAAGGAGTATAAAAAAGACACCAGAAAACAACCAAAGTAACCTTGGTGTTTAAAATGTGATTCTTGTACGTTTTTAAATAACTAAAAGAGTAGAATCAGATTGTTTGTGACACAAAGGATGTAGTGCTTGAGGGGACAGATACACCATTTTTTGTCTTTCCTTTTTTTGTTGAGACAGAGTGTCACTTTGTTGCCCAGGCCGGAGTGCAACCATGACTCACTGCAGCCTTGACCTCTAGGACTCAAGTGATCCTCCAGCCTCAGCCTCTCAAGTATTTGAGATGACAGGCATGTGCCACCACACCCAGCTAATTATTTTGTATTTTTCACAGAGATGGGGTTTCGCCATGTTGCCCAGGCTGGTCTTGAACTCCTGGGTTCAAACGATCTGCCCACTTCTGCCTTCCAGAGTGCTAGGATTACAGATGTAAGTGCCCTGTTGGATACTCCATTATTACGCATTGCATGCCTGAATCAAAACATCTCAGGTATCCCATAAATATATATATTTACTGTGTGCCCACAAAAATTAAAAATAGAAAAAAATTAAAAAGGAAAAAATTTTAAAAGAAAAAAATGTAATTTTTAAGAAAGGAAAGGAAAGTTGCTGAGTTGGGACAAGGGGCAGAGACCATGGTGGGATTTAGAGTGACCAGTCAGTAGGGATGGATTGGCAGGGGAGACTGAGGTGGGAACCAGGCGATGGGCTGTCTCAGCTGTCAGTGGAGATGTTGGTGGCCTCACCCAGCTGCGATCTGGAGCTGGAACCAAGAGGACAGATTTTGTTATGAGGCAGCTGGAGGAACTGATGGGACATTGTGATGCCAGCATGAAGGGAAGAGGAGAAATCGACTAATTGATTAGTAGACACTGAGCACTTCCCGTGTGCCAGGCCCTATGCTGGGCATTTCAGTACCGATCCTCATGGGAACTTCCCAGCCACCTGGGGTGATCAGTTTGGGCAACTCTGATGAGGAATGTTGGGCTTAGTGAAGTTGGAGTCATGTCCAGGTCTCCCCTGCTGAGCAGCGGGACCCATGTCTACACTTGGAATGGTTCTGGGGATGCTTCTGAGGCAGAGTCAGCAGGGCTTGGAGATGCCTGGGGTAAGGGTGGGGGGAGGAGGGGAGGATTTCCCTACCCTTCTCCTGTAGATCTTAGCTCAGGGACCTTCTCATCCAAAGACACCCCCTCCACCCCATGTGATTCACCCCATTCTTAACCCCAGACCCATCTCGAGCCTCTTAGAAGGAGCACTGACTTAGGAGTCTAGTGGCCCAGGGCTGAACCCCACCTCAGCCCCTTCTAGCTGATTGCCTGCAAGTCATTTCACCTCTCAGAGCTTCAGCATCCTCCTTAGAAAGATGCTGGTAACAGTTTCATGGTGAGAATGAAAGAAACTCATGTAAAAGAAGGCAGCACCAAGCCCAGGGCCAAGGTGATGCTCAATACACAGGTATTAAATCAGTTTGTTTAACGCGCTTAGCCCATGTTGAATTTTACTCAATTGGGGAAATTCTGTGCTGTGGCACATGGTTGGACTTTGATAAGTGTTTTTAACATGAAAAGAGTTGGCCGGGCATGGTGGCTCATGCCTGTAATCCCAGCACTTTGAGAGGCCGAGGTGGGTGGATTACTTGAGGTCAGGCGTTTGAGACCAGCCTGGCCAACATGGTGAAACCCTGTTTCTACAAAAAATACAATGATTAGCAGGGCGTGGTGGCTCACGCCTGTAGTCTCATCTACTTGGGAGGCTGAGGCAGGAGAATCACTTGAACCTGGGAGGCAGAGCTTGCAGTGAGCTGAGATTGCACCATTGCACTCTAGCCTGGGTGACAGAGCGAGACTCTGACTCAAAAAAAAGTAATTCTTACCCATTGGATTTGTCAATATTGGTGTGTATCCCATTGTGTCCCCAAACATTGGGCTATAATCTGTTTTGGCATCAACAACAGGCCACCTTTGAAACATCTGTGAAGCCCCCTTCATGTGAGAGCGGTCACTCTTTCCTGGTCAGTAAATTCAGCTCTAAAAATATCACCTGCTTTCCCCACAAATCATCTTCCCTTTGCACCTTGTCAGTGGCTCTGTGCTGTGAAGCTGCCCCTCTGTTGGCCAGTTTGCTGTGTGCACATCATCCTCTTTTGGCTTTCCCTCTAGTTGTGGCTGTTTACATAAAGGAATCCTGGTGCTCCACGGAAGATGCACTAAGAACCTCTGATCCTGCAAGAGAAGGGTTGATGAAGGTGAGTTGATGCAATTCTAAATGAATGTTGTAAAAGAAGTTCTAAAAGTCACAGTGCCTCCTTGATAATTTGATAATTTAAAGCAGTCTAGCCATATCTTCACTTCCTAGTACCACAGAGTACCACAAAACAGAAATGTATTGTCTGAGAGTTCTGGAGGCTGGAAAGTCTGAAATCAAGCAATCGACAGGGTTGTTTTCTTTTGAGGGCTGTAAATGAGAATCTGTTCCTGGCTTCCCTCCTAGCTTCTAGTAGCCTCAGGGGTTTCTTGGCTTGTAGATGACCTTCTCCTTGTATTTCCACATTGTTTTCTATATGTGTTTCCGTCTCTGTCAAAATCCTCCTTTTTTATAAGGACACCAGTCATATTGGATTAGAGACCAACTGAATCCCTTCATGTTGATTGACCAGCAGACTCTTTTTCCAAATAAGGTCACATTCACACAACTGGGGGTTAGGACGTCAACAGCTTTTTGGGGGTGACAGTTCAATCCATAACACCCTGCTAGCAAGGAAAACAGCACTCAGTGCTATGTATAACAGATATCTGGCTACTGATAAGTCTATTTTACTTTCCTGAGTGGCCCCTCATGTCTAAGTTTTAAAACTTTAACATACACCATCTCTCTGTTGAATGGGAAACTTCTGCTTAGTGCATTCAGGTAACGTTTATTGGCTCTTAGCATGAGTTAGAATTGTAGCAGATATTATCCTGTATGTTACCTGAGACTCTATAGGGATTATCTAATGTCAGAACCTTCAAGGTATTTGTTTGCAAATGAACACATTGAAGCTGAGTCACACAGCCAGTAAGTGATTTAGCTGGGTACAAACATCTGTCTCCTTGACATCAGACCTGGTGATCTTTGAAGAGCTGTGCCTCTGTTGAGCAGTTGTAAAGCAGAGACCTGGGATGGCAGGTGTGAAGGCAGGAGCCAGAGGAGCTTCTCAGAGGTCCAGGTGGCATCCTGTTGGCTGAACTTTGGCTGGGGCAGAGGCTAAGGAGGAAGCCAGTACCCAACTGAGAGTTTGGACTGTGTGCCTCACATTCACCCATTTTCATTTAATTGGTATATTTATCTTAATTCCATAGGTGGGAAGAAGGATGATGCTTCCCTGCAGTCTTGAAATGTGTGATCTTGTTTACAGTTGTCTGGAATGCCATTCGGTTCCCTTCATAGAGCCCTGTAAATAATGAATGAAATATCAGTATTCTTTCCGGTTCAGTATGGAGAATGGCTAAGAAGCAAAATACAATTAAAAGATAAAGAAAAAACGTCAAGACCTAAAGTTCTACAAACAGAGAGGGGAAATAGTCCCAGGCACAACACTTCAAAGATCTCCAGCCTGATGTCAAGGAGATGGAAGTTTGTACCCAGCTACATCACTTACTGGCTGTGTGACTCAGCCTCGATGTCTTCATTTACACAACAAATACCTCGAAGGTTCTGAAATTAGATAATCCCTATAAGGGGTCTCAGGTAATGTTCCCAAGTTGTTAATCCAGGTTTTATTTTATTTTTATTTTTTTTCCTGCTGAGCAATTAAAAAATTAGTTCTTGATTTTTTTCTAAACAAGAGCTTCATTAAGATAGAATTCACACATCATAATCTTCATTCTTTTAAAGTGTACAATGGAGTGACTTCTAATATATTCACAACATTCTGTATCAATCACCACTAATTCCAGAACATTTTCATCATTTTAAAAAGAAGCTTTCTACCCACTAGCATCACTCCTCATTCCTGTCTTTCCCCAGTCCCTGGAAACCATAATCTGCTTTCTGTCTCTATGGATTTGCCTCTTCTAGATATTTCCTATAAATGGAATCATATTACAGGTGGTCTTTTGTAAACAGCCTCTGTAACTTGGCTTAATCTTTTCAGAGTTCATCCATTGCAGCATGCATCAGTACTTCATTCTTTTTTTGGGGGTGAATAATAGTCCATTGTATGGATATACCACATTTCATTTATCCATTTTTCAGTTGATGGACATTTGAGTTGTATCCACTTTTTGACTATGATTAATAATACTTCTATAAGCATTTGTAGGGAAATTTTTGTGAGGATACATATTTTCAGTTCTCTTGAGTATATATCTAGGAGCGGAATTGCTGGTCATGTGGTAACTCTATGTTTCATATATTGAGGAACTGTACAACTGCCTTCCCCAGCAGCTATACCATTCTGCACTCTCAACAGCAGTGTCTGAGGGTTTCAGTCACTCCATATCCTCACCAGCACTTGTTATTGTCTTTTTAATGTTCTCCATCCTAGTAGGTGTGAAGTAGAATCTCACTGTGGTTTTAATTTGCATTTCCATGATGGCTAAGGATGGTGAACATCTTTTCATGTGCTTATTGGCCATCTATAGATCCTCTTTGGGAAAATGTTTATGAGGATCCTTGGCCCACTTTTTAATTGGGTTATTTGACTTTTTACTATTGGGTTGTGAGAGTTTTTCATATGCAGGGTTTCATGTGCAGAGTTTTTCATATGCATAATCCTTATCACATATATGATTTGAAATTATTTTTTTCCCATTCTATGAGTTGTCTTTTTTAGGTCTCGTTTTAATCGACTCAGTAGATATTATTTTGAAAAGGTTTTTCTTCCAGCACATTAGAGACGGCCTGAGATTCAGCAAGTGAGCATGATGTACCCAGTGTGGTGCTTGGCATCTTGTTTTGCGTTGCTGCCCCAGCTCTGGTGCTGCAGGTGGGCCAGGTGGCCACTTAATGACTGACTGTTCTGAATGCTATGAAGAATGTGGATGGCTCCTTAAATAATTTTTTCAGAACAAGAGTTGTTACTTCCTTCATTTGTCATCTCTTCTTCTAAGTTTAAATGAGAAAACCCCCACATTTTCTGACAATGTGGCCTATATTATGAACAGAAAGAAACTTGGGTGTTATTTCCACTTAATTAACCATGTTGTAAAGATCTATCCTACCCCAGCTGTACATAGGAATATTTCCCCTCTGTTTGTAGAACTTTAGATCTTGACTTTTTTTCTTTTTCTTTTAATTACATTTTGTTTCCTAGCCAGCTCTTCTTCACAAATTACCAAAAAACCCCCACAAGATTTCTTAATGTTTTTCTTGTTAACTTAATTAGTGGTCCTAATGAGGGATGTGAACTGGAACTTAGCTTTGTGTTTTCAGAAACATTTCTGAGTCAAAATCACATGTCACACGTTTTCCTCCCCCATAATGAAATTGGACAAATTAAGTACATTTTCTTTCTCCTCCTTTTTCTCCTGCCAGTTTTTGATTGGATATTTCCCTTCTGCCAGATGCAATCTGCTTTTGTCTTCTGGCTTTCTTCTGAACTTTTTAGTTTTATAAGTTGAAAAATATAACCTCCTCCACGACACCAATCTGGTTTTGTGACTAGCTAGTTATTCTCAACGTCTGAACTTGATTTGGCTGCCGCTGTCTGAGATACAAAATGTGATGGCTTCTCAGAGCCAAGCTAGTGTGGTTTTCACTAATCTTTTTCTCATTTAAGATTTAGCTCCAGATGAAGGTGAAATATTTTACATTCTGGCCAATTCGTAAGTTTGTTGGCACTGAACACTTCGTGCCATTTGCTGCAAGCTGCCTTATTTTTATTATCAGAGCATTTGAAAAACATGCAAGTATTTTAGAGACCACATGAAGGATCTTCTCCCTTGACTGGAGGGGGAAACCAAGACTCAAAGAGGTTGTGAGTTGCTGAGGATCTCCCAGCAAATCCAGCGTAACAACCCACAAACCGCAAATGATGACGATGATAATCCAAGAGTCAAGTATTAAATATAAAACAAAGTATTAATATTTGTATTATCCCCTTTCCCCAAATCTAATTTCTAATGGATGAAGATGAAGAATGAAACCGCTGGCTGGACTGGAAAGCCCCAGCCTGTTGTTTTGTGCCTGCCTCTGACAGACCCCTCGCCCAGCTGTCTCAAATCCTCTTTGAAATGAGGCGGGGAAATCAATAAATGTAATCACCCTCTTTGAGCTTCAATTTCCCCACCTGTGAACCAAGACCTCCCCAGCAGGTGGTGAGAATCACATGGTAGCATGTGGGTGGATGTCCTGGACCAGTTAGTGGCCTTGTTGATCTGGAGGTAATGCATAGGATAAAGTGACAAACACGCACGCAGAGGCTGTCACCTAGCAGTGTTGCAGAGTAAGTTCCAATACAACAGCATTGTCACTTCGTAAATAGCTGATTGGTTTCACCTCCTGCCACATTTTAGCAGTTGCTCGTGGCTGTCTGAAGGGCTGCGTTAAGGAGGCTTCTGAGACCGTGTCCACGCTTAGCTGGACAGATAGGTCTGCTCTGAATCCAGGGGTGGGAGACCTTGGTTTCTGCCACCTATTTGCCATCCGTGGGCTACACAAATGCAGAGCATTGTAACAGGCAGGAGTGTGAAGTCATTTTGACTTGCGAAGGGGAGCTTCTAACTGTGTGGGCCTGACTTTGACCACAATACAATTTCCTCACTTGTGATAACTTTGCTACAGGCAAGAGATGGTTCAATTTTACAGCCTTAGAACGGGCTGTGCCCTGAGTCCCCGTAATTCTCTGGGATTAGGACACCAGTGTGTGCTCTAAATCTGTCACAAGCCATTGAAACTCACTTGCTTTTGGTGTAGCAATTGATCTCCCACATCATTTACCCTCCTTCTGACGGCCAGAATTCCGGGGCCTGCTGTCATGAAAATGACAAATCGGGTTTATTTCAGGATACATCCAGCAAGTCAGTTGAAATGGGTTGCCGCAGCCCCCCAGTGTTAATTTCCTGTTTTGTTACCATGTGATGGATTGTGCTTTGTCGTCTCACATTCCTGGTCCATGGCCCTGGGGACCAGGGGCTGCCCCTGGCAGCGTTCTCTGCTCCTGCAGGCTGCATGGTGCCAAAGGTCAGTGGTGTGGAAGCCTCTGTGAGATGCCGTGATTCATGTTTTGGCTCTTTGAGCACAAAATGAATCTTCAGTGGAGGAGCTCACACCTGGCCCCGACGTGTGCGTCACATCCAAGCGCAGAATTTATTGCGCATGATTTTCCTCTCTTGTCTCACTTGACTGTTGTTCTTTTTCTTTCTGTTTTTTTCTTGAAAGGTTCAGTCGTTTGGGGAAAGGGTTGTGCTTTTCATTCTAAACGCCATTATTTTTGGAAGATTGGAGAGAAATTTGGATGATGATGACATGTTTTTTCTACCTCACTCTGTGAAGGAACAAGCTAAAATCCTGTGGAGACGTGGAGCGGCTGTTGGGTTTTACACAACCAAGATGAAAGGTGAGGGATGCATGGCCACCACTTCAGGCTGGACTGAGTGGGGCTGTCTAGGGGTCTGCCTGGCCTGGAGGGCTTGCTCAGCACCAGCTATGTGGAGAGAATCTTCTAGCACAGGAAGTATCGTGGATTAAGTTGGGTGTAAATAAACCCCACGTATGGATTCCATTTCCACCACATTTCTCATCTCAGTGGCAAACATGGTGAAAAGCATGTCCCTTTGATTTCCAGGCAGTGCCATGTCCCCTCTAAAAAATAACTAATTGTAATTAATGGTATAAAATTTCATTTCTTTCTTTCAGTGTTACTAGTTAGTTGTCAGGAAAAATACCACTGCTAATAGCTGACATGTGGAGCCAAAGCAGCTTGGATGCCAAGATTTATAGACATTAGAAGAGAGGGAGTCCGGCCATGATAACAAGGTTAGGGTGAAAGTCTCTGACTTGAAGGGCAGTGACCAGTGCTAAGTGTGGGACTAGTACCATTTTGCTGAAGTGATTTGTCTCTTCTTTTTTATTATTATTTTTAATTTTTTGAGGCAGGGTCTTGCTTGATGTCACCCAGGCTGGAGTACAGTGGCACGATCATGGCTCACTGCAGCCTCAACTTCTGGGCTCAGGTGATCCTGCCACCTCAGCCTCCTGAGTAGCTGGGACTACAGCCATGTCTGGCTAATTTTTGTATTTTTTGTAGAGATGGGGTTTTGCCATGTTGCCCAGGCTGGTCTCGAGCTCCTGAGCTTAAGCTATCTGCCCACTCCAGCCTCCCAAAGTGCTGGGATTGCAGGTGTGTGCCACTGCGCCTGGCCACTGGTTTTCTTCTTTAAAGTTGCTTTCTTTTTTTCATTCTTTCTTTTCTTTTTTTTTGAGATGGGATCTCTTTGTCACCCAGGCTGGAGTACGATGTCGTGATCATAACTCACTGCTGCCTCCAATTCTTGGGCTCAAGTGATCCTCCTGCCTCAGCCTCCCAAAGTGCTGGGATTACAGGCATGAACCACCGCACCTGGCCTCTTTATTTAATTTTTAAAGGCTGTCAACATCTCTCACCTAACTAATTCCAGCCCCATCATTTGGTTGTCAAAAAGTTCTCAATTTTAGCAAAAATTAATCTTCTCAGTAAACTGCCATGGATATACTACGAGTTAGATGTTTTTCTTGGGCGCTAAAGAGGCTGAGTTTGGTTCTGAGCCACGTTCACGTTGTGTGTGTGGTTGACCTGTCCAGGATGCGATAAATTTGTGTTTCTCGCTTTTTTGTTTTTTCCTCAGTGAGATACAGCAGTTTCTCATCCAAACCACTTCTTCATTTCTTGGTTAATTATATTTGCAAAGTCAGTCGTAGCTTTAGCCCCTGTGTCTTTCAGCTCTTTTCCTCACGACAGCCTTTGTCCTCAGACTTTGATGCCCTTTCACTTTTTTGAATGGTCATGTTCTTTCACCATTTAAGATAGACCAAGGGGCCTAGAGAAAAATTAAAATGAAAAGGAAGCTTTTTGTAATTCCTCTTTCCTGGGAGACTCATCAGTGGTCATTTTCTACCAAATGGCTGTTTTTGAGTCTGTAACCAAATCATTTGTGGTGTAGACATCCTACTAATACTAACAAAAACTGTTAACAGATGCCAGCTTGATGTGTGAAACCACAGGTAGGCGGCAGAAGGAGCTTGACCTTGGTCTTGCCTGGTCCTGCTGCTATTCCTGGAGGCAGTGATACCAAGGGTCCTGATTCCGGGGAGGGACACAGGGGTTGTCTGCAGCCGCTATGCTCTTCCCCAGGCCGATTCAGGGCCTTGGAGGAGAGGGAAGACCTAAGGATGCTGAGCTGAGGCAGGTCAGACTGGGTGCTTGAATTCTGCCTTTTCATTTCTGATGGATCCTACAAATTCAGTGAAAAGTTCCCTGAAGCTGCTTGTGAGGTCACATTATTTTCATTAATGAACTGGTTTTTGAAGTGGCAATGGACTGTTAGTTACTTGGCAATTTAGTGGGTTTAAAAAGTGTCAAATGTGCGTGGTGGCTCACGCCTGTAATCCCAGCACTTTGGGAGGCCAAGGTGGGCAGATTGCTTGAGCTCAGGAGTTCAAGACTAGCCTGGGCAACATGGTGAAACCCCATCTCTATTAAAAGTACAAAAACCAGCTGGGCATGGTGGTGCATGCCTGTGGTCCCAGCTACTCAGGAGGCTGAGGTGGGAGGATCACTTGAGCCGAGATCATGCCACTGCACTCCATCCTGGGTAAAAGAGTGAGACCCTGTCTCAAATAAAAAAAAAAAGTATCAAACTTGTAGAAAATAAAATAAATGAAGCAAATGTATTTTTCAGGTTTTCATTGCCAACTTTAAAATTTTTTACTGCCTTGTTATGGATTAACATTTTTAGGGAGACACAATGAGGCTATTTCTGTGGAATCTATATATATATATATTACCAGCAGCAATGTCTGAGAGTTACAGTTGCACCACATCCTTGTCAGTACTTGGTATTGTCAATCTTTTTCATTTTAGCCAGTCTATAAAGTGTGAAGTGGTGGCTAATTTTGGTTTTAATTCACATTTCACTATTTCACTAATGATGAATGACATTGAACATGTGCTTATTTGATGGTCATATAACTTGTTTGATGAAGTGTCTGTTCAAATATTTTTGCCCATTTTTAATTGTTTTTTAAATTATTGAGCTTCAAGAGTTCTTTATATATTTTAGATAAGAGCTTTTTATCAGATATATGTTTTGAAAACATTTTCATTTTGATGACAGTGGCTTTCAGAGAGCAAAAGTTTTAAATCTTGATGAAGTCTAATTGATCAATTTTCATTATTATTCAGTTGAAAATATTTTCTAAAATACTTTGTGATTTCTGTGGGTTCTTTAAAAGTGAGTTTTTAATTTCCAGATATTTGGGGGCTATCTCTGATTTTTTTTTATTTCTAATTTAATTCTGCTGCAGTAAGAGAATATAGCCTGCTATATTTAATATTCTGAAAATGACTGAGAGCTGTTTTATGGCCTAGTGTGTGGTCTATCTTTGGGAACATTCTGTGGGGACTTAAAAGAGTATATTCGGTGGTTGTTGGGTGTAGTGTTTAGAACTGTCAGGTTATGGTGACTGGTGATGTCATTCATATCTGCAAGGGAGCAAGAGTGGGGAAGTGCCATGCTCTTTTAAACAGTTGCTATCCAGTGTAATTTTCCTTCAGGCCAAAATACTTCTGATATAGGTTGGATATTTGTCCCCTCCAAATCTCAGGTTAAAATGTGACCCCCCCATTGTTGGAGATGGAGATGGGGCCTACTGAGAAGTGGGTGGGTCATGGCGGCAGATCCCTCATGAATGACTTAGCACCTTCCCTATGATACTGAGTGAGTCTAGCTGTATTAGTTCATACTAGAGCAGATTGTTTAAAAAAGTATGGCACCTCCCATCTCTCTCTTGCTCCCTCTCTCTCCATGTGACATGGCTGCTCTCCTTTGCCTTCCACCATGAATGGAAGCTTCCTGAGGCCCCACCAGAAGCAGATGCTGGTGCCATGCTTCTTGTACAGCCTGCAGAATCAGGAGCCAAATAAACCTCTCTTCTTTACAAATTACCCAGCCTCAGGTATTCTTTTATAGCAGCACAAAACAGACTAATACAGCTTCCCTTAGTATTTCTTATAGTGCCATTCTGCTGGCAACAAATTCCATTAATTTTTGTTTACTGAAAATGTTTTTATTTCACTTTCATATTTGAAAGATAGTTTATCCAGATACACAATTATTAGAGATCACTTCTTTTCTTTCAGCACTTTGAATATTTTGTTCCAATATCATCTGGCTTTCATAATTTTGGGTGAGAAGTCAGCCATTCCTCTTATTCTTGTCCCCTCATAAACAAAACGTCATTTTTTCTTTGACTGCTTTCAAGGCTTTCTCTTTAACTTTGACTTTTTTTTTGCAGTTGACTGTGATACATCTATATCTTAGTCCATTTGTGCTTCTATAACAAATGCAAGAGACTGGATAATTTATAAACAACAGAAATTTATTCCTCACAGTTCCAGTTGTCTTCTTTTTCTGGGTTTGCAGCCATATGTATGTTAGGGTGCTTCATATTGTCTTACAGGCCTCTGAAATTTTATTTTTCTTGGAATATTTTTCTTTCTCCTTTGGTTTAATTTATCTTGATCTATATTCAGGTTCATCTGCCATCTATAATCTGCTGCTAAGTCTATTGAAAAATTTAGTTATTGTACTTTTCAGTGCTAAAACTTGTATTATTGTGTAGAGTTTTCAATTCTTTATTGAGATTCCCTGTCTATTTATTCATTTGATTATATCTTTTTCTTTAATTCTTGGGATTATTTTATTTTAATTCTTTGAATATATTTGTAAAGCTGGTTTGAAGTCATGGAATTATTTTAATTATTTGAATACATTTGTAAAGCTGGTTCGAAGTCCTTGTCTGTCAATATCTGGGCCTATGTAAACTCAGTTCTACTGACCACCATTATTTTTTTTCCTGAGTAAGGGTCATACTTTCCTGTTTCTTTGCATATTTAGTAATTTTTGGTTGAAAACTAGTCGTTGCAGCAACTGAAATTCTTTTTTGATTTCCGAGGATTTTGAGATTTTTGTTTTAGCAGGCATTGAACTTGCCTGAATTTAAACTGCACACTTCATCTCCCTTGTGATATGTAGCTGCTGACATCTGTTTGTATGGCTTCCCATGGCTGCTTCTTTAGCCTGGCCCTGTAGAGTTCTTCCCTGTACCTGCAAAGTTGGTGGTTCAACAAAGATTTGGACATGGATGTGACTTACCTTCTCTGTGATTTCCTTGCTTCTGCCAGATTTGGATTCCGTAATCTGACCCTTCAAACAATTTATTTGACTTCAGTCTTCTGTTACTACAGCTGCCCAAGTTGAGGAATGTCCTTGGTTAAGGAAAGTGTCAAAGTCACAGGTCTAATTCTGTGCAATTCCATCTTTCAAGAGTGGGTATCTCTCTGGGCTCTGACTTCTTTTTTGCCGGATCCCTTGGGGTCTGCTCCACTCATACGCAGATTAGCTATAAGCCAGATTTCGGAAGTTTATGCTCTGAATTTGGGTCTCACTAATTCTGTGGTTCTCTTGCTGCTAGGGCTTCCTCATTAAATTTCTGTGTTTTTTTTCCCATCCTGAATTCTGATATTTGACATGTTTAGCTGGTAAGGCTGCGGTTTTTCCTACAAATGTTTTTTTATAACCTCGCAGGTGGAATTAATCCTGTGGCTGGTAAGCTGAAAACTCACAGGTTCTACCTATTCCAGTTTTCTGAAAGTAAATTTTCCTCTGGCTTCTATCTGCTTTTGGATGCCTTGCAGTGTCTTTAAATGTTTTATTAAATTTATTTTTTTAATAGTTATTATATATAGGGATTTGCATGACCACTTCATCTCACCAGCGTTATCTAATATTCTATTCATGTATAGATCATAGGATTTTGTTCCTTGCCTTCCCCTCTCTTCCTATAAGTTGAGAGAGGGATGTATTTAGATGAATTAAAAAATGGTTGCTATGCATGCAGGTAAATTAAACAAAAAGTAATTTTGATGGTGATTAGGTATATTTTATTTTGTTATTTTACATATGTAAGTTAAGAAAATTTGCCAGTGAGTACATGTGGTTTAATTGGCTATAGGAGGGGTTTATAGTTCAGAAGTTCAGAACAGTTAATGATGTTTCTCCAGTCTTGGCTCTGTCTTGGTGCCTGTCACAGTGTTTTGTGGTGATGTTGTATTGATGTTTGAGAGATGGGCACAGCAAATGGCATGCTTCTCCACTTTTCAGCACAACAGTTTCTCTTCATAATCTTAGATCCATATGATTCAGAATGTCTGTTAATTTAGCCTGGGCTTGGCTGAAGTTTATAATTTCATTCTGTGAGGAAAACAAAATGTACAAATTCATTGCATAAATAGGATCACAGGGGCCAGGTTTTACCTACTGATATGGTTTGGATTTGTGGCCCCACCCAAATTTCATGTCCAGTTGTAACCCCCAGTGGTGGAGTGGGGGCCTGGTGGGAAGTGATTGGGTCATGGGGTGGACTTCCCCCTTGCTGTTCTCATGATGTGAATGAATTCTCAAGAGTTCTAGTTGTTTAAAAGTGTATAGTACCTCCCCCTTCACTCTCTCTTCCTCCTGCTCTGGCCATGTAAGATGTGCCTGCTTCCTCTTTGCCTTCTGCCATGATTGAAAGTTTCTTGAGGTCTCCCCAGCCATGCTTCCTATACAGCCTGTGGAACCCTGAGCTACTTAAGCCTCTTTTCTTATAAATTACCCAGTTTCAGGTATTTCTTTATAGCAATGTGGGAACAGACTAATACGCCTATTGAAGAGTATACATTGTTTCTTTTCTTTCTTTTTCTTTTTTTTTGTTTTTGAGATGGAGTCTTGCTTTGTTGCCCAGAATAGAGTACAGTGGCATGATCTCGGCTCACTGCAACCTCTGCCTCCTGGGTTCAAGTGATTCTCCTGCCTCAGCCTCCTGAGTAGCTGGGATTACAGACACGTGCCACCAGGCCAAGCTAATTTTTGTGTTTTTAGTAGAGACGGGGTTTCGCCATGTTGGCCAGGCTGGTCTCGAACTCCTGACCTCATGATCCACCCTCCTCAGCCTCCCAAAGTGCTGGGATTACAGGCATGAGCCACCGTGCCTGGCAGAGTATACATTATTTCTAAGCATTTTAGCTATATCTTTTCTGTCTGCATGTAACTTTAAATTTTTAAAAGTTATAGAGTAAAATTCACTTTTAGGGGGAGTTTACAGTTCTGTGAATTTTAACCCATGTATAGGTTTGAATAACCACAACCACAGTGAAAATAAACAATAGTTTCATTACCTCCCCCATACGCTTCATCCCCGCCTCCCAATAACCCCAGCAACCACGGGTCTGTTCTCCATCACTACAGTTCTGTCTCTTTTAGAATATCCTGTACATGAAGTCAGGCGGTGTTTAGCCATTGGAGACTGACTTCTTTCGCTCGGAATAATGCCTTTGAGATTCATCCACCATAATGTGTGTATCAGTAGTTTGTGTCCCATTACTGCTGAAGAGCGCATTCAGTTTTCAAACAAGTGAGTGCCTTTATATAGAACAAATAAGATATTTTCAGGTAGACCTCTCTTTGGACACATTTTGCTAGTAGGGTGGTTTGAGTTTCTCCCTTTGTTTGATGGTTCTGTAATTGTCTTTCTTACAAAATATTGACACTTTAGCCATTTCACTATTTCACGTTGAAATTTTCCCTAGGTAATCAAAATTGTGAGGTTTTACTTTAACTTTTGCTCTAAAACCACCATTCCACAAAACCGTTAGCATTCAAGGGAAGAAAATACTCACTGGGGAGTGGAGAGTCGGCCAATTTAAGGCAGAGCTAATAAGTATTGTGGTTTTGTATAAAAACCTAAAAAGAACACTTTTGCATTTCAGATTCCTGAAAGCCCAACACAAATGATTTCTGAAAGTCCTTGAACAAATACAAGGGCAACACTTAAAAATATTAAACCAGGTGGTTTGGAGCCCAGGCAAGCATGGGACCTGTGAGATGACAGTGACACTGTGGAGTCGGCCTCAGCCCTGCCTGTCACCAGGGCCTTCTGTTCTCTGCCTTCCCCAGACACCAGGCCCACAGGGACCTCCTGCACTGTTGTCCCGTCAAGCAGGGACCCCTTGCCATCTTCTGGACTTTAGTAGAAGCATAGCAAAAAATGGAGTGGCAAGAGTGCAGTGTTGTTTCGGGTACCGAGTCTGCCACCCAAAGAGAAGGGGCTTGCCACTGCAAGGAACAGAAGTCTACTCCTGGACTTACAAGAAGGGAGGGCACTGGAAGAGGGCAGGGGAAGTTCGTGAGGTGCTGCCTGGCTTCTAAGGCTGGGATGGGGACCCCACAGCTGTTAGTGGGGTGCTACTCTGCTAGTCTCTTTGCAGACCAGCTTCCTTTACTTACTTATGTTTCTTGCTCCCTTAGAATGTTGACTTTAGTTTGCTGTGATGCCAGACTGGCCTCTAACTGTACCCGCTTTCAAGGGCCAGGACCTACTATAGTGCTAGTCCAGCTGGCCGGTGGTTTGGTTTCTTATGGATGGATCATGGGTCCACCTTTTGCTCAGCTGTGGTCAGGTAGGCTGGGTGCTATGGATCAGAGATGGCCATCTAGCCCTGTCTCTTTAACTGAGGCTATGGTGGGGCAATTTTAAAGAGCTATGGGTTTGGCAGACATCCCATAATAATCCATGGAGGAATCCTGGAGGTCTTGCCTAAAAGTATTCTGGCCTTAACCTGGGCTGTAATACTCTTAGTCAAGACCACCAGGCAGCCCTTTGTTGACAACTCTTAACTTTTAGAGCCCTGCAGAGGACACAGCTTTGTGCTGCTCATGTAGTATAGGATACAGGAATTCTCAGGCTCTACCCCAGACCTACTGAATCAGAAACTCTGCAGTGGGGCCCAGCAGTCTGTGTTAACAAGTCCTGCAGGTGATTCTCGTGTATTCTACAGTGTGAGAACCACTGACCTAAGGCACACATTCTCAGCAAGGAGATATTGCCCCCAGTAAGACAGTGATTTGTTCTTGGGGAGCAAAAAAAAATCTTAGATATTTACAGTGGTTTATGGCTTTTCAAAGATCAACATTATTTAACAAAGTCTTATTTTTTATTAGTATTTAATTTGGGGGATGGTGATCAATATATTACAAATAAATATATTGTATAAGCCTTTCCATAATCTATACATATTTCAAGACATCATATTGTACACCAAAGATATATACAATATTTATCTGTCAATTAAAAAATATTAATTTAAAAAATACTCATATTCAAATTGTGAATTTGTCTCAAATTCATACAAAGCAAAATGGTGGTTTCAAGAACTAGAGGGAGAGGGAAACAGGGAGTTATTGTTTAATGGGTACAGAGTTTCCATTTACAATATGGAAAGAGTTCTGGACATGGATGGTGATGATGGTTACATAACATTATTCATATTTAAAGTTTTTTAAATTGACAGGTAAATATTGTATATTTTTTTGGTGTACAACATGATGTTTTGAAATATGTATAGATTGTGGAATGGCTAAATCAAACTAATGAATATATGCATTACCTCACATATTTATCAGTTATTTGTAGTGAGAACACTTAAAATCTACTCTTGTAACAATTTTCAAGTATACTGTATGTTGTTATTAACTGTAGTCACCATGTTGTACAGTAGATTTCTTTAAGTTATTCTCCTGTCTATATGAAATTTTATATCCTTTGACCAATATCTTCCCAGTTTCTCCCCACCTCTAGCACCTGGTAACCACCATCCTACTCTCTGCTTCTATGAATTGGACTTTTTTAGATCTACATATAAATGAGATCATGCACCCATTTTTAAATTGGGTTATTTGTTTTCTTGCTATTAGGGTGTATGAGTTCCTTATATGTTTTAGATATTGACCCCTCATCCGATGTATGGTTTGCAAATATTCTCCCATTCTGTAGGTTGCCTTTTCACTCTGTTGATTGTTTCTTTTGCCATGCAGAAGCTTTTTAGTTTGATGTAGTCCCCTTTGTGTATTTTTGCTTTTGTTGCCTATGCTTTGGGATCATATTAAAAAAACCATTGTCCAGGCCAATGTCATGGAGCTTTCCCCCTATGTTTTCTTATAGTAGTTTTACAGGTTTCAGCCTTACATTTAAATCTTTAATCCAGTTTGAGTTGTTTTTTGTATATGATGTGAGATAAGAGCCTAATTTCATTCTTCTGCATGTGGATATCCTGTTTTCCCAACACCATTTAGTGAAGTGACTGTCGTTTTCCAATGTGTGTTCTTGGCATCTTTGTCAAAAATCAATTGGTTGTACATATGTGGGTTTATTTCTGGGCTCATTGTTCTGTTCCATTGGTATACCAGTCTGTTTTTATGTCGATACTATGCTATTTTGATTACTATAGTTTTGTATATGTTTTAAAATTACAGAGTGTGATGCTTGTGGCTTTATTCTTTCTGCTTAAGATCACTTTGAGTATTTGGGTCTTTTGTGGTTCTATACAAATTTTAGGATTTTTTTTTCTATATCTGTGAAAAATGTCATTGGAATTTTGATAGAGAATGTGTTGAATCTATAGATAGCTTTGGGTAGCAGGGATATTTCCACAGTATTAATCTTTCTAATCCATGAACATGGGATATATTTTCATTTATTTGTGTCTTCTTCAATTTCTTTCATCAGTATTATAGCTTTCATTGTATAGAATTTTATCTCTTTGGTTAAATTTATTCCTAAGGTATTTTGTTATTTTTTTTGTAGCTATTGTAAATGGGATTGTTTCCTTAATTTCTCTTTTGGATAGTTAATTGTTAGTGTATAGAAACACTACTGATTTTTGTATGTTGAGTTTGTGTCCCGCAAATTTACTGAATTTGTTTATTAGTTCTAATGGTTTTTTAAATATAGTCTTTAGGATTTTTTTATATATAAGATTGTGTCACCTGGGCATAGTGACTCATCGCTGAAATCTCAGCACTTTGGGAGGCCAAGGCCAGAGGCTCACTTGAGCCCAGGAGTTTGAGACCAGCCTGGGTAACATAGGGAGACCCTGTCTCTACAAAAAAAATTAAAAAGTAATTAGCCAGGTGTGATGATGTGCCTGTTGTCCCAGCTGCTTGAGAGGCTGAGGCAGGAGGATTGCTTGAGCCTGGTAGGTTTAGGCTGCAGTGAGTTACAGTCACGTCAATGCACTCCAGCCTGGTCGACAGAGTGAGACCCTGTCTCAAAAAAAAAAAAAGAGAAAGAAAGAAAGAATGAAAGAAAGAAAGAGAGAGAAGGAAGGAAGGAAGGAAAAGAAAGAAAAGAAAAAAGAAAAAGAAAGAAGAAAGAAAAAAAGAAAGAAAGAAAGAAAGAGAAAGACAAGGTAAAGGTTATGTCATCTGCTGCAAACAGAGACAATTTAACTTCTTCCTTTCCAGTTTGGATGGCTTTTATTTCTTTCTCTTGCCTCATTGCTATGGCTAGTACTTCTAGTACTATGTTGAATAGAAGTGGCAAGAGTGAATATCCTTGTTATTGATCTTAGAGGACTATCTTGCAGCTTTTCACTGTTGAATATGATGTAAGCTATGGATTTGCAGGTTGTTTTCATGTTGTTGAGGTTGAATAGTTCTCTGTATTTTCTAGATATTAACCCCCACCTTAGTCTGTTTGTGGTGCTATAACAAAATACCACAGATTGGGTAATTTATGAGCAATAGAAATTTATTTCTCACAGTTCTGGAGGCTGAGAAGTCTAAGATCAAGATACTAGCAGGTTCAGTGTCTAGTGAGGACCCAAATGAATCCTGCCATTTGCCTCCAAATGGCATCTTGTTAACGTATCTTCCTGAGGGGATGAATGCCGTGTCCTCACATGGTGAAAGGATGGAAAGGGGAGAAAAGGGCCTCCTTCCACTCACTCCCTCCAGCCCTTTCATAGGAGTGCCAATCTCATCCATGAGGCTGGAGCCTTCAAGGCCTAATCACCCTCTAAAGGCCCTATCTCTTAATACTATCACTTTGGTGATTAAGTTTCAATACATGAATTTTGGGGGACACATTCAGACCATAATAATCCCTTATCAGATATATTATTTGCAATTTTTCTCTCCCATTCTATGTGATGCCTTTTTACTTTGTTGATACTGACTTTTGATGCACAAAATTTATAAATTTTCATGAAGTCCAATTGCCTGTGTCATTGGTGTCATATTCAAGAAATCATTGCCAAATCCAGTGTCACGAAGCTTCTGCCATATGTTTTCTTCTAAGAGTTTTATAGCTTTAGGTCTTACATTTAGGTCTTTGATCCATTTTGAGTTAATTTTTGTGTATAGTGTCAGCTAAGGGTCCAACTTCATTCTTTTGCATATGTATATCCAGTTTTTCCAGCACCATTCATTGAAAAGATTGCCCATTCTTATAGTTTCTTTTGCTTTTTAAAATTTTCTGTTTTCTGGCCGGGCGCGGTGGCTCACACCTGTAATCCCAGCACTTTGGGAGGCCGAAGCAGGTGGAATACCTGAGGTCAGGAGTTTGATACCAGCCTGACCAACATGGAGAAACCTCGTCTCTACTAAGAATACAAAATTAGCTGGATGTGGTGGTGTGCGCCTGTAATCCCAGCTACTCAGAGGGTGAGGCAAAACAATCATTTGAACCTGGGAGGCAGAGATTGCAGTGAGCCAAGATCATGCCATTGCACACCAGCCTGGGCAACAAGAGTGAAACTCTGTCTAAAAAAAAAAAAAAAATTCTGTTTTCTGATTAATGGATTGAGTAATGTTCAGGGTCCAGCACAATGCTGAACTGAAGCAGCCTTTCTCCTGTAATCTTTAAATGAGGTACATTACTGATATAGATTTTCTTATGTTATACTACCTGGGATAAATCTGCTAGGTCAAGTTTTTTTTTTTTTTTTTTTTTTTCCTGAGCTTTTTTTGAATATTTAAAAAGTAAATCAAATTTTGTGGCACCTTATAAATTCATTCCTGTTATAATAGCAAAATATGTAGAAATAAATGAAATTTTAAAAGGGAAAATAATATAACTAAAGCTTTTCTCCAGGTGTGTCCTATTTTGGGATGGTTCATGTGAATGCATTATTTTTAATTGTTTTTGAGAAACATATAATTATTACAAATAGATATTATAAAAGCTTAGTTCCTCCTGTTAAAAATGATGTTTTTCTGGGCAGACATTAGCAAACTGTGGTCTGTGAGCCAAATCATGCCCATTGCTTGTTTCTGTAAATAAAGTTTTATTGGCATATTGCTATGCCCACTCATATTGTCCTTGGTTGCTTTTGCATTTCAACTGTAGAGTTGAGTAGTTGCAACAGAGACTTTATGGCTCCCAAAGCCTAAAGCATTTACTCTCTGATCTTTACAGAAAAAGTTTGCCAACCCCTGTTCTAGAGAATGCAATTTTTTTTCCAAAAAATTATTTAATCTAAATTGGTGTAGTAGTTCTTGGTGGGCAGAATTTAGGAACATTCTGACCACTTACTAGTATCTTCAATGGATGCTTAACTGTGCTAGGTTCCAAGGGAGTCTGGCTCTAACCTCGTGAAGTGGGCCCAGGACAGACATAATAGCATGATTGTAACTAAAAGATAGTAATAACACTTAGCAAAATTGAACTCTTAGCCATCTCTGTATTGGATTTCTGTGGTTTAGGAGTATCCTAAATATCGTCACAATTTGCACTCATTCTCTTGGACTAGCAACTGTTACTACTTGACTTGAATTTGGCTTTTTAGAGCAGTTCTTCATAAAACACTCTACAGAGCCACAGCAGGTGCAGCAGCCACCATCAGTACAATGTCTCTTAAAATTATCAGGACAAGACCTGGGTGGGTGCGTCACAGCTCCACAAAAGAAATACTGCAAAAGGAAATTTGCTGAAAGCTGGGTCATCTTTGGCCAGGCACTTGTTTATTTTGTGCTCTGACATCCACACCATAACTTTCCTGGTGGCCTGTCTTGATTCTCAAAAGCAGCTGGGCAGAGACGTACATTATGGAATTTGTCCCGCCACTTGTCTTTTTAATCTTCCTCCTTCCTGACAAATCGCCTTTTTGAAGTAGATACAGTTTCTTCCATTACTTTCTAGCTGTCTGCCCCTGTCATTTCCTGGTGGGCAATCTGTGAATTCTGTCTTAGGTATTCCAAGAAATCACTCGTATCTTCATTAAAGTAACCCTAGTTTTTCTTTTCTTTGTTTTGTGTGGGTTATTGGTCTTGCCTCTCCTCCAGAGCAGCCAGGTTAATGAGCAGAGAAACTAGCCCCCTATGGTGACCTAAATTAGCTTTGTATGCCTTGTTGAATCCAGTATGTTAATATTTGTTTATTTTTATTTTCTTTATGTTCACAAATGACTACTGTTGACATATTCTTCCTGTCCTTGGCTTTTTCTTTTTCCCTCAAAGGCTATATTATACTCATAGACTGAGAGGGGGAATGTTCTCTTTATTTTTTGTTCTCTTGAAGGTGTTCTTGGAAGTTTGATAGAACTTATCTCTAAAATCATTTGTGCCTGATGTCTTCAGTGCTGGAGGATTTTAAGCTACTGATTTAAGGTTTTAATCTTCATAGGACAAGTTAGTTTTTTGGTTTTTTCTTGAGTCAGTTTTGGTGGGTTGTCTTATCCTAGGAATTTGTCCTTTTTATTTGTTTTCAAGTTTATTATCATCTTTTCTTTTCTTTTAAACTTTTGCCACATCTGTAGGGATATCTCTTTTAATTCATAATATACTTGATATACTGTCTCTCCTTTCTTTCTTATTTTAGCAACTCTTGAATTTTTAAAAACTTTCTGTTGTTTCTTTCCTTTCTATTTCATTAATGTCTATCCTTTTTGTCTTTTTCCCTTTATTTTCTTTGAGTTTCTTCTGTTCTTTTTGAATATTGTAAATTCTGATGCTTAGCATGTTCACTTTTAGCCATTTTTGTTTTCTGCTATCAGCATTCATGGTTAAAACCATCTCACGCTACTGACAGTTTGGTTGGTTCACCCTGCTGTGGTCTTATGGGTTGTATGTTCTGACTGGTCTGTACTTTGCCATACCTGCCCTCCCCAACTATTTGCTATGAATTGTGGTCTCTTTGGATCTGTTCCCCTGACCCTTTATCCAGGACTAATTATCCTCATGTAACAGGCCTTTCTGAACATTTACCTGAGGGACACAGCTTCATCTGATTTTGGATAGTGCACATTTTGGAATAGGCTTTAGTCTTCAAAGTGTTGTTAGGTAGAGAGACAACTTGTGTAGTCAGTGGAAGTGATTTTAGGCGTGAAGTAGAAGAAAAAGAAAGGGCATCAGAAGATCTTGTTCTTGGCTCAGTTGTGACCCCAACTACTTCACGGCATGGGTTGGTCTAGGTTTGCTCTGGGATCAAAAGATGCCCCATGAGCTGAAGAGAGACATCTTTGGACAGTTGGGGCCAAGTCCCACGTCCTCCCTGTTTTTAACCTTTTTTTGACCCTGTCAGTTGCCATGTCTATAAAATGGGTAGTATGGGCGAGATCGTTGCTATGGTTCCTATCAAATATTCTGTGCTATGTTGCTAGGGTTTCCTTGGACTTTATGTTCTGATTATGAGTAGCAAGCCCACTTGAGCACAACCGGATTATTGCTTCAGCCCCTGTTCATGACTGGGTTTGTAATAAGAATCGGCTTTGGGAGTTGATGTTACAAGATGAATTTTATTTGACCAATCTGAAGGTGTGATCAGCATTTATAAAAGGCTGCTGGAGGATTTTTGTTTCTTCTTCTTCCTCCTCTACCTGTTTATTTTGAAAGAATTTTAGATTTACGGAAGAGTTACAAAGATAGTACAGAAGGTGCCTGTTCACCCTTCACCCTCCAACCCCCTAGTGTCAACATCTTCTATAACCATGGAATAATTATCAAAACAAAGATGTCAGTATTGGCTAATTTTCCACCAATGTCCTTTTCCTCTTCCTGATCCAGCATACATGTTACATTTAGTCTTCAAGTCTCTTTAGTCTACTCTTCCAATCTGAGACCTTTTCTTGGTTTTTCCTTATTTTTCACCATCTGGACACTTTTGAGAAGTACCAGTCAGGTGATCTATAGAATGTCCCTTAATATATACTTGCCTGATGTTTTCTCATTATTAGACTATGGGGCTTTGAATTTGGGAGGAAAGGGAAGTACCTTTCTCCTCACATCATATCAGAGAGGTAGGGTGCACGATATGAATGTTACTACTGGTGATAACCCTGATCACAGTTAAGGGAGTGTCTGCTAGATTTCTTCACTGTAAAGCTACTCTTTTCTCTTTTTTATAATTGATTTGTTACAATCTTTTTTAAAAAAAATTAATCCATTGTATTTTTAAGAAATCAATTTTACTGGATATTTTCGAATAATTTTGAATAATTATTAATTGAATAATTCAATTTGTTGAATAATTTTTACATTCCATAAAATTTTCCAATTATAAGCGTATAAGCCAGTGATTTTTGGCAAATTTAGGGAGTTGTGTAACCATCATCAAAATCCAGTTTTAGGACATTTCCATCACCCCCCCAAAAGTACTGGCTGTTTGCTGTCAGCCTGTTTCCATCCCAGCTCCAAGAAATCACTGATCTGTTCTGTCTCTACCAACTTGCCTTTCCAAGACAGTTCACATAAATGGAATGATAAAATATGCAATCTTTTGCATCTGGTTTCTTTTTCATTTAGCACAGTGTGTTTTCGAGGTTCATCCAAATTGTAACATGTGTTAATATTTTGTTCCTTTTTATTGTTGAGTAGTATTCCATTGTATGAATATCACATTTTGTTTATGCATCTATCATAAACAAAATTAGTTGATGGGTTGTTTCCAGTTTTAGGCTATTATGAATTACCCTGCTATAAACATTCACAAACACGTCTTTGCATAGACATTGTTTTCTTTTCTTTTGGGTAGGTTCCTAGGGGTAGAATTGCTGGGTCATTGGGTAAGCTTATGTTTGACTTCTTAAATAACTGCCAAATTGTTTCACAAAGTGGCTGTACCATAACACATTTCCATCAGCAATAGATGAGGGTTTCAATTTCTCCACATCCTTGTCAACAGTTGTTATTGTTTTTTTTTATTATAGCCATTCTAGTAGGCCAAAAGTGGCATTTCATTGTGGTTATAACTTGCATTTCCCTAAGGACTTAGGATGTGAAATATTTTTTAATTGATAAGTAGCCATTTATATGTTTTCTTTGAAGAAATGTCTGTTCAGATTTTCTGTCCATTTTTAATAGCGTTGTCTATTTTCTTCTTATTGAATTGTAAGAATTCTTTATATATTTTGAATCTAATTCTTTTATCAGAAATGTGATTTGTAAACATTTTCTTGCAGTCTATGGCTTGTTTTTCATTTTCTTAGTGGTGTCTTTTTTTTTTTTTAATTTCCGTAAGTTATTGGGGGAACAGGTGGTGTTTGATTACATGAGTAAGTTCTTTAGTGGTGATTTGTGAGATTTTGGTACACCCATCACCCGGGCAGTAGACACTGCACCCTATTTGTAGAGTTTCATTCCTCACCCCCTTCCCACCCTTTCCCACTCAGTCCCCGAAGTCCACTGTGTCATTCTTATGCCTTTGTATCATCATAGCTTAGCTCCCACTTTTGGGTGAGAACATATGACTTTTGGTTTTCCATTCCTGAGTTACTTCACTTAGAATAATAGTCTCCAGTCTCATCTGGGTTGCTATGAATGCCATTAGTTCATTTCTTTTTATGATGGCTGAGTAGTATTCCATCATACATATATACATATCACAGTTTCTATATTCATTTGTTGATTGATGGGCATTTGGGTTGGTTCCTTGATTTTGCAATTGCCAATTGTGCTGCTATAAACATGCATGTACAAGTATCTTTTTTTTTTTTTTTTGTAATGACTCTTTTCCTCTGGATAGATACCCAGTAGTATCTGGGTATCTGCTGGATCAAATGGTAGTTCTACTTTTAGTTCTTTAAGGAATCTCCACACTGTTTTCTACAGTGGTTGTAGTAGCTTACATTGCCACCAGCAGTGTAGAAGTGTTCCCTGTTCACCACAGCCACGCCAACATCTACTACATTTTTATTATGGCCATTCTTGCAGGAGTAAGGTGGTATTGCATGGTGGTTTTGATTTGCATTTCCCTGATCATTAGTGATGTTGAGCATTTTTTCATATATTTGTTGGCCATTTGTATATCTTCTTTTGAGAATTGTCTGTTCATGACCTTAGCCCACTTTTTGATGGGATTGTTTTTCTCTTGTTGATTTGTTTGAGTTCATTGTAGATTCTGGATAGTAGTACTTTGTCAGATGTATAGCTTGTGAAGATTTTCTCTCACTCTGTGGGTTGTCTTTTTACTCTGCTGACTCTTCCTTTTGCCATGCAAAAGCTCTTTAGTTTAATTAAGTCCCAGCAATTTATCTTTGTTTTTATTGCATTTGCTTTTGGGTTTTTGGTCATGAAATCCTTGCCTAAGCCAATATCTAGAGGGGTTTTCCCAATGTTATCTTCCAGAATTTTTATAGTTTGAGGTCTTAGATTTAAGTTCTTGATCCATCTTGAGTTGATTTTTATATAAGGTGAGCGATAAGGATCCAATTTCATTCTCCTACACGTGTCTAGCCAATTATCCCAGCACCATTTGTTGAAAAGACTGTCCTTTCTCACTTTATGTTTTTGTTTGCTTTGTCGAAGATCAGTTGGCTTTAAGTATTTGGGTGTATTCTGGGTTCTCTATTCTATTCCTTTGGTCTTTGTGCCTATTTTTATACCAGTACCATGCTGTTTTGGTGACTATGGCCTCATAGTATAGTTTGAAATCAGGTAATGTGATGCCTCCATATTTCTTCTTTTTGCTTAGTCTTGCTTTGGCTATGCAGGATCTTTTTGGTTCCATATGAATTTTAGAATTGTTTTTTCTAATTCTGCAAAGAATGGTGGTGGTATTTTGATGGGAAATGCATTGAATTCGTACATTGCTTTTGACAGTATGGTCATTTTCACAATATGGATTCTACCCATCCATGAGCATGGGATGTGTCTCCATTTGTTTGTGTCATCTGTGATTTCTTTCAGCAGTGTCTTGTAGTTTTTCTTGTAGAGGTCTTTCACCTTCTTGGTTAGGTGTATTCCTAAGTTTTTTTTTTTGCAGCTATTATAAAAGGGGTTGAGTTCTTAATTTGATTCTCTGCTTGTTTGCTGTTGGTGTATAGAAGAGCTAGTGATTTGTGTACATTAATTTTGTATCTGGAAGCTTAGCTGAATTCTTCTATCAGTTCTAGGAGCTTTCTACAGGAGTCTTTAGGGTTTTCTAGGTAAATGATTATATCATCAGCAAACAGTGACAGTTTGACTTTCTCTTTACTGATTTGGATGCCTTTTATTTCTTTCTCTTGTCTGATTGCTCTGGCTAGGATTTCCAGATTCTGGCTATGTTGAAGAGGAGTGGTGAGAGTGGGCATCCTTGTTTTGTTCCAGTTCTCAGAGGGAATGCTTTCAACTTTTCCCCATTCAGTATTATGTTGGCTGCGGATTTGTCATAGATGGCTTTAATTATATTGGGGTATGTCCGTTGTGTGCCGATTTTGCTGAGAGTTTTAATCATAAAGGGATGCTGAATTTTGTCTAATTCTTTTTCTGCATCTATTGAGATGATCTTATGATTTTTGTTTTTAATTCTGTTTATGTGGTGTATCACATTTATTGACCTGTGTATGTTAAACCATCCTACATCCCTGGTATGAAACCCACTTGATCATAGTGGATTATCTTTTTGATATGTTGTTGGATTTGGTTAGCTAGTATTTTGTTAAGGATTTTAGCATCTATGTTCATCAGGGATTTGGTCTGTAGTTTTCTTTTTGGCTATGTCCTTTCCTGGTTTTGGTATTAGGGTGATACTGGCTTCATAGAATGATTTAGGGAGCGTTCCCCCTTTCTCTATCTTGTGGAATAGTGTCAATAGGATTGGTACCAATCCTTCTTTGAATGTCTGGTAGAATTCTGCTGTGAATTCATCTCATCCTGGACTTTTTTGTTGGTCATTTTTAAATTACGATTTCAATCTTGCTGCTTGTTATTGGTTTATTCAGGGTATCTAATTCTTCTTGATTTAAGCTAGGAGGGTTGTATCTCTCCAGGAATTTATCCATCTCCTCTAGGTTTTCTAGTTTATGCACGTAAAGGTGTTCATAGTAGCCTCGAATGATCTTTTGTATTTCTGTGGTGTCAGTTGTAGTATCTCCCGTTTCATTTCTTATTGAGCTTATTTGGATTTTCTCTCTTCTTTTCTGGGTTAATCTTGCCAATGGTCTATCAATTGTGTTTATGTTTTCAAAAAACCAGCTTTTTGTTTCATTTATCTTTTGTTTTTTTGTTTGTTTATTTGTTTTAATTTCATTTGGTTCTGCTCTGATCTTGGTTATTTCCTTTTTTTCTGCTGGGTTTGGGTTTGGTTTGTTCTTGTTTCTCTAGTTCCTTGGGGTGGCGTGACCTTAGATTGTCTTTTTGCTCTTTCAGACTTTTTGATGTAGGTGTTTAGGGCTATGAACTTTCCTCTTAGCACTGCCGTTGCTGTGTCCCAGAAGTTTTGATAGGTTGTGAAACTATTGTTATTCAGTGTGAAGAATTTTTAAATATCCATCTTGGTTTCATTTTTGACCCAGTGATCATTCAGGAGTGGATTATTTAATTTCCATGTATATGTATATGATTTTGGAGGTTTCTTTTGGAATTGACTTCCAGTTTTATTCTGCTGTGGTCTAAGAGAGTGCTTGATATCATTTCAGTTTTCTTAAATTTATTGAGGCTCATTTTATGGTCTATCATATGGTCTATCTTGGAGAAAGTTCCATGCACTGTTGAATAGAATGTACATTCTGTGATTGTTGGATGGGATATTCTGTATATATATGTTAAGTCCATTTGTTCCAGGGTATAGTTTAAATCCATTGTTTCTTTGTTGACTTTCTGTCTTGATGGCCTGTCTAGTGCTGTCAGTGGAGTATTGAAGTCCCCCACTATTATTGTGTTGCTGTTTATCTCATTTCTTAGGTTTAGTAGTAATTGTTTTATAAATTTGGGAGCTCTAGTGTTAGGTGCATATATGTTTAGGATTGTGATATTTTCCTGTTGGACAAGACCTTTTATCATTATTATAATGCCCCCTTTTCCTTTTTTAACTGCTGCTGGTTTAGTTTGTTTTGTCTGATATAAGAATAGTTACTCTTGCTTGCTTTTGCCTGAAATGTCTTTTTCCACCCCTTTATCTTAAGTTTATGTGAGTCCTTATGTGTTAGGTGAGTCTCTTGAAGACAGCAGGTAGTTGGCTGATGAATCCTTATCCATTCTGCAATTCTGTATCTTTTAAGTGGACCATTTAGGCCATTTACATTCAGTGTTAGTATTGAGATGTGAGATACCACTCCATTCATCATGCTGTTTGTTGTCTGTATACCTTGGTTTTTTGTTTCTGTTTTTTAAATTATATTTTTGTTTTATAGGTCCTGTGAGATTTATGCTTTAAAGAGGTTCTGTTCTGATGTGTTTCCAGGATTTGTTTCAAGATTTAGAGCTCCTTTTAGCGGTTCTTGTGGTGGTGGCTTGGCTTGGTAGTGGCGAATTCTCTCAGCATTTGATTGTCTGAAAAAGACTACATCGTTCCTTCATATATGAAGGTTAGTTTCACCGGCTACAAATTTCTTGGCTAATTGTTTTGTTTGAGGAAGCTGAAGATAGGGCACCAACCTCTTCTAGCTTGTAGGGTTTCTGCAGAGAAATCTGCTGTTAATCTGATAGGTTTTCTTTTATAGGTTACCTGGTGCTTTTATCTGACAGCTTTAAAGATTCTTTCCTTTGTCTTAACTTTAGATAACCTGATGACAATGTGCCTAGGTGATAATCTTTTTGCGATGAATTTCTCAGGTGTTCTTTGTGGTTCTTGTATTTGGGTGTCTAGGGCTCTAGCAAGGCTGGGGAAGTTTTCCTCGATTATTTCCCCAAATATGTTTTCCAAACTTTTAGATTTCTCTTCTTCCTCGGGAGCACTGATTATTCTTACATTTGGCATAATCCCAGACTTCTTGGAGGCTTTGTTCATATTTTCTTATTATTTTTTCTTTGTCTTGTTGGATTGGGTTAATTTGAAGACCTTGTCTTTGAGCTCTGAATTTCTTTATTCTCTTTGTTCAATTCTATTGCTGAGACTTTCCAGAGCATTTTGCATTTCTATAAGTGTGTCTGTTGTTTCCCGGAGTTTTGATTTCTTTTTAATGCTATTTCCTTGAATATCTATTTCCTGCCTTCACTTCTTGTATCATTTTTTTGGATTTCCTTACAATGGGCTTCGCCTTTCTCTGGTGCCTCCCTGATTAGCTTAATAACTAATCTCCTAAATTCTTTTTCAGGTAAATCAGGTATTTCTTCTTTGTTTGGGTCCGTTGCTGGTGAGCTACTGTGATTTTTTGGAGATGTTAAAGAACCTTGTTTTGTCATATTACCAGAGTTGGTTTTCTGGTTCCTTCTCATTTGAGTAGGCTCTGTCAGAGGGAAGGGCTAGGGCTGAAGGCTTCTTTTGTCCCATGGGGTGTTCCCTTGATGTAGTGCTTTCCCCCTATTCCTGTGGATGTGGCTTCCTGAGAGCCAAGCTGTAGTGATTGTTATTTCTCTTCTGGGTCTAGCCAGCCAGCAAGTCTACCAGGCTCCAGCTGGTACTGGGGGTTGTCTGCACAGAGTCCTGTGATGTGAACCGTCTGTGGGACTCTCAGTCATGGATACCAGCACAGTATTTGGGGTGTCTCCTGGGTCCTGCAGGAGCAATCTGCTTCCTTCAGGGAGTCTGTGGGTCCTCTCAGGTTTCCTGATTTATTCCTGCAGTTGTTCTGGAGCAAAAATTTACAATGCGAGCCTCCACACACTGCTCTGTCTGTCCCAGTCAGAGCTGCAATCTAGTCCTGCCTCCCGTCCGCCATGTTCCCCAGTCGTGCCTTTTGAAACAAAACATTTAAAACATTGATGAAGTTAGGTTTGTCAATTGATTGTGTTCTGGGTGTTGAATCTAAGAACTCTTTGCCTAACCCAAGGTTGGGGAGATTTTTACTTTTTCTAAAAGCTTTATAGTTTTAGCTCTTACATTCATGTCTATGATCCATTTTGAATTATTTTTTTATGTATGATGTAAAGTAAAGGTCCAACCTCACTTTATAAAATACCTGATACATTAAAAAATATGAATAAGCTTTATTTTTAGAATAGTTTTTAGTTTTATAGAAAAATTGAGGGGCAAGTACAGAGTTCCAATGTATCCTCTCCCCCAATCATTTCCCCTATTGTTAACATATTGCGCTAGTGAGGTACGTTTGTTACAATTGATGAACCAATATTGACATATACACTAGTTTTCTAGGGCTTCCATAACAAAATACCACAGACTGGGTGGCTTAAACTAGGGGTCCCCAGTCCCCGGGCCATGGACTGGTACCAGTCTGTGGCCTGTTAGGAGCTGGGCTGCACAGCAGGAGGTGAGGGGTGGGCGAGTGAGCAAAGTTTCATCTGTATTTACGGTCACTCCCATTGCTCATGTTACCACCTGACCTTTGCCTCCTGTCAGATCAGTGGCAGCATCAGATTCTCGTAAGAGTGCGGACCCTACTGTGAACTTCACATGCGAGGGGTCTAGGTTGCGTGCTCCTTATGAGAATCTAATGCCTGATGATCTGTCACTGTCTCCCATCACCCCCAGATGGGACCATCTAGTTGCAAGAAAACAAGCTCAGGGCTCCCACTGATTCTACATTATAGTGAGTTGTATAATAATTATTTCATTATATATTACACCATAATAATATAAATAAAGTGCACAATAAATGTAATGCACTTGAATCATCCTGAAACCATCCCCTCCGTTTCCTGGTCCATGGGAAAATTGTCTTCCATGAAACTGGTTCCTGGTGCCAAAAATGTTGGAGACTACTGACTTAAACAACAGAAATTAATTTTCTCACAGTTATGGAGGCCAGAAGTTCAAGGTCAAGGTGTCAGAAAGCTTGTTTTCTTTAGAGGCTTCTTCTTGGCTTGCAGATGGCTGCCTTCTCACTATGTCCATACTTGGTCTTTTCTCTACTTGAGTATTGCTGGTATCTTTCTGTGTGTCCAGATTTCTTCTTATAGGGACACTAGTCCCTGTAAGAAGGTTGGAGTGGTGCATATCCTAATGCCTCCTTTTTAGCTTCATGACCTCTTTTAAAGGCCTTATCTCCAACCAGCTGCAAAGAAAGTATCTTCTGAGGTACTGTGGGTTTGCGAATGTGGGAGACACAAGGTTCAGCCTATAAGAATAGATTATCATTAACTGAAGTTCATAGTTTACATGAGAGCTTACTCCATGTTGTAACTTCTATGGGTTGTGACAAATGTTTAATGGCATGTGTCCACTGTTGTAATATCACACAGGGTAGTTTCACTGCCTAAAATTCCTCTGTACTCTGTCTACTCATCCTTCTTACTCCTGGCCCTGGTAACCACAGATCTTTTTTTTTGAGACGGGGTCTCACTCTTGTCACACAGGCTGGAATGCAGTGGTGTGATGTTGGCTCACTGCAACCTCCACCTCCCCAATTCAAGCAGTTCTCGTGTCTCAGCCTCCCAAGTAGCTGGGATTACAGGCATGAGCCACCATGCCTGGCTCAGTTTTTGTATTTTTAGTAGAGATGGGGTTTCGCCATGTTGACCAGGCTGGTCTTGAACTCCTGACCTCAGGTGATCCACCCACCTTGGCCTTCCAAAGTGCTCGAATTACAGGTGTGAGCCACCGCGCCCGGTCACCATGCCTCCCTAGTTTTGCCTTTTCCAGAATGTAATATACAGTCATTTGTCACTTAGCCACAGGGATATGTTTTGAGGAATGCATTGTTAGGCAATTGCATCATTGTGTGAACATGATAGAATGTATTCACATAAGACTTGATGGCAGAGCCTGCTGCACTCCTAGGCTGTGGAGTATGGCCTGTCATCTCTAGGCTACAAACCTGTATAGCTCGTTACTGTACTCATTACTGGAGGCAATTGTAACATAATGGTATTTCTGTATCTAAACATATGTAAATATAGAAAAGGTACAGTAAAGAGATTTAAAAACAGTATGCTCGTGTAGAGTACTTACCGTGAGTGGAGCTGCAGGACTGGAAGTTTCTCTGGGTGATTCAGGGAGTGAGTGAGTGGTGAGTGAATGTGAAGGCCTAGGACAGTACTGTGCACTACTGTGCACTTTAGAAACACTGTACACGTAGGTTACACTAAATGTCTACTTTTTCCTTCAATAATAAATGAACTGTAGCTTACTGTAACCTTTTTACTTTACAAAAACTTTTTGATTTTTTTAACTTTTTGACTCTTTTGTAATAACACTTGGCTAAAACATAAATACATTATGCAGCTGCACATAAATATTTTCTTATTCTATAAGCTTTAATTAAAAAAAATTTTTTTTTAAGTTTAAAAATATTTCTTGCTGAAAGCAAAGAGACAAACACACTCCTTAGCCTAGGCCTACTCAGGGTGAGGATTGTCAATATCACTGTCTTCCACTTCCACATCTTGTCCCACTGGAAGGTCTCCAGGGGCAGTAACATGCGTGGAGCTATCATTTCCTAGGATAACTGCCTTCTTCTGGAATACCTCCTAGAGGACCTGCCTGAGGCTGCTTTACAGTTAATTTTGTTTTTATAATGAGTAGAAGGTGTACGCTCTAAAATGACAATACAAATATAGTATAGTAAATACATAAACCAGTATCAGTCATTTATTATCATTATTGGGTATTAGGTACTGTGCATAATTGTATGTGCTAGACTTTTTTTTTTTTTTTGGCAGAGGCTTGTTCTCTTGCCCAGGCTGGAGTGCAGTGGTGCAATCTCGGCTCACTGCAATCTCTGCCCCCTGGGTTCAAGCAATTCTCCTGCCTCAGCCTCCTGAGTAGCTGGGATTACAGGTGCATGCCACCACACCTGGCTAATTTTTTTTATATTTTTGGTAGAGATGGGGTTTCACTATGTTAGCCAGGCTGGTCTCAAACTCCTGACCTCAAGTGATCCTCCCACCTCGGCTTCCCAAAGTGCTGGGATTACAGGCATGAGCCACCATGCCCGCCTGTATGTGCTAGACTTTTATATGACTGGCAGTGTGGTAGGTGTGTTTACCCCAGCATCACCACAAACACATGAATAGCGTGTTGCATTACGACTTTATGATGCCTATGACTATCACTAGGCGACAGGAATTTTTCAGCTGTATTTTAATCTTATGGGATCTCCATTGCACATGTGGTCCATTGTTGACTGAAACGTCTTTATGAAGCACATTACTGTAGTTGGAATCCAATGGAATGTCATTGTTCAGTTAGCTTCTTTCACTTAGTAATATGCCCTTATGGTTTTTCTATATCTTTTTATAGTAATAACTCATTTCTTTTTAGTGCAGAATAATGTTACATTGACTGGATAAGCCACAGTTTATCCACTCACCGTCCGAAGTACATCCTGATTGCTTCTAAGTTCTAGTAATTATGAATAAATATTTGTGTGCAGATTTTTGTGTGAACATCGTTTTCAACTCCGTTGAGTAAATATCAAGGAGTGTGACTGCTGAATCACAAGGTAAGAGTATGTTTAGTTCTGTAAGAAACTGCCAAAATGCCTTCCAAAGTGGCTGCACCATTTTGTATTCTGACAAGCAATGAATGACAGTTCCTGTTGTTCCACATCCTCACCAGCATTTGTTGTTGTCTGTGTTAAAGAATTTGGCTATTCTAGGCCAGGTGTGGTGGCTCACACCTGTAATCCCAGCACTTTGGGAGGCCGAGGCAGGCGGATCACCTGAGGTCAGGAGTTCGAGACCAGCCTGACCAACATGGCGAAACCCTGTCTTTACTAAAAATACAAAAATTAGTTGGGCATGGTGGCACATGCCTGTAATCCCAGCTACTTGGGAGGCTGAGGCAGGAGAATCGCTTGAACCCAGGAGGCGGAGGTTGCAGTGAGCTGAGATCGCGCCATTGCATTCCAGCCTGGGCAATAAGAGCGAAACTCTGTCTCAAAAAAAAAATAATTTGGCTATTCTAATAGGTGTGTAGTGGCATCTCATTGTTTAAATTTGTGATTTCCTAATAGCATATGATGTGGAGCATCCTTTCATATGCTTAGTTGTAGAATTACAAAGAGGATTTTGATAGAGCCAGCATTGAGTTTACAGATCATTTTGGGAAGAATTATTGTAAGAATTGAGTCATCCAATCCATGCACATGGAATTTCTCTTCATTTATTTAGCTCTTCTTTAATTTCTCTCAACAATGTCTTGTAGTTTTTGGTGTTCAAGATTCTTTTGTTAAACATACTCTTAATTATTTACTTCTTTTTAATGCTATTGTAAATTAAATTGCATCTTTATTTAATATTAAAGCCTTTTAGTTTTGGAAGACTTCACAATTACAAGAACATTGCTCTCATCTTCTATATATTGAAATAATATAATTGCAAGCAAGTTGGTACTGTCATCTCAAGCGCATCAAGCTTGAAATCCCAAATATTTTATAGTTACTGTCTCAAGAGAAATGAACTTCCTTATTGGCTGTAGATTATTTATTTTTAAATTCATTTTTGGTATGAAATAGTAACTGCTTATTTAGCTAACAATTCTTTTGCTTGGCATTTTAGGCTGAGCTCAGCTGGGTGATTTTCTAGTCTAGCTGGGCTTGCTGTTTATCCATGGTAACCTGCCTGTCAGGTGGCTCTGCTGCTTGGGGCTGGCGAGACATTCCCTGGGACCGCAGCAGTGCGTGGGCCATATTCCTTTCATGGTAGCAGGTCACCCTGGGCTTGCTTTTGTGGTGTGTTGCAGGGATCTGAGAGAGAACACAGGTACACTGGACCCCAGGAGGCCTAGGCTTAGAGTGGTGGTGCTGTCACTCTGCCTCATTCTGTTGACCAAAGTGAGTCACAAGGCCAGCTGGAATTAGAGGTGAGGGGAAATTGATCCCATCTCTTGATGGGAGGAGCTTCAAAATCAGATGCAAAGGGGCATGGCCATAGGAAAGAAGTAATCGTGGCCATTTTTGCAAACAGTTCACCATGGCAGTGTGTATCTTTGCATTTCAGTCTGGCTGATTAGAATCGGAGTCATTTTTGTTTGTTTGGGAAATTACCCACTTCTGAATCTTGGCAGGGACAAATACCACCACTTCCAACAGAAGCTGAAAATGCTCCATATTTGTTTTCTTCTTCCATTGCATCTAGGTCATGGGCATCTGTGCAGTTTGGAGGTGAGGAAGGTGAGCTAGTAGGCCCAGTGTAGAACTGGTGTTCTAGTTAGGGTGATGACAGAGGTGCCTGGCTGAAAGGCCACGTTCTCATTGCAGAAATGGCAACTGTGCTGGTGTTGACTTTGGTTGCGATACAGTTAAGTTGTGGGTGAAAAGTGGGGAGGGTGCCAATTGTCACCTCTCTGGCTCTGCTGCAGCAGGGCCATCAATATTTCATGAGAAGCAGGGCCTGGTGGTGTGTCTATATGGGGTAAGTGCATTTTGCTATAATTGGACACGGTGAGCCCTTGCTAGAGTTACTGAAACAAGTGCGTACCCTAGAGATGGGTCGAATTGGTCTCTTCAGGTTTCACTTCTGCAGGGAGATAGTTGATGTTGCCAGATACTCCTGGTTGGCTCCAAGGGTCTCATTGAACAGTGTGCAGTGAAGGGAGGAATCTGAGGAGGATGCTGCCTGAGTGGCCTCACTCTGCCTAGTCTCCCAGGTTCACCTTTCATTTCAGTCCAGTGGTCTTGTATCATGTGAGTTTGTAAAGAAAGCTGATCAGTCAACTGGAGAATGATCTGCTATGTTAGCATCACTTGTTTAGCTTGTGTACCTGACCATGTTTCCAGGAGGTACCCATAACTCTGGCTGTGCAGGGGCCTTACAGGGTCCTAGTGGGTCAGCCGCGAGCCCAGGGGACAGTGTGTGTCTCTTTCTTTCTCTGCAGGCAGACTGTGTGGTGATGGCACCGGTGCATGCTACCTGCTGCCTGTCTTTGACACCGTGTTCATCAGGAGGAAACACTGGCACCGAGGCTTGGGAACAGCCATGCTGCGGGACTTCTGTGAGACATTCCCAGAGGACGAGGCCCTGGGGGTTAGCTGCTCGATGTCTCCTGCCATGTACCAAGGTAACCCCCCTTGTGTCGTGCAGAAGCATTTGGGTAAAGGTGATGGATAACACACGTGCATTCCAGGGGATTCTGCAGGAGGAGGCCCTGGGGAGCCCTCGTGGGCAGGTGCAGGCCTTGGCTCGGCGGCACGCACATGGGATTTTCCTTCCTTCTGAGAAATCTCTGGTTGCTGCAGCAGAAACCAAGACTTCATGTTTGATCACAAGAAGTGAACTCTCCCAAGCTGGAAAATAATTGGATTTAGAAACAATCACAAACAAATCAGCGAGCTCAGAGAGGAGGGAATCTGGAGAGCTGCCGCCAGGCTGCGGGCTGCGGGGCTTTGGAGTGCCTGTGCTCTTTCACTTGACGCCTGTAGTTCCTCACTTTGTCCTTTGAACTAGAAGCCACGGGAGAGCCCAGGAGCTGAAGGGAAGGCAGGGACCGGGTAGAAAGGCAAGCTCTGAATGGGCTGGGCTTTCCAGCGTCTCTGTAGCTCTCTACGCACAAGACGCCTCCCTCCCATATTCTTTATCCACGTTTGCCAGAGGAGGATGAAACAGCTCTGATGTGAAACATCACACTCTAAGGTGATGAGGGTGGGAGGCTCTGGAGAGCATGTCTCTGAGTCCCCTTCTCCCTCATGAAGCACACACACCCTACTTTGTGCTCTGCCCCTGTTCTTGGTGTGTGGCTGTTTTTGAACGCTTAGTATGCAGTTTCTGGTGTCTTTCTGGCTCAAGGGATAGGAGAGAACAGTTAGGAAAAGCAAGGAAGCTTCTGTTGCTGTGAAGTCATAAAGAAAAGCAGGTAAAAACATACTTTTCCTCAAGTGGGTCTGGCTGTTTCTTTGTATTTTCAAACTCTTAGTCTGTTGCTAAAACTCTGAAGAGCCTTGAATTTCTGCAAAGAGCGCTCGAGACTTCCTGCACCATGTAGCTCACTTTCAGGTGTAGGAGCATTCGGGGGCCCAGGCAGCTGGTCCTCTGTCCACACCCATGTCCTTCCAGGCCCCCTCCTCTTTCTTGTTTCAGGTGCAGGAGCATTCAGGGGCCCAGGCAGCTGGTCCTCTGTCCACACCCATGTCCTTCCAGGCCCTCTCCTCTTTGTTTCAGGTGCAGGCCACCTCACGGTTTTAGGAGGCTTTGGCAAGGGAGTGAAAGAGAGCCTTTTACTCAAAGGAACAGTGGACTCCAAGGCTAAGGGCTGGCTACTGAGCCTGGGCCAGCCTTGCTAAGACCCTGTAGGGCCCTATGATCCCTCTCGTCCTTCCACTGTCTTTGCCTGCAAAGAAAGATCTGAACGTGCTGATTCTGACTCACGCTACTTCTCTCTGGGCTTCAGACACCCAGATGTGCCTGTCAGGTTTTTATTGAGTTCACTGATGCCTTCCAACTGGACAGGAGGGACTCCTGCCCTGGGCCCCATGCTTTGAGCCTTCTTTCAACTGCATCTCCCTCCAGGGGGGCAAGGACTCCACGGGCCCAAGAGGAGGTACCCACCTGGCTCATGCTGCTCCTTCTAATCTGGCTCAGGGTGCCAGGACCCCAGAATTCCTGCCAGTGGCCACTGTGGGCCTGAGTGGACCTCATCCCATGGTCTGGGCTCATGAGGGTGGACCATGCCGCTAGTTTGCACATCCTTAGAGCCCAGGGGTGGCTCTTGGGGAGCTGTGGATGGCGTGTGGGGAGGACGGCCACATTTGTACTCACAGGCCCCTTGAGGTATCGGGGGCTGGGGTGGGAGGAGAAGGGGGTGGACTGCCGGCTGGGGGCCAGCTCGCTTGGTATTGCCACATTCTGGTGCAACACTCCAAGGAGTCCAAGAATTCTAAATTTGAAACGAGCTTCTCCTGTTGTTAGGAAGTTATATTTGTCAAGATAGGAGGGCAGAACGTGTCATATATAGCGCTTTGCTAACTTGGTTTGTACCTTTGGAAGACAGGCGTTCCTCATTTCACTGCTCTTCCCTTGATTGCACTTCGCAGATGCTGCGTGTTTTACATTTTGAAGGCTGTGGCAGCCCTGCTTTGAGCAAGTCTATCGGGGATATTTTTCCAACAGCATGGTCTCACTTCGTGTCTCTGTGTCATGTTTTGGTAATTTTCACAATATTTCAAACTTCTTCATTATTATTATATCTGTCATGGTGATCTGTGATCAGTGATATTTGACGTTACTATTGTAATTGTTTTGGGGCACCACAAACCATGCCCGTGTAAGTTAGTGAACTTAATCAATACACGAGCCTGTTCTGATTCTGCTCCCGACCAGCTGTTCCTTCCTTCTCTTCCTATTCCATGAGACACAACAATATTGAAATTAGGCCAATTAATAACCCTACAATGGCCTCTGAATGTTCAAGTGAATGGAAGAGTCACATGTCTTTCACTTTAAATCAAAAGCTAGAAATGACTAAGCTTAGTGAGGAAGGCATGTCAAAAGCTGAGGTAGGCTGAATGCTAGGTCTCTTGCACCAAACAGTTAACAAAGTTGTGAATGCAAAGGAAGAATTCTTGAAGGGAATGAAAAGTTCGACTCTGGTGAACATACAAATGATAAGAAAGTAAAACAGCCTTATTGCTGATAGGGAGAAAGTTTTAGTGGTCTAGATAGAAGATCAAACCAGCAACAACATTGCCTTAAGTCAAAGCCTAACCCAGAGTAAGGCCCTAACTCTCTTCAATTCTATGAAGGCTGAGGGATTTGAGGAAGCTGCAGAAGAAAAGTTTGAAGCTAGCAGAGGTTGGCTCATGAAGTTTAAGGAAAGACGCTGTCTCCATAACATAAAAGTGCAGGATGAAGCAGCAGGTGCTGATACAGAAGCTACAGCAAGTTATCTGGAAGATCTAGCTCAGATCATTGATAAAGGTGGCTACACTACACAACAGATTTTCAATGTAGGTGAAACAGCCTTCTACTAGAAGAACATGTCATCTAGGACTTTCATAGCTAGAAAAGAGAAGTCAATGCCTGGCCTCAAAGCTTCAAAGGACAGGTCGAGTCTCTTATTAGGGGTTGATGTAGCTGGTGTCTTTCAGTTGAAGTTAGTCCTCATTTACTGCTCTGAAAATCCTAAGGCCCTCAAGAATTATGCCAAATCTATTCTGTCTGTGCTTTAGAAATGGAACAACGGTGCCTGGATGACAGCATGTCTGTTTATAGCGTGTTTTATTGAATAATTTAAGCCCACAGTTGAGACCTACTGCTCAGAATAAAAGATTCCTCTCAAAATATTATTGTTCATTGACAATGCACCTGGTTATCCAAGAGGTCTGATGGAGATGCACAAAGAGATTAATGTTATTTCCATGCCTGCTAACATAATATCCATTCTGAAGCCTGGAGATCAAGGAATAATTTCAGCTTTCAAACCTTATTTAAGAAATACACTTCCTAAGGTTTCCATAGATAGTGATTCCTCTGATGGTTCTGGGCAAAGTACACTGAAAACCTTCTGGAAAGGATTCACCATTCTAGACACGATTAAGAACACTCATGATTCATGGAAGGTCAAAATATCCACATTCATAGGAGTTTGGAAGAAGTCGATTCCAACCCTCATGGATAACTTTGAGGGAGGAGTCCAAGACTTCAGCAAAGGAAGTCACGCAGATGTGGTGGAAATAAAGAGAGAACTAGAATTAGAAGTGGAGCCTGAAGATAGGACTGAATTGCTGCAACCTCATGATTAATCTTGAACAGTTGAGGAGTTGCTTCTTATGGATGAGCAAAGAAAATGGGTTCTTGAGTTGGAATCTCCTCCTGTTGAAGATGCAGTGGACATTGCTGAAATGACAACAAAGGATTTAGAATATTCCATAAATTAGCTGAGAAAGTAGCAGCAGCAGGGTTTGAGAGGATGGACTCCAATTTTGAAAGAAGTTCTACTGTGGGTAAAATGCTGTCAAACAGCATCACATGCTGCAGAGAAATCTATTGTGAAAGGAAGAATCAATTAGTGGAAGAAACTTCATTGCTGTGTTATTTTAAGAAATTGCCACAGCAACCCCACCCTGAGAAGCCATCAACCTTGACGCAAGACCCTCCACCAGCACAGATTATGACTTCCTGAAGGCTCAGATGATCACTAGCATTGTTTAGCATTAAAATATATTTTAATTAAGGTATGTACATTGTATTTTTAAGACAAAATGCTATTGCACGCTTACTAGACTACAGTATAGTATAAACATAACTTTTACATGTATGCACTAGGAAACCAAAAAATTTGCGTGACTTGCTTTGCTGTGATATTTGCTTTATTGTGGTGGTCTGGAACCAAACGCACAGTATCTCCGAGGCCTGCCTGCACTTAGCATTGCACTCTGTAGGTTTCCATCTGTGTTCTTCCCCGGGGCCCCCCAAATGTTAAGAAGAGGGCCTAATGGAGTCCTCATGGGCACCTGCAGAACCAGGAGCAGTTTCCCATTCACCTGGATTCGGGACATTGCCATGTGAAAATGTTCACCCACGAATGTTGGCATAAAAGTCTAGGAACCTTGAGTGGACTCTGGAATCCGGGAGGGAGCAGAGGATAAGCTTGAAGGTTCTTTGGGAGGGAGGAAGGACGGTGCATGAAGAGCGGCCAGGGTGGATGGTACTAAGGACTGAATTGGGCCCCCAACTCAAATTCGTATGTTGAAGCCCTTGGTGTGACCACATTTGGAGATAGGGCCTTTAAAAAGCTAATTAAGGTTGAACGAGGTCCTAAGGGCGGGCCCCTAGTCCAGTATGACTGGTGTCCTTAAGAAGAGAGGCACCAGGATGGACCCAAACAGAAACAGCCGTGTGAGGATGCAGGGAGAAAATGGCCATTCGTAAGCCAAGGAGAGAAGCCTCAGGAGAAACCAACCCTGGGCCACCTTGATCTTGGACGTCCAGCCTCCATAACTGTGTGAAATAAATTTCTGTTGTTTAAACCAGTGGTCCCCAACCTTTTTGGCACCAGGGACTGGTTTCGTGGAAGACAGTTTTTCCACGGATGGGGCAGGGACAAAGGGTTGGTTTCAGGATGATTCAAGCACATTACATTTATTTATTGTGCACTTTATTTCTATTGTGATTACATTTTAATATATAATGAAATAATTATGCAGCTTACCATAATGTAGAATCAGTGGGAGCCCTGAGCTTATTTTCTTGCAAATAGATGGTCCCATCTGGGGGTGATGGGAGACAGTGACAGATCATCAGGCATTAGATTCTCATAAGGAGTGCGCAACCTCACATGCAAAGTTCACGATAGGATCCGCGCTCTTATGAGAATCTAATGCTGCCGCTGATCTGACAGGAGGCGGAGCTCAGGCAGTAACACAAGCAATGGGAGCCACTGTAAATACAGATGAAGCTTCGCGCACTCCTCCACCACTCACCTCCTGCTGTGTGTCCTGGCACTGGTCGGTGGCCCAGGGGATGGAGACTCCTGGTTTAAGCCACCCAGTCTGCAGTGTTTTGTTAGAGGAGCCCTAGTAAATGAATGCAGATGGGAAGGGTGGAGATGAGAGCTCCTCATCAGGAGAAGCCGGGAGGTGGACCTGTCCATGGTAGGCAGTCGCAAAGGTGGTTTGAGTGCAGCAGGGATTCCAGCAGAGATCAGGGGGTGGAGGGCTGCTCGAGGACTGGAGTGGGCTGTGTCGGAGACCCAGAGAGCTGGTGCAGAGTGAACCAGGATGAGGTGGGGGACTTCCTGACTCATGCTGCGTTCTCTTCTCCCAGTCTGCAGGCAGTTCCTGCTGGTCTGTCTGGAGGAGCGAGGACGCCTGTGGGAGGTGGAGCGCCGGGGGGCCTGGGGCCAGTGCACCAATATCTGGCTAAAGGTTCAGCTTCACCAGGCAAGGCTTCCAGACTGAGTAGGACTGAAACACTGCACTGTGTCTATTTATTTCTGGTTTCAATACTAGCGTGGATTTACAGTGATCCAATGAGACCCATATAGATGTTATTTCTGTTGTGGCAAGAACAAAGGAGGGGTGGGACCTGGGTGAGGACATCTTATCCTCCAACGTTCCCCTCCTGAGTGAAGCACACCTTCCCATCCTTCTTGCTCAAAAAGATCACCCCCAGTTTAGCAGTTAGGAGCTCCCTGGGACTAAGGGACTTCCCTTTTACAATTAGATAGATTATTGAAACATATAAGAAGATCGGTTTCCTCTGCCTAGCTGAAGATGAGTTGAAAACACGATTCTGAACAGGTGATGAAAGGTAAAGTGTGCACTTGGTTGAAAACTCAAAAGAGTTGACTATGACAAGCAAGTCTTCTATCCTCCTCACCTCTGAGGGGACTGCACACGTCATGGCAGCATCACAGAGACAACGTTCTACAAAACCGCTGCCTGGTCTTTTTCACAGCAGCATAGTATGATGTCGCGTGGACGTGATGTCATTTATTTCCCTGTTGACAGATGCGCATTCCGTCTTCAGTTTCTGGTTGCTCGAGACAGTGCCCCAGTGGCAGTTTGCCAGTGGGGTTTAGTGGAGGAAGCAGGAGAACAGAGCCTCTGGTGGTGGGTTTCCAGGGGAGGCAGCAGGTGGGAAATCCTTTGATCAGCCAGATGGGAAAGCAGGCTTGCAGTGTCTGGGTTTCCAAGTTGCTTTTCTTTTTTTTTTTTTTGAGACAGAATCTCGCTCTGTCACCCAGGTTGGAGTGGAGTGGCGCAACCTTGGCTGACTGCAACCTCCGACTCCTGGGTTCAAGGGATTCTCCTGCCTCAGCCACTCGAGTAGCTGGGACTACAGGCATGTGACACCATGCTCAGCTAATTTTTGTATTTTTAGTAGAGATGGGGTTTCACCATATTGGCCAGGCTTGAACTCCTGACCTCAGGTGATTCGCACTCCTTGGCCTCCCAAAATGCTGGGATTACAGGTGTGAGCCACCGCGCCCGACCCCAAGTTGCTTTTTTGACAGTGAACTTTCTACTTCTCACAAATGGGGAACGGCTGCCCATGGCAGGCGCTTCTCAGCTCAGCGCTTCTCAGCTCAGCACTAAGAGGCGAGGCCAGGCCAGGGCTGGGGCAGCGGACACCTCCAGGCTTCAGGTGCTGCCATGGGTGGGAGGTGAGGGGGACAGTTAATTTAAATTAACTGTCCAAAATGCAAGCCCTGGCTCTCCTTCACTCCTGGAGTGGGTGCTCCCGTCAGCGTCGAATGCCATTTCTGCGGCTGCATGTGGCTCATTAGGGGATTGACAGGCAGCCGAGGTGCCAGGCTTTCTCTCCACGTGGTGACTGATCCACCTTAGGTGTCGACAGGTGAGCGTGCCTTGGAGTTTATTGATGATAATAGTGATCAGTTTTGCTTTTATGCTGGAAGGCTTAATGGATCTTTACAGATATTAATGGGGTGAGCAGGCACCGGGGAAGGAGGCATGGCAGGGCGGGGCTGTGCTGTGATCCTAATGAGGCGGTTAAGTGACTTGCCCTGTGGCACTGAGTTAGGAATGAAGGGAAGCCGGTCGGGTCCCTGGGCACTGAGCTGTCTAGCTGTTGGAGTTTATGGACACGCTTCACAAATGAGGCTGTGGGGCCTCGCACAGCCTCTGTGCTTGGATGTTTCAGTTCCTTGGCTGGGAATGGAAAAAGAAAATGCATTGCATATTGAAATGTGGAAATTGCACGGGCCAGAGGGGTGAGCAGGGACGAGGATGTTTTCTCCTAATTGGGGAGATGGCTCCTCCTGGAGAATCCCACTGGGGCTGTTTCAAGAGCTGGGAGTCGGTGTGGTCTGGGCAGAGGAAACTGAGCTGGAAGTCAGATGCCAAACATGTCACTTTAATTCACTCTGAGATTCACCAACTCTCATTTTAAAACAGCAAATGAGGGGACTTGCACAGAGAATGTTCCAGAAGCATGCTTGAGTCCCTTGAAGGAAGAAGGGTTATCATTATAATTAGGATATAATTAGATTACTAAAACTCTTTATTTAAAAAAAAATTCTAAGTTATGGTCTTTTCACTGCCTGTATAAATCATGGCTAGTTCCCAGTTTCACCCACATCTTCTTTCCCCTCGAGGGCCCGCAGTCAGGATTTTAATTCACTCAGGAAGGTTTTCAGCCAACCGGCTTCAGCTTGCAACCATTATGACAGTTAGTGCTGACATCTCAGGTTTTTTTCAAGTTGGTGAGTTGGGGCTGCAAATGTGATCACAGATTAGCTCGGTGCTCTGCAGTTTCTCGTCTGTTTCTCTCTTCATGGAAATCAGCAAGTGTTAGTGGATTAGAACTTCTTATGGGTCACCGAACAATGCAGATTCCGGAACCTTCTCTTCCCTGGGAATCTCAGTAGGCCATTAATTGGATGTTAGTCTTAAATTAGTCAGTGATTCTTAGAGTTGCTTTTTTGACTTGTTCTGTTTTTTTCAAGTTTTATCTGTTCTCCCTTCTTTTTCCTGACGGTTATTTTGGAGGTATCCTATAATTTTATGTGCCATAGAAATAGAACTGTAAGCAAGAAGCCCAGTGGAATCAATTGCTTCTTGCTCTAAATAAGGCATGAACATTTCACAACATTTCAAAGGGAAATTAACTTGTGCTCCTTGCAAATGTTTTAAAGACTATTTCTGAAGCAGCCTGATTGGTGGGCCAGGTCTTTAAAAGTTTGTGCGATCTTGGCTGTTGATAACATCTGCAGCTTATAATGGCCCTGAAAATATTTACAGGTTATGCAGACCTTTTGAGGGAAGGAGTTTGTGGGAAATTTCTTTCTTCCTACACTCAGTTACAGACAAAGCCTTTGAAACTTGACCAATAGGATCATAATTGCATCTGATGTGATTTCCCGGTCAGCCTGAACATGCCTTAAGTTTCTTTACCAGAGAGAGTGAAACTGAATATGTCAACAGTGAAATGTTCTTTTACAAAATTGTTGCCGGGATCAGGAAATAATTGACCACTGCTTTAAAAATTAATTTTTTTTCAATCTGTAAGTCATACTTTTGCTTTCTTTCTCCAGCTGAATTTTTAATGGATTCAGTTGTCATCCACAAATACTTTTATTTGCATTTAATTTTTAAACCAGAAGGATCTTTGCATCAAGAGATGTGAAAAATATGAGAAGGGAAGCGGGGGCTACTTTTTTGAAAGTTTGATGCCCAGCAAACTGCAGTTCTGACCTTTTTTCTCAGTTTGTTCTGGTGACTCATACGTTATAGAGTACAATAGCAACAGCAATTTTGTGGTGGTGCAGTGTGCTGGGAAGTGCTGGGGGCAAAACCACCATACTGGGTGTGTTTTTTTCTGTCGAATGCTGCTCTTTGACAGGTTGTGTGGCTCCCCTTAGTGGCCATTGTCGTCTACTGCAGCCTTGGATGATAACTTACCTCTGTGATTAGTGCTCTGATACCTCCAGGTGTGCTTCCAAATGAGTAATTAGTGCATTCATTTTTAAAGATTTAATGAACCTCAATTAGGAATGAAATACAAGTAAACATTTGATAGCTCACAACACATAAAAACATTAGGAAAGGTGGAAAACTGATAATGGGTTATCTACTTCATTTTCTCATTCATTCATTCATGTATTCCTTTATTCGTTCATTCGCTGTCAATGGGGCATCTACAGACGTGCCAGGCACTGTCCTAGACGTTAGGGATGCAGTCATGAACAGGGCTGACCTGGCTTCTGAACTTATTTACCAGCTAACTACATGGGCACCTACTACTGTGTGATATAAAAACTCTATGGCCGAGAGAACTCAAGTGTGCTGGTATTTTTAAGTGCCCACAATTAAATTTTGCCAAACCAAATTTTGCTAATTTATACAGTTCTGTAAATAAATTTAAAAATTTACTTATATAGATAACAACTAAATAATTCATTTGTTCTTTAGTAAACAAAATGTGTTACATAGGTATTTTCAGCTGAAATGCAAAACTGTGTATTTTTTTTAGGGATCTGAACACCACACACACACATATGGATTTGGGGGCGTGGGGTGTGGAGGTGCAAAGGAGGACAAGAAAGTCATCCCTTTCCAAGTCGGTACTGATTTGGTAGGAGAGGAGGGAGACTCACTGAACGTGGGTGATTATGACCTCTCTTGTGAGCAAAACCACCGGTGAGCAAAAAGAAGGATCCAGGACTAGAACTGGAAATGTGAGTCCATTGAATGCCAGAATCGATGGAAGAACAGATCACAATTCCAGCTCAGAAATGCTTGAGTGGAACCTCACTTTGCATCTCCTGACACCTGGCAGGTACTCCTGTCTTCTGGAGAGCATTGCAGCAAATGGCAAAGTGAAGGTCAAGAAGATAGAACTGACCCAGCACTTTGGGAGGCTGAGGCAGGAGGATGACTTGAAGTCAGGAGTTCGAGACCAGCCTGACCAACATAGTGAAACCCCATCTCTACTAAAAGTACAAAAATTAGCCAGGCATGGTGGCAGGCGTCTGTAATCCCAGCTACTCGGGAGGCTGAGGCAGGAGAATCACTTGAACCCGGGAGGTGGAGGTTGCAGTGAGCCCAGATGGTGCCACTGTACTCCAGCCTGGGCTACAGAGGGAGACTCCATCTCAAAAAAAAAAAAAAAAAAAAAAAAAAAAGAGAGAGAGAGAGATAGAATTGGGTCATGGCTATCAACATGTTTGCAAGGTCCCCAGTGTACTATTTCCTCTTTTGATTGTCCAGCCCCTTGGGAGCCACCCTCATTTGCTTATCCTCTTTCTGTTGCTTGGGGAGGGCAGCACACCCAGGAAATTCCGAGGACGTGAGCCGTCATGCGAGGACTTCTCAGAATGACAGACCCAGACAGCCTGCCCCTGGAGACGGCAGCAAGGTATGGTGATACTATATCACCCCATGAACCTCTCACTTTCCTAGTGATCAGGTTGTCCTTGCTTAGTGAAGCCGTGGTCTGAACCTGCCAGGCAGCTTCCCAGACGACTTGGCTGTGGGCTTCTCGTGGCAGCAGGGCCTTGGTCTAGGCTCAGAATCTCCGGGCTATCATGGGAGGGGGGTGTTGCGTGGAGAGGCCTTTGTAATTAGATTTTTTATGGTTCTCTTCTCTTAACTAGACAAGCTCTAACGAAACCAAAATGGAACAGAACACATGGGAATTGGCCGTAACCTTGCATCGTTAAGGAAATATTGAAAAATCTGAATTTCAAATTTTGCCATGGACCAGTGTCTGTCAAGCAGAACAAAAAGCAAGACAAATTTGTCTTTCTTTCCTCCTCCACTGCAAAAGCCCAGATTGCTGGGATGGAGTGGAATTAGGTATTAGGTTTTTGTACAATCCAGAGTGACTGTAGAATAGAATCTTGAGGGAATATTAAGAATATTTCTTAGTAGCTTGCTGTCATTCAATATTTTATAAAATTTTAGGTTTTCCTGGTTTTCTTGTGGCTAAACCAGACTCTTGACCAAACAGGGTATTGTGAAAATGTCCATTCTCTGGTGCCAAAGGGTCTTTACTTTCAAATCCCTAAAGAGTCCAAAATTACTTTAAACTTACGCTTGTACATCATGGACAAATACTGCTTATTTTGGAAAATATATTGCTCTGAAATAGAAGATTCAACAATGAAAGCAGAAAATATCCCAGTAAGTGCTGGATTGTTTTAGAAAGCTGCTTCCTGTCTGACATTAGCTCTAGCCATCTGGCAGATGAGGGCTTTCATTTTCTTTGGTTCACCATGGAAAGATGGGCTAACCTAAGACCCAACAGGCACTGAACAGAGAGCGTTGCACTTGGCCTTTTCCGCTGATCCTTGACTTTTCTTTTAAACCTGTTAGAGGAAGCAGAAATGTCCAGGTACTGTAACGCCCATGGGTGTGGACCTGGGGGAATTCTGCACATTTGAGCACGGGGTGCCAGCTTTGAAAGCAGTGCTTCCTTCCCTGCCCTTTCTCTGGTCTCCCCAGGCTGGGCTGTCCTTTAGTTCCTTTCAGTAAATACGTGCTCTTATGCACAAAACCTGATTTCCCCATGGCTGGCTGGAGCGTTTGAACCTGGCCTATTCTGAATCTCAGCAGGAAGTGCAGGCACAAGCCAGACAGGACACCTCCATGTCCTGAATGTCCAGCCCCAGACTGTGCAGGACGACCCCATTGCCATGTTTAATTGGAATGCCTGTGGATTCTTTTCTGACTTCAGGAGAGGATGTGTGGAGAAGAACTGGAAGACACAAAGGATGATCCAGAGTGTGGAGTGGAAGAGGAGGATGCCGGGCTGGCAGGGCAGCCACCAGGCAAGCTTACAAGGTCCAGTCCCTGACGTCTCCAGACGCCCATCTGGGCCAGGTCCAGAGGCCTGCCTGGGCTCCCAGGATTCGGGTCTGAGACTTGTGTGTCTGGGAGTGTACCTTCCCTGGGGATCTTTGAGGGGCCAGTGACCCCACGGGCCCCACCTACCTCTGAGGTGGGCTCAGGCTCTAGAGTACCTGAGAACGTGCTGCGCTCAGCATGCGACACCGTGCCACAGTGAGGAAGTATTTCCCTAAGTTAATTGTTGACAGTTCCTAAACGTTTCAGAAGCTTACTCGTTAAAACTAATGTGGTTTCTGTTTCTCAGGATAAATTGGTGGGACTTTACCGGAACCACAGGGATGTTTTACTGAATGTACCTCTTTCCTTATAGAAGTTTAAAGATGCTCAGGAAGGGGCCACACCCGTTCCATCTGGGCTGTAGAAACCCATTGCAGGTTTGTGCATGCCAGCCCTGCTGTTGCCGTGAGACCACGGACACCAAAGAGGTTTGCAGGGGTACACGTGTCCTTTCCGGACACCAAAGAGGTTTGCAGGGGTACACGTGTCCTTTCCCGGGAGGCTTCAGCCACATCAGTGCTGATGTGCCTCAAGGCACATGAGTGCCTTGAGGGCAGGGGCAGTGGCTGGATGGTGCCTACTGTAGGCCTGGAGCTCTCTTCTGGCCTGGTATACAGAAGGCACTCAGAGAGCTCATATGGGAAGTACTGGGTAGGAATTTGGGCAGATGGTGCTTCTAGAATATTGGTGGCCTTGAGTGGAAAGTCTTGTGGTAGTAAAAGTAACTGAAAATGATAGCCTGGCTCGAATGTGACATTGGCTTCCCCCTTCTCAAATACTGATGGAGCCCTGTTTGGTCGCTATAGTGTATGGCCGCTCTTGGGATGCAGAGACAAGGACCTGCTCTTAGGCCCCAGGTCCAATGGGCTAGGCAGAGTTGTCCCAGGGCCGCCTGCCCTCCTCAAGGGTGGGGCGCAAATCCAGGCTGCTTTAGGGAGCCCAAAGCCTGCTCCCCGAGAGGTGGGGTGGTGCTTTCTCTGCTATTGGGCCCAGCCTTGCTGATTTCAGTAGGATTTTTCCCAGAGAAAGCTGGTCAGGCCCTCTTGAGGCAGACGACCCAAGTTCTTGCCCCTGCTTTTGGGAAAATGCAAATCCAATCCCATTGCCGAGGACATCCCAAACCCCTCTGTGCTCATCACTGACTTTGGAGAAGCCAGGGGCCCTGCTGCCTCTGCTCCTTGCCATTGGAGTTCAGCTGCAGGATCAGCCCTGGGCTGCCTGGTTACTTTGTTGACAGAAGAAGAGGGTTTTACCTTTTTAGGATGTAATAAAGCCCCTCCTGTGGCCTGATGAGGAGACTACCAACAGTCCCAAGTTCTGGGAATATATCGTCTGTTCCCTTGAGCAGTCAAAGGACACACATGGTGGGACCTGTTATTTATTCATCCATGCACCCAGCTGTCCATCTCTCTGTCCATCCATCCGTCTATCCATCCATCATCCATCCATCCACCTAACCATCCATCTATTCAATCCATTCATCATCCATCTATCCATCCCTCCATCCATCCATTCATCCATCTATCCATCCATCATCCGTCCATCCTCCATCCATCATCCATCCATCCATCCTCCATCCATCATCCATCCATCCATCCATCCATCCATCCTCCATCCATCTTCCATCCATCCATCCTCCATCCATCCATCTATCCATCCATCCACCCATCCATCCATCCATCCACCCATCCATCATCCATCCATCCATCCTCCATCTTCCATCCATCCATCCATCCATCCATCCTTCATCCAGCCATCCATCTATCCATACATTTATCATCCATCCATCCATCATCCATCCGTCCATCCTCCATCCATCCATTCATCCTCTATCCATCCATCATCCATCCATCCATCCATCCACCCATCCTCCATCCATCCATCCATCCTCCATCCGTCATCCATCCGTCCATCCATCCATCCATCCATTCTGTTGTACAACAGATATTCAGCATGCTTTCTCAGGGACATGCTCTGTGCTGGGGACAGGGGATATAAGTGAGGTATGGATACTGGCCTCAGGAAACTCTCTTCTCTTTGGAGGAATCTCTTCTGGAGTGTTCCACTGGAGTTTTCATCTCTCTTGCACCCATTACAAAGATGGAAGGGTCCAATTGACTAGAAATATAGTTTAGAGATTCATATGGAGACATCATGAAGCCTGCCTCCCCCCTGCCCCTTATACTTGGGCTCTCTGTGCAGGTGGCACAGACCATAAAAGGAGAGTGAAGTCTACAGCCTAGAGGGTGCCCTGTGTGTGGTGTCAGATGTAACCTTTCACATGGGATGTGTGTGCTGTGAGCATTGTGCTATTTGAGATGAATGGTTAGTATTTTGTGTTTACATGAAAATAAATGTTTAAAAATGTCTCAGGGGTTTGATGAAGTTACTATTCAATAAAAGAAACCTCTCAGGGAAGAACAGCTGATGTATTGATGGCTTTGTTTAAGGGCATATGTACTGACCACACAAGTTAGAAGGCAATGCCGTGGAACTGAGAGCAACCTCCTGCCCAGTCCATGCCAGCTGTGAGGCCGTGTGCAGGGGTCCCTTCCAGCAGTGTGTGCAGGACTGCCCATAATGCACATCTTTGTGTGTGTTGTGTTGTTTTTATTAAATCAATTTTATTTTTCGGTTTTCTGTGTTCCTGTCTCTTATTTTTTAACAGCTGTATTGAGATATTATTTACAAACCTTAAAGTTCCCTCATTTAAAGTAATAATTCAGGCCCGGCGAGGTGGCTTACACCTGTAATCCCAGCAATTTGGGAGGAAGAGGCATGTGGATAACTTGAGCTCAGGAGTTCAAGACCAGCCTGGCCAACGTGGTGAAACTCTGACTCTACAAAAATACAAAAATCAGCCGGGTGTGGTGGCCTGCGCCTATAGTCCCAGCTACTTGGGAGGCTGAGGTGGGAGGATTGCTTGAGCCCGGGAGGTTGAGGCTGCATCGAGTGGAGATCGTGCCATTGCACTACAGCCTGGGTGATAGAGTGAGACCTTGTCTCAAAAAAAAAAAAAGTAATAATGCAATGATTTTTAGTATATTTACAGAGCTGTGCCCTCATCACCACCATTAGTGCCCCAAAATGAAATACTGCGCCCATGAGTCTCTCACTCCCCACTTACCCCCTCCTCCTGCCCTCGGCAGCCACTAATCTATATATAAATTTGCCTCTTCCGGGTATGTCATGTAAGTGGAATCACACAATACGGGGTCTTTCACAGCTGGCATCTTTCACGTAGCATAATTTTTCCAAGGTTCATCCGTGTTGTGGTGCGTGTCATCAGTTCTTACTCCTTCTTATTGCCAAATAACGTCCCGTGGTATGGATGTAGAACACTGTATTTTGGCATTCGCTAGGTGATGTAATTTGGATTGATTTGAGGTTTTGGTAGTTATCAATGATGCTGCCATGAATATACACATACACAAATACAAGTTTATGGCCGGGCGCGGTGGCTCACGCCTGTAATCCCAGCACTTTGGGAGGCCAAGGCGGGTGGATCACGAGGTCAGGAGATCGAGACCATCCCGGCTAACACGGTGAAACCCCGTCTCTACTAAAAATACAAAAAAATTAGCCGGGCGTGCTGGCGGGCACCTGCAGTCCCAGCTACTCGGGAGGCTGAGGCAGGAGAATGGCATGAACCCGGGAGGTGGAGCTTGCAGTGAGCCGAGATCGTGCCACTGCACTCCAGCCTGGGCGACAGAGCAACACGCCGTCTCAAAAAAAAAAAAAAAAACAAAATACAAGTTTGTGTGTGTACATATGTTTTCAGTTCTCTTGGGTACACATCTGAGAGTGGAATTTCTGGGTCATATGGTAACTCTATGTTTAACATTTTGGGGAACTGCCAAATTATTTTTCCAAGTCCCTGCACCATTTTACATTCTTATCAGCCAGGTATGAGGGTTTCCGCTTCCCTCATCCCAGCCAACACTTATTCCATCTTTTTTTTTTTTTGAAACAAAGTCTCGCTCTTGTCCCCTAGGCTGGAGTGCAATGGCGTGATCTCAGCTCACGGCAACCTCCGCCTCCCAGGTTCAAGCGATTCTCCTGCCTCAGCCTCCCAAGTAGCTGGGATTACAGGCGCCTGACACCATGCCTGGCTAATTTTTTGTATTTTTAGTAAAGATGGGGTTTCACTATGTTAGCCAGGCTGGTCTCGAACTCCTGACCTCGTGATCTACCCACCTCGGTCTCCCAAAGTACTGGGATTACAGGCGTGAGCCACCGCGCCCGGGGCCTATTCCGTCTTTTTGATACAGCCACCATCCTAGTGGGTGGGAAGTGGCATCTTACCGTGGTGCTGATTTGCATTGCCCTGGTGACTACTGATGTCAAACAGCTTTTCAGTCATTTGTGTTATCTTCTTTGGAGAAATGTCTATTCAAATCCTCACTTATTTTTGAATTGCGTTGTTTTTATCTTGTTGATTTGTAAGAATTCTTTATAAATTCTGATTTTAATCCCTTTTTGGATATACGATTTGCAGTTTTTTTCCCCATTCTTTGGTTTCTCGTTTCATTTTATTGATGTCATTTGAAGTACAGTTTTAATTTTGTTTTGTTTTGTTTTGGTTTGGTTTGTTTTTGAGTCAGGGTCTTGCTCTATCGCCCAGGCTGGAGTGCAGTGGGGTGATCTCGGCTCACTTCAACTTCTGCCTCCCGGGCTCAAGCCATCCCCCCCACTACAGCCTCCCCAGTAGCTGGGACTACAGGCGTGCACCTCCATGCCCAGCTAATTTTTGTATTTTCGTAGAGATGGTTTTGTCATGTTGGCCAGCCTGGTCTCAAACCCCTGATCTCAAGTGATCCTCCCTCCTCAGCCTCCCAAAGTGCTGGGATTACAGGTGTGAGCCACCATGCTGGCCTAGTTTTAATTTTGACAATGTCCAATTATTTTCTCTTTGTTGCTTGAACAAAGCAAGACAGTTGCAGTAGTAAATATTGTGTGTGTGTGTGTGTCCGTGTGTGTGTGTGTTTTGACATGGAGTTTCGCTCTTGTTGCCCAGGCTGGAGTGCAATGGCTCGATCTCAGCTCACCACAACCTCCTCCTGCTGGGTTCAAGCGATTCTCCTGCCTCAGCCTCCCGAGTAGCTGGGATTACAGGCATGCACCACCACGCCTGGCTGATTTTTAAAAATTATTTTTAGTAGAGACAGGATTTCTCCATGTTGGTCGGGCTAATCTCGAACTCCTGACCTCAGGTGATCCACCTGCCTCGGCCTCCCAAAGTGCTGGGATTATAGGTGTGAGCCACCACGACCGGCTGTGTGTTTTTTTTAAATGCTTGCTCTTTCATTCCCATCTAAAAGGAGTTACTGGGGAGAAAGTGATCTGACTCCGAAATCAACGTGGGAAATCCACAAAGAAGTCATGACTTAGAACAAGGCTGTTTCTGGATCCCACGTTCTTCAAAGGCAGTGGCCAGATGCACATGCCCTGTAACAGTCACACTGTCCTGAGGGCTGCTTTGCCCCACACTCACGAATGGGCTCAGGCAGGGAGTCCATAGTCACTCGGAAGCTTGCATTCCGGACCAGGGTCTGGCAGTGGTGACGGACACTCACTGCTATGCACGGAGCCTTCGAACAGGTTATATTTCAGGAAGCAGGGTTTTGAGACTCTCCCAGCATTGGGTATTTTGTTCCAGAAAGTCTTTGAGAACAAGCCCTTCGGGATGAGGAAGAAATAAATTCAACTTGTTGGCTACTTCCAGAAACCTCAGGGGGTCAATGGATTATGAGATAATTTTTAAAATCCCCATTTTCTGCAAGAAGCAATCTTTGCATTTGATTTAATTCTCTTTCTAGGGAAAGCATGCTTAGCGGCTGGAAGTTTTAAAGTTAGGTATCTAAGTTTCCATCTTGAAAAGCCATGAAATTCCTTGGCCACCTTCCTCTTTTCCCCTGGCTTCTCCATTTCACACAGGGCACAAAACATCACCATGGCAAAGCAAGAGGGATTGGAGCTGGGTATTCTACCGAGCTCAAACCACAGCAATGCAGTCACGGGAGGTCCGTTAAGTCCGGTATCTACGCAGCTGTGATTTCTGGCTCTAGGAAGGTCTTGTGTTATTTTCAGCATCAGATGAGACACAACTGGAAGGAATAATTTCTTTCCTGGCAGGAAAATCCTAATGTGACCACAACCACTGAAGTGCTTCCGGGAGGGTGCTTTAGTGCCAACTAACTCTGTTTAATAGAGTTGCCTCATCTTTCTGAACTTTCCTTCCCACCAAACAAAAGTCACCTTCAGGGCTGGGCGCGGTGGCTCACGCCTGTAATCCCAGCACTTTGGGAGGCCAAGGCGGGCGGATTACGAGGTCAGGAGATCGAGACCATCCTGGCTAACACGGTGAAACCCCGTCTCTACTAAAAATACACAAAAAGTTAGCCGGGCGTGGTGGCGGGCGCCTGTAGTCCCCGCTACTCGGGAGGCTGAGGCAGGAGAATGGCGTGAACCCGGGAGGCGGAGCTTGCAGTGAGCTGAGATCGCACCACTGCACTCCAGCCTGGGCGACAGAGCGAGACTCCGTCTCAAAAAAAAAAATAAAAAAAAGTCACCTTCAGATTTTCTAGGCAGCAAACCCTTCTAACAGGGATTCTTGACAATGTGCAGACAGACGGGCTACAGGACTTGTGAACCTGGGTGATCTTCACTGCCTGAGATTTGAGCCATTCTTAGTGGGCGGCCGATGCTGTACAGGATGGGCTCCCAGCAGATGGCTTTGGGTCCTTGGGCACCCAGGTTCTGTTCCAATTCCATGGGATTGGGAGGGCGTCTCCTCGGGTCGGATTGCGGTATAATCTTCCCAGGTGACGCCAGTCACAGGACTAGGTAGGCTCTTTTTACGATCATTCCCTCATGGCTCTCAACTTGCAATAGGGGTGCTTCGATTGAGGAAATGTCTGCTGGGTCTCCATGTGTATTAGTCCGTTTTCACGCTGCTGATAAAGACATGCCTGAGACTGGATAATTTATAAAGAAAAAGAGGTTTAATAGACTCAAAGCTCCACGTGGCTGGGGAGGCCTCGGTTAATCACGGCAGAAGGTGAAAGGCATGTCTTACATGGTGGCAGACAAGAGAAAATGAGACCCAAGCGAAAGGGGAAACCCCTTATAAAACCATCAGATCTTGTGAGATTATTCACTACCACGAGAGCAATATGGGGAAAACCACCCCATGATTCAATTATGTCCAACCGGGTCCCTCCCACAACAGGTGGGAATTATGGGAGCTATAATTCAAGATGGGATTTGGGTGGGGACACAGCCACACCATATCACCGTGTGAACAACAGAAGCAGATAAAATCCGTCCCATCTAATGTAGGTATTACAACCAACTATAAGTATTGTATTTGTAAAGTAGCTTCATGAAAATCAGTCTAAATTAAATTCACATAAGCTACATAAAGAAATACTACAAGGGGGCAGGTGTGGTGGCTCACACCTGTAATCACAGCACTTTAGGAAGCTGAGGCAGGCAGATCACTTGAAGTCAGGAGTTTGAGACCAGCCTGGCCAATATGGCAAAACCCCATCTCTACTAAAAAAATACAAAAATTAGCTGGGTGTGGTGGCATGTGTCTGTAATCCCTGCTACTTGGGAGGCTGAGGTGTGAGAATCACTTGACCCTAGAAGGTGGTGGTTATGGTGAGTTGAGATTATGCCACTGCACTCTAGCCTGGGCAACAGAGAGAGACTCCATCTCAAAAAAAAAAAGAAAGAGAAGAAGAGAGAGAGAAAGAGAGAAAGAGAAAGAGAAAGAAAAAGAGAAAGAAGGAAAGAGAAAAGGGAGGAAGGAAGGAGAGAGAAAGAGAAAAGAGAAAGAAAGACCTTCCCCTGCTCCCTGAATGCTGCAGACATAAGTCGAGCAGAAGAAATCAGATTTCACAATACACGCGCTGACTTTTATCCCACCCACTTTTGCTGTGGACCAGAGCCTGGGCTGCAGAGGTGGTTTCTGGAGGCCAAGCAGCTTTGGCCTTGGCGCCTGTGCTGTGGGAAGGCCAAGCTGACTTGAGGCCTTTGCTCCCACCCCTGCAAAGCCTGGATTCTGTGTGTGCAGAGCCCCGCCGGCTTCCCAGCCCTGTGCTTCAGATGGTCCTGGGTGCGTGGGGACACTCGGTGACAGATCGGGAAGTGGGCACTGTCTCTCCTATGAAGCCGGCTTGAGAGGGGACACACAGTGTTTTGAAGACTTGGCCCGGCACATTTGGACAGGTCTTGCTGAGTGATCACTGCACAGCTCTGAGCCCCACAGGTCCTGGCTATCCACAGGCATGAAACACCAGCCCCAGCACGTCCCTGTGAGGGTGCCATGGATGTCACCCAGGACAGCACTCTTCCATCTGTAAAGGGCTCCGTTATCACATGCCTCTGCTATTGTCATACTTAATTTTCACTTTACACAGTTCACACTCAGGTGTGCAAAATTAGGGCTTGATTTTCCTAGAACTGAGTTGTATCTGTATCTGGAGCACCCATTCTGGTTGATGGCAGAAAAAGTAGTCGCGTGGATTCAGATACCTTCCAACCAACCTCACTCCAAGTAGGATTTTCTTTGGTACCTCTTTCTTCCTGGGGTCAGCTCCAAGGGCAGGGGCCTTGGTGAGGAGATGCCATCTGCTCTTGGCCCACCCTGGCTAGAGCTAACATGCACAATTGTCCTGTCATGGTCTCTGGTCTCAGGCTCCCTGGACACCTGGTGTGTGGTCCTGCTGGTGTCTGCGGATGCTTCTACCCCAAACCCCTGTCCTAACCAGGAAGTGACGTTGTGGCCGGCAAGTTCTCGCTCTCAACCTGCATCGTCTCTGTCCCTGGCCACATGGGTAAGCATCATTTTTCTGTCCCCACTGGGGACTCCTGGCTTTGCTGTGGGGCTGACCCTGCACCCTCATGCAGTCCTCTTCTGAGCTCTGGGGTTGGGGCCACTCATTCTCTGAGAACTCCGAGCTGGAATTGGAACGCACCTCTCTTCTACTCTGGGACCCCCAAACCTATTTGAAGACTTCTATGATGCCCTTCCCACCACTGCCCAAGTGAGCCTGGCATTTTAGACTTCAAAGCCAATAAAAATAGCAAAGGCATTTCTTTCTCTCTCCCTCCCTGGCACTCCATATCCTCACACTCAATGCAGAGCCAAACAGGGGTCTCACCCTCCAAGTGAGGGACAGACCCCTGAGCTCATCCTGTCAGTCCCCAGAGAGTCATGGTGCCCACGTTGCCCTCACATCCAGCCCCTCAGGCAGGGCCCTGGGCTGATTCTCACAGCCGGCCTCCAACCCCTGGTGGGGGGTGTGGAGTGTAGATGGTGTGGGGACCACCACTTCCTCCCTGGCCTCATGCACAGCTTGAAATCCCACAGCACAGAAATGTTTCCCTTTGAGGGTGGGTAACATGGACTTGTGTCCCAGGACTGGGAAGAGCTTGGGGTCTGGCTTCAGCCTGGCTCCTTACTCCAGAGAGGGCTGGGATGATCACTTTCCTTCTGGGTCGCCGGGGTTCTCGTTGGTGAAAGGTAGAGGATGAGTCAGGGTCTGTAAACTGGCAGCTTGAGGGTTCAAATTAGTCAGCAGATGAGACGTTTTAGGGCCTGGAAACTGCGGTCCCTTTCCTGGAGGGCATATCCCCACCACTCACTGGCCAGTGTCACTCATCTGCACTGTTGCTCTAGCCTGGTCAAGGCTTACACTTGTATCTTCTCATGGCAGCCCCCAAAGATGCTCACATGGGAATCCTGGGAACCTGTGAGTGTGTTACTGTATTAGTCTGTTTTCATGCTGCTGATAAAGACATACCTGGGACTGGGTAATTTATAAAGAAAAAGAAGTTTAATGGACTCAGTTCCACGTGGCTGGGAATCCTCACAATTATGGCAGAAGGCGAAATGCACGTCTTACATGGCAGCAGACAAGAGAGAAATGAGAACCAAGTGAAAGAGGTTTCCCCTTATGAAACCACTTGAGATAGTTAGTAGGTCTTGAGACCTATTAACTATCATGAGAACAGTATGGGGGAAGGTGCCCCGTGACTCAATTATCTCCCACTGGGTCCCTCTCACCACACATGGGAATTATGGGAGCTACAATTCATGATGAGATTTGGGTGGGGACACATCCAAACCGTATCAGTTACCTTACCTGGTAAAAGGGACTTCTCAGATGCGATTAAGCTAAAGATTGTGAGAGGGAGAGATTATCCTGGATCCTCTGGGTGGGCCCAGTGTGATCACAAGGGTTGTTTAAATGAGGGACACACAGAAAGGTTTGACTGCCAGAGAACCATCAGAGCGTCGCAGCGTGAGACACAGTCAGCCATTGCTGGGTTTGAAGATGAAGGAAGGGGCCATGAGCCAAGGAATGCAGGCCGCCTGTGTGGAAAGGACCAGGAAACAGATTCTCCCCTGGAGCCTCCAGAAGGAACCAGCTTGACCTCAGCCCAGCAAGACCTGTTTGAGACTTCTGACTTCCAGAACTGTATGGTAAGAAATCCTGGCAGTTTTAGGCCACCAAATTTGTGATAATTTCTTACAGTTGCAATGGGAAACGAGTACACTCCCTCTTATGTTCTCAGGTGGGTAACTTTGCCTCCTAACCCTGGACATTTGGCCATGTCTGGAGATATTTTTGGTTGTCACAGTTGGGTGAGAGGTGGTACTGACATCTAGTGGGTAGAGGCAGGAAAGCTCCCATAACAGAGTTATTCAGCCCGAAATGCTGTGCTAAGATTGATACCAGGCCTGAGCTCCGGTATGCGTCACATTTTGGACTGTGGACTGCCCTGACAGGCAAGTTCTTCCTTTAGAGGAAAAAACACCGCCTGCCGCAGTCAAGGCTCGGGGCACGGCCCAGGAGGTGCCCTGGAGAAGACTGAGACCCGGGTTGCAGCAGTGAGCCCCATTCTGGCTGGTGGGAGAAAACGGCGATCTCAGGACAGACTTGCGGAGAGCGCGGACTCCCGTAAAAAGAAGAGGCGCGGGCGCCTGCTCGCTGCCCGGCCGCTTTCCGAGGGAAATACCCACGGCGGCCACACGATGGCAGCCTTGCCCAAACCAAAGCCCGCCGGGCGCGCTCCGAGGTCCGCAGCCCCGAGTCGGTGCCCCCAGGCGGTGGACGCGGGGCCGCCCTCCCACAGAATCCAAGGGCGCTCGGCCTGGGTGGGCGTCTTTAGCTGCAGCTAGAAACTCTGCGCTTAACAGGGGAAAGAAACAGAGCCGCACGGACTGCACGCTCCTGCCTGCTCGTCCGCCTCGATGTAAACAGCTCATCTGTGCCAACGTGGAACTACGTTCTCCCCATCCCCACGTTTCAGTGCTGTGACAAGACAGATAACACAGCTGAGATTTATTCTTCAAAGGGGCTCGCGTGTCTTTTCTTCTTCTTTTTTTTTGACTGAGTCTCGCTCGCTCTGTCGCCCAGGCTGGAGTGCAGTGGCGATCTCGGCTCACTGCAGCCTCTGCCTCCCGGGTTCAAGCGATTCTCCTGCCTCAGCCTCCAAGCAGCTGGGACTACAGGCGTCCGCCACCACGCCCAGCTAATTTCTGTATTTTTAGTAGAAACGGGGTTTCACCATGTTGGCCAGGCTGGTCTCGAACTCGCGACCTCATGTGATCCGCCCACCTCGGTCTCCCAAAGTGCTGGGATTACGAAAAAAAAAATGTCTAGCTTTCATTGTAAGTCCAGGAGTGCAGACCCCAGATTTCCCTAATTACTTCATTAACCCCATAGACTTGCAAATAAATAAATACATACGTAAACAATTCAACTAACCCACTGCAATGCACCCTGCCTCCCTTCACCACAGGTTGAAAGTGGGGGGCCTTGAGACTCACGTATTCCTTGGGATTCCCCACCCGGGCACAAAAGCTGGGGGGTGCAGTGGGGGCCGCCCACTTTCTCCCTCTTAGCCTCTCTGGCCCTTGGGCATTCTATAGAAAACACGGGGGCCATGGGCCAAGAGGCACCCCCCGATCCAGCTGTGATCTGGACTCCCTTCTGTTCTGTGTCATCAATTTGGCCCCATTTTCATCTGTAGTTTTTTTGATGTGTTATTTGGCTTCTTTTCAGCAGCAGCAGCAGCAGCAGCCAAAATACTCTGGGGCCAGTGTGCTTCGTTTATAAAATGGGGACAGTGTCTCTCTGGAAGGATTCGCTGGGAAGATGAAGGTAAATGTGCAGCGTCCCAGGGATGCCAAGTTCACAGTGGCCCTGGCTTGCAACGATGAGAATGGAACTGGGGGTGAGAAGAGGGAAGAGAGGGAACAAGGAGGTGGAACATCCAACAGAACGTGCTGGGGCCGGGCGCCCCTACCTGCCCCCAGGGAGGTTGAACTGAGATAGCTGGGAGCTGGGGGAGGCAGACCTGGTACTTGAATTGGGGTGGGAGGGATGGAAGATGCCCTTCTAGCCCAAGAAGCCCTCCCCCTAGTTAAACCAAGCTGGGACTGGTTAACAGAGGTGCCCAAGATCCTCCCAGCCACAGGGTGCCCCATCCTCCGGGGACTACCGACTTAAGGATAGCATGCTCTCAGCTTATAGAAGTTCTAATTACTGTTTTAAAACTGGTTCATGCACTTTGGGAGGCTGAGGTGGGAGGATTGCTTGAGCTCAGGATTTCAATACCAGCCTGGGCAACATAGTGAGATACCATCTCTACAAAAAATGAAAACATTAGCTGACCATGGTGGCACATCCCTGTAACCCCAGCTACTTGGGAGGCTAAGATGGGAGGATTGCTTGAGGCCACAAGTTTGAGGCTGCAGTCAGCTGTGATCCCACCTTAGTACTCCAGCCTGGGCCACAGAGCGAGACCCTGTCTCAACACACAAACAAACAAAAACAAAACAAAACAAAACACTGGTTCATGCAGTCATCCTTCCCATGCACACTGGTGGCTTCCATGGGCCAAGTGCTGTGCTGAGGACTGGTACAGACGCGTGGGTATGGCAGAAAATTATCCTTCTACAGCCCTTGGCTCCCAAGGACCAGATGCAGGTGCAGCCAGCGAGATGAATACAGGAGGGGACTTCCGAGGAGGGGCAGGTGGGGTCCACTTGTGGATATTTATGCTGGATTGTAAGCTCCCTGAAGTCAGGGTCAGGGCTCACAGCGCCCTCAGTATTGATGCAATCAGCGCCGTGTGAGTGTCAGCTGAAAGTCTGAAGAGCTAGAAAGAATCTCCAGGAGAACTTGGACTCTGCCACATCTGGTGGCATTCCTGCTGCTGTGGTGTCCTGCATGAAGAAACCCTGAAGTTCATGGGCTCGGCACACACCTGGGTTAGCATCCTAGCCTGAGGTCCAGGTGACAGCTGTGTAGGGCGTGCAGTGGCAGAGCTGGGTGTCCCAGGCAGCTGGGAGGCCCTGGAGTGGGAACAGGGACCCTTGCCTTTAATTAGTCATATCTTGCTATATTTCCACACACTGCCCAAGTACTACACCACTAACAATGCTATTATTGGTGTATATACAGCTAGACTTTGCTTTAAAAGTGAAGCATTTTATTCTATACTAGAAATCATACCGCACATGCAGTTTAATTCCTGTTTTTTTAAAAATGTGAGAACTACCTATTTCACCCCAGTGTTTTAACCATCATCTTTTTTTTTTAATAGAGACAGTCTTGAACTCCTGGGTTCAAGTGATCTTCCCGCCTTAGCATTCCTAAGTGCTGGGATTAGAGGCGTGAGTCACCCCACCTGGCCCGTCATACTTTAAGTCTGCCTAAGATCTCATCACATAGCTGCACCACGGTGGACACCACCGCTTTCCTCCTCTTGAATGTTTAGGGTCCTTCCTGTTTCATGCTGTTATAAAGAACGATCTAGGCTGGATACGGTGGCTCACGCCTGTAATCCTAGCACTTTGGGAGGCCAGGACAGGTGGATTGACTGAGCTGAGGAGTTTGAGACCACCCTGGGCAACATGGTGAAACTCCGTCTCTACTAAAATACAAAAAAAAATTAGCCAGGTGTGGTGACATGCACCTGTAGTCCCAGCTACTCGGGAGGCTGAATTGCTTGAACCCAGGAGGTGAAGGTTGCAGTGAGCCGAGAGCTCTTACCCAAAGGAATAAAACCAAAGAGGGTACAGGAAATATTTTTTGTTAGGGGAGGATTTCTGATACCCTAGTTTGATAGTGAAACTGTTTTGATAGCGGAAGAACTAGTGGCATTGTGGTGGGGGGATGCGGACCGGGCTGTAATCCCGCAGCACGCTGGCCGCATTTGGAGTGGGTTGCACGTGCCTCCTGCTCCTAGGGCCCTCTGCCTTCCCTCCCCTGCATATCAGAACACAGGGGAGGTGCAGGCATGCCTGGCAGAATGCATGTGGCAGAATAACGAGCATGGTGATTGCTAGTGTTCCGGTGTGACCAGGTAGCTCTGATTCCCCAGAGTGAGTCTGAGGACCCTGCTTTGGATGTGAGATGATTTTGAGGGCTGTGCGGATGGCTGTTATTAAGTTTAATAGTTCTCTGTTGATCCTGAAGTTAATTTTTATTTGAGGCAAGTGGTACTCCTTTTGATTGACAGTTGCCCTATGAAGTTGATATTTACATACTGTTTGCAAGTATAATAATGAGTTGACTTAAGAAAATAAGTAAACAAAAATACAAGTGGCAAAATCGTGAGGATGACATGGAAATGAATATGTTTGTTAAACCACTAAAAAGGCTGGGAAGAAGTCTCCTAAATGGAGAGCAATGAACCGACCAGCACCTGGGGCAGGGCGGGGAGGCAGGGCGGCGCCTTGGTAAAACTTCCTCAGGGATTTTTCATCCTTCCTGTGTTTTCTCCTCCTCCTCTCTCAGGTTTGTGATCATCCTCTCTCCTCACTTCCTGTACAACAAAGAGAAAACACAGAACTGGGAGTCTGGTTAAGTGGCAGAACACAGCTGGAATGTTGATGTGGCTTTGTGTTCACAGCAGGTGACCTTGGGTGGGAAGTTTGACTCTCTGAGCCTCAGTCTCCTCACCTGTGAAAAGGGGATGATGATATCCTAGTCCTGGTGTTGCTAGGTGGTGCAATAAGCTGATGTAGGTGGAGGCGTCTCAGCTGTAAGGTGGAGCAGCTGTTCCACAGTGCAGATCAGAGGGCAGTCCATCCAGCAGGTGTCATCTGCCTCCTGCATTCATTTTCTCCACTTCCAGAATAGCCCGATTTTTGCCTGAAATCCCTCTCTGCCTCTTACCTGGTGGTTAGAATAAGGCAGGTGACCCAGGCCTAAGCCAGTCAGAGCATAGGATTCTCCTGGGTCACGCAGGGTGGCAAGTTGGCTTGAGCTGGTCCAGACAGAATGAACCTCAGATGCCCGAAAAGAGTAGAAGTAAGTGTGAAAAAGCTGCTGCCATCTTGTGACTACAGGGCAGGGCCAGAAAGTGGAATGGGAGCTGAGAGATGGGGAGACCTGGGAACTTGGGATTTACTGAGTCTCTGAACCCAGCTCTGACTGAAGCCAGAACTACTCCTAGAGTTTTCAGTGACAAGAGTTAAAAATCTTCCGCTTTTGCCCAAGTTAATTCGAGTTGGTTTTCTGCCCCTGAAACCAACAGTCCAGACTGACACATTCCTTCTCCGAAGTCTACTATCTTTTGTAATAATGGAGGGAAAAGAGAATGGTTATATGCAACCACAGATGGTTAGAGCTGTACAGGCCTTCAGGATGATCCAATTCTTCCTATTTGCTTGAAGCATGACTTCCTTGGGCCTTAGGGACTTTTGCCTTCATAGGCCCCTTCCTCCATAAAAATATTAAAAAATATATTTTGGCACTGTGTTAGTATAAAGACAAACATACTCCAAGACAGATTGTATTTACTTACTTTTCTAAAAAATAAATTAAAATATTTCCTTGGGCCTTGGACAAGATGCCTATGTACTTAATGGATAAATCAACTCCGGCGGTGTTAACTTTTCTTGCTTGTATACTTTTTTTTCTTTTTTCTTTTCTTTTTTTTTTTTTTTTGAGATGGAGTCTCACTGTGTTTCCCAGGTTGGAGTGCATGGGCGCAATTGCAGCTCACCGCAATCTCTGCCTCCTGGGTTCGAGCGATTCTCCTGCCTCAGCCTCCTGTGTAGCTGGAATTACAGGCACGTGCCACCATGCTCGGCTAAATTTTTGAATTTTTAGTAGAGATGGGGTTTCACCATGTTGGCCAGGTTGGTCTTGAACTCCTGACCTCAGGTGATCCTCCAGCCTCGGCCTCCCAAAGTGTTGAGGTTACAGGCTTGAGCCACTGTGCCCAGCCTGATGTATACATTTTTGTCATGGGCATACATTTGTGATGAACAGTTGGTTCCTAGGGCAGGCACATCACTCTTCAGCTGATCTACAGCACATATTAACGGCCACATCAATGAAGGCCATTTATGAATTAATAGAACAGGTATAACAATATTATGGATCCCGGTGGGTGAGGGCTCAGACTAGTGATCACTTCCGATTGGCTGAATGCATTTGTGGTCTGATTAGGCTGAATGTGATGGGGATGGAGTGCACAGCAATGCTTACTTCTGATTGGCTGAATACGCTTGCTGTCTGACTGGCTGGAATGTAACAGGACGGCACTAAAGAGCACTGCTCACCTCCGATTGACTGAATGCACACGTGGTCTTGTTGGCCTAAGTGTTAGCCAGAGACCCACAGACTGCAGGCTGAAGAACCAACCCTCTCATGAAATCATGGTGGTTGTATCAGAACAGAAACTTCTCATTTGTGTCGATAAATCTCTAGCATAAAATGTCGCCAGTGCAATTCTGTCTGTAAAGGTAGTGGAAATCCACGAGCGTTTATGTTGCACAGATGACCTCAGACCTGTCCTCCACAGAATGTAAGCCTCCAGAGTGTAAGCATCTTGCCCTCACTGACTGTCTGGATGCTGCCTTGGGGACCAACAGCCTTTGCAGGCCTGGGGCTGGGTCCGACTTCAACTCCTGGTGGATCTGGGCTGCCAGAGCTCAGCGGGTGGGAGAGAGCTCCACGTTCAGCTCCATCGTACCCCCTTTCCCATGCCCCCAAAGCGCCTCTCTGGCTTTTCCTGAAAAGTCCCACACTGAGGCTCTGGAACTCTGCCATTGTAGGTGGAGCAGGGTAAGTGTAGACCACGGGAATTTTCAAATATTCAGGAAGAAGTAGCCCAGCTTAAATAGCCATGAGGCTTAAGAGTGGGTCTGAAGGTGCGCCCCGGACCAGCAACATCAGCATCAGCATCAACAGAGGACTTGCTAGAAATGCAGATCCTCAGCTCTCACCCCAGACCTGCGAATCACAGCCTCAGGGAGGCCCGGGAATCCTTGTTTCAACAAGCGCTCCGGGGGACGCCGATGCACGCTCAGGGGTGGGGACCTGCGCTCTGTAGGGTACCTTCCCTGAGAACACAGTTTTTTCCTTCCTTTGGAGGAGGATTTTCTGTGACAGCTTTGCTGACCCGCACTCCCCGCAAACAGGCTCCCGGGCCGGCTCTAGCCCAGACAGACAGGCCCTAAGACCCCATCGGCGGCGGCGCACCGGGGGTCCCACTAGCCCAGGAGAGCTGAGAATCCCGCTATAGCGTCCCCTTTTAGCGCTCTCCACCAAGCCGAATAGGTCAAAATCCTTTAAGCGTTTTGGCCTTGACTTCTCTTACTGAGGCGGCAGCGATAGCTAACCTGTTGTTTAAGAAGCTCCCAAGGCCGCGCTGCCGCGCTGTGACCACGCATCGGAGGGAACACGTTTTCCTGCGGACGGTGGATCCCGGGTCGCGGCGCGCGCTCCGCAGCCTCCCCGCGCGGCCACTAGATGGCGCTGTTGCACTTTCCTATCGGCTCCCGGGGCGCGCCCGCCTCCTGGCTTCCCGCGGTCCCACCAGAGTCCCCGAAGTGTAAAAACAACGTGCCGCTGTGAGCCGAGGCCGGTCTCACTGAGATGCCCGGGAAACGATGTGCAGCCAGGAGGCTTGGCCGAGAGGGAACGCTGACTGCGGGACTGTGGCTGCAGAGCCTCTCAGGGCTTTACACGTCTCCCTCTCCACGCCCCGCACGCTGCCCCCACTGAAGCCCAAGCCCCTTGGGGTGGCAGAGTAGGACTGCAGGGCTGGGCATGTGCGTGAGGGGTCTGCGGTCGCTGAGGGAGCAGAGCAGGGACGGCAGGGTCGGGCCGGGGCCGAGGAGACGCTGGCTGCAGGGGGCTGCGGGACACACGCAGCAACCACGGCCTTTCCAGCAGCAGTCTCCTTGGAGGATGAGGCCGTAATGGCGATAGTAATAAACACAGGGCGGCAATGAGAACAAACGCACTGAGCCCTCACTGCACCCCTACTAGGGAGGGACTGTGGTGTCCCCAGTACACAGGTGGGGAAGTGGAGGCAGGATTCCAAACCAGGCCTCTGATTCCAGGGCCTCCTTGCCCCAAGCCAGAGACCCCAAGGTCTGCAGTAGAGGTCCTAGGAGCTGTGGTGTCCCGATTGAGGGGGCTGCCCCAGCCTGGGGCCTTCTTGGGATGTGTCTCTCCTCATTGGCTCCAGGGGCAAGGAGGAGCCACGGGACCCAGGATTCCCGACTGTTCCACCCAAGGCCCCACCTCCTCCCTCAGCGCAGCTTTGCAGGCGCTGGGGCTCCCAAAGGACGGAGCTTTGAATCCACCTGGGAGGCTTAAGAGAAAGTGCTGAGTCCCCCATGCCCTACCCCTGAGACTGCTGACAGGCATCGCTGAGGGCTGCAGCTTTGGAATCGGGCATCTTCTGAGGAAGAGAAAGGCACCACAGCCACGGCACAGAAGACTAGGTGAGGGCAGTGGGAAACCTCTGCACCAGGGCAAGCGGTCGGCCAGAGCCGACGTGTCCATAGGGACCAGATGGAGAGGGGGAGGTGGATGAACATGAAATACGAGTGCAGGAAATTGCTGTGTAGACAGCACCCCTGGAGCTGAGCGAGGCTCCCGGCAGGGTCTCCTCTCAGTGACTGGCGCTCCGCTCACCTAATTGCTCAATCTGGGATGCCTGGGAGCTGCCCTCGCCGCTTTCTTGCTGCGTGTTCTCGGGCAAATGCTTCAACGAGCCCCTCAAGACCACCCCTCAAATGCCCCGCTCCTCAAGCCTCCCTCAGCTCTTGCTTTAGTGTTCCAGAAACACACTCTAATTCAGGTTTCTGGTTTTACTTTCTCATAGGGCTCTGTGTTAGGGCGTTCGTGTATTGTTAGAAAGAAATACCTGCAGCTGGATAATTTACAAACAGAATGAGTTTAATTGGCTCACAGTTCTGCAGGCTGTAGCGCATGGTACCAGCACCTGCCTCTGGGTGGGGGCCTCAGGAAGCTTCCAATCATGGCGGAGGGCGGGGGGTGGGGTGGGAAGCCAGCATCACAGGCGAGAGCAGGAGCAAGAGAGAGGGAGAGTGTCACACACTGTTAAACAACCAGGTCTCAAAGAGTCACCCACTGTGGTGGGGACAGTACCAAGCAGGCCATACCCCCGGGATCCGCCCCCATGGCCCAAACACCCCCCACAGGACCCACCTGCGACATTGGGGTTTACACTTCAACATGAGATTTGGAGAGACAAACAGCCAAATTATATCAGCCCCCCCAGTTTACTGCCTTAAGATTTTTTTTTTTTTAATTTAAGAGATGGGGTCTCACTCTGCTGCCCGGGCTGGAGTACAGTGGTGCAATCAAAGCCCGCTGTAACCTTGAATTCCTGGGCTCAAGCGAGCCTCCTGCCTCAGCCTCTCTAGTAGCTGGGACTACAGATGCGGGACACCACATTCAGCTAATTAACTACTTTTTTTTTTTTTTTTTTTAAGAGATAGGATATCACCATGTTGCTAAAGCTAGTGTTTTAGATCTTTTTGAACTTCTCCCTTACAGCTTTTAACAGTTTGTTATGACCCATCTACTGGTGTGATTTTTGGCCTGTCTCTCTGCCTCCCCCTCCTCCTCCTCCCTCTCCTCTTCCTCCCCCTTCTCCTCCCCGCTCTTCTCTTCCCCCCTCCTCCTCCTCCTCCTCCATTTTCTCCTCCTCCTTCTCCTCCTTCAGGCTGTAAGCCTCCTGAGACTGTCAGTTTTGCTCCCCACTGTGATAGGGCCTGGGGCAGCTCCTGAAATCCAGTGGGACTTGAGAAAATTGGAATCAGCCCTCTCCTGGGCCCCAAGCTGGTCCCCACCCATGCTGCCAGCTTATGCTCTAGTGGTAGAACATTCTCTCCCTCTGCCTGCAGTTACTCAAAGATGAGATTTACAAGCAGACTACTTGGCCGGGCATGGTGGCTTATGCATGTAATCCCAACACTTGGGAGGCTGAGGTGGGCAGATCACTTGAGGCCAGGAGTTCGAGGCCAGCCTGGGCACCATGCAGAAACCCAGTCTCTACTAAAAATACAAAAATTAGCTGAGTGTAGTGGCGCCCGCCTATAGTCCCAGCTACTCGGGAGGCTGAGGCAGGAGAATCACTTGAACCCAGAAGGCAGGGGTTGCAGTGAGCCGAGATCTGAGATCACACCACTGCACTCCAGCCTGGGTGACAGAGTGAGACTGTCTCAAAAAAAAAAAAAAAAAAAAAAAAAAAGCAGAGCTTTTATTTGGAATTAATTTTAAATTGACAAGAGATGCAAAAATGCAGATAGTACAAGGCGCTCCTGTGTACTTTTTATTTCAGCTTGCTTGTGTGTAATTTTTTTTTCGGAGCCACTGGAGGGTGAATTATATGGAACATGGCCCTTTGCCCTTCAGCACTCCAGTGGGTATTTCCTAAGAATGGAGATAACCTCTTATGTCATCACAGTGCAGTCACTGACACCAATTTGCATTGATACAATACTTTCATCTCATCTACTGTCCGTATTCTAATTTTGCCACTTGGTTTAATAATGTCCTTTGTAGCATCCCCCCTCCTCCATAGTAGATGATCCAGTTTAGGGGCAGATGCTACATTTAGCTGTCATGTCTCTTTATATACCTTGATCTGGACCATTTCCGCAGCATTTCTTTGTCTTTTATGACACTGGCATTTTCGAAGCATATAGTACTTCTGCTTTTAAAAAAAGAACCTTCTTTATTTTGTGTGTGTCCGATGAGTCTCTGTAATTATGCAGGAACACAGAGCAGACGATTTTATTTCTTCTCAAGGTATCCCATGTGAAAGCAGATTTAAAATCAGAACCGTCTTGAAATGCCTTCTCATAGCACAAGCTATTAATATTTTCATTTCTCTTTGCTACCATGGGATCTGTGCAATGCTGGAACGTCAGGAGATGGCTCTCTTTCAATGTGGACTCTGAAAAAAACTCATTTATTCTCAGCTGTGGTTGAAAGACCTTAGTAAGCCTCCTGGCTTCGAGCAGGAAGGCCGGCTTTAGGCATGAGTGATGCTGGCAGTTCCCACCCTTCCCAAATGCCATTTTCCCTGTCGGTACTGGCCGGGCTGCGCTATAAAGTCGTCCCCACAGAGCGGCTGTGGCTGGGAACAATCGACCTTTTACCTCCGCGGTGGTTTCGCTACATCGTTTTGAAAACACTCCAGTGTGCCGTAGCACAGCGGGGCTTCCAGGGAGACGGTTGGCAGGCTCCCTTGCCCTCTGGGCCACCTCTCTGCACTTGGAGTGCTGCTAAAATGCCGATGTCCCAAGAAGAGGGGACACCAGAAGCTATTACTGGCCATTGGCTACTGAAGATGGCCTAATAACTGGGTGTCCCTGGGGAGGATGGTGGAGAACTGGACCACAGGGGTGCATGGTGCATGGTCTCTGGGACTGATAGCAGCGGTGACACCCTTGTAGACATCCCTTTCTGTGTGGCCCTCACTGGTCCCAGAAAGGAAAAAAGACATATCCTTGTTGATGCTTTAAAGCGTCCATTGAGAAAGCAGCCAGAGGAGGTGGAAAGAGAACCACTGTTCGCTGTTCGAGTCTTGGGTTCAAATCTTGGCTCTGCCTCTGGTGAGCGAGGGGTTTTAACCGCTTCTGTGCCTCTTCGGTGTCCACAGTTTGTGGGGACGATAGAGGGAGTGATCTAGGGAACAGACGTCGTGTCTGCTTACAGTCAGAGCTTCCACAGTGCAGTGCGCCGCCTCCTCCTGCCTCTGACTACTCTGTACTCCCTCAGCATTGAGATGGGGAGGCTACGTCACCATGCCCCAGATATGGAAATAATTGTCACCAAGAAACACCTTATCCTAATTACAGTTTCCTGCAAAGAAGAGGCACATTCATAAGAGGAAGCACCGGGTTGGTCAGGGTGATTGGGTTGGTCAGTCAGGGTGATTGGGTTGGGGAAAATGGGTCAGAGGTCTTTATTGTGCCTTCCGTGGGATGGAGCAGAGAGGCAGGGCAAGCAGTCTCAGGATTGGCAAATTTGAAGAATTTCCAGGCTCCAGGGCATCCAGGGTGTCCCTAGTTGTCTGGCACCTGGCCCTGGGGTGATCAGGGTGGATGGATGGTGGCTCAGGAGGGTGGGAACCTAATGAAGGAGGATGCTGGAGAGGGTGTGTGAGATCAAGATTTGTTTGTTTGCACTTGAAAAACATACTTGGGGGTGGGGGGCAATTTGTTGACTCTCTTAGGAATCAGCTATCGCTGGAGGGGCAGTCCCTTCAGGGTCAGCAAAACCACAAATGTCATAGCATCAGAATACAGAAATAAAAGAAATCAGAAGACATGTTTGATATGGGTACTTCCGTCCCCTGCGAGGAGTACGTTCTAACTTTGGACAGCCCCTCAGGAGGCTGCTCTCTGGGTCCCCAAGGCTATGGCTTTGTTTATGGTCTTCTAGAATGCATGCTTCACTGACACAAATATAAACTTCCTGGGTGAGCACAGAATGGCTAGATTCTTCATTTAAATGGGGATGCTTCCAGCATTCCATGAAGCTTGGCAGGCAGAGCAGTGCCTGCAGAGGCCTTGTCAAAAGCCTCTCTTCAATCTGTTTCTTGCTCAACAGGTCAGCCAGTGCAGTTACCAGGAGATGCCTGCCTGGGGTGGGTTGGGGAGGCCCAAGAAGAGGACCGACCCCTTGGGAAGAGAGTGGCGAGCTGGCTTTGCATGACAGCCTGTCTCAGTGGAGTTTGCGTTCTCTCCGATGGCAAGTCCGAAGGGGAAGCAAAACATGGTACAGACCGCTCTGGAATGTAAGGGCTCTGAGCTCACTAGGTTTTGTTTGCAACTGGGAATGAGGCCATCTCGGGTGACCAGCCCCAGCAGAGAGCAGTAGAGTCAAGTGGCCCTGCACATTACTTCCTGTGTGTGTTTGTGTGTGTGTGCACTTGTGTAGGCTGTGGGGCAGTCAAAACTGTTGTGAGCTCCAGGGGTGACGGTGAAGGTCAGTGCTGTGCAAGGCCACTCATGGGCCACAGTGGGTACACACTTGGGGCAGAGTAGGGAAGAAGACCACCTTTTTTATGGCTCTCTGAAACTGAAGAGTTGGGGGCTACTGATGAGGATTGATGTTGTCAGAGTTCTGGGAGGAGCAGCTGACTTGATATCAACAACTGGGCTTGAACTGGAAAAATCTGGAAGGACGGTGAAACACTTTGACAGAGAGACTACAGCACATTGGTCAAGCCAAATTGCAATGCCCTTTCATCCAGCTTTTTTTTTTTTTTTTGAGACAGAGTCTCGCTCTGTCACCCAGGCTGGAGTGTAGTGGTGCAATCTCGGCTCACTGCAATTTCCACCTCCCAGGTTCACGCCATTCTCCTGCCTCAGCCTCCCGAGTAGCTGGGACTACAGGTGCCCGCCACCACACCCGGCTAACTTTGTACTTTTAGTAGAGATGGGGTTTCACTGTGTTAGCCAGGATGGTCTCGATCTCCTGACCTCATGATCCGCCTGCCTTGGCCTCCCAAAGTGCTGGGATTACAGGCGTGAGCCACCGCGCCCGGCCCATCCAGCCTTTAAGTTTCTCTGAGAATGTGCAATGTGACTTCCTCCCTCCTCCTCTTGTTTCCTTCTTTCCCTTTTTCCCTCCATTCCGTACCTACTATGAATCAGTCACTGTGTCTTAGGCACTGGGGACAAAAGGCCCAATGCTGGCCTGTGTGGAGTTTATAATCTAGACCAAGGTTCTTCAGCCTCAGCGTTATTTAGTGCTCTGGGCTGGGGAATTCTGCTGTCAGCAGCTGTCCTGGGAATTATGTGGTGTGCAGTTGCCTCTCTGGATGCTACCTACTGGATGCCAATAGCACCTCCCTCTGCTCCAGTATATGGCAATCAACAAATGTCTCCAGACATTTCCCAATGTCCCATGGGTGTCAGTCTCCCTGGTTGAGAACCACAGGTCCAGTGGGGAAAACAGCCAACCCATCAGCCTGGGCAATACAGCTTGCATAGCATGGCCAGAGTCCCCGGATGGGTCTACTCAGGAATCTTCTCCTGATCAGAGTCTGGGGCAGTGGGATTTGCAGTAGGTGTTTAGTACATACCTGTTGAGGAGGTAAGACCCCCACATAAAACCACAGCCAGGAGAAGAACTTTTTTTTTCTAGACAGAATCTCACTCTGTCGTCCAGGCTGGAGTACCAGTGGTACAATCATAGCTCACTGCAGCCTCCAACTCCTGGGCTCAAGTGATCTTCCTGCTTCAGCCTCTGAGTAGCTGGGACTACGGTCATGTTCTACTGCACTTGGCTAATTTTTTAGTTAATAGTTGTTGTAGAGACAGGTTCTTGCTGTGTTGCTCAGGCTGGTCTCAGACTGTTGGCCTAAAGGTACCCTTCGACCTTGGCCTCCCATAGTGCTAGGATTACAGGTGTGAGCCACCACACCCAACTGTCTTAATATCATGGGGCGCTTGTCCTGGATTCTCTGCATTGGTTCCGTCAATCAGGTATCTGTAAATAAGATGAACAATAAAATGACCTTCCTTGCTAATCTCTTTCTGCTTTTCCTTTACCTTGAAATAAGTGCAGTGGAGGAGAATGAGTTCATTTGGCGGCAGGCCTGCAACCAGAGGAGGTTTTCTACTTTTGAGTAAACCTCTCCCTTAATGTTTCCGTGGCCTTTTAAAGAGGAGGCAAAGAAGAGGGTCCTAATAGTTTTCCTTGTATCTGATCCAGGGGAGCCAGCTTCAGCTTTTGCCAAGTGTTTGGTTCATCTGACGCTTGGTGAAGTCACATGCATCTGCTGCCCTGACATCCAGGAGAAGGAACCATCTGGCTCAAGAATCCATTACAGAAGAGGCCGTCAGCACCCGTCACTTGTGCCTCCCCATGTCCAGCTGAGTTTCTTTCTCTCTGCTCAACTCCAAAGTGTTGATGAGTCAATCGATGCGGCCCTTGCCACTGCGTCTCACTGGGAATTCCGGTGAGGTGGCCGTCTGCCTGCGTGCGTGCCAGCTAGCTCCTCGATCAATGCACACTTCTTTAAAGTGCTGCAGGATGCTGCTGGAAAGGATTTGGTCTGGCTCATTTGGCTGTTGAAAAAGGCCACGCCTGCTTCAAGTTCCTCCAGTACTCGGGGGTAATTACAAGCATTTTCAGAAAACAAAACAGCCAAATGGAAAATTTTTGTTACAAAACATGCTTTGGCCACTTCAGTAGTTGAAATGACAAGAGAATGGAAACCCCCTTAAGTGAGATCATGCTGTTTTTGAGAACATATTCTTTAAGAGGAAAACTGTTCTAAATACTAACAATGGTGACAGTGGTGCTGTTTATGATAACAGTGACAGATCCACATAATTTCCTTTCCCAAAGGTTCCTTTTGGTCACTCAGGCTCCCAACCTTGGAATAATCTTTCTTTCCTGCATATCATCTCATGGTCAACTAGTTGCCAAGATCCCTAGGATTTCCACCTTTCATCCCACATTGCTGTTTCTCTCCTTTCCATCCACATCACCTTTGTTCAGCTCCTCGTGTGTCTTTCCTAAACTTTGGCAAGGGCTGTCTAACCTGTATCCTTCCTCCCTTCCATTTTATCATTCACCTTTCAACCATTTCCCAGGAATTCCATTGTATTAGTTACCTGTTGCTGAGTAAAAATTAGCCCAACACGTGTTGGCTAAAAACAACAAATATTTACTATGTCACATAGTTGCCAAGGGTCAGGAATTTGGATACATCTTAGCCAGGTGGTTCTGGCTCATGGTGTCTCATGAGGTTTTAGTCAAGATGTCAGCTGGGGCTGCAGTCATCTAAGGCTTGACCGGGACTTAAGGATCCACTTCCAAGATGGCATGCTCATATGGCTATTGGTAAGAGACCTCGGTTCCTCCCTAGTTTTTGATAGGAGGTGTCAGTCTCTCATTACATGAGTTTCTCCACAGTGCTGCTTGAGTGTCCTTATGACATGGCAGCTGGCTTCCTGCAGAACAGGTGATCCATGAGAGGAAGCGAGGAGGACAATACCATGCATTTTAAAACCTAGTCTTGGATGCCAGACACCATGTCTTCCTCATATTCTGTTAGAAGCTGGCCCACATTTTAGTTTAGAGGAGGGGAATTAGGTTCCACCTTTAGAAGGGAATGGTGTTGAAGAATTTGTGGACATACTTTAAAATGATCTCATCCCTTATGTAAACATTGCTGTCTGTGTTTTCAGGGAATTTAGTCCACAGGCTCTTGTATGATTGGTTTACCCAGTCTAGACAGACAAGCCGCCAGAAAAGTAACCCAGTCCTGGTGCATCTTTCCTTAAAAACCATTACAGACTGCCCCGTGTTTAAAGAACTCAGCACAGAGTGCCTCTCCCACCCTCTGCCACCCTTAACTTTCCTTCCTTCCCTCCTTCACTCCTTTCCTTCCTTCCTTCTGTCCTTCCTTCCTTCCTTCCTTCCTTCCTTCTTCCCTCCCCCGCTCCCTCCCTTCCTTCCTCTCTTTTCTTTCTGTCTCTCTCTTTTTCTCTCTTCCTTTCTTTCGATGGAGTTTCACTCTGCCTCCCAGGCTGGAGTGCGCTGGCATGATCTCAGCTCGTTGCATCCTCCACCTCCCAGGTTCAAGTGATTCTCGTGCCTCAGCCTCCTGAGTAGGTGGGAATACAGGCGCCCGCCACCATGCCTGGCTATTTTTTTATGGTGGGTTTTTTGTTTTCTGTTTTTTGAGATAGAGTCTTGCTCTGTTGCCCAGGCTGGAGTGCAGTGGTGCAATCTTGGCTCACTGCAACCTCTGCCTCCCAGGTTCAAGCGATTCGCCTGCCTCAGCCTCCCAAGTAGCTGGGACTACAGGCAAATGCCACCACGTCCGGCTAATTGTTTTGTATTTTTAGTAGAGACGGGATTTCACTGTATTAGCCAGGTTGGTCCTAATCTCCTGACTTGTGATCCACCTGCCTCGGCTTCCCAAAATGCTGGGATTACAGGCATGAGCCACCATGCCCCGCCAATTTTTTGTGTTTTTAATACAGACGGGGTTTCACCATGTTAACTAGGCTGGTCTTGAACTCCTGACCTCAGGTGATCCACCCATCTCGGCCTCCCAAAGTGCTGGAATTACAGGTGTGAGCCGCCGTGCCCCACTGCCACCCCTAACTTTTAAGGTAACTGACATTTCTGGCCATATCCTCTCCTACTCCGCAAAGGGCAGCCTACCTTCTAGTTTACCTGGCAACTCGCTCTCTTCTGGACATATCCTGTGCTCCATCAATTCCCACTGCCCTCTGAACTCCTGCTTCTCCCTTACACCCAGTTTTAATCACCAAGACCTGCTGGCTTTACTTTCTTAATGAGTTCACAAATAGTTCCCCACCTCTCTCTCTCTCTCTTTCCAGCTCAGGGTCAGACCCCTGGCTTCTCATCAGGAGTCCTGCAAAAGCTTCCCCTCTGGGTTCTCTCTCCACCTTTGCCTGCTTCCTCACCAATGTCTGGAGTTGCCCTGTGACCCACCTAAAGTGTGAATCTGACCACATCCACTCTTTGCTTAAAATCCTTCCCTGGCCTTGCATCAATGACTGGATAAAGTCCAGCTTCCTCCTGCAGAATCCAAGACCCTCTTACAGGTCCCCCAGCTGATGGTCCTCTCAAGACTCCCATGTCTTGTTCTTGCAGCACTGCACCCCAGGCTGTTACAGACACACTGGGTGGTGCCCACCTTTTCCCTTTGCTTGTTTCCCTTTGGCAGGTGAGTTGAAGAGCCAGTGGGAAAGAAAGCTGTACAAGAGGGAACCCACGTGAATGCAAGCCTCAAGAGCCTGAAGACATCTAGGGGAGCACTCAGCCTTCCATCTGGCAAAGAATGGGGCTCCTCAGTTAATTCTATGTAGGCCTCGGAGGACAGGGTACATATGGATTCTGCAACCAAGGTGCTAATTAAACTCCCTAATGATCTTGACCTGGAAAATGAGGCTCTTTGCTGAGCCCCCTGTAAGCCTGGCAGAGCCGCTACTAATAACTCATAGCATATCTGGCAGAGTAATATGCCCAGAGGAATTTCTGCTTCTTTGTGCATTTTTAAACTCACTTCCAAATTAGGGAAAGAAGCACTTTCTCACTTTTGTGCAAGAATCCACATTTCTGAATGGTTCCGCCCTGTTCTTGCCTAACACAGGCAGTGTTGTGATATGATGTGGATGCCCAATTAATATGAATACAGTTGACTTTTAAAGAGAGCAGTAAGGGAATTCTGAGCTCCCTCACGCTTTGCTAAATGCAAAACAAAGCTGTCTTCTGCAATGACCTTCCCCTTCTACTCAGAGCTGTTGCGTCTTGGGAAGGGTTTGATTCCTTTGTCTGGGAGTCATTCTTGTGGGCATCACTGTCCAGCACTGGCATGGATGGAGCTTACTGGATGTTTCCTTTTCTTGTGGTGTGTGGTGCCCTTTAGTGTTATTTGCGAAATATTTTCCTTTGTTCCCACTCTGGCCGCATGCTAGGGTTGCCCATCCTGGCCCTGTCATGATTGGATAGTGTCAAGTAATTAGCTCACATCAATGATTGTGCATGGATCATATCCACAGACTGGACATTTAATTGTCATTATGAGACCCTCCAGATCTGTTTCCTCCTGGCACTGCTGATCAGAACCATTTGAGATGGTAATTGTTCAGTAAGCCTGGATCTCTGAGCAGAGTCCCCTTGCTGACCTGTATCATGATTTTTAGCCCACTGAGATTTTGGAGTTGTTTGTTACTGCAGCACAGCCTAGCATATCCTGACTGATCTATAGCGTTTGGCATTTTCAGCAACTTAATATTTACCATAACTTTGCTTGCACAAAGGCAGTGTGCCTTTGCTGTTTTGTCAATTCACAATTCTTGTGCGAATTTTCACTAATGGCCAATTAGAATTTATTATTCTTTTCAAGGTTGGGAAGAGGATGTTGTGGACTAATATCTTTGGCAACTCAGCCCAGTGCCAAGTGGTCTGATATCTGAGAATGACCTTGGCATACTTTGTGAGGTTAACCCTTCCTGGCTTAAAAACAGATGCCCCAGCTTTGGCCAGGCCACTCCATGGTTAATATTGATAATGACAACTGATGGGGTGCCAACTATGTGCCAGGCAATGAGTACCTCTAATTATTACTATAACTCTATAAGTGAGGCTGTATCTTATTCCCATGTCTCAGATGGTAACACTGAGGGACAAACAGGGTAAACCTATTTAAATAGATTGCCTAACCTCTCTTTGATAGTGGAGCCCAGGTTTGGTCCCAACTCTGGATGTAAAAGTCTATGTTCTTTTTTATTGCACCTAGCCAACTCTCCTTTGTAAATTTCTAGGAGAGGGATGAAAGGTGCCTCTGTCCTTAGGGATGTTATAGAAATTATCCTTGATGGTATTAGCCCGTTGACATTCTGTGTTTGGTTGGATGTCACATTTTTATTCATTCATTCATAAATTCATTCATGTATTTATCCACATACTAATCCATGCATTCACTCTTTCATAAATTCATTCACTCATTTGCTCATTCATTAACTCATTCACGCATTCCTTAGGCTTTGATGAGAATCTGTCAGGTGCTGGGTTTTGTTTGGGATTGGGATTTAGACAAGGACTGGTTAGGATTTCTGCCTTCAACCTCAGTGGACTCACAGCCTTGGAAGAACAGCTCTGTGTGTGTGTGTGCGTGTGTGTGTGTACGTATGTATATATATGTATACTATACATATGTGTACACCCACAGCTGTTCCTCTAAGGCTGAAGGCTGTAAGTACATACATGTATTCATATATACATACATATATGTACACATATACATATGTGTACACACACACACACACACACACACAATGGTACAGATATGTCCAGGGAAGTATGAGCCCACTGAGGAGGTGGCTTCTGGTCTAGATAGGATATAAAGCTGTGTCAGGGCTGGCTTCCTGCAAGAGATGATAGTTTTAGAGTTTTTTGTCTTCTATTTTTCTTTATGAGTTTTTCACACTCCCCCCGACCCTCATTCCACTAAATTCACAGCCTGAGGGTCAATGTCATTATCCCCAGCTATGATCCTTCTGTTTATGAGGGTCACAGTGTCCATGGCTTCTATATTCCATCCCCTTCCCCTTCCTCTTCTCCTGCCCCCACTGTGGTGTCATTATTTCCCACATCTAGAAGGTTAATGGCCCCTTCCAAGGAATGGTGATATGGAATCCTAGCTCTTTGGGGGCATAAATAGATTTTTTTCCCCCCAAAGTTTGGCCTGTCACTTGCTCTTAATGGCTTGAGGTTGGTTGCAGAACTATCCGGCAGGAAAAAATGAAAAGGACCCTCTGATTACGTGCTCCTAAGTTGGCTGGGGTAATTTGAGCAGAAACGGCTTTGCAGCTCTGGGGAAAAAAAATGTAATTCTCGTGTATGAAAGCGTGAACCAGAGTTGCCATGTTCACTTCTTGTTTTTAAAGCCCCCACAGGCCAAGTCACATATCTGGGTCAGAGGGTCTATTGATTACCTGTCACGCCCTGAGGTGTGGGTGATCAATAATACTAACATACAGGAAAGGTGGCCTTGAATGCAGAAATCCCATTGTGTTGACCATCCATTTTTTCTCGCCTGTAAGTGCTTTGCAGGGAAGCAAAACTGTCTAACCTAGGGCCACAAATGACCCAAATCCTAAAACTGTTCCTACAAACCAAGGCTTTGGAAATGCCCCGTTCCAAAGGAAGCAGAGGCAGGTTGTTGGCGCCGTCTCTCAGCGTTCGGACAGTGGGGCAGACAGGGAGGCAGGGGAGTGAGGAGGCAAGGGCGTTGAGGAGAATTCTTGAGGAATAGAGACAGAGGTCCCTCGCACCACAACCTTGACCTTTCATTAATGTTTAATCAGGTGCTTGGAGCAAAGTACTTTCAAAAAGTCCTGAAAATCCTTATGACTAATGAAGCATTCTGTGACGGGAAGCCTGGCTTTGCCTGGATCTGCTTGTGAAGCTCTCCATGAACCCCTTTCTTTTTGGGGGGCCCCCTGCGCAGGGCATGCACCAGTTTTTATTTTTACTTTTTTTGAGACGGAGTCTCACTGTGTCACCCAGGCTGGAGTGCAGTGACACCATCTTGGCTCACTGCAACCTCCTGAGTTCAAGCGATTATCCTGCTTCAGCCTCCCGAGTAGCTTGGATTACAGGTGCCCACCACCAAGCCCAGCTAATTTTTGTATTTTTGATAGAGACAGGGTTTCACCATGTTGGTCAAGCTGGTCTCGAACTTCTGACCTCAGCTGATCCACCCGCCTTGGCCTCCCAAAGTGCTGGGATTACAGGCATGAGCCACCGTATCCGGTCCATGCAACAGCTTCTTATTTTCTGTCTGCCAAGGGGGCCGAGTCTGAGGCCTGTTTTGATGAGTCAATGTCATATGGAATGCTGTGGCTCTTGCAGCCACCTACCCAGTATCCAGTTTCCCTTCCTTCTTTCTAAGGGACTCAGATTTTGTTAATTCCCCTGCTTCTCCTTGGTACAGCCATGGGAAGCGGAAGTGTGGTCGACCCCAGGTGACTGTGCTGAGTCAAGGGGTGAACATTGGACCTTCCTTGGCCCAATCAGAAAAGTGCTGGAGGCCACTCAGGTGGGAGGGGTTCTCACTCCTGCAGGATATAAGTGGTCTACCTTGTCTACCTTCCAGCCCACCTGGATGACACGGTCCATCTGCTTGATGGAAGGCTGCTGATGGAGCCATTGGTGGATCTCCAGGGGACCAGAGTGAAGATGACATTAAGACCATGGATGGCAGAGTACAATTTCTGAAGGCTCTGTAGAGTTGGTAGATCAACATCCTACCTGGCTGTCCTGTTTATAACAGGAAATATTCAATGTCCATATTTTAAAACCAGTTGGAATCCAGGTTGTCTGTTGCTTGTAGTTGAAAACATCCAAACTAGGCAGTGGTGGATACCTTGGGCATAAGCTGCCATCCTGAAATGTGGCCAGGCTGAGCTGGTGGACATTATAAAATCCACAAGTTGGGCCATCAGGTGTGGGAAGGGAGTCAGAATCGCAGAATGTCTGAAAAGAAATGGCTTGTGTTGCCCACAGTAAAGCCAGTAGGGTTCATCACATATCTTGCTGGGAGGTCTTGGTGGGCATTGTCTGGTAGGGAAAGAGTGTGGACGTTGGATGCCACACACCTGCGTGGGCAGATTGCTAGATAAGTCAAGATTGATCAACAATACCAGTTCCACTTGGGTGACATGCTTTAATGATTGTCATGAGCACACGACTGATGGATGTTACCCTCAATGGTGCTTTAAAATGGTTTCTTCTGTAAAAGCCAGCAAAATGTAGACAGTGAGAGAGCAACCTCTGGCACCTTCAGGTACCTGGAAGCACAGGGCAAGAGAAAATGCACCTGGGGTAGGAGGAGAAGGAAGGAGTGACCCAGTTCCACCTACTCACCCACCTCAAAGTCATCAGTCAAAACCTTAGACTTCTAGCCCCAGGTCCACCAAAAGTAAAATCTCTTGGGATAGGGCAAGTGTTCTCAGCAACTTTTTTTTTTTAAGCTAGTCTTTGAACTCTTGCGTTGAGGACTCAGCAGTGGTGGGAGCAGCAGGAAGATGACAGGATTCTGTCCATGTAATCCAGTTGAGGGATTAACTGTGTGAGTGTGCACGTGTAGGTGTGTGTATGTGCACATACTTGTGTGCATGTTTGTGTGTGCACACGTGTGCAGTGTTCTTATGTGCATGTGTGTTGTACATGTGAGTGCACATGTGTGTGGTGACGGAGACAAGTAGGGCTGAAGTCGAAACAGCATAAGCCTGGAGATTTGGAGAAGCAACAAGGGCAGTCCCATTCTGCTCGGAAATGAAGAGCACAGGTGGCTGGGGGTGTTGGGAGTGGGAGACGGCAGCAGAAGATCCCCTTGTAGGGAAAGGGCCTCATAACCCCCCACACAGTTTCTGGGACTGCTAGCAATTCCCCTTGCAGGAGAGAGATTGTCTGCCTCCCTCTATGGATGAGGACATGGAAGGCAGGACTTTAGTGAGCAAGTCCCTCAGCTCACGAGCGAGACTCAGGAAGGGAGGGGAGAGTCTGGTGGGAGACATAGTGTTTCTCACTGGCCTGTCTCCCCACGAGCTGTTGCTGCGCCCTGGGCCACTCCTTCCTCTGTGCCTACCTGAATTTCTTGTCTTTCGAGACTCCAGGTCGTGGCTACCTTATCAATCTTCCTGCTCCTTCCCAAGGCCCAGGTTGGAGCCCCTCTCTGTGTTCAGGAGGACTGGGGGCTCCCCCTACCCTCGCCCCATGTCTTTGTATTGCTATCCCAACTTTAATGCTGGGCTTTTCTGGAGACGTTGGGATCCTTGAGGACAGAGCTGTGTCTTATCCACTGTTATGCTGGGTCCCTTACTAAACAGGTACTGAATGCACTAATCTCAGCCTGGAGCTAGGGGAGGCCAACAGATACCCCTTTGCCTCAATGTTGTAGGTATGGCCTCTTGGGAACTGTGTAGTATTTTTTTGTGGGTGAGTGTGAGTGTGTGTGTGTGTGTGTGTGTGTGTGTGTGTGTGTGTGTGTGTGTGTATGAGAGAGGGAGAGAGACAGCCTGCATCATTCTGCACTGTGTCCTGCATATGTGTAGTCACAGCCCCATTTACAACACCTAGAGTGTGGCTTGAGCATGTCCCAGTTTTCATCAGACTTGGGGATGCCTAGGAAAAGAAGGAGAAAAGTTCGTGAGCAGCAGCAACAGCAGCCTGGGGCAGGGGAGGAGGGGCCTGGCCAGAAGCCCCAGAGGCCCCAGTAGCCGATGGTGAACTGACCTTGTACAGGATAAGCTGTCCCGGTAAAGTCCAAGTCAGAGGCTCAGTCTCCATTCAGGACAAACTTCTATAGGGTGAGGAAGGAGCTCAGACAGGCTGGCCTTGGGATCTGCAGCCTCACTTTACTTGTTCCAGAAACAGAGATTCTATTCAGGGTGGCTGGCCTTGAAGGGGTGTCTAGGAGCTCTGGGAACAGTGCAACTGTGACGTGCACAGTGCCTTTTTTTTTAGCCCAAGGTTATGTGTGGTAAACTATGCATGACATACAATCTATCATCTTACTACTTTAAGTGTACAGTTCAGGGTATTAAGTACATTCACATGGCTGTGCAGCCACCACCAGCACCATCCATCTCCAGAACTCTTATTGTTTTGCAACACTGAAACCGAAAACTGAGAACATGAGGTATTTGGTTTTCTGTTCCTGTGTTAGTTTGCTGAGGATGATGGCTTCTAGCTTCATCCATGTCCCTGCAAAGGACATGATCTCATTCTTTTTTATGGCTGCATAGTAGAATCTCCTTTATTTTTAAGGCTGAATAATAATCCCCTCGTATGTATGTATGATCCATCCAGTCATCCGTCGACAGGCATTTGGGTTGCATGGGGCATCTTTAGTATTTCGATCATCAAATAATTAAATAAGAGGTTGGAGTTTACACGCAGTGTTTTCTATACCGTTGTCTCATTGATTCATTTCCCTGAAATTATATTCATGTGGTTAACTTGATCCTTCTGTGGGAAAGGGCCTGGGAGGCAAAGAAAAGTATGAGTGTGGTTCTGATGCAACCCTTAGACTTTCCTGTGGCGGACAGTGGGTGGACGTCTCAGGTTGATGGTGTCGCAGGTGTCTGTGCAGGGATGGGGTGTTTCTACCGGAACCTACCCAGCTTCCCCACCTTGCCTTCTTTATGTGCGCTGGCTGGCATGGCACGGTGCCCTGCCACTGATGCTGGCGTCGGATGGCCTGGAACTGAGTGTGTGGCCTCAGGCAGGTGACTTTGCTTCTGTGAGCCTCTCTTCATTTGTGGTCCCCAAAAGCGGCCGTGGGAAAGAAATGAGAGAGCACAGTGTCTGAACAATAGTCCTTTTGTGATAAATGGTGGTTTTCTTCCTACTGCTCTCCCACTTGGTGATCATGAACTTCAGAGAAAACATTCCCTGATTTTTGGGGACCCACACACATGGTGATGCGCTGGATGTTGTCACCCTGGTCAGTCTGACTCCCCCCACCCCGGACAGTTGGGCTCTTCCTGAGAAGCCCATCTCACAACGCGTTTGCAGGACTTCCCATGAGTGATTCCCAATTCCATTATTCAGGGATGCGATGAGGCCCCAAGGGCTAAATGTTGTGGCATTGGAAGCAAAACCTACAGCCCAGAGTCAGCTTGGGTGAGAGGCCCATGGGGCCCTCACGGCACCGACCTCAAAGACCTACAGGGATGGAAGCCCGGCAAACAGAAATCCTTCATAATTGCCCAGAAGTTCAAAGCTACTGGTCCGTTAGGTTAATAGCCCTGCAGATCTCATGGCTGGATCCGAAGCAGCATTTGCGGAGTTCACAATGATCCTGGTCACCTTGGACGTTTTATTGTGCCACTCGCTTGCAACAAGCCTCCATCTCAACACAGATGAGATGTACTCCCAAGTAAGGAGTTTGAAAAAGCAGGAAGCACCAGCAGATGGAGCGCGAGTTCGGGATCCCAGCTCAGGCTGGTGCGGTTTGGGACCCAACACACTTGTGCATTTCTGTGGGTTCATCCGCACAGCACGTCCTCCACCGGGGCCCTACCTGCTTCCCACCACTGCGGCCCGGGCCCCTTCCCTGCTCAATTCAGCCCTTTTCTTTAGAGCTCAGGTCCACCCTCCTAGAAACAAGAACACTATGACTAATTATAAAATCATTATATGATTAAACTCAATTAACTTCAAATAACCCTTGAAATTTGCTTAATGTCAGCCTTTGGCCCCGCTTGAACTGTTAAATGTTGCTCTCCTTTGAAATTCCAGTGAGACCAGCTGGTTACAGTCCACTACCTGGCGTGATCCCTGGGCTCTGTGGGGCCACGTGTCTTGGAGTGCAGGGCAGGAAATGATGGCCTGGTGCTGAGGGTCCGGAGCACAGGTGAGGGAAGAGGTTGGGGGAGATAGTGGTGATGGAATTTGGGAACCTTTGGCTCTGCTGGCTATTAGTTGACGAATGGCTGGGAGGAGCTCTGAGGTGGCCTTTCACTTGGGCTCTGACAAGTTTGTTCAAGCCTCTGAGTTTGAACTTGGTGTCTTTTTTGGGCTGAATGTTGTGCTTCTAAAACTCATATGTTGAAATTCTAATCTCCAGTATCTCAGAATGTGACTACTGTATTTGGAGACAGGGCCCTTAAAAATGTGATTAGGGTTAAATGAAGTCATCTGATGTGACTAGTATGCTAATAAGTAGAGGAAATTTGGACACACACACACACATGTGCAGAGGGAGGTCATATGGAGACACGGGGTGGGGGGTGGGGACGGTGGCCGTCTGCAAGACAGAGAGAGGGGTCTCTGGAAGAAGCAACCCTGCTGATGCCTTGGTTTTGGACTTCCACCCTCCAAAACTATGAGGAAATCAACTTCTGTTGTTTAAGCTACCCAGTCTATGGTACTTTGTTGAGGCTGCCTGTGGTGGTTAATATTGAGTGTCAACCTGATTGTACTGAAAGATGCAAGGTATTGTTCCTGGGTGTGTCTGTGAGAGTGTTGCCCAAGGAGATTAACATTTCAGTCAGTGGACCGAGAGAGGCAGACCCACCCACAATCTGGGTGGGACTATCTAATCAGCTGCCAGCGCAGCTAGGATAAAGCAGGCAGAAGGAAGTTGAATGAGGGTGGACTTGTTGAGTCTTCTGGCCTTCATCTTTCTCCAGCGCTGGATGCTTCATGCCTTTGAACATTGGACTCCAAGTTCTTCACCTTTTGGACTCTTGGACTTACACCAGTGGTTTGCCAGGGACTCTCAGGCCTTTGGCCACAGACTGAAGGCTGCATTGTCAATCCTCCTTAATAAACTCCCTTTCATATATGCATCTAGCCTATTCTGTGCCTCTAGAGAACCCTGACTAATATACTGCCGTAGCAAACTAATACAGCACCCTTCATTCTCTGTCTCTCTGTTAGCCTAGAAGGTCAGCCCAGAGTCCTGATAGCAGGGGTGGGAGGCGGGCACCCCTCAGACTAGTTACAGATACAAAGATGAAAGTTGGGAAAGCAAACCAGGGCCCTGTGGGGAGGCTGACAGCCTCCCAGAATTTCAGGTTAGAAAAAGTATTAATATGTAAGAACTGGCTTAGTCTCTGGTACCCTGATTTCCTCACTGGTAAAATTGGGATGATAAGTGTGTGCACCTCATAGTGTTGTGAGGATTAATTTAATTAACTAAACATATAGCTGCCTGGCAAAGAGGGAGCAATTAGTAGGCATTTGCAATTGTGCTCATTTTCTATTGCTGTGTAAGAAATGACCACATACTTAGGTACTTCGGGCAACCCACTTACTAGCTCATGGTTCCGTAAGACAGAAGTCTGGATGCAACAGGACTGAATTCTGTGCTTGGGGAGGTGGCCAGGCCAGTGCACCTGGGGAAAAATCCACCTCCACGCTCAGTCTCTGTCTTTGCTGGTTTTCAGCTGGGGGTTCTCTCAGCTCCTAGAAGTCACCCACATTCCTTGACCTATGGTCCCTCCATCATCAAAGCCAGCCACTGAGAACCTCCCTTGCATGGAACCCCTCTCATGCTTTGAGTCTCTTTTGCTAGGAAGAGCTCTGCCCCTTCTAAGGGCTCAGCTGATTAGGTCACACTCAGTCAGGATAACCTCCTGTTCTTAAGATCAACTGATTTGGGACCTTCATTACACCTGTAAAAATCCCTTTATGGAAGCATCTGGATTAGTGCTGGATTGAATATCTGGGGGAAAGTGTGTGTATACCAGGGAGAGGGAAGCTTGGGGGTCTTCTCAGCATTCTGTTTATCACGGCAAGTCTTGTTAGTACATGTGGATCCTTCCAACTCTATCTGGGGAGCTCACTTTGGCCAAAACGCTCTGGTCTGCTTGGCTTTAGACATTTCCCCTGCAAAGCAGGGCTGCAGTAACATGAGGAATGAGGCATTTGCTTTAGTCACTTTGTGTGCCTTCTGCTGACCTGCTGGGAAGAGGTTCAGAATGTCCTTCACTTCAAAATCCCAGCCCCTTTACCCTTGATTGATTGCATCACCCCTTTCTGGTTGATTTCCCTCTTGGGGGTTGCTGTATGGTGATGAGCAACAGTCCTTGCTGTGGTGGCCTTGGGCGTCTTATAGTTTGAGCAATCATCAGCCTCTCCTCGGGAGAGGTCTGGAAAGGATGCCAGACCTGGAGCCAGAGGCTGCTGGCTAAAGTCCTCACTCACTCTTATGATTAACCACCTAATCTCATTTCCTAATTTCTAAATTAGGACTTTGAGAAAGATTTTAAGGATTTCATAAGAGGAGGCACATGAACACATTTTGCCCTTGTAAAACATCAAGCAGACATGAGACAGGTGTTATCGTCCACTTAGATCACCCAATAAGTGAACTTTGCAGGCTGGCTAGAGGAATTTAGATAACTCAGAGTCCTGAAATAATTTCATATTTGCTAGTTAAGTCATTGTTCCTTTATCAGGAAGGACCCTATCATCTGCACATCTTGACGATCTTCCACATTCTCCCTCCTGAGCCATGTTGACTGTGTGAGTGAATGCCAGAATCTTCCCTCTTAAGCTGATAATGAAACCCATGGTTGACTCCTGGATGCAGCTGGAAAGTTTCTAAAGTCTCCACCTAAAGGATGTGATTTTGTGCTACAGGTTGGCCCTCAGAGGTTCTGGATGCTGCTTCTGGTGGTATCTGCACAAGTTCCTCACATGATTCTTCCAGGAAATGTGTGCCCAGTCCTGAGTGGCTGAGACCTTTGATGCTTCTGCACTGAGGGGAGCTGTCCACTTTCACTGTGCCCATGGGCAACTGAGCCAGATGGGTGTTGTGATGATCTTTGTGGTGGTGAATTTTGTGTGTCAACTGGAGGGTGTTTTTGGGTAGAAGAACATTTAGATTGACGAGCTCTGGGTAAAACATGGTCTGCCACAATGTGGGTGGGCCTCATCCAATCAGTTGAAGGTGATTGGATGTTGGGAGGGGCCACCTCCCCATGTGACTTTCCCAGTTTCTTCACATTGGTTTTGTGCACAAGCATGACGTGGGAATGTGATCAAAATATGACTTGATTTTCTCCCCACTGTTCCTTCTGAGTATGGACTTTCCCATGGTGCCTGGGCTCTGTGGCCTGAAAGTCCTTCTGAGGTTATAGGAGCTCCTACAGCTTCTGCAGCAAACACAGTCTTCAGCAGGCATGGAGATGCCCGCTCCAGTGTAATACTGAGCACTCTGACTCTGATGAAAGTCAGAGCATCTCTCCTCCCCAACTAGAGCCAGCCATATGGCCCAGGCGAGGGCATGGGCTCAGCTCATTTGCTTGCTTCTCTTCCCACAGGTTTCAAGTTCTGGCTTCTGCCTCCCTCAAGGCTAGAGCTTGGGGGAGAGAAACAGGGAAAAGAGGTAAGAATAACTTTACTTAATGTCTTAGGTGGTTCAGGCTGCCTTAAAGAACACCACAGCCTAGGTGGCTAAAATCACAGACATTGATTTCTTGTAGCTCTGGAGGCTGGGCAGTCCCAGATGGAGGTGCCAGGATGACTGGGTTCTGGGTCGTGGGGAGAGCTGTCTTTCTGGGTTACAGATGGCTGCCTTCTTACTGTGTGCTCACATGGAGGAAGGAGACAGAGCCAGCTCCCTGCGGTTTCTTCTTATAGGGGCATTATTCCTATCATGAGGGCTCCACCCTGAGGACGTCATCTAAACCTAATTATCTACCAAAGGACCCATCTCCAAATACCATTACATTGGGGGTTAAGGTCTCAACATATGAATTTTGGAGGGCACAGGGCAGTCCCCAGCCTTGACTCACGATACCATGAGTTACTGTTAGCTCCCTGCATCTGGCCAATCTCCAGAGCTGCCTCTTCATCACAAGCATGTGCCTGCGGGTCCTTCAGAGGCAAAGGCCCTCAGGAAGAGGGTGATGCTCACCTCACACAGACCTCTTGGTGGCATGACCTCTTTTAAAATGTTCCCAAGACAAGCTCTAGCCTGTGGATTCCTCTCTGGGTCCCTGACCTTCTGCCTCAGCTCCAGGAGATCCTTTCTTTAGATCCTCAGGCATGGGCCAGACACAGCCCACTGCACCCCAACTCAAGGGCCCTTGCTGAGCTCCTCCAAGTGTCCCTTCAGAGCCCCTTTTTGCAGGAGAACTTGCAAATTGAAACCTTGAGGGAAGGACCCAAGATCCTCCCTATTTCTCAGGAGCCCTGAGGTCATCCGCAGCCCTGGCCACACCGGGTGCATAGGATCTTACTCGTCTCTGCTTCCATCTCCTCCTGTTGTCTGGCCTCTTTTGTAAGCTGAGTCCACGTGGTGTTAGAGCTGCTGTGTTGACCACATCTGCCTGCTCTGTGTCTTGTGGCCCAGCTTTTCAAGAGAGACCACCACTGTTTTCTGCCAGACCTTAGAACGGTTAATGGGATCCCTAGGATGTATGTTTTGCTCTATTCAGTCCAGCTGTGGCCACAAGACCACCCAGACCAAACACAGCCACCAAAGCCACAGGCTGGACGGGAGTGGGACAGGCACTCTAGAACATGCCTCCTGTAGCCCAGGGCGAGACTTTATTTTTCCTTATGGGCTGTGGTGTCCAGCTCATTACTTTGCATGAAATAGGCACTGGGCTCACCAGTGAGAAGAATACAGATCATTTTTAGGAAAGGCATTGTGTTTTGTCTTTTTCTCTATATGCTGGCAGCACCATGCAGCATGCTTTATATGATGATGGTGCCTGATAAATATTGTTGACTTATTCACTGGGAAAAAGCCGGTCTAGACATGCCTTCTGGAAATGTCCAGTAAGCCCCATTATTCCTTTTTGCAGTCAATTGTTGTGGAATGGGCCTTTTGGCATTAATCCTGAAAGGGCAGTAAACAAAGATGGCTGTATAATTTTATTGTCTCTGATCTTCCATCAAAGCCAGCTTCCTCGCCTCCACCCTCATCTCTGCCTCATTGCTTCTGGGTTCACCCCCAGTACAGCTGTTGGATCACGCTAATAGCCCTTGGATCTTCATTGTGAACAATAATGTTTGTTTCCAGAATAATTGACTCCAGCAGGGGAAACAAAGGGTATAGAACACTTTATAACACTTACTGTGAAAAAGCGAAAATAAAGAATTTCCTTGATGGCATTTAGTTCAGGGAACACAATTCATCGGAGTTGTCTGTATCTACTTATGTTTTAGTGATTAAATGCTGGGGGAAAATAGCCTCAGACATAAAATACGAAGAGCATTTCTGGCAAAGCCTGTTGGTTTAATTCAGATGTTAAATATTTTCAGCAGGGTCAAGTGCTGAAGGCCCGTATGCTTTGTCCTTCGAGTGAAGCGAGTTCAAATAAAAAGGAGATAATCAGTAGCCCCAACCTGGGATACGCGGCAATGGGGAAGGGGTTAGAGGTCCTCATTTTACAGGAAACGAATGTTTCAGCTCTGGGGCTCTGAGAAAAGAATTTGAAATGTGGGTAATTTCATTATGTAAAAGGCAGCTTAGAAAAATCCTTGTTCCAGGAAAATAGATGGCTTATTTAAGGTTGATTAAATTGGAACTCTCTCACAACAGTTTTGTCTGCCTGCCATTTCCCCAGCTTGGACAAGGGGACATTCCAGTGGAGGAACGGGGCAGAGCAACTGCTCGGAGGAGGCCCTGCCCGGTTTCCATGTGTCATGAGCTAATGGCCAGGAATGGGTGGGCGTTGGTTGGCTTCCTCTTCTCAGGAAGCAAACCCATAGGTCTCTGGGGCGAATTCTAGTCTTTGGGGCCTCCAGCTGCTTGCATTACGAGGTTCACACCCAAAACGTTCTTTATTGTCTCCCCGGTACCTCAAAGCAAGAGATGGGCACTGTGACCCCTTGTCCAGCTGTCCCATAGGGGTGGTCCTGCAGGAGATAACCAGCGGGGCTTCCCACAAAAGTATACTCTTAAACATGGAGAGAAATCTTCATCACACTGATGGGTCAATATGGCTTAATTATTACTAACCCAAATACCACATTTAAATAGGTGAGATTTAGGGAATTACTATTATGTTCACTTTTATGTTCAACTTTCCTTACAACTAGCTATAGTATATAGAGGTAACTGGAAATAACTCTATAAAATGGAATTTTTTATTAAGTCAATTAAATATACACATGAATCAATTTTAGTGTCAACATAGTTAAAATGAACTATGCAATTAGGATAAGATTTAAATAATTGTCTCCTTTATTTAGTAGCTGTACTCACAGACTGAATTAGAAAGAAATAGGTAAACTGAAGTCAGAACATAACTTAAAAATGAAACAAAACAGAATAATACACACAAACTCTTACTTTAAAATAGGAAGTGGCAAGGATTTAGAACAGAATTTTGGAGTGATTCTCCTCTTCCCAGGACCCCTGGATTTGTAGGAGTGTTCTCGAATACTACATGCTACAAAATACTACATACTACAATACTACAAAAAAAAATATATTTTTTGTATTTTTAGTAAGTTGGGGTTTCACCGTGTTAGCCAGGATGGTCTCGATTTCCTGACCTCGTGATCCACCCACCTCAGCCTCTCAAAGTACTGGGATTACAGGCGTGAGCCACCGCTCCTGGCCTGGATATTTGAATTAATAGAGAAATACCCCAATTTATAATTCAGGTGAGGCTTACGGACTTGACACCCAGGACTATTAAAGTGTAAGATAAAATCTGCCAAGACTTTTTTGCAGAGAAACAGCAGTCAATTTCCACAAGGGTTGTTTCTGGGAATTCCTTTTTAAAAACTCAGCTTAATGTATTGCAACATTTTAAGCCTGGGATGACCATGTAGTTTATGGTTCCAGCCTGGCTGCATCTGAGAGTAAAAGGCAAAGCTATAATGTTAATAATTAACTTGGGACAACAGGATCAACTGGGAATCAGGAGAGTGGTCTTCCCGGAAATGAGATACCAACGTAATCATAGCCTTTTCTTTCTTTGGTTCTACCTTCATTGTCCTGATGATTGCTTCAAGTGCTCTCTGAAATATTCCAATGGGTTTAAAATATGTAAAGTTGCAGTATCCGGGAGGGATTGTTCCAGAGAAGCCCTTGAAAGGCAGGAGAGCTCAGTCGCTACGGTACGTGAAGTGAGGTGACACAGTGCTTGAATGGAATCTCAGCATCACCCCTTACTATAGTAGTTCTGTGTCCTACAGCAAGTTATTTCACCTCATGTACCTTGATTTTTCTCATCTACAAAATAGGGATTGTTATGAGGGTTAAAGAACATGAGAAAGCATTCAATGCTTTGCAGCATTATACTGTGCACTCCTTAACTGTAGCTGTTATTATTACTGTATGTTTTAAAATGATGAATTTGATCAGGTTTAAAAACAACAAAATGGAGTCTGACTTCTCCAAAGACTGAGCTTTGCAGGAGCCTGGTTGGATTGGAAGGTGGTACTGATGTTGAAAATGTCTTGTCACATTTTATTAAAGATGAAACTGCTTTTCCTTCAGAAGAGGCACTTAGAAGGGGGAGTCTAAGAAATACATAGAGAAGCATTTGCCTTTCTGTGTTTCTTAGTCCATTTTCTATCACTTATAACAGAATCCCTGAACTGGGTGATTTATAAGGAGAAGGAATTTATTTTTTACATTTGTGGAGGCTGAGAAGTCCAAGGTGGAGGGGCCCCATGGTGAACGCCTTCTTGCTGGTGGGGACCCTCTGCAGAGTTCCGAGGTGGCACAGGGCATCACGTGGTGAGGAGGCTGGTGTGCTACGTCAGGTTTCTCTTCCTCTCCTTATGATATCTCCCACTCCCATGATAATTCATTAATCTATGAATTTATTAACCCATGAACGGATTAATTCATTCATGAGGGCAGAGCTCTCATGACCCAATCGCTTCTTAAAGGCCCCACCACTCAATCCTGCCACATTGGGGATTAAATTTCAACATGACTTTTGGAGAGGACAAACTTTCAAACCATTCCACTGAGCTTTCTGAAGTCTGGCCAGGTCTGCCCTATTCTTGGTGACAGCCATATACTCTGTAACAGCTGCTGTAAGGATGGATACCTTGGTTTGCACGCCTCTGCATGGTTGATGACGCTCTCTCACCTACACCTCCTAAATCCCTAATTGAGCCACTCAAGGAGATGGGGATAGAGGAGATAGAAAGAAACTAGGTAGATAGTGAGGCTAAAAGAGTCATCAACAAGGTTTCCCTTTTAACAAAAAGCAGCCCCCAAACCATTTCTTTTCTAACAAAGAGCAGCCTAAAAATTGGAGCTGCAAACATAGATAAGAAAATCTGGAAGCTTGCACGGGTGAATGCTGGCAACTGTGCCAATAGAAAAGGGCTACCTGGGGGCCAGGTATGTTCAACATGGAGACTCTATCTTTCCTTTTCTTTGTCACCACATGTACAGTAAAGAAGCAGGCAACACGATGCCAGCTAGGTAGAGAAACCATCTGCATAATAAAAGATTAGGATGGGGCGGCCAGGTTTTTCATGCAGTATGCAAATGACACACCTAGTCCGAACCAGTTTTTCGCACCTTATGCAAATGGCACACCTGGTCCAACCAATCTTTCGTGCCCTTTGTAAATCAGACACCTTTATAGACTCCTCAAGCTCATCTATAAAACTCGTTGCATTTCACCTTGGAACTGGCAGCCCGCTTCTCCGGTTCTTTCTCCGTCTCTTTCTCTGTCTCTTTCTCTCACCAATGAAACTTCCGCTGTTAACCTCACTCTGGTGTGTCCGTGTCTTAGTTTTCCACGACCATGAGACAATGAATCTCGGCTATTTACCCCAGACAATGACTGTGCTTCAGTGGCAGGACCCATTTTCCAGATGAAGATGTTGAGGCTCACTCAGGACACAGAAGGAGCCAGCGGCAGAGCCAGAACTAGTGTCGGATTTTAAAACAGGAAACCGGCTTTCCTTCTGCTGCATTGCCCACCTGCCTTCTTTGAGTTTTAGCACGCGGCAAAATCAGAACAGCCACAAGGACGGGCCTCATCACAAAGGCTAAACTTGGAAAGGTGGAGTGAGTATGCGGGCCGGGACTAGTCCTGCTCCAGGCTGCCAACAAGGCACAGATCTTGCAGAAGGTCAGCTAATACTTTTGATTGAAACCATTCTTGGTTGTTTAAATGTTACAAAATCGTAGTGATTTGGAAGGTGTACTGGGCCATTTCTTTTTAAAGGAGGAAGAAGAGCAACTTTGTTTCATCGCGTGTTTCCACAGCATTCTTTGCTTGGTGCACATGTCTAAAACACATATGGATGGAACCACACATGAATGCAAAAGACACACAGTGCTTCAGTTGGCATGTCTAGTAACTGATGTAATGTCTGTGTGTATGCATGTGCGTGTGTGTGTGCGCCTGTGTGCACGTGTGTGTGTGTGCTTCTGTGCATGCACACCCACTGGTGGTAGGGGCTCAGAATCACGCAAGGCTGTCCAGCTGTTTATTTGGATGTGAACGGTTGCACTTGCCCACACGTATGCCAGTTTCACAACATGATTCCGTGCACATGTGCATTTTCCCACCCAGCATCTCTATTTCTCAGCCACTTGGTTTCAAACTTGGAAAAGCTGCATTTGATGTTGAAAGCTAAGTTCACACCAGGCAGGGTATTTTAAAACCGAGCATCTGATGCCTGAAGTGTGAAAAAAACATCTTTCTTATCCTTTTTGTGGGTACCGAATGCCGGCAAAGTTTTTCTTAACTAACTTGGGAACATACAGCATTGACAGGATGCTGGTGTCTCTCAGTCATTGCAGGAAGCACTTTGAAATGATCCTGGACGTTTCAGCCGAAAGACAGCTTCATTAAAATGTTGGTTTGGTAGAAAAGTGGTCTAAGTGTTCAATGACAAGGGTGATCTTCTGAGAAAGGATTACTCAAATTCAATTAATAAAAATGGGGTTATTTGAATTAAAAAAACAAGTATTTATATAAATAGGCTTTGAGGCTTAAAAAGCAAAAGAATAGAAGGGACAGTTGATGGAATCAGGACTAAAGGAAGAAAGGGCTGCAGTGGTGAAGATGGGCAGGTCCCCTCACTAAAATCATTTCAGCATACTCAAATTTGTTTGAACCTTCCCTGGGCCGGTGGTGACTTTCTCAGAGCTGTACCCCAATGTGAGGCTTTTCCTTTCCAGTTCTCCTTCCTTCCCTTCTCTTTCCTGCATCTCAGATCTGCATCCTGAGCTGAAGGCCCCCTTCCTGCTCCTGTTCCCTCTCCCCTTTATAAATCTCCTGCACTTCTGGCTCCAGCTGTCTACTTGTTCCCAGAGGAAGCACCTGATATACCTGCTCATCAGTCTCCTGGGCTTCTTGTTAAAATGAAGATTCTCATTTAGCAGGTCTGTGTGAGCCTGTGATTCTTCACTTCTAGCCAGCCCCCAGGTCCCCTTGATGCTGCTGGTCCCTGGACCCCACATTGAGTAGTGAGACTCATTTGACGCCCGTGTGGTATTTTGTCCCGCAAGTTTATTTTACGTATATATTTCCAACTAGAGTGTAGGCATGAAGGAGAAAAGGACTCATGTCTGGTTCATGTTTGTTTCCCCCTAAGTGTTCTAATAGCACAGCATCTTTCCCTTTGTGCTAAAAGGTAGCAGTTTATATAGAGGGGAGTTGGAGAAAGGCCCCCAGCCTCAACATGTCTTATAGAAAATAAGTTCTGTACTTGCAGAAGTCAAATCTAGTCCCACAATGGGCTTCTACTTGGAAGATAATTTTTTTTTTTTATTTTATTTTTTGGGACGGAATCTCGCTCTTTCACCCAGGCCGGTGGAGTGCAGTGGCGCTATCTCGGCTCACTGCAAACTCCGCCTCCCAGGTTCATGCCATTCTCCTGCCTCAGCCTCCCCAGTAGCTGGGACTACAGGCACCTGCCACCACGCCCGGTTAATTTTTTGTATTTTTAGTAGAGACGGGGTTTCACCGTGTTAGCCAGGATGGTCTCGATCTCCTGACCTCGTGATCCGCCCGCCTTGGCCTCCCAAAGTGCTGGGATTACAGGCGTGAGCCACCGCGCCCGGCCGGAAGATAATTTTTAAGAGTTAGGATAGCTCAGAAAATAAATTATTGAAATAAAAAATTGTATATACTAGTGTCCCCAGTTGAGTGGGAGGCATTATCCACAGTATCAGCTGAAGCCCTGTTTTGAGGCTGAGGTACAGCAGAGATGGCAGAGACTCACAGGCATCTTCCCTAGTCCTCAAATCTTCTAGGATTCAACCACCACCAAAGCTAGGCCACAGGGGTAAAGAAGGGGTACCATGGTACCAAGACCCATGGCCCCCCATTCTCCTTCCTTCCTGTAGAGCAGACGTGGGCAAATTTTGCCTGTATAGGGCCAGGTTTTAAATATTTTACGTTTTTGAGGGCCATAATGTCTCTGTCACAACTTCTCAACTTTGCCCTTGTAGTCTGAGGGCCGCCGTAGACAATAAATGAATGATCATGGCTGTGTTCCAATAAAACTTTATTTACAAAACTAGGCAGTGGGCTCATTTGGCCTGTGGGCCGTTGTTTGCTGGCTCCTGCTTTAGAACTGTGTGTGACAATAGGAGAGGCAAACAGAGAACAGGTTCCTGAAAATCTCTTCTGAGAAGAGCACTTTTCTGCTTATCTCTTATTTCACTCCACGGAGGGAGGTGGCCTTGCCCCATCTGGCAGATGAGGACACTGAGACTCCACGTATCAGCCAAGTTGCTCACATTAGCACAGCTGACAAGAGACGCAGGTGGGTTTGAATCCAGATCTACTGAGTCAGAATCCCATGTCCTTTCTACACTTTCATTTCCTTGCTGTTGCCTTGGAGTAGAGGCTACTAGCTCACAACACCCACTGTGCCAACACAGGGCAACTCTACCCAGCTCTCCTGGAATTGTAACCTATCCCATGCTAACATCACAGGAAACTGTCTCTTACCCAAGTCTTCTGCTAACGAATAGGCAAAGTAAAAAGGACAATGTGTTGCTTTGAAACATGGAGACACTGGGCCGGATTTCCTACAAGAGCCCTTTGTGCACAAGGCAGTGAAACACCAATAGAAAAAAAAAATAACCTTATCACAAATTAAAAGAACAATCTTTAGAAAATAGCTGAAATGTAAGGTTAATTGGAGCCAGAAATGTCAAATTAATGCAGCAATGCACCGGGGAGGCTGCCCTGGCCTTTGTGCACAGAATCAGAGCGCACGATGGAGGGAAGCCGGGAACGGTATAATAGGATTTTAGGGAATCCCCTGTCATATTAAACAGACTGTGCAATTAATTTCTTGCTGCAATGTTATTTTCATTGGCCTATATTTTCTTTGACCTCTCACATTTTTAAAGCTACCAATGCAGGGCAAGTGGGACTTAGGACTGAAACAAAAAAAGCCCCACAATACTGTTTTGACTTAAAATCAGTAGAAATAGGATAAAACTGCAGTGGGGTGGGTGAGTAGTTGGAGCATGCTTGGGGTGAGTTGGGGTTCACAGGTCATTCAATGGGAAGAGGTTGACCTGGGAACCTTATCTCAATCCCTTTCAGAACCCCCACCCCACCCCTGCAGGTCCAATCTGGCAAGGAAGTCTCGGGATACCCAGGAAGGGGGCAGTGGCCTTTATAGCCAAGGTCTTTCATTCACTGAGTGGAAAACACAGGCCAGGCAACTTTCAAAAGCATCACCTTATTTAATCTTCATAAAAGCCCCAGGAGGTATGTTCTATAATTATTTCCATTTTCAGAGGGGGAAATGGAGGCACAGAATGGTTAAGTGCCTGGTGGAAGCCACACAGGTAGTAAACATTCCAGGATGGGATTTGAACCCAGGTCTTCCTGATTCCAGGGGCTGTGTGTTTAACCACATGCTATACTTTCTCCTCTTCATTACGGCACCAAGGTTCACCGGGAGAGCCTGCAGGCCATATAATCACAATCGAATTACTTTTTACTTTTAGTTGTGGTAAAATAACACAAAATTTACTATTTCAATCGTTTGTAAATATACAGTTCAGTGGCATTAAGTATATTCACACTGTTGTGCAACCATCACCACCAACAGCCGTCTCCAAAATTTTTTCATCTTGCAAAATTGAAACTCTATTTCCATTAAGAACTCCTCATTTTCTACCCCCTCAGTCCCTGGCAACTACCATTCTACTTTCTGTTTCTATGAATCTAACTACTCAAGGTGCCTCCGTGTTATAGCATGTGTTAGAATTTCCTTCCTTTTTAAGGATTAATATTTCACTGTATGCACATACCACATTTTGCTTACCCATTCATCTGCCAATGGACATTTGGTTTGTTTTTGCTTCTGTCTATTGTGAATAATGCTGCTATGAGCCACAATCAATTTGGGGTGTGACTGTCGAGAGTTGCATTAGGGAATTCCTACGTAGAAATGGAATGTTCTGTGTCCTAATGGTGGTGGTTGTTATAGGAATTTATTCATGGGGTCAGATTGCTTAGACATGCGTGCACACACACACACTCACACACACACGCACGCAAACACAAACACTGAAAGAATGTAAAAACTGGTGAAAAGTGAATAAGGCCTGTCATCTAATTATTAGTATTGTACCAAAGTCAGTTCCCTGGTTTTGATATTGGGCCACTTTTCTATAGGAGACCACTGTTAATAATAGTTCTGTTCTATAGGTGAGTGCACAGACTCAGTATTTTTGCAATTTTCTGTGAGTACATAATTATTTCCCAGTAAAAAGTTAAAGAATTGCACACTTTAAAGAGAAGTTAGTAATCGACTTGCTGCATCAGCTCAGCTACCAAGTGTTGTCATATTATGAGGCACCAGGTGAGGATATCACCAGAAGTCTTTCACGGTTTCCTGAATTATTAAGGACCACTCATTACTACATTAGGAGAAAATTCCGAAGAAAATTTTTGTTCACCAGAAAAATGATCCAATGTCTGTAATGACAGCAAGGGAGGAGGTTGGAACATTGTGTTTGGCATTTTATTTGTGCAAAGGGAAGGGCTTAGCGCTTTGTTCTTGTGAGGCACTGGACATCTGGGGAACTCAGCACACAGTGGGGCGCAATGATCCTGAGTCATAGGAATCATGACTGCATTTTACGTATGAGGAGATGGAGGCTCTGAAGGGGTCAGTGACTGTCCAGAGTCATGTGGTCAGCAGCCAGCCAGGCTGGGCTCATTTAATGACAGAGTTTTTGTTCTTCCACCGACACCATTCTGCTTTCCAAGGGAAACTGAGCTACAAAGAATAGAGGGTGTGAACGTGGACTGTGTTTGCCTGGTCTATTGCTGGCGGTGAAACAAAAATGATGTGAGATCCTGGGTTCTCAGTGTGACGATACTAACGGATGTCTATGTTGAAATTATTGAGGATCAAATTGTCATTTACAAAATGCCTGAGCAACCAGTAAAAACATCAGGTACATTCTAGTATTGGGATTGGTGTTTTTGCAAGGCATATAGCATATTTTTATTATTTATTTATTTATTTATTCTGTGACAGGGTCTCTCTCTGTTGTCCAGCCTGAAGTGCAGTGGCACAATCTCAGCTCACTGCAACCTCCGCTTCCCTGGCTCAAGCAATCCTCCCTTCTCAGCCTCCCGAGTAGCTGGGACGACAGGCATACACCACCATACCTGGCTGTTTTTTTGTATTTTTCATACAGATGGGATTTTGCCATGTTGCTCAGGCTGGTCTCAAACTCCTGAGCTCAAGCGATCTGACCACCTTGGCCTCCCAGAGTGCTGGGATTACAGGCATGAGTCACCACACCTGGCCCAGCATTTAAATAGAAGACAAAATGCAGACGTTTGCTATGTTGGGCTTCATGAGAAAGAATATATGTATCTGGAAATTCTTTGGATGGACTTGGCATAGGGAATTTGGGGGGATGGATATATTTAAAAGCAAGAATTATAAAATCCGGGTATCATTGCTAAAATATGCTCTACCTTTCTTGAAAAATGTTGGTTCCTGGAATTGCTGGAATGCCTACAACTTAAGACGACAGTAGTTCATGTTACTGGGTCCAGTCTCCCTCTGTATCATGTGGGGTCAAAGCATTCATCCATTGTCAGTCTAATTTGGAATAAAATGTTATATTAATTCAGAAATGTCTCAGGAGACATGAATGGCTTTCAACGACCACTCCAGCAGTGTGCTCTAGGAAAACAGGAGAAACCTCTCTGCACTGTAAGCAGTGCCTCTCAGCAAACCAGAGGCCTTGCCAAGGGCAGATTGGAGAGCTGGCTTTCTCTCTTTTGCAAACAAAGAAAGTGGGCATTTGGCTCTTCTACTTCAATTCTCACTACAACCTCGTAAGACAGATATTGTTTTCTCTATTTTGCCACTGAGGAAACTGAAGCTCAGGGGAGTTAACTTGTTGAGGGTGACAAACTAGTAAACAAAATAGTCAGGCTTGATCCTACTTTTGGATTCCAAGTCCAGCTCTCACCCCTGTATGCTATGATGAATTTCCTGTCATTTGGTTCTTCCAGACAAATGACAAAGTCAAAGATGAGAAAATTCTGGCTTCTTTACAGATTTCCATAGATATATTTTCAGTGTATGCATCTACATGTATGTGTGTATTTATGCACACATTAGCACTTACCACTTAGCATATACGATGAAACTTGATCTTTGATATAATTTTTTTTTGAAAATGTTCATGTCTTATATGAAATGTGCAATTGTTAAAAATCCACCCAAACTGAAAAATGACTTTGAGTGTGTTTAGCCAACTTAGCAATTCATGATCTCTTAGGAGACATCAAATGTGATATATAGATAAGTGTATACAGCTGGCGTATTTCCAGTACTTCGGGCTCCATTGAGAATTTAGAATTCACAAGTATCTTTCGTTCCTTCTTGCCCTCCCCCTACAATTTCCCCAATTATTTGTATTTCCAAAATGCTGAAAGGTGGGGAGGATTTATCTGTAATATGGACAAATCCTTAATTGTCTCTGCCAACCAGGTGGCTAGTAGATGAACCTCTGTATTTCAGTGGTGTAGGCATTAACTTATAGTTAAATATTTGCACGTGTATCTAATTGTCTATGCGAAATTGTTCCTGCCAAATAGAAATCTGGTTGAGCCTTCAAAATAACTTGGCATCCAACATGCATTAATATTTTAAACCATCGCTAACACTTGGTGCAGTAGATCCAATTTTACTAATGTGTTTTTTTAAAACACCTCCCACTGCTGTGTGTAATTTTTGAATATTTGTGGCATGCTTAGAATGCTACTGTAAGGTTCCAAGAAACAAGAATTGTGATGATGTACTCACAGTGCTCAGATAATCAGTAGAAAAATCCCCAAATCGAGTTTCATCAACGAGTTTGTTTTCTTTTCCCAAATGATGTCAAAAAAAAAAAAACTATTTTGATAAGTATAGCTCCTGAGTTAACTTTGTGTTACTGCCCAAGTGTAGAGGGAGTTGACCACTTAGCACAACACGGGATGGATGAAGGCACGGCGATAATGATTCAGGCTTTGACCCATGAGTGAAGTCCTTCTCAAACACCCATGGAGTGCCTGTCGGGTTCCTGGCTCAGTGTCAGGGCAGAGCAATGTCCTCCCTCCTGGCATTTGCAGGGATGGGGCAGATGGCGTTTGAGGGAGAGAATTATTCACCCTGCTTGAGGAGGGTTGTGAATTCGGAGCCCAGAGCAGAACCCTCAGATAACGTCCTGCAGGGAGGCAAGGAAGGGGCCAAGGCTGTCCAGGCAGAAGGAGCAGCCATGAGCCAGAGGAGGAGAGGGCAGAGGAGGAAGGATACAGCAGGCTTGGGGCACGCTGTGACCTTGGAGTTGAGATCATGAAAACACTTGCAAGTTGAGCTCGGCACTGTAGACTGACCTGAGGGATTTCCAGTGGGGTCGTGAGGCGCTTTGCTGACTGCTGAACCCATCTGTGATAAGCAGCTCATAGCCAGCCATAGCATTGACACTGGGGAAACTTCACTAACTGCCCAAGAGCCTGTTTAATATACTGTGATCCTGCCCCGTAGAGATAGATCACCCTCCCTGTCATTGTACCCCTCGACCCTGAGGTCTCACTTCTACAAAGATTGTGAGGTTAAACAGGTCTGAGAAATAATACTGGAAGTTAGAATTCAAAAGCAACATCAGTGCAGCTAAACGCTTGGACAGGACAGTGGCCATCTATGTATTTCATTTAACAAACATGTATTTTGTTCAGTGGCTTTCCAACCAGACAAAATGTCGGGAGACCGTTTTGGTTGTCACAAGGAGATCGGAGGTGCTACTGGCATCTGTTGGGTCGAGGCCAGCGATGCTACTGAAGGTACTACAGTGCCCCAGACAGGCCCTACCAGACAGAATTATCTGGCCCCAGATGTCAACAGTGTGAGGTTTAGAAACCCCGATTCTGTACCTAGTAGCTTCTGGTAGTCACTACAACTATCGAGGTCCATGAGACTTGATTCATGCCCTTGAGAAGCTTGTGATCTACAGCAAGGAACGGGGTGGAGATGTATAGCTAGGGGTCACTGAAGGTCTCAAAGCTGTTGGTTTCTAGAAGCGGGAGTGCCCCGCAGCCAAGTCTTTGCATAGACTCATTGGGCACGGGGTTGCCCTGCCCAGGACTAGGATGTTTGCTTTGCCTTTTCTTATGTGAGAAACAAGCCATGTCCTTCCTTCGTTGCTGGGGCTGGCTCTTCTTTTAGCCTACATAAAAAAGTGACACTGGCGAGGGGAAGTTGAAATGAGAAAAAAAGATGAGGGGAAGAGGGCCAAGAAAAGAGAGGCTGAGTTTAGAATGTTATAGCTGTACCTTTAATTTCTAGATCATATTTTATTTGCAGAGACATTTCAGAGGGATTGAGAAAGGCAAAGGACCTTGGCTTAGTTTATTTATTTATATATTTAAATATTTATTTATTTATTTGAGACGGGGTCTCATTCTGTCACCCAGGCTGGAGTGCAGTGGCCTGATCTCTGCTCACTGCAACCTCTGTCTCCTGGGTTCAAGCGATTCTACTGCCTCAGCTCCTGAGTAGCTGGGATTACAGGTGTTTGCCACCATGCCCTGCTAATTTTTATATTTTTAGTAGAGAGGGGGTTTTGCCATGTTGGCCAGGCTGGTCTTGAGCTCCTGACCCCAGGTGATCCGCCTGGCTTGGCCTCCCAAAGTGCTGGGATTACAGGCATGAACCACCATGCCTGGCCCTTGGCTTAGATTTTTGCAGCCCATGAGTTCTGGGTCAGAGCTGACACATAAGAGGTCATATCTTTTTTTTTCTCTCTCTTTCTTTCTCTCTCTCTTTCTTTCTTTTTTTCCTTCCTTCCTTCCTTCTTTCTCTCATTCTTGCCTCCCTCTCTCCCTCCCTCCTTCTTGTCCTTCCTTCTTTCCTTCCTTCCTCCCTTCCATCTTTCTCTTTCCCTTCTTTCTTTATTATTTTTTAAAATGAATTGTACTGCATAATTAAATGTTTACAACATGATGTCATTATATATATAAATGATTAAACACGTTAACATATCCATCATCTCACGTGAGAGGTGCCTAATAAACATTTGTTGAGTTGCTTTGCACTCTGGTGCCCTTTCAGGCGGATTATTTTTATGGTGTCAAGGTTTCAAAATGATGGTGTAGCTTGTCCTGGAGGGAGTAGCCCCATCAAGAAGCATCCTCTACCTCTCAGCAGGCTCATTATCTGAGACTTGGCCACAATTCTTCTGCCTGCTTTTGCAATCGGGCTAGTTACCGAAGTCCCTGCTTCCTGCTGACCTTCTCACCCCGTTGAGGGCAAGCTGCAGCTGCACCACCCACCAAAACACTCACAGATTCCCAGATGTTTGTCTCTACTTGGCCCGAATGCCCCATTGCAAGGCTTCTGCAAACCCGAGCCCGCAGTAACCCTTCATGAGACCATGTTGGTTTGACAAAGTCATTCACTGGAACCTTGGGTCACAAGAGTCACTAGAGTCTTAGTGGCAAGAAATTGACAGAATAGGGGCTGCAGATGGACCCCACGCCCACACTGAAGCAGAAGAGTGGCATGAATGGAGAAGAAAACACAAAAATTCCTGTGTGCTGGAGAAAGATTATGCTGGCTTACCCACTGGGCTCCCGCTGAGCCCAGTTGTAATTGGAATGTACTCTTTGCAAAGTTTATTGGGTCCTGGAGCGACTTGTTACTGAACTGGTCAATTAATCTATTATTATTATTTTTTAATGAGTTAGGGGATTTCCTTTAGCAGAAAATCACCAGGAAGCATGACCAAATGCCCAGAACTCAGGGAGAGGCTGGCCTTTCCTTCTAGAAAAACCTACTCAACAATTAAAGGAGGAAATGGACGCCTCCTGCTACAGGTGGCAAATTGGGCTGGTCTGGGAACTAAGAGGAAGGATTTATTCTGCTTGGAGGTGAGCATGGGGAGATCACCATGAAACCTGATTACTCAAGTGCAGCAGTTTGAATGTTCGGAAATAAAGCCATTGAGTCTCCCTGCTGAGAGACAAATGATTTCTATTTAAAAACCTGCTTGTTCTGTGCAGTAACTCCCAATGTAGTAATAATTAATGATATCAGAAGGTTAAGAAAGACCTTCTGCTGGAATCCCTCTGCTCCAGGCATGAAATTGGATTAAAGTGAAGATAAACTTAGACATTGAATCTGTTGAGGAAATCAGTAATTATGTGGAAATGCACACATTTGGAGTTATTTGAGTGAGTCAAATTGATGCTCTGTCTCTGGTCTTGTTCCAGGCATTTGGGTGTGTGATGGAAATGAACTGTCAAAAGGGGTCACTTAAACAGGGCATTGTAGCCACTTTAGTCCCAACTCTAGGTTTAAGTTTTTCCCCCAAGCGAAGCTTTGTTGGCTTTTTGGGCAATACCTAATGGCTATTCCTCACTTTTCTTTATTGACAAATACTTTTTTCAGCAAGACAAAATAGAGATCAAAGGATGTTATTTCCCAGGCTGTCTGGCTGGTGAGCGTGGCTGTGTGACATGGTTTCAGCCAAAGACATTTAAGTGAAAGTCTGCTGGGTAGGTCTTCATGGAAAGTTGTTGATTTTTTCTGATGAAAATGGACAGGGTCAGCCAGCATGTGCTTTTTTCCATTTTCCTTTAGTCCTCCCCTCTCCTTCTTTTCTCTGCCTGGAACAGCAATGCAGAGCCTACGGTTGGGCGCCATTTTGTAATCATGGAGATAAATTTTCTGTCCTAAGGATGGTGCAGTCAGCAGCTGGAGGGAACCTGGCTCTTTCTTGATTTCCTTGGGCAGATGCGAAGGAGGAGGGTTGGCTGTCAAGTATTCTAAATGATCAAGCTTCAAACCGTAAAGTTTAGATTTAGAATCAAATTCTTTTTCTGATTTCAGGCAGAGAGCCAAAAGAAGTGGGATGCCACATGGGAGGGCTTTGTGTGAGGCTTCCCTGGCCTCCCAGGAGGAAGAAGCCACTTGTCTTTCTCCTGGCCCCTGAGAGAATGGGCTGGGCCATCTGTAGCACATGCCCTGGCCATGGGAAGGATGGAGGGGTTGACACCTTCCATGATGTGTGGCTGAGGGATGTGGATTTTGGTCCCCTCTGGGACTCCTCAGTCACCCTCAGCTTATCACATGTCTGCCTCCAGGGCCCCAGTCCATTCTGTGTGCTCTGGATTGATTCTGAGTTGAACACATGGTATCCTGGTATCAATGCCTTTAGGATTAATAGAAAAAAAAATATGTGCTTTCCCTCTTCCTGCAAATATCCAAAGGTCTAGACAGCAAGGACTAGAGTTCCACCTCATCAGATCTCCTTGTCCTTAGGATGTCACCGTTTGGATCCAGGCAAAGCCGGACCAGAGGCTATTTTCCTCCTTTGTGATGGGCTTGCTCTGCTCAGCTACTCTAGGCTACGGAGCTGGGGCATGGGGACCGTGTGCTGAGCAGGCCCTTCTGAATTTGAGCAGGGAATAGATTTGAGGCTGGGTACCTCTTGAAAAACACCTTCCCTACCAGCAGAGGTCCTCAGCTCCCTCACACTTACTGGGTCATGTCGCTAAAGACCTTCCTTGGAGGAAGGGTCCAGCATCCGTTCTTGAATCATTTAAAGCCACACCTCCATGCATTGCTTCCATCAGTCCTTATAATAACCCATGAGCTAGTTATTTTTAGCTTCATATCACATATAAGAAACTGAGTCTTTAAGAGCTTCCATATCTAGGCCAAGACCACAAAGTCATTCCATGTCAGAGCTGGGCTGAGTTTCATGGAGTCTTTTTCCTCTTTCCTTACTACTTCCACACTGGCTCCTCCTCCTTTCCAGGCATTCCCTCCTTTGGTGGAGCCCCAGGAATCACAGAGACTGTTCACCGACCTGCTTGCATGCATATATCTGGGGTTCCTTTCCTTCCTGGGTACACAGCTAAACTGCTTTTCCCAAGGCCTCACCTGAATTGGTTGGTACAATGAGTTTGAACCAATGATGTGGGAAGAAGTGATTTTTGCTACTTTCCATCCTGGCCCCTAAAATGTCTTGTGTGATGCAGACTCTTTGAATGTGAAGGATCCAGGAGACATTAAGAAGACTAGTGGTCTGAGCCACAAGATACAAGGGGTCTGACACATGCTTGGAAGAGAGCTGCCCAGCTTCCATTGGCCTATTATGCCAGTGAGAAATGTGGTTGTTTTTTTTTTTGACGCAGCAGCTAGTGTGAGTAATCCTGACAAAGACAGGCTTCTTGGGTTGCTGACACACAAATGTTTGTCTTCGATCTTGTAAAGGTTATGACTGCTTAGTGGGGAGAAACCATGTTCCAGATATTCTGAGATGGGTGTAAGGTTTTGGTGAAGATGGTCTGTACCAACTTGAAATTTCTATGATGATATTTCTTTGAAGATTGTTGACATGGTTATGTTTTTTAGGATGGAGCCACAAAGGCATGCAAATAGCCACTGCCCACCAGTTATTGGTGCTCTCTGTCTTTAGTCTCTTAGAGTTTTTCCCCAGTGGTGTCTAAATTCCTCCGTGGGGTTTTCCCTGAACACAAAACTGAATTTCTTGCAGCCACTTCCTAAATCTAACTTGTAAGGAATTATTCTCATGTTACTGAGACTGCTCTAGACACTCATCGCCTTCTATCTTACATCCCAACACACATACACACACACACACACGCACACACACACACACACATTTACAGAGGTTAGTTTCATATTGTTTTGTTTTGATCTCCCAATAGTAGTGTGTTTGAGACTGTATGTATTGGAGAGCAAGTTACTTCATTTCTGAAATTCAGTTTCTCCATGTTCCACGTGGAGGTAAAAATACTTATCTCTCTCTGTGGGTTGTAGTGGGAACGTATGTGATAACCTGTGTAAAAGTGCTGAGTTCTGTGCTGGGACCTCAGTGAGCTCTCTCAACAGGGGATATGATGTTTATTAACTGCACGGACTTGTGTTCAGAATTTCAGCAGAGGGTGGGGCAAGTCCAGAGTTTAAGTTGCTTGACAGTGGTTTGATAAGTATGTGTGCTTTGAGAAAACACATAATCTGAAAGGAAATACTGCCAATGATTTGCAAGAAAATCTATCTTTTAAATAAATTAATATGATTTATTTTTAGAGAAGTTTTAGATTCAAAGCAACATTAGGTGGAAGGTACAGAGACTTCCCACATAACCCCTGCCTCACCCTCCCCAACCACTCCCACTGCTAACATCTCACACCAGAGTGGTACATCTGTTACAACTGATGAAGCTACATTGACACATCATTACCCCCCAACGTTCATCATTTACATTAGGGTTCACTCTTGGTGTTGTACAATCTGTGCTTTTGGACAAATGTACAATGACATGCATCCACCATTGTAGTACCTTACAGAATAGTCTCAGTGCCTAAAATTGTCTGCACTCTGCCTATTTATCCATTCCTCCCCACTGCCCAACCCTTATTTTTCTCCTATGTTATCTGCTAGGAGTTTTATAGTTTTGAATTTGAGTTAATTTTTGTGAAGGGTGGAAAGCCTGTGTAAATTTTTTGTGTGTGTGCCTATGGGAGTCTAGTTGTTCCAGCGCCATTTGTTGAAAACACAATCCTTGCTCCATGTAATTGCTTTTGCTCAATTTTCAAACAAACATGAGTTGGCTATTTAATGTGGTCTATTTCTGGGCTTTTTATTCTATTCCATTGGTGTATTTTTTTCAACAGTAGCACACAGTCTTAATTACTGTTGCTTTATGTTAAGTCTTGAAGTCATGTAGTAACAGTCCTCTGACTTTGTTTTTCTTCAGTGTTGAGTTGGCTGTTCTGTTGCCTCTACATATAGACTTTAAAATCAATTTGTCAATATGCACAAAATAAATTTCTGGGACTATTATTGGGTTTGTATTAAGTTTATAAAGCTGGGAAAAACCGACATATTGACAATATCAGATCTTCCTATCCATGTATATGGAATATCTCTCTATTTGTTTACTTCTTTGATGATTTTCATCAGAGATTTGTAAGTTTTGTAATTTTCCTCATGTAGATCTCGTACATATTTTGCTATATTTATACCTAAGTATTTAATTTTTATATGCTCATGTAAATGGCAATGTGTTTTTAATTTTACATTCCACTTGGTCATTGTTGGTATGTAGGAAAGCAATTGATTTTATGCATTAGCCTTGTATCCTACAACCTTGCTAATATTGCTTATTAGTTCCAGAGGATTTTTTTGTCAGTTCTTTCAGATTTCCTACATAGATGATCATGTCATCTGCAAACAAAGACAGCTTTAAGTTTTATTTATTTCTTCCCAATCTGTATAGCTTCTCCCCAGCCCATTTTCTTGTCTTATTGCATTGTCTAAGACTTCCAGTATATTGTTAAAAGGCAGTGGTGAAGGAGCACATCCCTACCTCATTCATAACCTCCGTGGGAAAACTTCAAGTTTCTCACCTTAAGAATTATGTTAGCTGTAGTTTGTTTCTTCTTTTTTTGGTAGATGTTGTTCATTAAGTTGAAGAAGCTCCCCTTTATTTCTAGTTTGCTGAGAGATTTTTAAAAAATCTTAGATAGGTGTTGGATTTTGTCAAATGCTTTTTTTTTTGCATCTGTTTACATGATTATTTGATTTTCCTTCTTTATTCTGTTGATGTAATTTATTACATTAATTGATTTATCCCTCACATACGTGGGATAAATCCTACTTGGTTGTGGTGCATAGTTCTTTATATATTTTGTTGGATTCAATTTGAAAATATTTTCTTGAGAATTCTTGTATCTTTTCTTTTAATGTCTTTGGTTGGTATTGGGGTAATGGCAGCCTCATGATGATTTAGGAAGTATTCCCTCTCTTCCTATCTTCTGGGAGAGAATATTGAGAATTGGTATAATTTCTTCCCTAAATGTTTGGTAGAATTCACCAGTGAACCCATCTGGACCTGGTGCTTTCTATTTTGGAAGGTTATTAATTACCGATTCAGTGATAGTAATAGATATAGGCCTATCCAGATTGTTTCTTCTTGTTTGAGTGTTGGCAGATTGTGTTTTCTGCTTTTTATGGTTTAATTGAGGATTTTATATGATTTTCTCCTTTCTTAGATATCAGTTATGCTTTCTTCCCCTCTTTTAGTGGTTTCCATAGAATTTTAAATATATTTTACAACTAATTCAAGTCCACTTTCAAACAACACTGTACTACTTCATAGGTAATGCAAATACCTGGTAACCTTGTAATAACAAAATAGTTTGAATTCCTCTCTTCCATCCCTTGTATCATTACTATCACTTATTTGAATTATACATAAGCATATATACATATATATACATACACAATTGAATATATGATTGTTATTATTTTGAACAAAGTGTTATCTGTTTGATCAATTAAGGATAAGAAAAATAAAACATTTTAATTTTACTTTCACTTATTTATTCTCCGATGTGCTTCCATTCTTTATGTAGATATGGATTTCTGATCTATATGATTTTCCTTGTCTCAGAACTTCTTTTAATATTTCTTGCAAGGTAGGTCTGCTGGTAACAAGTTCCATTAATTTTTGTTTGTCTGAGAAAATCTTTATTTCTTTTTCACTTTTGAAGGATAAGTTCACAGGTTACAGAATTTTAGGTTGGTTTTTTTTTTTTTTTTTATCTCTCAACACTAAATATTACACTCCACTCTCTTTTTGCTTGCGTGGTTTCTGAAGAGAAGTCAGATGTAATTCTTATCTTTGCTTTGCTTTTTCTTTAAGGTTTTTTTTTCTTCTCTGGATTCTTTCAACATTTTTTCTTTATCTTTGATTTTCTGCAATTTGAATATAATATGCTTATATGTAGTTTTTTTCTTTTTTTGCATTTATTCAGCTTAGTATTCTCTTAGGTTCTTAGATCTGTCGTTCAGTGTCTCACTTTAATTCAGGAAATCTCAGTTATCATTACTTCAAATATTATTTCTATTCCTTTATCTCTTTCTTCTCCTCCTGATATTCCCATGTATGTTATACCTTTCATAGCTGTCCTATAGCTCTTGATTACTTTGCTCTGATTTTTTTCCGGTATATGTTTTCTCTTTGCTTTTCCGTTTTGGAAGTTTCTATCATTATATACTTATGCTTAGATACTCTTTCTTCAGCTGTATAAAGTATGGTATTGAGTCTGTCAAAAGCATTTGTTATTCATGTTAAAGTGATCTCTAGCATTTCTTTTTGATCTCTCTTAGAATCTCAACTTCTTTTCTTACATTATCCATCTGTTCTTGCATGTTGTCTACTTTTTCCATTAAGGCCTTAGGGTATTAAGTTTTAAGAAAGTTCCTGGTCTGATAATTCCAACATCCCTGCCATAGCTGAGTCTACTTTTGGTGCTTGTTCAGTCTCTTCAAACTGTGTTGTTTGCCTCTTCGTATATCTTGTAAATTTTTTGTTGAAATCTGGAAATGATGTACTGGTAGAAAGGAACTCTGTTAAATAGACCTTTAGCTGTGTGGTGGTAAGGTGTGGGGTGGGAGAAGCATTCCATTGTCCTGTGATTAGGTCTCAGACTTCCGGTGAGCCTGTGCCCTGGACTGTGAACTTCACCAGTGCATTTCAGTTTTTTTTTGTTTCCCACTTAGGTGGGACAGGATGGGTAGAGGAATCTGGGGTTGGGTAACTTCCTTCCTCCAGGTAAGTTAGGCTTTGATAATATGCCAGCAGGTTAGGCTCTGGTAAAAGTGTTTCTCCTCAGAGCAGGCCTTGTTAAAAAGACCAGAATGCTCTGGCATATTTCAAAATGGTTCTTTCTCTTCCTTCCCCTTTTGGAAGCACAAGGGGATTTTCTCTGATATTTACTGTAAGGACTTGTTGGAGCTCTTGGAGGTAAAACTCACGAAAGCATGGGGATTCCCCTATGACTGGGTCCCCTCTGGAGTTTTTGACTCTCAAACTTGTCCATGCTGAGCCTCCATCAATTATAGTTCAGGTTTCCTACCTCAACACTGGTCTTCATGGAGTTTCCTGCTCGTGGGTTTTGCATCCAGAAAGTTGTGATTTTCTGCCTCTGCCTGTTCATTTCTCTGATTTTTGGTGCATTGGTTTGCCCTGTGACCCCAGTTCTCCGACATATCTAGCAAGAACTGTTGATTTTTCAGTTTGTTTGGCTTTTCACTTGTTAACTCCTTACATGCCAGGCCCAAAACTGGAAGCCAATCAGTTTATTTTAAAAAGAGTTCTTAGGTTTATTAAAAAATTAACATTTTATGAGGATTCCAGGATTCTCCTTCCATTTTACTTTACCTTTTATTCTCTGTTTCAGTTAAAATTTACTTTCTAAATCTCTCCCAAGAAAAGTTAGTATACACTATGGGGATTATTTAAATTGAACAGTCCCATACAATTGAATGCTTATTTATTAACTATGGTAGTAGACAAAGACTTCCCTTCTCCTGCTCTCAGCGGTAGCTTGCTGACACTTGAGATCGGAATACGAATTTAGAAGACGTGTTCCTCTCGGTGAATGCAGCAAATTAACAGAATGTTCCTTTCGGAATGGCTTCTATTTGGAGTGTGCTTTATGGTACCTTGGCTCTTCTGTTTCATTACATTTTAACTTTGCTTTTTCTAACATCATTGGAAGTGGCCAGAGTTGGCAGCTCTTGCATCATGTATCCAAGGAAATATTTTGGGGGCTATTAATTCTCAACAACTTCAGCTGGCAAATGGAAAATCTGGAAACAAATGAGTTTGGCGGGCAGCCCAGGCTGTCAAACCAGGCTCCTGTTCATTAGTGAGGACCCACCTTTTGTGCTCTGGTGCAGTTCTACTTTGCAGATGGTTTCTTTATCTGAGTTAGTGGACAGCTTTGGGAGCTGGAGGATTATTACTCTACTCACTCAAGCAGGAACGTGGAGGCACGGAGAATTGCATAAAGGAGAGGCACAACCACGGTCTCAGTGGAAGGGTCTTGAGGTATTCTACTTGCACGGTTGTTTTTCTCTCCTGGACTCTTGAGGTTTGCATTTCAGTCCCATGGATGAAGAAATATGAACTCAGAAAAATACTTTTCTCTCCCTTTTGGAACAGGAAGTCACATTCTGACACGTGTCATATGTGTGTCTTGCCCATGAGCAGAACTCTGGGTGTCTTGGCTGCTCCATCATTCTTTCCTCATCCAGCTCTTTCCTCTCCACTCACCATCTTGGTCTCTGGGGTTCCCCTTGTCAAGTCAGAAAAGTGGGAAAAACTTCTGGATGTTCTACCTCTCCTCTTCCTCCATTTATTTCTTCTCTAGAAAAGAACTTTTATTTTCTTATTACAAAAGTATTGCATGATTCCTGTTGAAATTGTGCAAAATGCACTCAGTTGAGTTTAAACTGGGATCCACTGGTCAACAGGGTTGGGGGGATGATGCACCTTATTCCCACCCCCCCCGACCAATTGATTTGTATGAGTTTACTATTAGTTTTCTTTTTGCAGAGGATAAGGTAAGAGGCTTGCAAAGGGAGAAGAGACACATTAATCATAGCATTTTAAACACAAGAACTGTAGAAACCCACTTGGCCTTCCTCCATGGAAACTTATTTAGGAATTGCATTTGATTTTCTAGAACTTCGTCTAAGTCAGCAGTTTGTAAAGGATGGCCTAAGGACCCCCAGGGATCCCGAAGTTTCTTTCAGACGGTCTGCAAGATCCTCCCATTTCCAATGACATGTCTGTGTGAACCTGGATTTTCTTTGCCTAATTCAACCCAACAAAATATTGCAACAGATTGGATGCAGAAGCAGACCCAATAGTACAGCTGTCTTCTGTGATGCCAGATGTTAAAAGAGATTTGAAAAATTTAAACCAAAGCCTCTCTTCTCATTAAAATTTTCTCTTTTATAGTTGTTCTAATACAATATTTATATTAACATGTAATGGGTTTTTATTGTTATTTTAAAAGGAACTATTACATATTTTAAAATTTCTCAGTTTTCATTTCTAATAAAGTAAATTTTGATAGATAAAACCAAAATAATACAATTGCTTTGGGATCCTCAATAAACTTTAAATATGTAAAGGGATCCTGAAAACAGAAAGTTTAAGAATAACTATCTGAGTTATCTCAGATAACTGCACCTTAAAAGCAACAGTTGTTTGGAAGATGTCCTTCAACTATAATGGATAATAAATGATGATATATTCATACATGGAATACTATAAAGCAGTGAAAATGGATAAGCTACAGCTACACACAATTATATGTTGAATAAAAGCTCCTAGGCACAGAAGAATATATATAGAAGAGTTTTTAAATTTTTTTTTTTTTGAGATGGAGTCTCGTTTTATCACCCATGCTGGAGTGCAGTGGCATGACCTCAGCTCACTGCAACCTCTGCTGCTCAGGTTCAAATGATTCTCCTGCCTCAGCCTCCCAAGTAGCTGGGACTACAGGCGTGCGCCACCACGCCCAGCTAATTTTTTTGTATTTTTAGTAGAGATGGGTTTCGCCATGTTGGCCAGGCTGCTCTCAAACTCCTGACATCAGGTGATCTGCCTGCCTTGGCCTCCCAAAGTGCTAGGATTACAGGCGTGAGACACCGTGCCCGGCCCCTTTTTACTTTTTTAATTTTTATTTTGTAGAGACGGGTGTCACTATGCTGCCCAGGCTGGTCTCTCGTGGCTTCAAGAGATATTCCCACCTTGGTCTTCCAGAGCACTGGAATTGAAGGTATGAGCCACTGCATCTGGACCACATTGTAGGTTTAAAAACTAGTAAAAATAAATGATAGTGCTTAGGGATGCATACCTAGGTGGTAAAAGTATAAAGAAAGGCACAGAGGTGGTACATTGAAAGTCAGGATGATGATTGCCTTCATGGGGTTGGGTGAGGGCTGCACATGGGAAGAGTGTGTAGGAGCTTCCTGGAGCTGGCAGTACCTAACTTGTATACATTGAGACCTGATGCCTTTCTCTCTGTGTGGGTCTGCTGGTTATTAACCTCTTGACGTTTAGCTTTAAACCCACATTTTTATATACCTTTCTTGATGCTGGGGCTGGGACTCTGGAAAACACATTCTCCTTTGCCACATGGCTCTGTAACGCACTGACAGTAGGGGCCTCTGGAGAGAGGCTGGTAGGCTAGAGGAGGGAGATGGGATTCGTTATTTCTCTTGGCTTTCTGTTCTTGTCAATGTCTCTGCAGCCACACTCCTTCACCCTAGCAGGTCCAGTCAATTCCAGTAGCAGCTGGTGAGTCCAATTTGTAGCTTTTTTTTTTTTTTGAGGTGGAGTTTCGCTCTTGTCACCCAGGCTGGAGTGCTATGGCGCAATCTGGGTTCACTGCAAGCTCCGCTTCCCGGTTTCATGCAATTCTCCTGCCTTAGCCTCCTGAGTAGCTGGGATTACAGGCGCCTGCCACTATGCCCAGCTATTTTTGTATTTTTAGTAGAGATGGGGTTTCACCATGTTGGCCAGTCTGGTCTTGAACTCCTGAGCTCAGGTAATCCACACACCTTGGCCTCCCAAAGTGCTGGGATTACAGGCATGAGCCACCACACCAGGTCCAGCTTCTTATGCTACTTGAAACAGCCTTGATGTATCTTCTCAGAGGGCTCAGCACCAGCCAGCAAGGCACCCATTCCCAGTGGAGCCTTTTCTCAAAGGTCTCAGTTCCATCTCTGCAGGATCTTTCCTTCAAGCTTCTAAACTTTAATATTCCCACCCTCCTTCCTTTATCCCTGCGGCTCTGGGGGTAGTAGCTGCTTCCTTCAGGCAGCTAATTTCTATAGAAAACACTTGCAACTTATTATTACCTAAGGTTATAAATGGCACTGGGCCCTCTTACTGTTGTTGTTGTCGTTTGCATTTTACTACCAAGCATTGGAGGAACTGCTGAGGAGTCTCCTTTGGGAGATGCTCTAGGTATTACCTCTGTGGGAAATCCATGTCTACCGTTATCTTTTTCATTCTCAATAATTTAGTTAACACTTCTTCATATTATATTTTTTTCTATTAAAATAACTGGTCTCTTGACTGAACGCTTGTAGTACAGAAAATGGTTCCAGGAGTGACCCCCAGGTCCTCAAAGATGGGATTTGGGGCAAGATTTGATCTTTGGATTTGAATACAGTGCTGAGCTCCTTGTCATGGCAGGCAGTGGCATCATGAGCAATTAGTGTGTCACCTGCAGTGGCATGTGAACGAAATGCTTCCTGAAGCAAATGCCTGAGGAGCAGGTGGCTGCCATGCTTGACTGTGAAGGGGTCATGATGACCACCAGGACTGGAGGGCAAGTGGTTCTTCCTCAGTGCACTGGAGCACATAGAGAAAGGAAAAGGACACACTCAGGCCATTAAACTCTCAGTTCAAGTCTCCACCAAACAATCAGAGAGAACCCTCTGAATCTTTCTTTTTTCTTTATAGCTCCAGGGCCGACCTTGCTGAAAACTAGACAAAATACTTAATTGTGCAAGATGAAGAATTGCAACCTAAAGTGAATTCAAAGCTATGGCAAGCCTCTACATGAAATTTAGAGGGTTCTTTGGGAAGGAGTGGGACCTTAAGAACTGATAATGGAGATATTTGGGGGCATTCAGATGAAGCTGATAATTTTGGAGGCCTGAGTCCCTTTGATCCTCCTTCCTTACCGGTGGAAACAGCTTGCCATTGGTGTCTGAGGAGACCAGGCTTTTATTGCTGGAAGAAATTGTAATAATGTCATGGAGGGAAGTTCCCTTGAAAGGTGGGCCAATCCTTTCAAGACCAAAGCAGCCACCTTTTGTTGCTCAACAAGGTCTAAAGAACAAGTACAAAGCAGGACACCGGAGGAAATGGCTTACGTTTCAAAAGAATTGTGAGATCTGACCAATTTATGTTACTAGAAACTTGAGGGATATGAGTAGTAATGTGTTATGAGGGTGTTAGACAAAGAAGACAGGATGTTTACACTGGGTAGGACCAAATTCCTGTATGTGGTTGCACTTACCAGAGACCTTGTATTTAATGTGTGGCTGGAATTAGGTCTAATGGTTTATTTGGTTTGGATGACTGAAGCTTGGGCCCAGTGAGGATCCACCCTTAACGAAGATGAGATGCCAGAACTTCTTGCCATAATGGAGGGGAAGGGATCCAAAGGTTTAGGGAGACGGGAATGTTGAAATGTTTTTGTTTGTTTGTTTTTGTTTTTGTTTGTCTGTCTGTTTTTTTTTGAGACGGAGTTTCGCTCTTTTGCCCAGGCTGGAGTGCAATGGTGTGATCTCAGCTCACCGCAACCTCTGCCTCTCGGGTTCAAGCAATTCTCCTGCCTTAGCTTCCTGAGTAGCTGGGATTACAGGCATGCGCCACTATGCCTGGCTAATTTTGTATTTTTAGTAGAGACGGGGTTTCTACATGTTGATGTCAGGCTGGTCTTGAACTCCTGACTTCAGGTGATCCGCCTGCCTCAGCCTCCAAAAGTATTGGGATTACAGGTGTGAGCCACTGCACCCGGCATGAAATGGATTTTTTACATGAAACCTTTACCTCCCAACCCCGCTACCTCTCAATTACATCCCTCGAGAGGACCCAGAGTGTCTTCCCTTTGTTAAGAATCTGAGAAGCGCAGTGGTGAGGAGGCCATTGTACCATCATGGACGATGCTGCCACTCATTTGGATTCTGACTGCGGTGGGGATGATGGGATCCCCAAGTAGCAGAGATTGAGTGGCAGCACTTAACACTACAGATAGGTGTGCCATGCAGAATGGGCAGTGGGAATGAGGGGCCAGCAGACTGCTGCTGGCCACAGGGATCTTTGGCAATGGCTGACTGGCTATTATGGTGTCCTTAAGAATGAAGTAGATGGGCAGCCTAATAAGTGTTGCTTTATCTATTTGATGGCAGAAACTCCACCAGGTCTGGGTAGCCAGAGGTGCCACAGGGAACAGTCACAGCCTCACCCCAATCCCGGGCCTAACCAGTTCTCAGATTGGAAGCCCCTTGATTGAATCCTCTCGAGGGCGGCTGCACTGTCACAAGTGCAGATCATGAATCTTCTTCCAAGCTATACCCAGAGGAACACGGAGTCACTTACAAGAGTGATGCTACACAGAGGAAAAGGAAATATTGAGACCCTTCAGGATATTCTGACTATGAATTGATGTTAATTTCTGGGGATCCAAAATACCACTGGGATCTGTGCATCAAAGTGAGGGCTTATAGCACTTAGGTAATAAATGGAGAATTAAGCCAAGCTCAAATCATGGTGGTCCCTGTAGGTCTGTGGACTCATGCTGTGGTTATCTCTCCATTTCCAGAATATAAAATTTATAATGTACATACTTGGCAATGGGCAGAATTGTTTAGTTCTTTCTGATGGGAAGTCCCTGGAACATCCTTCCCTATCAGGATAGTAAACCAAAAGCTTAACCACAGTCCTGACTCTGAATGGATGTAAGTTCCACCATCGAATATGGATAGATGTGGGTGATACTCACCACATGCTGTGATCCTATTAACTCACCTGTTGGGGCTGTGGATGGATCCTGGGGAATGAAGATGGGCTGTTTTCTGCTTAATCAAGTGGTGAGTTCAATTGCTGCTGCTATTCCAGGTGTGGAATTTTATTATGGAGCAAATCAACATGACCCTTAATATTGGAACGCAGCTATCGACCAGATAAATACCTTCTCACTAGACCCATTTGCAAGCACAGTCAGCAGATGTTTGCTTTTACCTGACAATGCCAAATGACACCTGCCTGATACGGTATGTTATAGTTCACATTTAAGGTTTTTTAAAAATAAAGAAAAATCATAATGTCTCTTACATAAATACAATTAAATTTCTATCTTAGTGTTGTTACACTATCAAGACAAAGTGGCTGAAGAGATTTTCATTTGAATTAAAGGGTGTATTTGAAGTGGTTTAACAAAAAGGCAGGTGTCATAGAATGCGCATTTACTTTAGGGGCCGTGGGACATGTCGCTGAGAAAGGCAGTCACCAATCGGGATACACTGAGAGGCATGCTAACTACTGACCAGGACACACAGCTGAGTTCACAGGATGTAGGTGGTGAAAAAGCCAGTGCTTCAGCACAGAAATCTTTGTGCAAAGCCTCCAAACTCCTGTCTCTGGTTCAAGGCCAAGCTGTTCTTCCAAGGACATCCCAGTGTTGTCCGCCCTGGAGCCAGGCACACTGGGGCTGCATTTCATGCTGCACATGGACCCAGAGCAGCACCAGAGAAGGCTCAACTTGCTAGTCAGTTGGTCAAAGCTTTTGTGAGTTAGCCAGGGGATAGTGGCACATCACGTTAGTTACACACCATCTGGATTACCCACAACCAATACACATGACAGTAAGGATGTGTTGGAGACTGCCCTGTGTGAGAAATGCCTTATGAGCAAGAAGAAAGATTATCTCTCTGGTCTAGTTTTTTGAGGAAGTCTGTGGAAAAATTAAAGGTTTGGAAAGAGCTCTCAAGTAATTAGACTGACCTCATACCCAAAGCAGGAATAAGCTTGCCAAATACAAAACTGTGCTCCACCACCGCTGAGAAAGGATAGGAAACAGCTTCCTATCTCCATTCTTGGATGTAAGTGTGGTTCCTTCGGCTTTCAACAGGCCCAAGGGCTTCCCTGGGTCTTAGTATGTGCCACACTATTTGTCTTTATTAGCTTTCTGGTCCACTTCTGTTGCCAGACTGTGAGTCAGCAGAGACATACACCAGTGTCTACTATTCCCCAGCCTTGGCTAAAAGTATGTGTCCAATAAACATTTCCCCAATGGAAAAGTTTAATTTCTTTTTTGTCTTTCTACCTCTCTGCACTGACAACGTCCTGCTCCATAGGCTGACAAATGCACACACATACACACACTCTCTTGAGAAAGATGAGATAGAGGAGAACAGTTTAGAATTATGTTTTTTTTTTTTTTTTTTCTATTCTAGCTTTACACTACAGGGCATCTCTAAGGAGCTGCAAATAATTTCTCCTAATGGTTAAAATAAGATTCGAACTCATTTGAATTTTAAAATATATGCCAATGGGATTTTTATTATGTTTCACAGGGAAGATACTAGACAGGATGCCAATACAAAGCTAGGTTCAGAAAGCTCCAAAAAAGTGTCTCAGTTGACACCTTTTAATTTGGCAACTGACTAAATAGGAGGAACTGTTGTTTCCACTGATGATGCTACTCATAGGCAGGGTGTCAGTGCACACCTGCAGGAACTGAAATTTTGGAACTGAAAACGAGCACAGAGAATTTTGCAGGCCTCCTGTTTCTTGGAGAGGTCCTACCTCTGTGTAGGACCTGTAGAATTGCAGATCTTTTACTTGGGTGAAGATCCCCACCAACTAAATAAAAATCATGCATGGTTGTTGTCTTTGCTGTTGTTCACAAGCCTCTATTTTTCGTGCCCTTAGTTTGCTAACCCATTGCATGCACATATCACACCAAAAGGTGTGCAATATTTACCCCCACCCTGCGTTGGAGGACAGCGAGTCTTGGAAGGGGTGAGAACAATTCCCCAGCGTCTCCCGGGAAGGAAGTGACTGAGTGGGTTCCTTCAGGTCCTCATGCCCTGTTGCTTCTCAACCATCTCTAGAGAGGAGAGTGGGCACCCTGAGGACAGCAGCTCTAGGTCTGAGAAAGGATCCAAGGCATGGACTTGAGGAATATAGAGACTACAGGGAGGGTGTCCTGCTTCCTATGGGAAAGGTGAGGACAGCTTCTCCTGTGTTGACAACCCAAGGTTCTAGAAACTGGAGAGTCCTTCTGGTCATGAAACATGGGAAATTTGCTAAACCATCTATGCTTTAGTTTCCTTCCTGATCATAAATGAGGATAAATAGTGCTTCTGCTGTGGGATTAAATGAAACAATGAATGCGAAGAGTGCAACACACAGAGACCTGAAGACAGGGCAGCAACTGTGCTTTCTATTTGCTCCCTTGGTGACTCTTTCTGTCTTAGCCAAGGATGTGTGGCACCCAAGACCCAAGGCTCCATTTCATAATTTCATAGGAGAACCTTCTTTCTTCATTTTTTTTTTAATAGAGACAAGGTCTTGCTCTATTGGCCAGACTCACTCTGTTGCCTAATGCAGTTGCACAATCCTAGCTCACTGCAATCTCAAACTCCTGGGCTTAATCCATCCTCCTGCCTCAGCCTCCCGATTAGCTAGAAATACAGGTGTGTGCAACCATGCCAGACCATTAAAATTTTTTTTCTTCTAGCAACAGGGGTCTTGATATGTTGTCCAAGCTGGTCCTGAACTCCTGGCCTCAAGCAATCCTCCCATCTCAGCCTCCCAAAGTGCTGGGATGATAGGCATAAGCCAACATGCCTGTCCAGGAGAACCTATTGACCTCTTCCAGAAAGGGTATGTGGCAACAATGACAGCATCTCTGTGATGGTATCCAATGGCTCAAATTTAGTGTCACTGTGTATGCCTTGGACTCTTAACGTTGAGGTATCATCATTGGAAGCAGTCTCTTTCTTGTAGTCTCTCATCACGTTTTAAGGTCAGCAACGTTTATCCCCCTTTACAGTTTTATATCCTGTCTTGGTGCTGACCTGAATGTAAATATGGAAATATTTATCTGAATGTACATCCATGTGGATAGAACATGGATAAAATAGATGGCAGAATGGGATTTTTTCCACTTCTGTCCCACCCTCAACCTTTCTTGTTTCTTTTCTCTGTCTTGCATCTTCTCCTAAGAGATTTTTTTTTTTTTTTTTTTTTTTTTTGGGTAAGCATGAAAAAGAAGCTGCTGACACTGGTCCATTAGATTACAAATGTAATCTAAATACCCCTCTCCGTTTGTCTCTCTGTCATCTATCTATTTTTAAAACAGACCCAAAGAGGTAGGTTCCTTTTTAAAAAAATTCAGGATTAGGGCATTACACATTCAGTCAATCAAATTCTACCATTAAGAGTGTAGCAGGTAAACCATATGCAATTTAGTAATTTTTATTTATTTATTTTTATGTTATTTTATTTTTTTTGAGATGAAGCCTCACTCTGTCCCCCAGGCTGGAGTGCAGTTGTGCAACCTCTGCTCACTGCAACCTCCACCTCCCGGGTTCAAGAGATTCTCCTACCTCAGCCTCCTGAGTAGCTGGGATTACAGACACCCACCACCATGCCTGGCTAATTTTGTATTTTTAGTAGAGACGGGGTTTTGTCAGCCTGTTGGCCAGGCTGGTCTCAAACTCCTGACCTCAGGTGATCCACCCACCTCAGCCTCCCAAAGTGTTGGGATTATAGATGTGAGTCACTGTGCCCGGCCAATTTAGTAATTTTTAAAGGCATGGAATACATGCACACACTTCACCTTCAAATGTCACATGCGGGAATGTTCTTTTGATGAGCGCTCAGAAGTTTTAGGGCCCAGGGTCGTGTATAAACACCAGCTCTCATGGGCTAGAAGAGGCAGTGGGGCACTTAGCCATCATTTAGTTCAGGGGGCTTTGGGTTGTGCTCTGTGGGACTCTACAGACAGTGGAGGATTTTAACTGGGCATTTGGGCTGTATTAGTTTTCTAGGACTTCTATAACAAAGTACTACAAACTGGGTAGCTGAGGACCACAGAAATTTATTATCTCACAGTTCTGGATGCCAGAAGTTTGAAGTCAAGGTGTTGGTAGGGCTATGCTTCCTCTGAAGGCACTGGGAGATCGGTGTGTGTGTGTGTGTGTGTGTGTGTGTGTGTGGGGTGTGGGTAGGATTGAGATCTGTTCCAGACCTTCCTCTGGGCTTCTGGTAGCCTCAGGCTTGTAGACGGTCATCTTCTGTCTGTGTCTCTTCACATTGTCTTCCCTTAGTGCACATCTCTGTGTCCAGATTTCCTCCTTTTGAAAGGATACTAGTCGGCCAGGTGCGGTGGCTCACGCCTGTAATCCCAGCACTTTGGAAGGCCGAGGCGGGTGGATCACGAGGTCAGGAGATCGAGACCATCCTGGCTAACACGGTGAAACCCTGTCTCCCTAAAAATACAAAAAATTAGCCGGGCGTGGTGGCGGGCGCCTGTAGTCCCAGCTACTCGGGAGACTGAGGCAGGAGAATGGTGTGAACCCGGGAGGTGGAGGTTGCAGTGAGCCAAGATCGCGCCACTGCACTCCAGCCTGGGCAAAGAGTGAGACTCTGTCTAAAAGAAAAAAAAAAAGGAAAAAAAAAGGATACTAGTCATATTGGATTAGGGCCCACCCTAATGACCTCATTTTACTTGATTACTCTTGTAAAGACTTGGTTTCCAAATAAGGTCACATTTTGAGACACTGGGAGTTAGGACGCCAACATATCTTTCTTGGAGGAGATGTAATTCAGCCCATAACAGGTGCTTTTACAAGGTAGGAGCTCTACCCTCTTTTTTCGTTGTGTTTTTTTGAGACAGAGTCTCACTCTGTCACCCAGGCTGGAGTGCAGAGGCGTGATCTCGACTCACTGCAACCTCTGCCTCCTGGGTTCAAGCGATTCTCCTGCCTCAGCCTCCTGAGTAGTTGGGACTATGGGTGTGTGCCATCACACCTGGCTAATTTCCATATTTTTAGTAGAGATGGGGTTTCACCATGTTGGCCAGGCTGGTCTCGAACTCCTGAGCTCAAGTGATTCTCCTGCCTCTGCCTCCCAAAGTGCTAGGATTACAGGTGTGAGCCACTGTGCCTGGCCTCTACCCTCTTTTAATAGGGCAAAATTTGTTGGAAAAGAAGTTCACTGCTAAACATTTTGGAAATCCATCATCTGAAACATGAGGGAACTGAGGCCCAGTAGGGTAGACGATTTGCCCAAGTAGTACAACTTACGGGGCAGATTTGGGACTTGAACCCAGGCCTCCAGACTTTGTGTGTTTTTTACTACACAGCAGTAGCTATCATGCTAGCCCATAGGAAGTTCTGATTGCTGGCATGGTTGTTAAACCAACTTTATTCTTTTAAGTTTTCATCAGTCTTTTTCAAAAATGTCCCTTTTAATTGGAGAATCTGACATTGACATTCTGTTGGCTGGAAAGAGCCTAAGGCAACATAAAGTAATTGTCTTTCATTAGAAGAGTTCAGAAGCACATTTGATGATCTTGGTCACCTGCTGAAAAATATTCATTTCTTCCTGGAATAATTTTGAAGTGAAAAGGTGGAAAGCAATCCAACAGTTAATGACATATGATCGATACTGAGTAGGAAGAACATAATGCTATTATTGGGCTACTGCTTCTTTGATTTTTTAAATTCCCTGTCACTTTTTTTCTCCCACATTATCTGACAAGACTTAGTGACAGAAACTGACTTGAAAGATTCAGAACTTCTGGGAGAGTGGATACCAGTCTGAAAATCCTGTGTAGTTTTGATTTTCTTGTGACAGTTTGGTAGTGTGTGTACACCCACAAAATGAAAGTAATTAGTCAGATTCATCTCGTTAGGCCAACATCTATGCCGTACTGTTAAGAGGAATTCAGGGCAACTAGAGATCTGGCCAGGAGGCAATGCTGAAATGAGAGTGGGACACATCTATGCTGGGTGACCCCTACCATTCTCCCTCCTCATTGGCCTGTACCTGGACACCCCTCCACCCCTTGCTTTCTTCCTGTATCACTACTAGGGAATTCTGGGAATATGTCAGCTTGCATGCACATCTCCGAGGCCCTCTTCCTCTTTGGAGTAATTCAACGACCAAGGCCAGCGAGGCAGTAAGTTCCCCCAAGCTCTCAAAGGAAGAGGCGGAGGCTAGCATTTTCCAGGACACAGGGTAAACACGAGGGACTCATGCACAGAAGCCCTGCCTCTCCCAGCAGCCCAGAGGAAGACTCCAATTGTGCCCCTTGAGAACTTCCAGGCCTCTGCACCGTCTGCTCCAAGGGAGGCTGCCCATATTGCTGACCCCAGAGAGCTGGAGGGTCCCCATGAAGAGGCACAGGAATATTTGTGTACTGCATGGTTGGGAGCTGACGTACTGGTTGAGTGGAATAAACCTAAGAGCAGCGAGGCTCCTCTGGCATTGCTTGGCTGAGAAATGAGTCAGTTTGGGTACTTTGGGAAGCAGCTGGTGAGACACAGAAGTGCAAACTATTCTGGAGGTAAATGCGTGTGAAAGATAAAAAGGAGAAGGAACAGGACTAGGCAGAGAAAGCTGCAGACTATGAGGTGGGTCTGCTGTCTGTGCAAGAAAAGGCATAAAGAAGGCCTTGCCGTGCAGCTCTGGGAAGTTAGCCTTCCCCAGTGGAGCTTCAGCACAAAGGCTGCCCACAGTGTCCCTAAGGGACAGAAGTGGCCAGGCCTAGTACTGCAGTGGGCTCCATCACTGTCTGGCCACTGCTGAGGAGACTACAGCCTTGGCTCAAACACTCCAGCAAGTCCTAAAGGTGCTGCAGCCAAAGAATGTCAGCTGATTGCACCCCTCACCCAAGATTGTCTCAGGAAGGGAGCTCTGAGCAGGGCACCCCATGGCTGCTACAGGGGTAAGGCCCAATCACGTCACTGGCCCCAGCAAATGCTGGAAGGACCCCAACAACCCGACCTGTGTACCCTCTGCACACAACCAGTAAGAGGCCAGAACACTATGACTATGGAGGGGACTTGGTAACTTGAGAAAGGAGAGCCAGGTTGATGAACTCTCTCTCTCCCTTTCCTTCCTTCGTTCCCTCCCTCCTTGCCTCCTCTCTCTTTCTTTCTTTCTCCCTCCCTCCCTCCCTTCCTCTCTCTCTCCTTCCTTCCTTCCTTCCTGGTAAGTGACTTGACTTACTGTTTGCCAATCTGATAAAATACTACAGTGAGATGTGATTATAGTTTTATTTTGTAGTTCTTTTACTATGAATGAGTTTTAGTATATTTTTTGTATATTTAAGAGTCAATATATCTCCTTTTATCTGAACTTTTTATTAGTCATATTTTGCCAATTTTTCTATGAATTGCATATCCTATTTATTGTAGAAACTATTCATGTATTAGGGAAATTGGCTTTTTGTTGGAATATGACTTGCAGATTATTTTATTCAGTTTGGGGTTTATCTTTTGACTTTGTTTATAGTGTTTCTTTCATGTAGAAATTTTCATTTTTTTATCTAATCAAATTTTGCAATTGTATAAGCCTTAATCTAATTATGAGATGACATCAGATAAATTCAAATGGAGGAACATTTGACAAAATAACTTGTCAATACTTTCAAAAGTGCCAAGGTCATGAAAGATTGAGGAATTGTTACAGATACAGGAGCTGAAGGAGAAATAACTAAATGCAACATGGGTTCCTGGATAGGATCCTGGAACTGAAGAAAGGACATTGGCAGAAAAGTTGGTGAAATTTGAATAAGGTCTTTAGCATTATGCCAGTACAAATTTCCTGGTTCTGATAATTGTACTATGATTATGTAAGACGTCAGCATTAATGGAAGCTGAGGATGGGGGTGGGGGCATGTAAAAACTCTCTGCTCTTGTTTTGTACTTTTTTCTGTAAGCCTAAAATTAGTTAGTTTTTTTTTTTAAATAGTTTAAAAATGTAATTTGGGCATAGGCTTCCAATTATCTACCAAAATTTATTTTACTCTCTTTCCTTATTAAGAACCCTGGTTAATGTTCTAGCTTCTTTGCAGATTAAGGCTGATGGATGAGAAGAAAGGGGGAATTTACCAAGTGGGCCTTCTGTGAAAGTCCGTTTTGCCTTTCTGTTTCCAGTTGTCTTGGAAGCAGAAAAGGTGACAAGGTGACTGGAGCTCCAGCAGCCATCCTTGGTTCGTGAATGAAGTATCAGAAGAATTTCAGAGGCCTTACATTTGACACCTCTGATATCATGAACCATCTGCAGCAATGGCCTACCTTGTTGTTATGAAGTCTCTATATACCTAGAATGCAATTTCTAACTGAGATAGCACAGTGGCTCCTGGCCTGCCTCACTTAAAGAATTTAAAAAAAGACAAGTCTCCATGTTTCTTCTGGCATAATTTTGGTTTCATTTTTATGTTAAATTTTTTTTTTTTCCAGAGACGGAGTCTCGCTCTGTCGCCCAGGCTGGAGTGCAGTGGTACGATCTTGGCTCACTGCAAGCTCCGCCTCCCAGGTTCACACCATTCTCCTGCCTTGGCCTCCCGAGTAGCTGGGACTACAGGCGCCCACCACCAAGCCCGGCTAATTTTTTTTTGTATTTTTAGTAGAGACGGGGTTTCACCGTGTTAGCCAGGATGGTCTCGATCTCCTGACCTTGTGATCTGCCCACCTCGGCCTCTGAAAGTGCTGGGATTATAAGTGTGAGCCAACCCCCGCTGGCCAAAAATTTTTCATCTATTTGGAATTAATTTCATTTGTTCTAAGGATTGAGATAGAGACCTAACAATTTTTTCTCTAAATACCTACTCAGTTGCCAACACCACTGATTTACTGAATTTCCCCTAGTGACATTCAATGCCATTTTAATAGTATTTTAGATTTTAATAGCAATTTTGGTCTATTTCTGTGCCTTCTATCTTGTTGCATTGATCTAATTATTCATGTGCCATTACCACAATATTTTCACTTTAGTTTTATTAAATACTTTAATGTTTGGTAGGACAAATATCTCAACTTTTTGTTTCAAAATTTTTTCTTTCTGCGCATTTCCATATGAACTTTAGAATCAGATTGTGTTCTGTATTTTTAATTGATATTTCGTTGAGACCACATTAAGTTTATGTATTAATGTAGAAAAAAATGACATCCTTTAAATACTGAGTCTTCCTGGCCAGGCGCGGTGGCTCACGCCTGTAATCCCAGCACTTTAGGAGGCTGAGGCAGGCAGATCACGAGGTCAGGAGTTCGAGGCCAGCCCGGATAATATGGTGAAACCCCATCTTTACTAAAAATGCAAAAATTAGCCAGGCATGGTGGCGCATGCCTGTGATCCCGGCTACTTGGGAGGCTGAGGCAAAAGAATCGCCTGAATCCAGGAGGTGGAGGTTGCAGTGAGCCGAGATCACGCCACTGCACTCCAGCCTGGGCGACAGAGTGAGAATCCATCTCAAAAAAACAGAACAAAACAAAACAAAACCTGAGTCTTCCTATCTCAACAAAATGGAGTATGCCTTTTAATTTATTCAAGTATGTCCTTCTGTAGCATTGTAAGGTTTTATTTAGGTGAATCTTAAACATTTCTTAATATTTTTATTCTCATATATTCAATCTTCTCTGTTCTCTTCTTCCATTGTATTTCCTAACTTGTATATATTCTAATAATCTTGTAAGTTAATTTTGTAATCATACATTTAATTTTTATATTGTTTATAATAATGTTTTTAGTTGATTTTTTTCTAGTTTCTTCAGATATGCAGTAATGTTGCCTGACTATAATGATACTTTTACCTCTATTCTTTATCGTTTATGTACTTTAATTTCTTCCTTATTTCTAATTGCATCAGATAGTTAAATTATAGTGGAGAGGAAGTAAAAGTTCTGATATTGGAACAAGTGGGTGATTTGATTTCTAAATTGGGTGATTTGAGAAAAATTTAATGAATAGGCTGTTTCCAAAGCGAGCAAGGTGTGGGGAGGCATCATGTTGCAGGACTCTGTAGCGACCGCGGGAAACCCTTACTTCCTCTAAGCCTGATGGGTAAAGGGAGGAAGAAGCTTTGGAGCTTGGAGCCAGAGAGAGCTGTGTGGAGGGGGCCGTCAGACAGGAGCAACGGCTTTTAGTTGAGGGTCACAGCCAACCTGCAATGACAGTGAGAAAACAGGAAAATGATACCTAGCCCTGCTCTCTCCCTCCCTCTGATCTGCCAGTACTCTCCATTGGTTGAACCCAATGAGCAGCCTGAGATAAAGCATCCTGTTGGTGACACAGGTGAGCTTGCTTCTTGGGCAAGAGCAGATGGAGAAGCAAACAGTGGACTTAGAGACACAAAGGGGGTGATAACCAGCACAGGGAACATCCTTGTTTTATTCCTGACACTAGTAGGAAGCCTCTAGTATTTACCATGAGGCGTATATGTTTGTATGTTGTGCATGTATATATCTAGATAGCTACATAGATGTATCTATTTACCTGTGTATCTGTTGACCCTTGACCAGCATGCATTTGAACAGCATGGGCCACTTATATTTTTCAATAAAGTTCAAAAATATTTCATGGATGGATATTTTCAATAAAAGTTACACTAAGTATGCTTGTCTCTCCTACTTCCCCTTCCAACTCTTCCACCTCTTCTGCCTCTGCCACTCCTGAGGCAGCAAGATCAAATTCTCCTCTTCCTCCTTCTCCTCAGCCTATTCAACATGAAGATGGCGAGGATAAAGGCCCTTATGATGATCCTCTTCCACTTAATAGTACATAAATACAGTTTCTTCTGATTTTCTTAATAACATTTTCTTTTCTCTGGCTTACTTTATTTCAAGAATGCAGTATATAATGCATATTGTTACCAGCAGCAAATTCTTATGGGTTGGCAGCAAACTCAATCCTTGCCTCCTCAGAGAAAGTAAATCAGCCAAGAGGCAGAAATGGGTTTAAGGCAGAGGGAGAGACTGAGGCAAATTTTAGAGCAAGAGCGAGACTTTATTAAAAAGTTTTAGAGCCGGAGCAAAAGAAAGCAAAGTACACTTGGAAGGGGGCCAAGCAAGCAACTTGAGCAATCCATGTGACCCGTTCAGCCCTTGACCTGGGATTTTATACATTGGCATGGTTCTGGGGTTTCATTTTCTCCTCCTTTAATCCTTCCCTTGGGGAGGGCTTTTGCTCAACTGCCACATGTGCAGTGCTGGTCAGCACTTGGGAGCGTGACCGCATGCATAGTGCATTTACTGAGGTTGTGCCCACGCTCTCTGGGGGTGATTTTCCTTTGTGGGTCAAATGCCTCTAGAGGAAGTGCATACATCCGCCATTTTGCTTCTTCCTGTGCATGCTTGAGCCTGCTCGCCCAACTCCTGAGATCTTATCAGGAGGCTACGGAACACCAGCTTTGGGTGTTTTCTATCTGTTGGGAGACTGTCTTCCTATACATTTTCAGAAAGGCAGTTTAACAACTGCCGAACCATCATCTGATAGTCACCTGGCATTCCTGGGGGGCCCTTTCTTGCTCTTCTCATGTCTGCCTAACTACCTACTCTAACAATATAACATAGAAAAGATGTGTTAATCAACTGTTTATATTATTCATTTATTTATTTTGAGACAGAGTCTCACTCTGCTGTCCAGGCTGGAGTGCAGTGGCCTGATCTCAGCTCACTGCTACCTCCACCTCCCTAGTTCAAGCGATTCCTGTGCTTCAGCCTCCCAAGTAGCTGGGATTACAGGTGTGTACCACCATGCCTGGCTAATTTTTTGTATTTTTAGTAGAGATGGGGTTTCACCATGTTGACCAGGCTAGTCTAGAACTCCTGGCCTCAAGTGATCTGCCCGCCTTGGCCTCCCAAGCTGCTGGGATTATAGGCATGAGCCACCGCGCCTGGCTGGTTTATGTTATTTATAAGGCTTCCAGTCAACAGTAGGCTATCAGTAGTTAACTTATCAGGGAGTCAAAAGTTATATGTGGATTTTCGACTGCATGGAGGGTTTGTGTCCTCAATCTCTGTGTTGTTCAAGAGTGAACGGCATACCTTTGTATGTGTTAGTCCATTTGTACTGTGATAACAAAATACTTTACACTAGGTTATTTATAAACAAGAGAAATGTATTGCTCACGTTATTGGAAGTTGGGAAGTCCAGGATCAAGGTGTCAACAGATTTGATGTCTGGGAAGAGCTTTGTAGATGTTGGCTTGTTGCTGTGTCCTCACATGACAGAAGAAGCAAGGGAGTTTTCTCAAGCCTCTTTTATAAGAAAATTAATCCTGTCATGAGAGTGGAACCCTCATGACTTACTCACTTCCCAAGGGCCTCACCTCTGAAAATTATCACTTAGGGTATTAGGTTCCAACATATGACTTTTTGGGGTGATACCAACATTCAACCCACAGCAACATGAGATCACATTTAAGAAGAAACCATCAATTTTTTAATTAAAAAATTCTAAAAATTCTAAAATTGATGTCTAATATTATATCAAAATTTTTGCAGCATTTAAGATGATCAAGATTTTTATAAATATAGTAATAATAGATATTTTAATGCATATTCAATCATTGTGTTATCTTTGCAGTGCTGATATGAAAACTTAGTCATATCGTATTTTTTTATATGATGCTGGATTCTACTTGCTCATATTTTACTTAGAATTTTTGTATTTTCTTAAACTGTTGGTTGAACTTACCTGGAACTTACCTACTTATATAAACTCATTGTGTATATAAGTGTATGTCTCTCTCTCTTTTTTTTTTTTGAGATGGAGTCTTGCTCTGTCACCCAGGCTGGACTGCAGTGGTGCGATCTCGGCTTACTGCAAGCTCTGCCTTCCGGGTTCACGCCATTCTCCTGCCTCAGCCTCCCGAGTAGCTGGGACTACAGGCGCCCACCACCATGCCCGGCTAATTTTTTGTATTTTTAGTAGAGACGGGGTTTCACTGTGTTAGCCAGGATGGTCTCGATTTCCTGACCTCGTGATCCACCTGCCTTGGCCTCCCAAAGTGCTGGGATTACAGACGTGAGCCACCGCACCCGACTCCGAGTCTGTTTAATTTTTAAGAAACTGCCAAACTCTTTTCCAAAGTGGCTGTACCATTTTGCATTCCCACCAGCAATGAACGATGAGAGTTTCTGTTGCTCCATATCCTCACCAGCATTTGGTGTTATCAGTGTTTTGGATTTTGGCCTTTCTGATAGATGCGTAGTAGTATCTCATTGTTTTAATTTGCAATTTCTTAATGACACAAGATGTTGAGAATTGTTCCCTATGCTTATTTGCCATCTGTCTATCTCATTTGGTGAAGTGCCTGTTTAAGTCTTTTGCCTATTTTAAAATTGAGTTGCTAGTTTTCTTATTGTTAAGTTTTAAGAGTTTAAAAAATATATTTTGGATAACAGTTTTTATAAGATATGTCCTTTGCAAATATTTTCTCCCAGTCTTGGGAGGCTTGTCTTTTTATTTTCTTGACAATGCCTTTTACAGAGTGAAAGTGTTTAATTTTAATGAAGTCCAGCTTATCAATTATTTCTTTCATGGATTGTGTCTTTGATGTTGTGTCTAAAAAGTCAAATCATACCCAAGGCCATCTAGAATGTCTCCCATGTTTTCTTCCTGCTTGTTTTTTTTTTTACTCAAATAATTGACTATCTCTTCTTATTTTCTCTAAATACTCCATTAAATGATTTATGCTATAGAGTTCTTATTTTTTTCCATGGACTCCCCCATCCAGAGTTATCACTCTTCCTGTTTTAACATGAATGGTTGCTCTCTAATGCTGCTGGTTACTCAAATTCCTCCCTCCCTTCCTCTCTCCATCCCTTCCTCCCTCTCTTCCCGCTCCCTCCCTCCCTTTCTTTCTCCCTCTTCTCCACACACCAGGGATTGTTATGGGTGTGACACAGCAGTAAACAAAGCAAAAATCCCTGCCTTCATGGTTTTCACATTCCAGAGGTTGGTGCCATAAAATAAACTAACTGAATGAATAGTAACATATCAATTGGTAATGAGAGCTAGGGAGAAAAATAGGGTAAAGATGATAAGGAGTGATGGAAGTAGAAAAGGGGTCGCTGTGATTTATAGGATGAACAGTAGAGTCCTCCTTGATAAAGTGCATTGGAACAGAGATTAAAGGCAGTGAAGAAAACAATCACATGGATATCTGGGGAAAAACGTTTCTAGGCAGAACGAATTGAGGAAAATCTTTTTAGTTTAGAATTTTACACCCAGCCAAACTACCACTGAAATATAAGGATAAAATAAAGACCTTCTGGGATGTGCAAGGACACAGAATATTCAAGTGTAATGACTGTTTCTTAGGAAATTACCATGAGGTGTGGTCTAGCAAAATTGAAGAGTACAAAGGCATTAAAGTAGGGATGCATTTGGAAGGTTCAAATATAAAAGGAGGCAGCATGGCTGGAGCTGAGCGAGTGCAAGAGAGGGCAGTAGGAGATGAGTCAGAGGTGCAAGGAGGTCATGCATGCAGGACATTGTAGACCGCTGGAGGGATGTTGGTCTGCACTCTTTGTGAGATGAGGCAGGAAAGGAGGGTTTTGCAGAAAGGACATATGTTTTCAAAGGATCCTTCTGGCCTTTCTGTGGAGAACTGATACAAGGGGGAGCCGGGGTACTAGGTCTCTTGTGTTAGATTTTGTTTTCTGCATCCCATCTACCTCAGTTTTTGGTTTACTCTTCAATTCTGCCAGGCATGTCTTTAATAGTATCCTAAGAAAGAATGCTTTGAAAGTAAATGCTCCATGTCTCTGTAGGCCTAAAAAGGCCTTCATTCTCTCCTTACATGTGAAGAGTATTCCAACGGGGTATACACTTCTAACTTGAAAATTACTTTCCTTCAGAATTTTGTAAACCCTATTGTCTTCTAAGATCTTGTACTGGGAAACTTGATGTATTTCTGATTTCTGATCTATTGCTTTCTACTTCTTTTTGTCTCTGGAAGGTTTTAGGATATTCTCTCTAATTTTCAAGTTCTATAATTTCATGATGATGTAATATATGTGTGTGCACATGTGTCTTCCCATCTTAGTAGGCACTTTGTAGAGAGCCATATTTTTCAGTTTTGAGGAAATTTTCTTGTATTGTTTTTAAAATTTCCTCTCCTTAATTCTCTGTTCTCTCTATTTGTTAGATTTTGGACTCTATAGAATGACCTTTGATATTTTTTATTCTTTTTGTTACCCGTTTCAACTTTATGTCATTTTGTCCTATTTATTTCCTGGGACATTTTCTCAATACTATCTACAAATTATCTACAAATTTTTTCTTTTATCTTTGCAATTAGACAAATAGATTTTTAAATTTCTATGAGCACTCTTGTATAAAATAGCATTGTGTGTTTGTTTTGTGGAACAAAGCACGTGTAGAGGAATAGTAAAAGAGGCTTCTTTCATTTGTTCCCTGTTCACTGCATGATCTCTTTCTTCTGGGTTCATTTCTCCTCTCATTTGTTTATTTTCTTTCTGTTTTCATATTGAGTGACTTGCTCCCATGTCTGATGGTACTTCCTTAGTGCTGGTTGATTTCATGGAGGGCCTGACCTTTATTTGGGTGGTTTCCAAATGCCAGACTATGGTGGTCTTTTCTTTTCTATTCTTTTCTTTTCTTTTTTCTTTTCTCTTCTCTTCTCTTCTTTTCTCTTTTCTTTTCTTTTCAGACAGAGTCTTGCTCTGTCACCAGGCTGGAGTGCAGTGGCATGATCTCGGTTCACTGCAACCTCTGTGTCCCGGGTTCAAGCGACTCTCCTCTCTCAGCCTCCTGAGTAGCTGGGATTACAGGCGCATGTGACCACGCCTGGCTAATTTTTGTATTTTTAGTAGAGACGGGGTTTCACCATGTTGACCAGAATGGTCTCGATCTCTTGACCTCGTGATCCACCTGCCTTGGCCTCCCAAAGTGCTGGCATGAGTGTGAGCCACTGCGCCTGGCCATATGGTGGTCTTTTCTTTGGTTTATTCCACTTCTCCGGGTGAATGCTCTAATCTCTCTCCTGGAGGAATGGATTCTTGGCTGCTGGCATTTGGTATCTAGGGTGTGAGACTGGAGGTAAGAGTCATGATCACTCCATATTTGGTCCTTCAATTACATGTCCCCATCTTGAGTTCAGGTGTTGGATGTCTCTAACTCCTGCACCATTCTCTTTCAGTTTCTTCGGGATGAGGACTTCCATTTTCCTGCATGGGGGTGCACACCTGCTGCTGGCCTTCTGTGTGGGACTGGAGCTGGGGAGGGGGTGGCAGTAGGCGTTTCTGTGTGTTACTTTTAACTGCTATCTTCAACTGCATTCCTCTGACTCCAGCTTCCTGGATATTTTGATGGGGGCAGTGCAATTGGACTCTCTTCCTGTCAAGATGCCTCTTTGCAGACTCTTTGGGCTATTGCTTCCTCCAGTTTGTCAAATTAGTTACCACTGCTACATCTGCCTTCTGTTTCCTAAAAATATGTCAAACTCTTTTGCCCACTGATGTCTTTGCCACCATTCTCTCACCTTGTGGGCTGCGCAGTTCTCTCTTTTGCTATAATACGAGTGGGGCATAGGAAGAAAGGAGACAAACATTTACTTCATCTACCATCTTTTCATAATTAAAAACTCAAATCAGGTAAATTTAAAAGGAAGAAAAGTAATTCTACCGGCAGATCATTTTGCAGTGTAGTTGAATTAAATTCACTCTGTCACCTCCCTTAATGTGCCCCTTCCTGTGAAAAGTCCCCGTCATCCTCAAGAACTTTCAGACATAGAAAACTAGAGGGAGCTTCTGTGAGAAAGCAGGAGTGAGGTCCTGAAAAAGCTTAAATAAGTGGCTGGCTCTGAGGGAGAGTGAGGTCATACTAGACCTCCGTGTACATCTTGGGACAAATTGTCCTGCTGCCCAGCCTCTAGCTCTTCAACATGCTGGAAAATTGGGAAGGTGGAACATGGGAGCTGAGGGCAAAGGCAGGACAGGGCCTAAGTGGCTTCTGCTGCATCTGAACTTGGTGAATCTGAGGTCCCAGAGAGCCCTCTGATTTACAGGCTGGGGCTCTTGGAGTAGGCAGCATTTACATGAAGACACCTGTGCTATAGCATTTCTTCAGTTTTAATCATGTGTATCAGCTTCAGAGCCCTGGTCCCTTCAAGAGGAGAAGGGCTGAGCGATAACTTTTGTGAGTTAATATCCTATGTCAAGCACCATGCTAGACACACAACAGGCATCATCTCATTCAATTTTTAGAGCAAACATGAAAGATAAGGCTCACTATCCCCATTTCACAGAAGAGGATATAGAAGCTCAAGAAATCAAGAAATTCAGAGCCAGAACCTGAATCCGGGATGCTTTGGCCTCTGCTTTGACCAAAACATGAGGTAGATTTAGGTCACTGGTATCATCAACAACTCCTGGACCACACTTCAGTGCAGATATGTTTTGCTTGGCCTGTAAACTAGAGGCTCACACAATGTTCTAAAGATATTTAGAATTAGTTGGCAATGTTGGAGGATCAGGAGAGTTTACATAATCACCTGGAATTTCAGCTTTTCTTGAAGAGTCAGCAGACCTCACAGCATTGGGTCTGATGTGGTTTGGCTGTGTCCCCACTCAAGGCTCATCTTGAATTGTAGCTCCATAATACCCATGTGTTGTGGGAGGGACCCGGTGGGAGATAATTGAACCATGGGGGTAGGTTTTCCCATGCTGTTCTCATGATAGTGAATAAGTCTCATGAGATCTGATGGTTTTATAAACGGCGGTCCACCTGCTCATGCCCTCTAGCTGGCTGCCACGTAAGACATGACTTTGTTCCTCCTTTGCCTTCTGCCATGATTGTGAGACCTCCCCAGCCATGTGGAACTGTGAGTCCATTAAACTCTTTTTCTTTATGAATTACCCAGTCTTGGGTTTTTCTTCATAGCAGTATGAAAATGGACTAATGCAAGATCCATAAAGTCTGTGTGGTAACAATACCTTGGAGCTAGGTGAAAGTTACGTCCTCTGGAAGGGTAGGGATGTGTTCTGTGGCCTTCCATGTGGTCCCAAAATAATCCACGTAAGCATCTGGCCCCCAGATAGCATGACGTTATTTTATGTAGATGCAGCCAAACTCTACAGATAACACAGCTATCTGGTTGCCAGTTTGTCACTGTCCCCGCCACTCCCTATGGCTCTCCATCATAGGCCCTGATGTTGGTACTTGTTACTAAGCTTCTACTGTGCTTTTTTTAATAGCCTTATCTATTGAACTGAATGAGTAATATTAAGTATCTAAATTATTGAATGAGCTTGATTTAGAAGGGGGAACTTATAGAGCAGTTTTATGAATTATAAGTATTCCCAATTCAACTCCCTTTCTGGGTTCATTTTGTCATTTTTTTTGTTCCTGGATGAATCTTGAGCTGGCACATCTTAGATAATGAGAAGTTTACTCAGTCTAATAATAATGTCACTTCAACCTTCTTCCTGTCCCATCTTCCTCCATATCTGCCACCAGCCTGCAGCTGGGTGATGTGGCTGGTTGATTGGCTTATCTTACCTCTCCTTGCTGCATCTGCCCCCAATGCTTGGCTGCTGCCTTCAATACCTCCAGGTCAAGAGTGTGACAAGGCACAGTTTAATGAGACTAGAAAGGTTGAAACTGGCTCAGGTTGGTGTCCTCTGGATTGAGTTAACCCTTTGTGGTTCCCATCTAAGATTTCTCCCTGCAATCCAGCTGCTTTTGACTCCCTTCAGCCTCTGGGCTTCCCTGGTGCCTGAGGACCCTCCAAATGGTACTATTGGGCAGTATTCATTTTTGGATGACTCTAGACAACCTTGCATTTGTGGGTTCCTCATCTGGTCTTCTGAGAAACCCACATGTTTATTCTGCATACTTTCTGCTTAACCAATTCCCTATATCAAATTCTCTCTGTTAGATATAACTGGTGGGGTTTCTGTTTCCCTGGCTGGACCTCAGACAGGCAGCTCTGGCATCTAACCATTTTCTCAGTGCTCCAAATGAGATGCTAATTACCTTCAAGAGTCATCAATTAACTTCTAACTGTGCTTAAAAAATTAATTTTTCACTTGAATTCTCTCTCTCACCGCATGTCCCTCTCTTCGCATCTCTTGTTTTCTCCCCCCTTTATTATGCTGAGAATGCAGTACTTTTGCCACTGGCTAGCTCACGGTACCTATAGCAATGACCCTTTTAGTCAAAGTTGTTGGTGGAAAGAGGGAAAGAGTTATATATATATATATATATATGAATTCGGAATCATGGTTCACTTATAAATATTATTTCTACTTAGCAATGTTTGTTATTCAAGCAAAATAACCAAGGGAGGAAGGATTCATTTGGAAACCTGATTTATAGTAGACACAGGGCAGGTTAAATGATTGAACGGTTTCCTGACTTTGGATCTCTCCACTCAGAGTCTATTCTGTGAATATTTATTCTACTGACCTTTGGTGTAGGTCCAGCATTATTGTCCTTATGAGATGTGCTGAAAGAAATGTGTGAGTGCTTGAGAAAATGGTTTTATAATTCAAAGGACTAGAATTCTGAGGCTGACAAGACTTTGAAGGGTTTGGTTTATCTCCTTGCCTTCAGGCAAGTAAACTCCAAAATCAATTTAGATGAAAAAATATTCAGAGAATTTTCCCTATTGCTTTTATTAGTTTAATTTGTATGTTAAGAATTTCATCCAGAAAACCTTCCTTTGATCTTATTCTGAATTGATTTAGTGCTTCCTTCCCTCACTCATTAATTCAACACCTTCTTTTTGAGTCTTTACTACGTGCCAGAGACTGTTTGCAAAGGAGACACGGTCTTGACATAGTCCCAAATGTTTGCACCAGGACAGATGAGTGGAATGGATGTTACAGGAAGACAGAGCTCAGCTCAGTTAAGAAAGAGCTTTCCAAGAGTGAAACATGCCCAAGTTGGATTGGGCTCAAACACAGCCTTGGGTCACTTTGCCAGAAGTAGAAAGGATGGGAGCAGCTGCTGGAGGGATAGAATAGATGACCTTAAAGAGCCACTTCAACTTTAGGATCCTGTCTCTCATCTGAGTTCTTCATTACAATGCTGGCTCTTTCTTCCCTTTGGCTTTTCAGGGAATTTGTTCTTCTATTTTCTTGGGCTGATAGGAAGCCTGATCATGTGGCAATTGACTAGTAGTTAATTGGCAATTGCCTAGTAATTAATACCAGAGAAATGACTCATCCTCCTGATTTCACTTAGAAGGATGCTCCCTGATTCCCCTCTTTCCTCCATATCCCACCCCTGAGGTGGTGCCCCTGGTTGCATTCTCTATCACATCAAACCCTTCCTTCATTGCACTGATCGCAAATGCAACTTTACTTTTATTTGTGTGATCTTTATATAATATGCGTCTATTTTATCACTCTATTCCACCTTCTAGCTCCTAACACACTGCCTGGCACATAGTAGGTACTTAATGTTACATGTTTATATGTATATAATGTGCATATATCATATATATAATTTATATGATATATACACAGGTGTCTCATATATAATGTGTACATACATAATACACATATCTATTCTGAAATGACTGAATGAATATCTTCAGTCATTGACTAGATTTGTATAAGGCAATAACAGCAGTGACAAGAACACAATGACATTTTATTTTTTTAAGGAATGGACTCATGATTTTGGGGTCTGACAAGTACAAAATCTGTAGCATGCTGTAAATTCAGGTAAATACTGATCTTACAACAGTCTTGAGTCTGAATTCTGCAGGGCAGCCTTTAGAAACTCAGGCACGCTTTCCATGTTACAGTCTTGAGAATTTGTTCTTCCTCTGGAAACCTGTCTTTACTCGTGAGGTCTTCAGAACAGACCAGAGAATGGGCTCTGTAAAATGGTGAGGATGGAAAGAAGAAACCAATCTGCTGTGCACCTGTGTATAGAGCATCCGGCAGGTAAGATTTACATTTCCTTTCTCACCTAAGAAAGACTCCAGGAAGCTGGATCCCTCTTTCTCAGTGCCAAGAGATTCTCCAGGCCTCCCTCTAAGGATAACCTTAAAATATCCAGGGGATTTTCAATTAGCAACACAGAGCTTTAAACACTGAACTAATCTTCCTTTGAGCTTGCACCTGTCCTTTGATGGACTTTGATGCAGATCCCGGAGGTAAGAAGGGAGCACAATTCCATGGGGTGGGGGTGAAGGAGGAGCGTGGGACTCATGACTGCTCTTGTCAGGGGCTAAGCTGAACCAGCCTGAAGGTGCACAAAGCCTGCTTGACAACTGTCCTCCACTCTCATCACTGTAAATTAGCTCCCTGTGGATAATGCTGCTTCCTATTATCTACAGATGCCAGGACGTTTTATTATTCCTACCTTCTGGGTCTTTCTGTCTGTCTTCACTAAGTGCAAGAGACAGGCATAGGATGCCCTTTGGGAGCCCTGACTCTATTTTTGTATAGTAGTCTGCACTGTGAGATGCACACATGAAATTTGTTCACAAGATGAAGAGAACCACCGCCAGAGTAAGAGGGCACGGTGTTAGGTCCTTGCCCCACTTTCTGCAGTGGGCTTTCAAGAGATGAGGAGGGCCTTCCCTGGGTCTTATGTGGTCCCATGGGTGGTAAACTGATTCTGTTTTTGTTGTTGTTGTTGTTTGTTTGTTTGTCTGTTTGAGATGGAGTCTCACTCTGTCGCCCAGGCTGGAGTGCAGTGGCGCGATCTCGGCTCACTGGAAGTTCTGCCTCCCGGGTTCACACCATTCTGCTGCCTCAGCCTCCCGAGTAGCTGGGACTACAGGCGTCTGCCACCACGCCCGGCTAATTTTTTTTGTATTTTTAGTAGAGATGGGGTTTCACTGTGTTAGCCAGGATGGTCTCGATCTCCTGACCTCGTGATCCACCCTTCTCGGCCTCACAAAGTGCTGGGATTATAGGCGTGAGCCACGGCACCCGGCCAACTGATTCTCTCTGGAAAGAGATCCTTGGTTATGTTTTTCTCTTTTCTCTAAAATGGGCAGTTGATTGTTCTTTCTGAGTCTCATCGTACCTTCTAAGAAGCTTCTCCAGGTTAATCCTGTGGTAATCTACCTCTTCCTCCCTCAACTTCAGAGCTCAGATTGCTGTTCCTTTTCAGTCTGTGCCTTAGCTTTGTCTTCTCCGTTCCATGATGTATGATGTGTTCCATGAGATGGCCATGCCCATAGGTCCCTGACTTTTCCTCCTGCCACTGCCCCCGCTCTACCTGAAGCTCCAGCTCTTAGGAGTCGCCTGCCTTGCTGGAACGTTGCCTGCCCTCTCATTCTTACTTCCATCCTTAGTGGAGGCTGTTCCCTCCACGTGGAGTCCCCCACCTGCCTCCTGGGCACACCTGTCTCCAAAGCACAACATCAGTGTTGCTTTCCCTGCAAAGTGCTGCCAGTCCCCAGTATTAGCTCACAGTGTATTCCAGCTCTTGATTACCAGCTGCGAAGCTCTAGGCAAGTGATTTGCTGCTCCATAGCTCGGTTTTCTAGGGTACAAAATAAGTCTGATAATAATGCCTACTTCATGTGGTTGTTGTGAGTTGTAAGTGAGAAAATACATGAAATGGGCTTAGCACGATGTCTGATGCATACAAAGTGCTCAAAAAATAGTTAGACACTATCTCATACTGGCTATATCAGTTTAGCTATCTTTCTCCTCTCCAAATCCATGAGCACTGTGAGGACATGCTGGTTATTATTGCTGAGTAACAAACTACCCCCAATTTAGTAGCTTAAAACCACAATAATTATTAATTTTGCTCACAAACCTGCAATTTGGGAAGAATTCAGCTGGTTTGGGAAGAATTCATTCTGTTTGCTCCATGAAGCAGTAGCTGAGTCTGTTGCTTGGGTGTCCTTGTTGATCTCCGGGCCTAACCGTGGCTGGTTGTATTCTCCAAAAATGGCTGTAACCTGCTCTTCTTGCGATGTAATGTTGACACTCTTCCCAATAAGAGATGGGGTCTATATTCCTTCCCCTTGCATGTAGGTGGGCTCGTGATTATGGTGGGAGAGATGCTGTGTGACCTCTGAGGCTGGGACATAAATGGTGACACAGCTTACAAACTCGTCCTTTTGAGGTGCTTGCTTTTGGAATCCAGTCAGCATGGCCTGCTGTGAGGAAGCCCACGTAGCCCATGGATAGGCTCATGTGCGGAGGAAATAAGGCCCCTGGCCGACATCCCTGGCTGAGCTCCCAGCTGGCATGCAGCTTTACCACAACGCCTGTGTGAGTGAGCTGTCCTGAAAGTGCATCCTTTCCAAAGCTGCCTCAGTTCTTGCTTCGTGGAGCAGAGAAGAGACAACCCAGCTAAATCCTTCCCAAATTGCAGATTTGTGAGCAAAGTAAATAATTATCATGGTTTTAAGCTACTAAATTTTGGGGGTAGTTTGTTACTCAGCACTAATGAAAAGCATGTCCACTTTAGACCCTGAATTGGAAGATTTCCAGTTTCTATGGTCTGTATGTTTTTGTACCATTGTCCCCCTACCCCATTACAAATGTTAAAATAATCACACCCAAGTGATGATATTTGGAGTTGGGGGCCTTTCGGAGGCAGTTAGGTCACAAGGGTGGAATCTTCATAATGGGATTAGTGTTGTTATAAAAAGAGACACCAGAGATCGCCCTCTCTCTCCTTCCACCATGTGAGCACAGTGAGAAGGCAGCTGTCTGCAACCCAAGGAGAGAGACTTCACCAAAACCCAGCCATAATGATGTCTTGATCTCGGACGTTCCAGCCTCCAGAACTGTGAGAAATAGATGTCCACAGTTTATAAGCCATTCAGTCTATGGTGTTTTGTTATAGCAGCCCGGATGGACTAAAATACCAACCATAGTGCATTAAGTGAACGTACCAAGGAATTCAAATGCCAAAGTCAGTGTCAGGAGAGGTCAGAAAGGGGCACATCACCAAGAAGGAAGTTGGAGTAGAGGTGAGCTGGAAGGGCTGGGAGTGTCTGATGGGCTCGGGGGAGGGAGGAGGGCATCCTGGTAGTGAGGGGAGAATGAGTCTGGGGGCAGCAGGGGTGGCAGAGGCAGATGAGGCTGGGTGTCTGGGAGAAAGCTGAGCATGCAGGAGACATCCTTCAGCATCAGGATAAAGACTGAATTAGATTCATTTTAGATCCCAGCATCCATTGTAGATTCCAGAACAAGAGAGTGACTTGGTGTGCAGGTATTCTGGAATGATTTGTGGGGGCACAGTTTCCAGGGTAGATTGGGGTGGGCAAGAGGCCAGGGAGGGTGATGGGAAGTTTCAGCAGGATCCGTGAGGCGGGATTGTTGTTGGTCAGGAGACCTCTCCCCTGTGAGGTCTCTCTCATCAGTGCTCCACGGGCACTGCCCAGGACCCCCTGATGTCCCTTGTTCTACCTGCTAGGCTGCCTATGTATCTTCTAATGGCACTGCCTCTTTGTTAGTGAGGTGATGTGTAGACCCTGATGACAGCTTAGGTTTGAATCTTGGCTCCAGCTCTTATTTGCCTGTGTATTCTTGGGGAAGTTAACTAACCTCTTTACCTCAGTTTCCTCATTTGTGAGATGAGAATAATAATGATACTTTGTGAGATAATTAGTTCACTATACAAGGAGGAAATAATCAGTGATGTTCACATTATTATTATTATTAGAGATGGAATTTTGCTCTGTCACCAGGCTGGAGTGCAGTGGCACCATCTCAGCTCACTGCAACCTCCACCTCCTGGGTTCAAGTGATTCTCCTGCCTCAGCCTCCTTAGTAGCTGGGACTACAGGTGCACGCCACCACGCCCAGGTAACTTTTATATTTTTAGTAGAGATGGGGTTTCACCATGTTGGCCAGGATGGTCTTGCTCTCTTGACCTCGTGATCTGCCCACCTTGACCTCCCAAAGTGCTGGAATTACAAGCATGAGTCACTGTGCCCGGCCATGTTCACATTATTTTATGGCATGTCTTCTACATGTTTCCATAGCTGGACTTTGGCATTAGGTATGTACTCATCTTTTGTTTAGTACTCTGGGGCTTCTCAAATACCCATCCATCACCAGCTTACAGTATATCCCTTAGATAGGTTGCTTGAAGAGATGTTTGAGGTCATCCAGTATACGTGCATTTAATCAAATTTTAGGGTATCTCACTATTTCCACATTATATTGTTCTTCACTTCCAAATAGTTGGCAAAGTTGATGCACTCTGCATTCACGAAATTGAACAAAATCATTTTCCTTTAGGAGAATTCAAGACAAGCACATAATCACAGCATCCTAAATGGCTTTTGACCATGGGGGGAAAGCCAGAAAGATGACATTTCCCAGAAATGGAGCTCAGCTGGGGCTGACATGAGTCCTACTGAAGATAGCTAAAATCTGGAGCCTATAGTTAGGAAGGGGTTTGAAACAGATCATATCAGCAAGAATTCCTCTCTCACCTTCTCTCTCTTTCTCTGTTGTTCTCAATTCGCATATCCATCCACCCACCTCCCACCCATCCACCCATCCATCCATCCATCCATCCATCCATCCATCCATCCATCCATCCACCATCCATCCATTCATCCACCATCCATCCATCCATCCATCCATCCATCCATCCATCCATCCATCACCCATCCATCCTCCATCCATCCACTATCCATCAATCCATCCATCCATCCATCCACCCAGCCACCATCCATCCATCCATCCATCCATCCATCCATCCGCCATCCATCCATCTTTCTTGCATGCTGCCAGATCTTTTTCATCTAAAAAGCAAGCTAGAATTGATATATTTGTTAACTTGATTGGTTACTCAGTTGAATTGACCAAACTGATGACCTGTTTTAGTTATATAGACCCAGCTAAAATATTAGCACATTGTTCTGATTTTAAAAAATCAGTGGAGTCTTTATTTGTGTGTGTGTATATATATATATATATATATATATATATTTTTTTTTTTTTTTTTTTTTTTGAGACAGGGTCTCACTCTGTCACCCAGGCTGGAGTGCAGTGGCATGATCTCGGCTCACTGCAACCTCGACCTCCCAGATTCACTCCTGCCTCAGCCTCCTGAGTAGCTGGGATTACAGGTACTTGCTACCATGCCCAGTTAATTTTTTGTATTTTTTAAGTAGAGACGGGGTTTCACCATGTTGGCCAGGCTGGTCTCGAACTCCTGACCTCAAGTGATCCACCTGCCTTGGCCTCCCAAAGTGTGGATTACAGGTGTGAGCCACCACGCCCAGCCAGTATTCAGCTGTGTTTTTGATATGTGATTCATTCTTAATATTTACTATTGTGAATAGGTACTTGTTATAAATGAGGGTGGAGCTTACATGTATATTCAAAGCTCCAGTGGGTTGATGATAACTCCCCTATAGTCTTGTGTTCCTGTAGGCATTCATGATGGATGCTTTTTCTCAAGGCCAGAAGGACAAAATCTTCCTTGGTTTTGATTGGAGCCATAAAATGAAACACATGGGAAAAGCACATTGCTTCCATTACAATCTTTCCTATATTGGATATAGAATCCTCTTATTTCATAAGGCCTTCAAGCACTGACTTTTTAAAAAAAGAATCTTTTTCATTTATGGATGGTGCCTCAGGCATCCACTATGTGTTGGGCGCTTAATAAATAATAATAACAGTTATTATTATGGAGCAGAAATCTGCTGATCCTTTCACATGAATGGAACCCTGAGACCCCGGTTCTATTGTGTAGGAGGGTGTATTTGTTTTAATGTCACATTATTGTAGATTTTTATTTCAATGCATCAGCATTCCATTTATCCACATGCTTCAAAATTTATGGTTATTACTGTGTATGTTTTTCTGTCTCCTCTATATGGAAAAGCTTCAAATTCTTTTCTTTCTAAGTTTCAAGAATTAAGATAACAGCATAAAATGCATAATATATTTATGCCTCAGTAAATAATGTAGGAAGTGAAAGAACCTCTGCATGTGATTGGACTCATTTTGTCTGTATTTTTCTCACATGAAGAATTTCTGATCAGTTTCTTCCTTATCACTTTGGGAAATAGTAGAAAATGTGATTAAAGGCATACATAATCTGAGCTGTGTTCCCAGAACTATTTTTATTTAGTGTTGCTGTATTTAGGTGATGAGATGTTTATGCCACAGCAATGGACTTTTCAAGTCACCCTATATTCAGTAAATATATTGTATTTAAACCTCTTATAGATTTTTGTTTGTTTGTTTGTTTTTGCTTTAAATATTTTACAAAGTATTTTGGATGAAAAGATTTCCCAATAAGGGTGATACATTTTCCACCACTTCATGAAATGAATATGACGTCATGTTTTCTTCATGACTCAAAGTTGTCATGAACCTGAGTGGTAGGGCATTGCAATTTCTTCCGGCATTATCCAGATGTTCTCACACGAAACATCTCCATGCTGCTTTCCTGAACATCTTTGTCAGTTCTGTCAGCCCTGCATTATCATTTTTTTTTCTGTCTGCTGCTCTTTCTGCCTCCAGTGTTCCCTTCCCTCTTACCCTATACTTTTTTTTTTTTTTTTTTTTTTTTTTTTTTGAGATGGAGTCTCCCTCTGTCACCCAGGTTGGAGTGCAGTGGTGCCATCTTGGCTCACTGCAACCTCTGCCGCCTGGGTTCAAGTGATTCACCTGCCTCAGCCTCCTGAGTAGCTGGAATTACAGGTGTGCGTCACCACGCCCAGCTATTTTTTGTATTTTTAGTAGAGGCAGGGTTTCATCATGTTGGCCCAGCTGGTCTCGAACTCCTGACCTCAAATGATGCACCCACCTCGGCCTCCCAAAGTCCTGGGATTACAGGTGTGAGCCACCGCATCTGGCCCCTCTTACCCTATACTTATAATGTGACCTTTGAGTTGGAGAAATACACAATTGACACTGTTGTTATTGTATGTTACATGAGAATCTGTAAGCCAGGAGAAAGGTGTGTTATATTGTGTGACTCCTCTGGGCACCCAAATGGGATTTATAAGATTATTTCAGTGGGAAGAATGCATTTTCATGGAAGAAAACTTTTAAAGAATTTATTTGGAATAAACTTTTTCAACAAAACCATTGCAAGGGGTGGAGAATGGCTTTTGCACTGTATTTTCATCTCCTGGAGTCCAGGGACCACCTGCTTTTCTTAGGACCTCGTGTTGTGCACCTGGCACCTAGCCTCTGTTAGGAAAAGTGGCACAGGAAAATAGCTAATCATAAACACTTGGGATTTATGTTGCACTTTATCATTTGTAAGCCCTTTCATAAACAATATTTCATCGAATCTTCACTAAAATCTTGTGAAGGGGCTTTTCCTATTCCAATTTTACAGAAGAGTAAACTTAGGCCACATCCACGCCTCTTGTGAAGAGACGAGTGTTATCAGTCGCAGGCCCAGTTCTCAGCCATTCTATTGTCTACAGAGAGCAAAGAGGTCCCCCCAGACCCCTCCTGATTTGTTAACACAGTTCTCATTGTGTGGATCAGTTCAATCCAAGCATGTTTATTAAGGGTACCTTGAACAAAAGTCCAGCCCTTTGCCCTTTCCTGGGATTTTCCTGAGCCTTCAATAGAAATCTATCAACAGGAGAGTGTCTGAGGCCTCTAGTGCTGAATACATGCTCTATTCAGAGAATATTTAGGGTAGACCATCCCATCTTCCCAGGTGTCCCAATCAGCCAAAAAAATTTGTATAAGCCTATAAACTGCAGCTAAACTCACATCTATCGTGGTTATATATGTGGACTGATGGTGGCTTTTTCCTCTGCATTAATCAATTATGTTTTTTCTAAGTTGCTTTTCTATCTAGCCAGAATCTACTTAAAATAAAAGTGTGTAGGACTTTGAATTGGAAAACAGGTTGGCTGTATCCAGTAAAGCTAATCACACGCTTACCCTATAATGCAACAATTCCCATTCCTACGTCTACACCCAAGAGAAATGACTGACAGGCAGGTACAAGAGTGCTCACAGCTGCTTTTCTGATATTCATCTACAATTGGAGATATCCCAAAGGTCTATCCTCAGGAGAATGGATAAATATTATATAGCAAAACAACAAGAATTACTGAAATATACCAGAGCATGCATGAATGGGTAAAACAAGCAAGATCCAAAAGAATCCATTGATGTGAGGTTCAAGAACTGCACGGCTGATGTATGATGATAGAAACTGGATCAGTATTTATCTCTGTGAGGACAGTTGTGGACCAGGATGGAGCACAAGGAGCCTGTTGGGTGCTGAAAGTATTCTTTTTTTTTTTTTTTTTGATATGGCGTCTTGCTCTGTCACCCAGGCTGGAGTGTAGTGGTGCGATCTCAGCTCACTGCAACCTTCGCTCCCAGGTTCAAGTGATTCTCCTGCCTCAGTCTCCTGAGTAGCTGGGACTACAGGCGCGTGCCACCACGCCCAGCTAATTTTTGTATTTTTAGTAGAGACGGGGGTCTTATCATGTTGTTCAGGCAGGTCTTGAACTCCTGACCTCGTGATCCGCCCACGTTGGCCTCCCAAAGTGTTGGGATTACAGGCGTGAGCCACTGCGCCCGGCCAAAACTATTCTATATGTGGTGATTACATAGATGGAGATGTGAGTTAGTATTCATTGAGCTCATACTGGATGCTGTGCATACTACTCAGTCTACCCCTGTAGGACCCGGGCACTCATGCCTCCACCGCTGGGAATGTTGACATCACAGGGCTCTCGACTGAGTTCATCTCTAGGAATTGCCCTTGGTTATGTTCCTCCCCGAGAATAGCCAGCATGCAGAGACTTAACCTTTGGAGGTAAAGACCTGAGCCTGTGCCAGTTAAGGCACCTCTCCAGGGCCATCCCAGTTCTGGAGCTCTTACAGGATCAGTCGAAGCCTTTCTCATGACTGCATTGCAGCCCAGCTCTTCTCTCTGTCGTGTGTTGCTGCTTTATTGCCTAATAGGTAAGGTTGGCTACCTGCTTTGCAGAGCTCAATGCAAAATAAAAATGTGGGCCTCCATTCATACATTCTGAAGAATTCCAAAATGTTGACAACAGAGCTCTAGGTGAAGTGAGGGCCCTTCTACGTGCACGACCCAGGACTGTGGCACAGGTTGTACTCTTGTGAAGTCAGCCAGATGTCAATCTGGGAGCACTCCCCCGTCAACCACCAGAAGGCAAATCTCTGTCTCAGAGGCTCCTCCCCACAGGGAAATATGGACAGTGATGGAGCTTCACAGTAAAGATTTAGGCACTTGACTGTACCTGCTGTATTGAAGAAAAAATTAACAAAATAGAAAAGAAATCGTAACAGCATCTGGTAGGATGAATAATGCCTCCCAAGGATGTCCACATCCTAATTCCCAGAACCTGTGAATATAATTACCTTACATGGTAAAAGGGACCTTGCAGATAGAAGAAAAATTAACAAAATAATAGAAAAGAAATTTTAAGAGCATCTGGTAGGATGAATAACACCTCCCAAAGATGTCCACATCCTAATTTCCAGAACCTGTGAGTGTAATTACCTTACATGGCAAAAGGGACCTTGTAGATGTGATTCAGTTAAGAATCTTGAGATGGGGAGATTATCTTGGATTATATGGGTGGGTCCAATGTAATCACAAAGGTCTTTATAAACGGGAGTCAGGAAGCTGGCTTTGAAGAGGGTGGAAGGGGCCACAAGCCAAGGGAGCCAGAAGGCCTCTGGACGCTGGAAAAGTCAAGGACACAGATTCTCCCCTAGAACCTCCAAATAGGAACATGACTCTGCTTATATGTTGATTTTAGCCCCACAAGACTCCTTCTGGACAACTGACTTCCAGAACTGGAAGAGAATAAATGTGTTGTTTTAAGCCACCCAGCTTGGGGTACTTTGTTATAGCAACCACAAGAAGCGAAAACAGAGCTGCTGCTATTCTTGACGTACGGGGGGACTGGTCCTCTGTAAAAGCAAGCTGGCTAAAGGGATCTAGGAATGACATGGGGAGCATTTTCCCAGACTTGTCACCCAAAGATGTCCTGGGAAGATGCAGGGCCCGGTTGTCTGGCTTCTTTATCCTGGATGTGGGGAGTGTAGACTCCCTCCGCAGGCCCTGGATCCTGGGACAGGGGTAGAGACCCTGGCCATGGGGAAGGGGGAATGGGCATGGAGAGCTTCTCTTCCTCTGTGGCTGACTAGAGAGCCAATGTTTCCATCCCCGTCTCCAGTGCATTTGTTTCTGCCTATGCTTGCAGGTCACAGGCCATCCTAGGGTGGTTTTCTGAGGCCCACCTCCTGCTGCCCCTGCCTGTATTCTTCCCAGCTCCTCTGCCCAGTCTGGATCCATCTTGGCTGCTGCACGTATTTTGGCCCTTGCTGCTCCAAGTCCCACACTGAGCCTGGTATCCTGGGCAGTCATCTCTGCAACTGGGCCTCTGACGGCACCTGCTCCAACCTGAGGGTTTCCCTGGCCTGGGGCCAATCAGAACTCTCCAGCCCCATTTCATTTTCCTCTTCCTTATGGTGAGCTTTCCAGTGTCCCCTGGATTATCTTGATGTGTTGTGGGAGCTCCATATTCTCAGGGTGTAGAATTTGTTCTTTCAGAATGAACATGTTAATTACGGGCTTTCGTAAATCATGCTTGTGTGCACTGCACGGTAAGGAAAGCATGACAAATAACTCCGTGAGTTCTCCTCCTTCCAGCTCATGGAAGTCAGCCCTGCGGGGTGCCCCCAGCCCATTGGCACAGCAGTGGAGACAGACGTGCAGGGCATAGGCAGTGACTGCCTGTGCTGATCTGAAACATTTGCCCAGGGCGTGTTGTATTTAAATTGGTTCTCTGTCAGATTGGTTGGAAAACAGTCAGAAGTTCAAATGCAGTCGGCCTTGATTCGTTTATTAGTTGTTTGGTTATTGGGAACTCGAAGGAAAGAGAGGATGATCCCATGAAAAGGCATCTTCACGTGGTGGCAAGAGCACATGGGTCAGACACAGACAGACCTGGGCTCACAAAGCACTACCACTTTCTAAAAGGTAAGATTTTGGGCGAGCTCCCAGTCTCCTCATTCATAAAATGGGTAATAATAATATCTACCTTTTAGGGTTGTTGATGAGTTAAATGAAATGATACGAATAACCTCATTTAGTACCTGGCATATGGCAAGGGCTCCAGAAAACCCCCTAATAGTCTCACCTTGCATTATGGTCTAATTATGCTAGACTTCTAAAGATCCAAGCTGCAGGCACTACCAAACACGCCATTGCTGAATGTGGAACAGTTTTCTTATTCTATATTTTGTAATTTCTTATTCTGTAATACTGTTCTTCCTACATGCTGAGCAACGGCTCTCAGGTGTGCAGGGGAAGCGTGGGTCCCTATTAGAATACGTCGCTGCTCAGATTTGCCCTTCACATTAGATTTGGGTTTGCTGCTCTTGGCGTTGTTGGAGGAAAAAGGCTTTTTCAAATTCTTAAGTGGAATTAGCACCAAGTTTGGATGCCTCAGGTCGCATAGTTTTCCTATACTGTGAGGAAGGGCCTCCTTCACTTATGAAGGCTGGGGCATGAGTTTCATGGCCCTAGAGGTGGGAAAGCCCGAGCTTGGCTCTTCTGGCTTAGTGAAGCATGTGGTAAAGAAGGATAGAGTCAGAGAACGACCTCTGGGGAGTGGCAGCAGTGCTTTGGAAACATCCGGAGAGGTACAGAGGAGGTCTCCCAAAAGATGGGACCACTCGCATGCTTGCCTGCCTTGTCTTCTAAGAAAATGCCTGTCCTCTGTCACTCCGACATGACACATGTTGATAGTACAGCAGTGTTGGCAGGAGCGGGCTAGATCAGTGAGGTTGGCTTGAACGTGGTGGAGTGTGGGATGCAAAGATCCTTGTTCCCCAGTGGTGGAAGGTGTAGGCCTGTGGCTGGGCCTTTGAGCCTGGTGGTAGTTGGCCCTAACCATGGACTCTTGAGGGGAGGTTCCTCGTGTTGAGGACAAAAAGCCACACTCTGGAGACCACGGATATGATGATGATCAGCTGTCCAGCCACTCAGTAGCAGAGACCAAGGAAGATCCAGAGGACGCCATAGATCCAAGGACCTTCTCTCCTCCTTCCATCTCCATGCCTGGGAAGACACAGTGAGCTCCCCTCACACCTTCTGGCACCTTCTGGCACCATCTTAGGGAAGAGGATGAACATTTGCCAAGGGAGACGGCAAAAAAGCCTCCTTGCTTGAGGGCTGAACTTTGCATAGACTGGCTATTTAAACAAAAGTAGATTATTCGAACCTGAAGAGACAGAAGAATGCTTAATTGGCACATGTATGTTTTTCTGCTATCCAGGAAGAAAGTATATTAAGCACATTTTGTCTGCACATCTGAATGTAGTGTGAGTATATTTGCAACCCCAGTAGGTATTAAAGCTTTGTATGCAAGTTATTTCCACTCTGGTGATTGATGGGGATGATATATACAGCAGGGAGGAAATCAGGTCTCAGGGTGGTCAGGCTGTGGACTGGGAGGCAGGAGTTTAAGGTGATATTCTTTGGTAAAGTTATTTGCATGATGGAGAAAAGTCCCTCAAGCACTTCATCAGTGCTGCAGTCTTCAGATCTAGTACATGTTGTGGTTCTGATTTAATGTTCTTCAAGCCCCTTTCTGATTGTAATTTGATTTACTATTCTTTCCTAAGTGGTGGGAATCTGCTGGCTATGACCAAGAAATAGTCCAGTCAAACCAAGGCCATTAATTCATAGGCATTGGCTTATATATTAGTCTCTATTAATTTAATTATGGTGAGCTGGCCCTTGGTAGACAAAATATGAGGGCCGACAAAATCAGGACTGTGTGCCTTTAAGGCCGAAGGGTATGGCACTGCTGTGTGGTGAATCTGTTAGAGGCGATGCCACCCCATTCTCTCCCAGAAATGTTCCAGAATCACAGCATATCTTTCCCATTGACCAACAAGCCTTTTTGTAGAATTAATTAGCTATTTAAGTCTATGAAGGAAGAAGTTCTTTTTTTTTTTTTTTGAGACAAAGTCTCACTCTGTCGCCCAGGCTGGAGTGCAGTGGCACAATCTCAGCTCACTGCAACCTCCGCCTCCTGGGTTCAAGCGATTCTCCTGCCTTAGCCTCCCAAGTAGCTGGGATTACAGGCAAGTGCCATCACGCTTGGCTAATTTTTGTATTTTTAGTAGAGATGGGGTTTCACCATGTTGCCTAGGCTGGTCTCGAACTCCTGACCTCAGATGATCTGCCCACATTGGCCTCCCAAAGTGCTGGGATTTCAGGTGTGAGCCACTGCGCCTGGCTGGAAGAAGTTCTTAAATGTATCTTTGGTTGTTCTTGGCAGGCATAAATGTTTTATGTCTCTGATCCCAGGTTTAGGTTTTTGCTCATGCACTGTCTCAATTTGAAAAAGGATGTAGCTCTTGCTAGGCAGTCTCCACTTCTATTCTATTATTCCCGACTGAATAAAATCACATCACACACAGTGGAATCACATCGGATGAACACCTAACTTAAGTTCAACTGTATAAGCTCCCTATGTCACTGAAACACCAGAGTTTGGTCTAGGTGCCGCTGCTTGCTACACAGAAAGCCAACCACTGAGACAATAAATATTGCCAAGGAAGAAGGCTTTGACTGGGTGCTGCGGCCGAGGAGATGGTAGCTCAGTTTCAAATCCATCTCCCAGGCTGACTAAAGTTAGGGGTTTATATAGCAGGGAAGCAATGTAACCATGTGTAGGAAAACAGGAATTAGGGAGGGGTAAGGAAGAGAAGTTGGTCGACAGGAAGCAGGTGGGCAGTTAGGCAGTCATGATGGGTGAGTGGTCTGACAGTGATCCGGTGAATTTCAGCTCCTTGATACTATCTGGGAGGCCTGATGGTTGGTTTCCTGAAAAAGGAACTTAGATAAGACAAATGTAGCTTTCTCAAGTTTTAAGACTGGAAGCATTAATTTCTATGTTTATTCAAAGAAACTGTAAACATCACCTCTATGGGACAATTGGATCAGTTCCAACTACAAGAGGAAAATGACAATTTCAGTGGTATTATTGGGAAGAGAAAGATGCATCACTGGAAGACATGCAGGATTAGTCGTCACTCTTCATAGTTCATCAGACATTCAATTTTTATGCACAGTAACAGACTGGGTACTGTATACCAAGCCACATGTACTAACAAGCAAGGGCTCTGGAGCCAGACTTCCAGCGTCCAAACCCTGGCTCCACCACTGAGTGGCTCTGTGACCTTGGGTGAGTGTCACTAACTCATTCTGTGCCTCAGTTTCCCACATCTATAAGAGGGAACTAGTCATCATACCTACATCTCAAGGCTAGAATAGTGCAGGTCACAGTAAGCTCTTACTAAGTGCTAGGTGTTATCATGATTACTGTTGCTTGGCTTAACAAGCTACCTAAGGGATTTTCAAGGGCAACTTTCACTCCACATGACTATTCCATTACTTGCTGATGTGATAAATTTCATGGGGCTTACCTACAGAAAGTAGGACCTGTAGGACTTCTCCACTGGGAATATCTCCAAAGTTCAGTCTTCTCAAGGGGCCCAAGAATTATGATCCTCCAGCTCTGTGGGAAGGAGGGCCACCCTCCTGCCCAGGCTCCCCAGCCTCCTCATGGCTAAGCTAACCTTGATGGAGACTTCCAACAAAGCATTTCTGCAGAGCGATCCATAAAGCATGACCTAGAGCTATATTAAACCTACAAAAATCAGCCTCCAGCAGTGAGAAACAGTTTTATATGATAAAGTAGTGATTACATTTTCTAATGATTGCTCAAAGTATTCTGTAATCTACAGGGAATATATTTCATAGCTCCCGGGAGCCCTCCCAGCTCCCCTATTTGTCATTCCAAGTTTAAGTAGAGCACAGAATATGAGAAGAACAATCTTGGCATACATTATCCTTTTGGGAACTCAATATATGCCATATCCATGTAATTAACCCAGGTTTAGCCAGCCTACTCATGATGCCACAACTTGTCCTCAGCAACAAGGATGAAATATTGTACGAATTACCCATTGGGACCCCCACCCTCACCCCAAGTTTCTTTTTTAAAAAATAGGATCATATTTTTCAGACTCTTAGTAAAGCGCTAGCATTTTCCATTTCTCAGCAAGAATTTTTTTTCTGTTAAAATGTTTAGCTCTGTGGATGATTGTGAAGTCTTCAGAGGGGCTTATGGTGACATGCAGTGGGCCCTTGTCTAACATTTCATCAAAGGAGCTTTCTCATCAGAGAATTTAGAGCTGTTTTTCCTGCTTATCCGTCAAACTGGCTTCCAAGTCAAGCATTCCTGGCTTGAAGTTTGAACCCCAAAAACCAGACTTAACAGTTTTTCTGCAGGAAGAGCAGTGTCCCTTCCTTTAACTTGCAATTGCTAATCATGAAGAACAAGCTCTGTGTTCAGATTCTAACAAGCTGTGGAAAAGATAGGAGGACATTAGAAAGCAGAAAAGCAGGATTTATTGGTTTTATTTCAGGGCTGGGTCATTGTTGGAGGGGCAAGTAGCTTTGTTAATTGATCTCAAAGAGGGAGCTGCTGGCTGCTGTTGCGAATGAGGCTGTAAAGATTACTTTCTCACTCAAAAATATGCACTGGGTCCCAAAGACTTCTATTTAAAATATAAAGCTACAATGATACCATATTCTATTATAGAACATGAAACATTAAGTTGAAAGGGACTTAACAGATAAATAAAAGCATATACACAGTATATATATATATACGTGTGCCTGTATGCACACACAAGCACATGCACACATGTCTGCCCCAGTGTCAAGCTTGATGCTGTGCATGTGTGTTTCATCAAAGAAGCACAGATTTGGAACCAGGGCTATTATTTCCAGTGACTTGCTGCCTCGGGGGCAGCAAATGGAAAAGAGCAGGGTAGCCTGCTCTCTCAGCGATGTTCACTGCATCTCAAAGGTTATGTCATGTTTCCCGGCAATTGACTCAATAGGTTTGGATTCTGCAACATAAGGTCAGGCTGTTTCCACTCTGCTTATGTTTCCTGGGGAACGTGCCTTCCAGTTGTTTTCACATTGACCTCATTACCCAGTCCTGGTGATGAGCTTGACATGGACATGCTGCGGCTGCGGCCGGCTTGGGGCTGCCCTGCCCTTGCAGACCCCATGCCTCTGACCTGACCAGTGTGGCTGGGGATGCCTCTGCCTTGGCTCAGAAAGGTCTGATCCCTCTGCTCCCCCTGCAAAGTCCCTCTGCATACAACTGAACAAAAATTACAGGAGGACCAGGATGAGATGGAGGGGCTGGGGACCCTTTCTCCCATTTATGCAAGGGCAGGCAATGAAGAGGAGAGACAGGAGACACCCAGGCCCCTAGTCTAAGATCTTCAATGCATGAGCAGAGGGACCTGACCAACACCAATATAACATTTCCCAAATTCCCCAGTTCCTTTTCAGAGGGAATGTTTTCTAATCAGTTCTGGAAGCTCATTCTGAGCAATGAGAAAGTGATTTTCTCAAATCCACTGTCTCTGTATACCTCCTGTCTACACAAATTTCTGCTGGGTCTCTTTCAAGGGAATTAGAATACTTTTTAAAACATAATTGTTTTGGCTCTGGGTAGTGGACTTCACCAAAGTAAAAATACTCAGTGAACTCAAGGTTTTATTTCCCCAAATGACTGAGGAACTTGAGCATGAATCAGTGACGAAATGCTTCTATTAGCTGAGTCCTAGACAGCCAATTAGAATGGGCTGGGCTGGGCTGGGCTGTGAGCCCATGAGGATCTAGGCCTGCCATAGTTCCATCCTTTGTGTTGTGATAATGGGTGGGTTATTTAAAATCTCAGAGCCTGTCAAATGGAGGATTAGTATGAGGATTGAAGGAGATCACACCTAGGGAGTACTTAATAAAGGCTAATTTGAGTCATTTACCTCTGTGTTTCGGGTTTTCACTATGGAGTGATTTTATTAACCTGGGTCTGGCCAATTACTTGGTGAAGCCAGAAGAAAGAAAACTAAAGTCTGAAGTGGGGGAAAAAAAATTCTGGACCATGAAGGTCAATCAGGCAGTAGAATAATTTCACTCAGGAAGTTGTCAAGACTCTAGAACTAGAGATATTCAAGGAAAAATTGGATGTCATACTTACGGAAGTAATATCGGAAGACTTTGTGCCCTTGTGTATGAGTCTGAAGGAGATGACCCAGCAGCTGATCTATAAATAAAATGCTCTTTTTGTTGTCTAAGATTTGGGTGCTGTGGGAATGGCAGGATGTGTCGGGCACTTTGAAAAGTGATAATACAAAAGCATTGCAGTACAGTGAAATCCTGATGTTTCTCTTCATCACAAAAAACATATTCGAAACGTGAAGCCCATTCTAAAATGCAAATACGACCAGGCTGCTCCCTCTCTTACAGTAGACTAGCCTAGTCTGTATACATGTGTACAATGAATTGTTCAACACAAGAGAAGTTTACTTTTGTGTTCCACGGTCTGAGGCAGCTGTTCCTGGTTGGTGGGAAGCTTTCTTCCATACAGTGACTCAGGAATCCAAGCTCCTTTTGACGTATGGTTCTACTGTCTCCTACCCCCTTGTCATCCTCTACATGAACTGGTGAAAGGAGAAAGGATTTGTAGGAGGGGCAGTCACCTGTTAAAAGCCTTGGCCAGAACAGGCGCCATCTTCCTTTTCATATTCCTTCGGTTAGGACTCAGCCACATGGCCACACCTACCAGCAGAAGCTGCTGGAAATTGGGGTCAGCTGGATGCCCAGAGGAAGAAGAGGAGAGAGCTCCAGCTGGCCAGCCTGTGGTTTTGGCACATTCCGTTTCCTAAACTCGTTCAACTGATCCCACACTGCTCTGAGATTGGAGCATCGACATCAGGCAAAGTCACCATCTGTTATCTTTGAGAAACAGATAAAAGCTATGGATCTCTCTCCATGCTTATACCCATTGCCAATTCTGCTTGCAGGTTTACAGAGGGTTCCCAGATGCCGTCAGTGGAATTCCCAACCTTGGAGGACAGAGAAATTGCTCTCCAATAATGCCCAGTCTAAGAAGTAATGTTTTCACGAAGAACTAGTGCACCTTCAGAAGACCTGCAGTGGATAGGGAGTATGTAAGGGGCTAATTTTGATGCCAGCAACCCTAGGATTGGTTGCTGGGGAAAGGCATAGAGGTAAGCTGCTAGCCCGAGCTGAGCTGTTTCCTCCATAGTGCTGCTAACAAGGCTCTGCTTGATCTCAGTCCTCTGCTGTGTGGCTCCCCACCATGAAGGCGAGTCTGACTTGTGTACACAAGGTTGAGAATCCCCAGGCTCCAATTGCACAGAAACGTGGGCAGGTGTCATAATTAGCCATTTCCTGCCAAAACCCCACAAATAAGCTACAATCCTCGAGACAACCCTCTGGAACCTTTTACAGAATTGTTTGCAGACCAAATAATATTCATCTGTAACCTGCTTAATTACCCAAGCCATATATTTAACTGCCCTGGACTTGCTGGTACACATTTTACAGAGAATCGGATGTAAGGGGAGTTAATGGCAGGAGGGCCTCTAGCCACCATGTGGAACTCAACAAAGCAGAAACCAAGGCTTGTCTGCCCACAGACTAGTCAGATGGGTGCGAGGTTGCAGTTTCCTGTTCTATTCCTTGCCTGTCAAGACCAATAAACATGTCATGAAGTGACCAGAAACGTGTGGATTTGGAAAGGCAAACGTTGACATTGAGCACACTGTTTCAATGGTCTGAGCGGCCTCTCCTGTCTCTCTTGAGGGGAAGTTAAGGCACTAGATTTTTTAAAAAGTGCAAAACCCCCTTAAATACCCGGTTTTCCACCTCCTGACATTTTCCGCACATCTCAGGAAATATATGAACTAAACGAGTATTTTCCCCTCTAAATTAAGAAAATCAAATTTGATGTTAAAAAGTCTAAATGATATTTACTGACTAATGGAGGCAAGGGCTTGGATTATGCTTGCTGAGGACATAGATGAAGTCTTTCCTCCCCCTCCTCCTGCCGCTATCAGCAAGACATTGAGGGAGCCACTGTGCGTTCTACACTACAAGAGAGATGCCTGCTGGGGAGAGCGTCCTGTGATCTGCCAAAATGTTTAGAGGCGGCACTGTTGGATAAGCAATTGTTCGGGTTATCCGGAGATTCATGCAAATGTATTTTCATCACAAAATTTATTTGTAAGTGCATAGACACAGCCACAGCCTCTCCATTCAGAGGGTCACAGTTCCTATCTGGTTTTGCAGTTTGAAAATCATGTTACACCTGTTAGCCTTTTCCTCACCACAAAGGCTGTTCCTGGGCCAATGCAAACTTAACTGTATGGTTAGATAAGAAAATTCAGATGAGAAAGTATTGTGTGAAATACAATATGGAGAATATTGGGAGTGAACAAGATGTAACAGGAATACAGAAACAGTAATATTCTCTCCCATATTTGCAAAGTATAGTATGTGTGAGTGTGTATGAGAGAGAGAGAGAGAGATTGGATGGTATTCATTTGAACAAAGCTTTATTTAAAAAATTGAAATAAACTTCCATTGTTTCCTTTTCTTATTATTGTAAATAAGGCTTCAATGAACATCTCCCTGCAAATGACATATTTTCTTCTTCTAAATAATTTCCTCCAGAATAAATTTTATGCAGGGGAATATTTGGCGAAAGGGTGTGGATTGGTTTTTGGTTTTTAAAATATACATATTGTCAAGTTACTTTTCAAGAAGAATTATACAAATTTATGGTGTTACCAGCAAATAATGAATTTAACAATTTTATGAATAATGAATTATACAAATTTATGGTGTTACCAGCAAATAATGAATTTTGTCACTGTTGGATTCTGCCTCATTCATTTACTAAGTCTAAAATGGTCCTCATTATTATTTGAATTTGCTTTTCTTTTATTTATCACAATCTTATTTTGCTGTGTGCTAGCTTACTTTTTGTATTTTTCGGGGAATATTCAAATATCATGACTTTTGATTTTGCTAGATAGTGTTCTTTTCCATTTGAAGGAGCCTTTTATAAAACATCAGCATTATCCCTTCAAACATGTTGAAATCCATCAGTGATAATTACATTCATATCTGTAAAATGTGCATAACAATTCATTCCCTGGGCTATTGCACTGAATTATCGTGATAATGCATTCGAAAGTGCTTTGAAAAATCCCAAGCATTATGTACATGGAGGTATATGATGATCTTAATATGGAATTTATACTTAGTTAAAAGTGTAAGTATAAATAGAAATATACTCTGGCGATAAATAGTTCTATAGGAACTCATGTGCAAAAGATCTGGATATTTTAGCTAATCATGGGCTCAATAAGAGAAAATATTAGAACCCAAGTGATAAAGAGGTTAATATGAGACACAATTTATGCCTGAATATATGATGAACTTTTCCACCAAAAATTATCCATCGGGAAAAAAGCCACCTTATATTTAAGGTCTAACAAGTCTCTCATATTACAGGAAACAAGAATATATTGTATTATGAAGACATATGACCTCAATCAATGCCAGTTTTGAGGCTTACAGAGGCCCCTTGATAGAATTAGTTAAAAAAAAAAAGGAGGCAAAGAAATTTCACATGAATTTAGTGATTATTCCTGGGTGTGTGACCTCACAGTTTTAAATGCAAAATGTTGATTTAAACAAGTTTTTTAATTGATTTTTAGAGATCACTTGACAAAGCCAACAAGTAAGGGGTTATATTATGGAAATCACACATCTATAAACCTATGAGATGAATTTCAAGAGCCCAGCTGCCTAATATTATGCAAATGGGCACTTGTGGCTTGGGGGAACAACATAGTAAATGCACCACACACAGATGTAAACTTAAACCTTGAACTACAGGTGTAAGTACAATTTGAAACAGTATGGATGACTCTCATGAGCATAATATTGACTAAAATAAACTAGACACAAAAAACACTTACATAAAATTCAAAAGCAGGCACCTTTAAACTGCTGTGGTAGGAGTCAGGGTTCTGGTTTCCCTCTGAAGAGGAAAAGGGCGGGGCTTCTGGGGCACTGGTTGGTAATGAGTGCAAGGGTCGTTCTGTTGGCTCACTTTGAGCAAAATCAATAAGCCAAACACGGATGATTTGTGCCTTTTTCTGTATATGTATGTTTTACTTCAGTGAAACTTTTTTTTTTTTTTTTTTGAGACGGAGTCTCGCTCTGTCGCCCAGGCTGGAGTGCGGTGGCGCCATCTCGGCTCACTGCAGGCTCCGCCTCCCGGGTTCACGCCATTCTCCTGCCTCAGCCTCCCGAGTAGCTGGGACTACAGGCGCCCGCCACCACGCCCGGCTAATTTTTTGTATTTTTAGTAGAGATGGGGTTTCACCGTGTTAGCCAGGATGGTCTCCATCTCCTGACCTCGTGATCCGCCCGCCTCGGCTTCCCAAAGTGCTGGGATTACGGGTGTGAGCCACCACGCCTGGCCGAAACTTTTTAAAAATACTACACTTTGAGCAATTTAGAGCTAAAGATGATATGTTCTGGAAATCTGTTTTATTTATGTGACTCTGAAGGTGGCTCCAGTGACGGCAGGGATGATGTAATGATGCAAATGAAGAGTGAATAATGTTTTTGATAACATGTGTGTAGAAAAGAAAAGCCATGTTTTTATTTTGTGGTGGTCGTTGAGATGGGGTCTCACTATAGTGCCCAGGCTGGTCCTCAACTCCTGAACTCAGGTGATCCTCCTGCCTTCACCTCCCAAAGTGCTGGGATTAACAGGCATGAGCCACCACATCCAGCCAGAAAACTGTGCTTCTAAATTGATCTATTCTATTAGAATGTGTGATTCAGAATAAATATGTAATTTAATTCCTAAATTACCAAATTCGAATTTTAAAGTAGACATTTGACTATTTCATTCTAATTCTTCAAATTTATATCTAAGTTGGCCCTTCCCATTGGCAAACTGTAGCGTGGCCGTGTTTGGTGGGATTTTTTTTTTTTTTTTTTTTTTTTAATTTTGAGAAGCAGTTTGAGCTCATTTCCTGCATGTTTAGTTCTAGGTGCAATGTTTTAAGGGGAAGACTTACACTATGAAGCTAGCCCAGAAGAGGGTGACTAGAGTACTGAGGAGTTTCTACCTGGAAGGGCTGTAAGGTAAGATAAATCTTGGTGTAGAGGGTGTTTATGAATATGGGAAAGGCTGTCATGTGCAAAGAGGCTGGTACAGTCAGCTGGACCCAGGGAAGAGAACTAGGATGCTTGAGTGCAGGGCGCACTTCAAGCCAGTATTAGGAAGAATTTCATAACGACTGGAGCTCATTAGAAGGGAGATGAGATATCTTCAAATTAATCCCCATAGATTCAAGAATCCCTTAGATTAATCCCTTAGAAGATTCTGGGATAATCTGGATAATTATTTGTTAGAGATGTGTGTGGAAGGAATGTCTTCAGTGGATCAGGTCTTTTTATGATTTCTCCCAACCTCAAGAGCTCATGACGTCATGGTTCCTTTCTTAGCTGTCTCCAGCTGGTCAGCTCCGTGTCTGCAAAGTTTAGAACGCGAAGAGCTTATTTGTGAAGTGGTCCACACCATACAGTCAAGCCATTTTGACCCCAACCAGGAGCCAGGATAACCTGGTTTGGTTCTTGACAGTGATCAAATGAGCCAAAATAACATTTGTTCTCTTAGTTATTTTTCCTAGGTCAAACTTCTGAACCACTGGTGTGTTTTGTTTAGCTTAGAATTTAAAAAAAGAGCTTGTTGCCAACAAGAAGGAAGTTTTTTTTTGTTTGTTTTGTTTTAAACTTCAGATTCCTGGGTTTTTCTTGAAAAGCCACTGGTCCTACAGGCAGCAATGGGGTCCCTGTGTTTCTTGCATTCTGTAGAGGGGCTGGCATTCCTGGGCTCACTGAGGCCCCACCCAGCTGCTTCCCTTATTCGCTCACATTATCTGCCTGGCCCCTGAATCTGTTGAGCTTGCAATCCCTTTTCTAAGAAGATATTAATAGTTTTCCTTTCTTTCATGCATAATTTCAGTTGTCTTTAAAATCAATTAAATTTACAGAGATTAATCTATGGCAATGAAAAAACAGAGTCTAGTGCCTGTCAATTTTATATTCCAAGTAAAGGTGACCCTAAGAAGAACTGGTAGAATATCTGCTCACTTGCTTTTCAATGTGAATTTAGAATTTTATTTTTCTTATGGACTTAATCTCTTTGCTCTTCATTTTCTTCATCTGTAATATAAGGTTACTGAAGTAACAGACAACTGCCTCAGGAATAATTTTTGTGGATTAAATAAGGTCATGCTGGGAAGCACTTATGTCAGTGCCTGGCAGATAGAATGCTCTCAGTAAACATTTATTAAAAAGAGGGAGTATAATGAAGGAATGATCTAAAATTCATATTGTCTAAAATATGCTCAGTAGAATACATCAAGCTAGAAATCTCAAAATATTTACTGTGGCAATAAATTGACAAACATTTCAATAATTTAGCTGCTATTGTGTTTGGTGGTTTTCATAAAGGGTACGCCATTGTCCTGTTCACTTTCCAGCTCTCCTGCACTAACCCGGTGGTTACCATAGCCCTAGAAGGAGTTCTGTTAGGCTGGGGATGATCACTTGATGAGGCTGGTGTCCTCTAAAAAGTGGTACTAGTTTCCCCACTTGCTTATCTAGGATATCTCTTGAGGAAATTGTCTTCAAAAAGAGAAGCAAGACTAAAACCTAAACAAATGAACAAACCAAATAGTTAATTCCTTTTGGAATAAATGGAACAGCAAAAGTCTCTCAGGTGTTAACTTGGAGTCAGCCAAACTCAAGGTTAAGGGCACAGTCTTCCAAGACTGTCAAGTCTGCCCAAGACTTCTGACACCACTTACAAGTTTGGGAGTTCCCAGGGCCATCCTCACATGAGACAAGGTAACAACAAATTTAGGGGTTCCCATGGACTCCCTCAGGTTTGATAAACTGCCAGAATGACTCACAGAGTGCAGGAAAGCACCATACTTACAATTACAGTTTTATTATAGCAAAAGGACACAAATTAGAGCCAGCCACAGGAAGAGACACATGGGACGGAATTTGAGACTCAGAGGGTCTCAAAGGTAAAGCTTCGGTGTCCTCAGGGATGTGTTACCCTCCCGTTGTTGAAGTGTGATAATATGCAGCATTGCTAGCCTATGGAGGTCACTGTCTTAGTCCCTTTGTGCTGCTCCAATAAAATATCATAGACTATTTACTATACATAAAGAACACATATTTATTTCCCACAATTCTGGAGACTGGGAAGTCCAAGCTCAAGATGCCAGTGTCTGGTGAGGGCCCACTCCTCATAGGTGATGCTGTCTCAGTGACCTCAGAAGGCATAAGACCAGAAGAGAGCAAACTCACTCCTTCAAGCCCTTTTATAAGGATCCTAATTCCATCCATGAGGGCTCTGCCCTTATGCCTGAATCAACTCCGAAAGGCCCCACCTCTTAATACTATCACATTGGTGATTACACTTCAACACATAAATTTTGGGGGGACATTCAGAGCATAGCAGTCACCAAATATCAGTGTCCAGAGTTTTTATTGGGGTTTCATTATGTAGGCATGATTGATGGAATCCTTGACCAGCTGATATTACCTGATTCAGTGCCCCAACCTTCTAATCTCACTGGGCTTTCAAGGTGGCCAGCTTTCACCCTGAGTCATCTATGAGCACAAACTCTCCAGGGGCCCACCATGAGTCACCTCATCAGCATAAGTGGGGTCCACCATGAATAACAAAGGCACTGCTATCACTCAGGAAATTCCAAGGGTTTGGAGATTCAAAGGCTAGATTGCTGCTCTTTGGGTAGAGTTAATTCTTTACTACACAGGCACCTACCTGGGGCAGGCAGCCCCTGAGATGGTCCCCACTGACCCCCACCTCCTGGTCATACATAAGGTATGACCACCTCCTATGCTGAACCAAATGACTCATTTCTGGCAAATAGAATACTAAAAATGTGATGGATATCACTTCTGGGATTAGGGTACAGAAAGGCTCTGCCTTCCTTCCCTGTTACTCACCGTCTTCTTTTGCTTCTTGCATTGAGGAAGACAACTGCTATGTTGTGAGCGGCTCTATGGAGAGGCCCATGTGGAGGGAAGTGAGGAAGGCCTCTGGCCAACAGTCCAGGAGGAAGTGAAGCCCTCAGTCCAACAGCCTGTGTGGAACTGAACCCTGCAAACAACTCTGTGTGTGAGCTTGGAAGTGGATCCATATTCAGTCAAACCTTGAGATGGGACACCATGCTCTGCTAACACTTGATTGTGGTCCCAGCTAGGCCACTGCTGAAGTCTTGACTCAGAGAAACGATGATATAGTAAATGTTTGTTGTTTCAAGTTGGTAAGTTTTGGGATAATTTTTTATATAGTGATAATTTTTTATATACTTTAAAATAACACATTGCCCTATCCTTTGGTTACACTTTTCTCTTGGAACTCTGCTTGCCCATATATTACAGAAATATTTTTCAGATCATGGGCTGAAAGGTGGATTATGGATGCAATGTTTAAATTTAGCAATGTCATTTATGACTGTTCATATGAGCTTTGCTGCATAAAATGTTGATATTAATTTGTTTCCCTTTAAGACATTCTTAATGTTTACCTCTCAGTATTTTCTTTGTAATCAATTAATGTAAGATGAATATAGTTTGTAGGTTTTACCTTTCTTGATTCGTATACAAAACACACAACATCCAACCATTGTTATTTAAAGATTATCTAGGAGGAGATGATGGAAACTCTGTTTTGGGCCACCTTCTTTACACATTGGGTCTATTTCCCCTAACTTGAGTATATATTAAACTAGTGGGGGATTGAGCTACAAAAATGCTACTTGGTGAGAATTTTATTAATACAAATACTCAACTCTGAAGTTACGTTTTTGTGGAAAGTTATCACTTTGGAATTTGAATTTTCTTGGAGCTAAGCCACTGGTAGTTGTAAAAGCTACACCTGTAAATTTGCTCCCTAGAAGATACTTTCGTTTAGTGACCACTTGTTTCTCTGTGGATAAATTCAATTATAAATTACAATCGAATTGACGTTTTCATAGCATCCTTCACTCTCCAAGTATCTCAAGTCCTCTGTGAATTATAAAGTAATTACAGTGCTCAAAGGACAGTTTCATAATTGTGTCCATGAGCACAGACTTTCCTCTATGTTCGAGAAGGGCTCATTCCCAGCCGGGAACATTAAGTTGGATTTTATTGAGACTGGGGACTGCTAGTCCAGACAGCTGGGTGATCCCCTGCGCTATTTTGAAAAGTATCCTGGGATCTTTAATTTCCACCTGGATGGTCAGGGAGGTGAGAGAACGGCCCTCACTGGGTGTGACCTTGTATCCCACTTGGGGTCTTGAACCAGGGGACCCCCAACCCCAGAGGTGAGACATGCAATATGGTCAATTATACAACCTCTTAATTATTTTTTGCTGAATCTCAAGTGAGTTCTCATGGCCTGCTCTCTCCCGGGTGGGTTCAGAAGGTGGCCAAGAAGAAATGTTAGAAAATTCCCAGAGAGCCATTTCATGAGAATGTTTTCTTTGGTTTATACCTGATACTGTTTTGTTTTTGTTGTTGCTTTTTAATAACTTTTTTTTCTTTTTGTGGGGTCATTTGCGTAATACACAGGTGACGAACACTCAAGGTTATTTGGTCGCATGCCACCAAATAACTTTCCTTTGGCACATCTGCAGTGAAGGAGTCTTTCTGTCTGTCTCCTTTTGTTCCTCATCATCTATTAGCTTGGCACAGCTGACTGAGCTGTTAAATGATTACTGCATATTTTGTACCTCACCTTGAGAGGCTTTGGTATAAAAAGGTGCTAATTAAGCTGAAGCTTCTGGCCCTCTTGCCTATGTGGGCCCCAGGAAGCGAAGCAAAAAGACTTTAGGGAGCTGGAGCTTGTGTGTGTGTGTGTGTGTGTGTGTGTGTGTGTGTGTGTGTGTGTGTGTGTGTGTGTTTCGTTTTCAGCATTTTGAGGAATTGTTACTGGAACTTATAAAATAATTGTTTTAGACCTTATAAACACAGCAAATTCTTCAAACTACGTATGAGGCTGACTCAAAAAGCCACGTAAAGGTAGCTTGGCGAATCAACTAACTGCTGACCAGTTTGTGGTGATCGTAAGTCTATATATGCTGGATTTGGCGATCGTAAGTCTATATATGCTGGATTTGAATATTTTCTGTATTTAAAGAAAAATAAGTACATTCTAAGAATAGTTGTCATCTCCCTCTGTAGACTTGCCCCGTAGATATTTGAAATGGGGATTAACATATTTAAGAGTAGCAGGAAGTGCTATTTCATCAGTGTCTAGAATGGGAGGCGAATTCAGTCCCTGCCTGGACTTGTTGACTAGCTCGCTGGGTTGTGAAAACCACGGCATTCTCCTGGGAATTTGTTCCAGGGCACTGACTGCATTTCTTCTGAAGCTAAAGCACTTAGCTTTGCTTCCATGCCTTTTAATATAATTTGTAGGCTTCAGCAGATTTCTAAAGTACACCACTTGATATCTTTCACAGCTCAAGGTAAATTCTGCAGCACGAACTTATAGAATTTTTTTCTTTTACCTGGGGTGAGAACATACCTTTTCCTAGTGCTATTTTTTTTTTCTGGGCTACCTTTCATCTGTTTACATGAATTCCACTTCTTCTCGCTGTGTTAAAGAAATCCCCTAAGCTGTCTACATAGGTGTGAAACTTTTGGTTGTGATTTCCTTGAAGTTAGTTGGAACTGGAACATTTTTTTCTGTGTCCTGAATGGCTCACACATTCCCTAACACAGAATGGATACTCAGCGAACAGTTGTTGAATCAGTGAACGGTAATGGCTCAGTTCTGTCAGACAATGGATTGAATTATTTTTACACCTTTAATTCACTCATGGACTGAATTAACCTACTCATGGGCTGTTTGGGGCATCAAGTGATATTTATACATTTCTGAAGAATGTGGAATCACCAGGGTTAACAGTGTTTGCAGGTGGCGTTCGATTGCAGGGGCCCAAGGAACCACGGCTGAATTCCGCATGGACATAGGCCATTTTCCACCAGCAAAGTTATGAGAACTTTTTTTGTTTTGGTAACTGATGTGAAATTTTCAGTTCCGAATGACATCCAGAAACTCTCCTTCTGCAGCAGATGAATGTTTTGAGGGAATTTGAGAGGAGGGTTTGTCTTTTATCTCTCACCTGCACGAGGACACTTGCAGTCTCTTAAGAGATGTTCTCTTTTTGAAATGGTGGAAGGACAGAAGCATCAGCCAGCCCGTTCATGCTTGGGGACAGAGAGGGAGCTCAGAGCTTAGGGGAGCACAGGTCACTCTAATGAATGACAGCTGTAATAATAAAGACATGCCATCCATGCTACTTTTTGCAGAAACCAGAAACATCCTTGTGAAAGTTAAAGGGAAAAGAAAAACGTGTACTTTGAGGGGGGTGTTAACGGGGGACAGGAGGTGGCGACATAAAAGACTGGTTTAATGTGTCTCGTTGTAGCCCCTAAGGCTTTACCTGACCCCATCACTGTCACAACACCTTCTTCGGGACTGACAGTCTTGGTAATTGATGGGTTGGTGGGGGCTTTTTTCTGCAAACACATTAAGGCAGGAGGGAATACTCTGGCCCCCACCTCCCCACGCCTGGCACGGGGGACCTGGAGGCGAGCAGACACCAGGCCCGGCGGTGTTGGGGGCAGAAGGGATCAATTCTGTCAACCAGACTGCCCAGCTACTGTCAGGCACTGGGACCCTTCACCTGCTCCTTGGAGTCATTAGAACTCCCAAATCTCTTTGCAGGCCTTTTCTATTAGACACATACTCCCATGTTTTGATTTTTTGCTCCCAAAGTCATTTTTTTAAATAATTACCTGCATCGAACCACACTTACCATCTGTGGGCTGAGAGCGGGCAAATGATTTATTAGTCTTGGTTTCTAACGGTGCTGAGCAGCTTGGGATCGATCTTGCTGGTGACACACTCGGCAGATGCACCGATGGGTGGGAGGGTCAATGTCAGGATGAAGCTTCTTGCGGAGCTGACATGCACGTGGGGACCCCAGGTGTGGTGTTTAGTTGGTAGACTGTGACATTGCAAAAGTGGAGTCTCAAGCCATGGCGGATAACAGGCGGCAGAAAAAGCAGTGAGGGAGCTTCTTGGGATGTTTTACTTTAAGTAGAAAGTAAAACTGTGCATGAAAAGAGGGGACAGAGTATGCAACCCAAATCATCGCCAAGGCTCTTGGTTTCTTCTGTGCACACTGCCTGCCTTGTATCCAAGCGTTTGACTGTGCAGAGGCCAGTCATACTGGGGGACCCTGAGCACTACCCTTGGCATTTGGGTATATCCTGATCAATATAGCCATTTCCACTGCTTGACATTATGTTTTGGGGGCTAGTTTTTTAAAGATCAATGATTGAATTGCTGCTCGGCTGATTGGATATGTCTTCTCGGAGACTCACCTGTCCTCCCCGAAGAGATGCTGACTACACAACAGCAGTCACTGTGCTGGGCACACGGGCAGTGTTCAGGAGACGTGGCTTCCTTTCTTCTTCTTTCATTTCTTCCTGCCCAGAACAGCAAGGCTGAGACTGATAATAAAATTCCTGGAACATGGAGAAACTCATGTGGGGAGAAAAGAAGAAATGTATTGTGACTTCCATGGGCTTTTGGCACTTTTGGACCTCCCTCCTCCTCTTTTCCATAAAAAATGTATTTTAAGACATATTGGTATAAAGATGAGATTATTCATAGTACATATTAAAATGTTTTCCCCTACCTAAAAGTTTGTGGTTTTATTGTCTTCTTGTTTTTAAAATAAATTAAAATATTTTCAAAGGCCGTTAGAAGAACCGTGGGCCCTGGGCTTGGTGCCTGCTGTGCCTCATAAATCAGGCCTGGAGAAGAGACATCAGTGACATTTTAGTGTCAGGTAGAAAATGTAAAATATCATGATTGTTTTCCAATGATATACTAAGTAAGACACATAAGATGTGTTTTAATTTTTTTCTTGATGTATGCTGTTGTCTTTTAGTTATAAATGCTGAGTACTGTTAAAAGATAAACTGAGGCACAATAAAATTTGAAGAGTTTATTTGAGCAAACAATGATTTGTTACCGAAACACCAGGGGTTCATCTGGGTCCTGCTGCTTGCCACACAGAAAGCCAATCACTGAGACAATGAATATTGCCAAGGAAGAAGGCTTTACTCAGGTGCTGCTGTCCAGGAGATGGGAGATCAGTCTCAACTCCACCTCCCTGACTGATTAAAACTAGAGGTTTTATAGCAGGGAAGAAATGTAACAGTATGTAAGAAAACAGGAACTACGGAGGGGCAAGGAAGCAATCATGAAGAATGAGGGGCCTGACATCTCATTGCATGTGATGATCTGGTGAGTTTCAGTTCTCTGATACTCTTTGAGAGGTCTGGGCTTCCTTTCCTGTGGAAGCAACTCAGATAAAACAAATGTAAGTTTGAAGCTTTAAGATCAGATGGATCAATTTCTTTTTTTTTTTTTTTTTTTTTTGAGACGGAGTCTTGCTCTGTTGCCCAGGCTGGAGTGCAATGGCCACGACCTTGACTCACTGCAAGCTCCGCCTCCTGGGTTCATGCCATTTTCCTGCCTCAGCCTCCCAAGTAGCTGGGACTACAGGCACCCGCCACCATGCCCAGCTAACTTTTTGTATTTTTGGTAGAGACAGGGTTTCACCATGTTAGCCAGGATGGTCTTGATCTCCTGATCTCATGATCCACCTTCCTTGGCCTCCCAAAGTGCTGGGATTACAGGTGTGAGCCACCACGCCTGGCCAGATCAATTTCTATGTTTATCTAAAAACTGTTGATGAGACTTGGGTCAGTTTCAGATTCACGAATCAGGCAGCTCCAAACTAAAAGTGGTTCAGTGCCTATGCTGAGGAAAGGAAGAGACAGGCTTTTGTAGAGTGAATGGGGAAAGAACAGAAATGCAATATTTGATTGGTTACAGTTAAAACTTGCCTCATTTGGTCTATCCTGCTGAGAAGTCCCCAGTTATATAATTATAAATTTGTTGGCTGCTTCTGATTGTTTGAGCTTCAGTTCTGGTTTTCTAATATGGGCATTTACAGAAATAGCTCATGTTAAGTTTTGTTTATGTTTGCAAATCAAGCAAGGTTAAGGTCATTAATGAAGTCTAACTGGCTTTGCCTGCTCAGGGCATCTTCAAGCCCGGTCTTCATTTTGATTTACTGTAACAGTACTTTAGATTTGTAAGGTAAAGTTAGAGTCCATCTTTGTTGACTCCAAGACATACTCTGAAGTTTGAACTTTTTAATAACTCCCTGATATGTATTAACTTTTTTTGTAGGTATGACTGTCATCTACATTTCCAAGTTCTTTTTTTTTGAGACAGAGTCTCACTGTGTTACCCAGGCTGGAGTGCAGTGATGTGATCTCAGCTCACTGTAACCTCCACCTTCCATGTTCAAGTGATTCTTGTGTCTCAGCCTCCTGAGTAGCTGGGGTTACAGGCGTGTGCTACCACGGCCAGCTAATTTTTGTATTTTTAGTAGAGACGGGTTTTCACCGTGCTGGCCAGGCTGGTCTTGAATTCCTGACCTCATTTGATCTGCCTGCCTCAGCCTCCCAAAGTGCTGGGATTACAGGCATGAGCCACCACGCCCGACCTCCAAGTTCTTTCTAGTAAGTACTTAGTACTTTAGGTTTCTTAAGATTTTTCCTCTTATTTAGCTGAAATTTTGTGTCCTTTAAGTACTTACTACAGAGAACTTGGAAATTTAGATGACAGTCATACCTACAAATAAGGTTATTATGGATAAGTTATAGTGTTATTTAACTTATTATGGGTAAGTTATAGTGTTATTTAAGTTACTATGGATAAGTTATAGTGTTATTTAACAATCAATATGCTACTTAGGAAAAAAATTTCCTGAGCTCTATGCAAAGAAGCCTGTTGTAAAGCAAATAATGCCATCTAATGTATTTGCTTGTCACTTGGGTTGTTTTTTCCAATTATTGAAACATTTAAAATGAATGCATCTCTATTCTTTCTAGCCTGCTGAGTACTGAAGGGTTGGACTATATCTCCGGTTTTTTCCACCCTGACAAGCGTTTCCTAAGAGCAAGTGTGGTGCACAGGTAATAGCCTAGGCTATAGAGGTGACTGAGTGTAGTTTAATTCCTGGCCTTTCCACTTGCTCTTGGGCAAGTTACTGAAATGCTCTATGCTTCCGTTTCTTCAACTATAAAAAGAGGAAAAAAGGCCAGGCCTGGTGGCTCACGCCTGTAATCTCAGCACTTTGGGAGGCTGAGGTGGGTGTATCACGAGGTCAGGAGATCGAGACCATCCTGGTTAACACAGTGAAACCCCGTCTCTACTACAAATACAAAAAATTAGCCGGGCATGGTGGTGGGCGCCTGTAGTCCCAGCTACTCGGGAGGCTGAGGCAGGAGAATGGTGTGAACCTGGGAGGTGGAGCTTGTAGTGAGCAGAGATCATGCCACTGCACTACAGCCCGGGGGCAGAGCGAGACTCCATCTCAAAAATAAATAAATACATAAATAAATAAATAATAAAATTAAAAAGAGGAAAAGAAATGCAAGTATCCTTCATAATCCAAAACAAATTTGTTCCCGAAACCAGGTAAGACGGTGAATATCCACAGAGCAGGAGCCTGTGTTCCTTTATTTAATTTAATGTATGTATTATTAATTTATTATTTATTTTTAAAACTGACATAGAATTGTATATATTATTAATGGTGTACAACACGATGTTTTGAAATACATATACATTGTGAAATGGCTAAATCAAGCTAATTAACATATGCATTACCTCACATACTTATCATTTATTTTCGACGAGAACACTTATATCAACTTTCTTAGTAATTTTCAAGAAAATAATATATTATTACTAACTATAGTCCCTGTGTTGTACAATAAATTTCCTAAGCTTATTCCTCCTGTCTAGCTGAAATTTTGTATCCTTTGACCAACATCACCCCAATCACTCCTACCCCGCAGCCTCTGGTAACTTCTATTCTACTCTACACTTGTGTGAGTTTGACTTCTTTAGTTTGCACAAAAAAGTGAGTGAGATCATACAGTATTTCTCTTTCTGTGCCTGACTTATCTCACTTGTGAGAAAAATAATGAATATGTTTCTAGCTCATCCTAAGGTCCCAACTGACGTCCCTCCAAATCCCTAAAACTCAAACAGGTTGGTTCATGACAAACCACTACAGATGTCTGCATGACACAAAGTGTTTAAAACGTTACCTCATTTTAAAATAATTAACTCATTGATGGGTATGCTTGTGTGTACAGTAACTCTAGAAATGATTTTCTTTCTACACTTCATCAAGCATATACTCTAAGGTAAATGAGCAACAAAGTAATACATTAAAAGCAGGCAGGGCATGGTTGCTCACGCCTATAATCCCAGCACTTTGGGAGGCCAAGGTGGATGGATTGCTTGAGCCCAGGAGTTTGAGACCAGCCTGGGCAACATGATGAAACCTCATCTCTACAAAAAACACAAAAATTACCTGGGCATAGTGGCATGTGTCTGTTATCCCAGCCACTCAAGGGGATGAGGTGGGAGGATCGCTTGAGCCCAGGAGGTCGAGGTTGCTGTGAGCCATGATAGCACCACTGCACTCCAGCCTGGGTGACAGAGTGAGACCCTGCCTCAAAAAACCAAACAAAACAAAGCAAAAGACAAAATACAAAAAAAGAAAGCCTATTGTGAAGTAAAATAAACAAGCAATGCAAATTTAAAAAAATGATTCCTTACAGATTGGAGACCTACAGATTGAAGGTGATTGAGATTTGGAGGTGAGAGAAGGGATATGGAACTGTTGTCACTGTTGTTGTCTGTGCTAAACCTCTAAGGTACAACGACTTCTTGGTCCACTGGTGGTAAAAGCAACTTGAACTTTATCTTCATAATCAACAGCACTAGAAGGAGTGTGCTCTGTCAACAAAAGAGTGTTGATTGCAAAATTTTCATTCTTCATGTAATCTTTAATGGATGGTGACAGAAAGCTGCTGGTTCGTACAGGCTTTATGATAATGGTTCATACAGGCTTATGATTCAAATGCCAGGTGACAGACAATGCCTTCTCTTCTACTTGGCTCTAAAGGGCACTGAAATTGTTGGAGTAATACGTCAGTGAGAGTTTTAGCCTAATACCTTCTTCATAAATGCCTCCAAAAATAAGATTAGCCTTGGTTTAGGGGCTTTCTATCCAGGCATATATTCTTGTCTTCTGAAATGGACATATACAATGCCATTTTTTTTTTGAGGCAGAGTCTCTCTTTGTCACCCAGGCTGGAGTGCAATGGCACGATCTCAACTCACTGCAACCTCCGCCTCCTGGGTTCAAGTGATTATCCTGCCTCAGCCTCCCAAGTAGCTGGGATTACAGGTGCACACCATCATGCCTGTCTAATTTTTGTATTTTTAGTAGAGACAGGGTTTCACCATGTTGGTCAGGCTGGTCTTGAACTCCTGACCTCACGATCCGCCCACCTTGGCCTCCCATAAGTGCTGGGATAACAGGCGTGAACCACTGCGCCTGGCCCCATTTTTTTTTTTTTTTATAAAACGGCCCTAGTTTTATAAAACTAGCAAACATAAAAACTAGCAAACATAAAAAAATTTGCTTTGGAGTTGACACCTTCCTCCAGTTGCCTGCCGCTCCCTGGAGAAGGCGGCCACAGCCTCAAGTATTCATTCTTTCTTGTATCTCCTGACCTTCCAGGCCTTGGTTTGAAACTCATCTTCTCCATTGAATTATCTCTTTCCTTCTTCCGAACGCTTTTCAGAACTTCGATGATCCATACCTTGTATCATCAGGGTGGCAGCTGCATCCCACAGTGGCTGTCAAGGGAGGTGTTTTTGTAGTTTTTATAAAGTGTTGCTGGTGAGGATGTGGAGAAATAGGAATGCTTTTACACTGTTGGTGGGAGTGTAAATTAGTTCAACCATTGTGGAAGACAGTGTGGCAATTCCTCAAGGATATAAAACCAGAAATACCATTTGACCCAGCAATCCCATTACTGGCTATATACCCAAAGGATTATAAATCATTCTACTATAAAGACACATGCACACATATGTTTATTGCAGCACTATTTACAATAGCAAAGACTTGGGACCAACCCAAATGCCCATCAATGATAGACTGGATAAAGAAAATGTGGCACATATACACCATGGAATACTAGGCAGCCATAAAAAAGAATGAGTTCGTGTCCTTTGCAGGGACGTGGTTGAAGCTGGAAACCATCATCCTCAGCAAACTAACACAGGAACAGAAAACCAAACACCGCATGTTCTCACTTCTAAGTGGGAGCTGAACAATGGGAACACATGGACACAGGGAGGGGAACATCACACACTGAGGCCTGTCGGGGGTTGAGGGGAAAAGGGAGGGAGAGCATTAGGACAAATACCTAATGCATGTGGGGCTTAATACCTAGACGACGGGTTGATGGGTGCAGCAGACCACCATGGCACATGTATACCTATGTAACAAACCTGCACGTTCAGCACATGTATCCCAGAACTTAGAATAAAAATAAAAAATAAACAAATAAATAAATAAAAAGTGTGGTGCTTTCCTGAGCAACACTGTGAAGCTTTCCACAACCAATCACACATGATTTTTAAAAATTTCTTATGGTTAGAGAAATAATCAAGTCACATGTGCTCCAGACGTGGACTTGTTTATGACCACGGGTATGTCTTTACGTGTCTGTCTCTCTCACTTGCAGGGTTGTTTTTGTTTTTTGTTTTTTTTTTAAATGTATCTGCTTTTCTAGGCCTCTTAGTCCCACAGGATTTCTTCACAGGATTTTCCACTTTCTCAGAAGGCAATTTTCTAATGCAGGGCTGACGATTACAGTAAGACACACATCTTTAAACAATGCCTACATTAGGTCAGCAGGGAGGGTGCCCCCATCCTGGGACTGCAGAACAATGTCGTGCGTTCTCTGTGTAGGTGCAGGAGCACCAGAGAGTGAATTCTGGGTAAATCTTTTTGCAAAGCTTTCCAACAACTAGTAAGGCATCCTGTAATACTGCAAGAGTGCAGTGATTCTATCACAGCTCACTGCAGCCTCGACCTCCAGGCTCACGCGATCCTCTCGCCTCAGCCTCTTGAGTGGCTGGGACCACAGACACATGCCCTCTTAGGGCAGTTACAAGGATGAATATAGAATTCCAGGGCAGGGGGTTGAGTGGGGAAGGGCCATTTTGGGGGTGTGCACTGACATCAGTGTAGGGCCTCTGAGAGAAGCAGCCCATTTGCCACTGTGTGGGGCTTCAGCCATGAACTGCTGCTCTGACCTGCCTTTCCCATGTGCAACTGTGGCCAAAGCAGCATGAAGGGCTGCAAACCAGGTTCGCCTCTGTTATCCTCGTGCCATACATGGGGGAACGACTCTAGCGAGCAGCCCATGAAGGATTGTTAGAAAGAGAGGACCCAAGGAACTTGGGAGGGATTCATGGGAAATCAAAGAAAAAAGGCAGAAGGATGATGAGGACAAAACCAAAAGTTCCTTCTGAGGGAGCTGGGTAAGTTCTGCCTTGGGTCTCTGTTTTCTTTCCTTCTTTCTTTCCTTCCTTCCTTTCTCTCTCTCTCTCTCTATCTCTTTTCTTTCTTTCTTTCTTTCTTTCTTTCTTTCTTTCTTTCTTTCTTTCTTTCTTTCTTTCTTTCTTTCTCTTCTTTTCTTTTCTCTTTTCTTTTCTTTCTTTTTTGACAGTCTTGCTCTGTCGCCAGACTGGAGTGCAGTGGCGCCATCTCTGCTCACTGCAGCCTCCGCCTTCCAGGATTCAAGCGATTCTCCTGACTCAGCCTCCCAAGTTTTAATGTGTACAGAGGCAGCACCTGAAGGCTCTCTGTGGCTTCTACTAGTCCAGGGAGACAGGAAGTCAGAGGTCTCTGTGTGGACACTAGGAGAGGGGACAGAGAACCTCCTGGGAAGCAAGTCACTCACATGGGCCAGGGCCGGAAAGCCCTCAGGGAGAGCAGAGAAGACAGTCACCAGGGTCTGTGGCTGGTGTCTGGGTTGATGTAACACTTTTTTTTTTTTTTTTGCAGTTAGTTTGCTAACGTCAATTCTGAGTTAGAGATGCTCACAAGACATGTGTGGGCTAAGAGATGTCTCCATGTTCAACACACACTAGACAAACTTAATTATTCATAAGAATATTGGAGCACTTCAGGCTGTGCAGAGGCAGCTTTTAGATGGTGAAGACAGAGCTAGTTTTTTTCAAACGGTGCTGGAAAGATAGGGCTAGTTTTTGGATTTTGTTTCACATTTTTTTCAGACAAGCTGGTAAATGTTGACTTAAAGCATTATTTTGGGTCAGGTTTACATAGAGTGGCAATGAAACATTTCACTGGATAAAGGAATAGGGGGAAAAGAGCTCCAGGGTTTCTTGCCTCTGGCTTTGTAGCTTTCTTGCATCACTAGGGGATTGCTTCTGCAAATGGAGTGGGAAAAACCAAAGCTTTGGAATAGATTCTAAGTGAATGGGGAGAAACAAATGTAGGGTGAACACACACACAAGCCAGACAGAACCTTGGTACAAAAATCAGATGCGCCATAAAAACTGTTTCACTTTAGGAATGATGTCTAGATTTGAAATGCTTGGTTTAAAACGACTATTACGTCACCGCCACCTGCTGGCCAGAAACGGTATTAGCTTAAAGCTCCATTAGAGAAAAGGTCTTCTTGGGGTGGAGTAACTGATTGGGCTGCTCATGGTTATTTTTGTGTGGAAAGAGTCTTTCTCCGAGAAAATCTGCTTTTATTTTCTCTTCTTCTGTCTAGAAAATGTTCTGTTATTTTTAAATGAACATTTTAAAAATTTATAAAGACGTAGTGTTAGGAAATTTAGAAAATACAGAAAAGTGTAAGAACTATAGTTTATATATTTACACATTTTCCTAGCATGAAAATATTTGAAAAAACTCCAACAAAATTGGTATTTATTATACATATGAATTTGTTTCATTTAGTTATTGAATTAGTTTTTTATCATGAAATATTTTAAACATACACCAAAATACAAAACATAACAGATGCCCAACTGGATTTAACTCATTTTTAAAATTTTGCTACATGTTTTCCCTAAAATTTTCTTTTGGAAAATACTACTTTACAGGTACAAATGAAATTCACATCTGTCCCCACCCTCAACATCCAGTTTCCCCTATTATTCCCCAGATAGTACCACTATCTTAAAAATGATATGCAACACTTTTTGTTTTTATAGTTTTGCTTTATATGTTTTAAATTGTACATGATTGAGAAATACTCTATTCTTTATTCAACTTTTTTTTCACTGAACGTTATGTTTATGAACTTTATTTACGTTTATATAGGTAGACCTAGTAGATTCATTTTTACAAATAGCTGAATTAAAAAATCTTATCTGGAAGTATTGATCTTTAACTGGAGAGTTTAATCCATTTATATTTTTTGTGAATATGTTTAGATGTATTTCTGCTATATTCTTTTTGTTATCTGTTTATTGTGCTTTGTTTTAAACATATTTTTGTTTTCTGTCAGAGGCTGTGTATTTAAATTTTTTTTTCTTCATCTACTTGTTTTGAAGTTATGTTTACTATTTCTCTTCTACCCTTCAATTTATACTATGCCTACTTAACAAGTCTAAACATAACAATTATTGCTTCTTTCTCCAGAAGAGTACAAAGACCTTAGAATGTTTTAAATTGCTTTTACATTTCTCCCATCTTCTATCTTATGCTTTTTAGGATTTTAAATTCTATTGTTTTAAATCACTATATTAGTGGTCATATCATCATCATCACCACTACCACCACCACCACCATCATCATCATCATTACCAATCAGTACTTAGTTAGCATTGAGAAAAAGGCCAAGCAAATATGAAGCAAAGAAAGCCAGAATAGCAGTCTTACTCCTTTTTGTTCTTTCATTTTTGCCTTGAATTAAGTCTATCTATCTATCTATCATCTATCCATCTGTCTGTCTGTCTGTCTATCTACCTACCTACCTGTATATCTAAAGGAACAATTTAGTCTCAAGCACAATGTGGCAGAAGTACAAGGAAAATAAATGAATCAACAATGTTAATAGTCTTGGAAACTGATAGATTAAGGAGACAAATAAGTACGAAGATATATAAAATTGAGTAATACAATTAACCAATACTAGGCATCACATTTTATTACATTTTCGTCAATCTGATAGTTGCTAAATTCCAACTTATTTGTTTTAATTTGGATTTAAAATTATTATTGAGATTAGGTATTTTTTCATACATTTATTGGAAGTTTGTAGTCATTTTTGTGTATAATTAACTCTTCATGTTTATTGGAGATGTTTGTTTTTACTGAGTTGTAAGAACTGTTTGTATATAAAAGTTATTAAATGTTTATTTGTTATATACGTTAAAATATTTTCAGATTTATCATTTGTCTTAATTTTGCCTATTCTTTTTTAGGTCTTATTTTAAATTTTAATGTTTATATACTGCATTCTAGATATCTTCTTTGGAAAAAGATTCTTTTTTTGGAAAGGATGAAAGAATGAAAAGATAAAAGAATGAAAAGGATAGGGTAATGAAGGGTTCAAATGGGAATGCAGTAAAAACTGAAAGGAAAAAGGAACAAGAAAAAGAATAAGAAGAGGAGGCAGGCTGGGCGCGGTGGCTCACTGCTTTGGGAGGCAGAGGCGGGCAGATCACAAGGTCAGGAGATCAAGATCATCCTGGCTAACACGGTGAAACCCCGTCTCTACTGAGAAAAAAATACAAAAAATTAGCTGGGCATGGTGGTGGGCGCCTGCAGTCCCAGCTACTCGGGAGGCTGAGGCAGGAGAATGGAGTGAACCGGGGAGGTGGAACTTGCAGTGAGCCGTGATTACACCACTGCACTCCAGCCTGGGCGACAGAGTGAGACTCTGTCTCAAAAAAAAAAAAAAAAGAAGAGGAGGCCGGGTGAGGTGGCCCACGCCTGTAATCCCAGCACTTTGGGAGGCCAAAGCAGGAGGATCACTTGAGGTCAGGAGTTCGAGACCAGCCTGGCCAACATGGCAAAACCCCGTCTCTACTAAAAATAGAAAAATTAGCTGGGGATGGTGGTGCTCGCCTGTAATCCCAGCTACTTGGGAGGCTGAGGCAAGAGAATTGCTTGAACCTGGAGGTCAGAGATTGTAGTGAGCTAAGATTGCTCCACTGCACTGCAGCCTGGGCGACAGAACGAGATTCCGTCAAAAAGAAGATATAAAGGTCTGGGACCTGCAAATAATTTACCTAAAACAATAAATGGAGTTCAAATATGAAGTAACATTTTTGGAAAGCAAATTATAAACTTGTGAGTAAGATACATTAACAAAAACAAAAACAAAAAAACAAAAGCAAAAACAAACTACCCCTTGCTCCCAAGTCCTGGAATTGGAAGATTGAATTGGACAAAATATCAGAGATATCCTCTTAAACTTGGATTATGCACACACTCCTTTTCCTTGACTATCTGAACTGATGGAACAGGATGCTAAGTCAAATTTACTCCTTTTGGGAAACCAATAGATGAGGAGATAAAGTCAAAGTTTCATATGGTATTTAGAGATGTCCTTTATTTTTTATTTTATTTATTTTTTATAGTCTCATTTTGGAGCGGACAGCTACTGGGATGAGTTGAGAAATTCTGAGTAGAATGGTTTAGACTCATCAGCAACTTCTTGGTTGTTCCTGATAGAGGACTCTCCTTTGACAAACTCACAATAGACACATTAAGATCATAGAATCACAGAGGGATAGCCTGGAAAGCTCTTTAGAAATGGAATCATCTGGCCTTCCCAGATGAGGAAATGGGGATTTGGAGTGGTTCATGGTTTGTAACCCAATACTCCCCAGCTTGTCCTTCAGAACATGGGCAATTTGGAGTTCTGGGTTAATAAAAGTGCTTTTGTGAACTCAAGGACAACCCGCACATACCCCTAATAAATAATGGCATCTCTCATCAGAATCATAGGCACACCTTGAGATCTGGGGAGAGCACTGAGCTAGGAGTTGGGGGATTGGTGTTCTAGTTCCCCACGACCATCCCCAGCTGAGTGACCAGGAAGCTCATCTACCACAGGAGGCAGTGGAGAGCAGACCCCTGTTCCCTCCCACTCTAACATCCCCTGTGTCTCAGTTCCTGCCTGGGGTGATGGGTACAGTTTCCAGCGCACAGTCTAAGGCCTCAGGACTTTATCCAGGGGTCTTCGCTACAGACTGGTTTGTTCTGTAGAGCAGAGATTGGATATACAAATGAACAATTGATGGTCCATTTATAAAAACAAAACACCGACCCACAACCTGTAGCCACCTGCCTAGGAAATCAATCCCTTATCTACAATACCCAGCCTGGGAAGCCAGCCTGCTGGAAGCCAGACTTATGGGAAGTCAGATTGCCATCTCTAGTAACAATCCAGGAAGTCAAACAATAGCTTCTATAACAATCAGCCCCAAATGGCCAAGACTTGTTTAATAACTGATAGCTTCTCTAATTTTTGTCCCTACTTCCAACTTAGGACCAATTAGACAGAGCCCACTATGCACCCCTAACCAATCCCATAGGATGCCCTGTTCCTGACACCAACAGCCTCCAATGAGGTCACATCTAAAGCCTTTCCCCCACCTTTTATCCCACAATAAAGCTCTCCCACTCCTCTGCCTGCCTTTAGGTCACTGCCACATGCAAGTGACAATGGCTGACTCCCTTGCTGAAGCAGACTCTGAATAAATAGCCTTTGCTGTTCTCATTTGGTTGGCCTTTGCCACTTTCCACCCAGCAGTAATGTAAGGATAAGACTAGAATGCTGGGCTCCATCCACTTCCACCTTCCTCTTGGCCCCTGAGGGTTCCAGTAAGGAGGTTAGAAGCCAGAGACATGTGGGCGCACGAAGACCCCTCCCTCCCACACCAAGACCCATCCATTCCCAGCCTTCAAATCTTGTTTTGTGTGGTCTCCCCTGTGGCTGACCCCAATGTTATTGATAATGACAGAAAAAAGACAGTGTTCATGAAACAGAAAATCTATGTAACTTCAGCTTGGGTCTGTCTTGCTGCTGGCAGTGTACTTAGATGTACGTTTTCCGTTAGTTTTGTCACCTGTGAGCTAGAAAATTGCAGCTTTGGGTTAGGTCACTGGAGTTGGGTCAAGATTCTCTTTGAGAGCAATGGAGTATGAAACCCACTCCAATTTGGTCAGACCCAGGTAATTTTTTTTCAACTCGCTTTTGCTGATGATAAATAATTTAGTATTTGACAGCAGGAGAATGTGAAAATGTAAAAAAACATGTATTAAAAAAATTAGGCCGGGCACATTGGCTCATGCCTGTAATCCCAGCAATTTGGGAGGCTGAAGCTGGTGGATTGCTTGAACCCAGGAGTTTGAGACTAGTCTGGACAACATAGAGAGAACCTGTCTCTACAAAAAACAAATACAAAGTAGCCCGGTGTCATGGCATGCACCTGTAGTCCTAGTACTCAGGAGGCTGAGGTGGGAGGATTGCTTGAGCTTGGGAGGTTGAGGCTGCAGTGAGGCAAGATCGTGCCACTGCACTGCAGCCTGGGTAACAGAGCAAGACCCTGTCTTGAAAAAACAGAAAACAAAACAAAACAAAAACAAAAACAACCCGTTTATTTACACAGCGGTCATTGAACTCCTCCTGCCTGCCAGGCTCGTGACTTACTATCAAATTAGATTTTCATCATGTCTATGAAAGCACAAGTTTATGCAGATGCAGTTGGGTCATTGTTATCATTTTCTTTTCACATCTTCTTTTCTGTAGTTAAAAATTGATTGATTGACCGAGCGTTGGATGAGAAAAATGCCTGGAGTGTTGGTTTTATTGTTCTGGGTTTTTTTATTTTTTGTATGCGTTTGACCACCTGCATCTTCATTTTCAGGGACGCTTATTATAAAAGTACAGTTCACTGGGCCTCGATCAGGCCCACGGAATTGGAATTCTGGGGGGTGGAATCTGCATGTTTTTTTTCAGGCTCCTCATGTGAGTTCATGAACTCAGTCTATGGGTTTTACCCCACATGGCTTCTGTGTTATTGGATGGAGAGGGATTCTATTATGGATGAAAAAAACTCAGAAAAGGAGGTTAAGTGGCCCGCTAAAGGTCACAGAATCAGTTAATAGGTGGTTGTAACATACAAAACCCAAGGAGTAGAATGATAAAGCGATTTGGATCTGTAAGTCTCTCTGAGGCTTTGGGTCAAGTGCCTAGTATTTGCAACTCATAAAATAAATCACTTCATAAAACACGATACTGTTCTCAGTCACAAGTTCATTGAATGGGGTGGAGAACCTGGTGCTATTTCTGGAGCTTTGGTTTATCTGGGTGTGGCTCTTGGGCAGTGAGGTGTTAGGGTCTTAGAGACCTGGGCTCCAACATGGCCCCTCACTCAGGCAGGCTTTCTTAACTGAATGAAGGAACCAGGACCTCTGGTTGTGCTGTTCGTAAAGCAGTCGTAATAATGCCTCTCCCTTTCCAAGGAGAGTCAAGGCAGTCGCAGCATCTTTGAGCAGAGGCTTCACAACATCAGTTTCCCCTGTGATCTGGGGGATTCTGTGGTGGTTTAAGCCATAGCAACCCCCTCCCCCTTTTGGGGAAGTAACCTAATCAGGAAGACTGTTTTAATCAGAATGATGCCCCCTCTTCCTTCCTCTTCTGTTTATGGTATTTGACTTTAAATAATTAATTAATTTATGATGGGGTCTCACTCTGTTGCCCAGGTTGGAGTGCAGTGGCATGATCTCTGGCTCACTGCAATCTCCACCTCCCAGGCTCAAGCCATCCTCCCACCTCAGCCTCCCAAGTTGCTGAGACTACAGGTGCACGCCAGCACACCTGGCTAAATTTTGAATCCTTTGTAGAGAAGGGGTTTCACCATGTTGCCCAGGCTGGTCTCCACCTCCTGAGCTCAAGCAATCCTCCTGCCTCAGCCTCCCAAAGTGCTGGGATTATAGGCATGAACCACCGCGTTGGGACGACTTTATTTTATTTTATTGCTCACTTTGCAGGGCCAACGACCTTCTCTGGGAGAGTGGGGAGAGAGCTGAAAGGAAACACCTTGGGTGGGGTGCCTGCCGAGTTGAGGTGTTGTCCCCTTTCCAAAGCAGCCAGCAGTTGCTGCCATGTCACGGCACCCTGTAAGAGTGGCCCCTGGCAGTTCAGTGTCCAAGTCCCAGGCTGGATGGGTCCCTGACCCTACACTTCCCACACTGCTGTTCCAATGAACACAGAATCAATGGCCAAATCCAAGCCTTTCCACAAACAGAAATTGAAGGTAAGATGAACACTGCATTTATGTAGAACCTGCACTTTATTTAACAAGAATTGTTTTTGTAAACTGTAGTATATCCAGAGAGAAAAAATTCTTGCTGAAGCAACAGTCTGCAAAGCTCTTGCTTGCCTGTTCTATGTACTCTGGGTTAGAAAGCCATGTCTGCCCAAATGAGGCAGGTCTGTCTCCCCATCTGCAATGCTCCAATGCATTTGGTGCTCACCTACCATAGATCACATGTGCTATACAACTGAGTCCTAATGAAGGCTTCTTGCTCCCCGATTACTGCTGACATCCCCTTCAAAGAAGCAGGGTTTGTGCTGGTCCCTGTCTTTCCCCTTAGCCTGGTTCTGCGGATTCTTTTCCACCGTTTTCATGCTGTTCTGGTTGAAGCAGGCTCTCGTGGGCTGGGCTGTTTCTTTTTTAAGTCTGTGCTTGAGCTTGCTCAAAGTTCCACATCTGAAGTCTTTTCTGTGGGGCGGACTAGGAGGCATTACTTCCTTCCAAAGTGCTCTGAGAAATGCTAGCCGCTAATTACTTATTAATAACCTACCCAGTGCTGCAGCTCTGTGTTCTGACCCATGCCGGCTGCTCGGTCAGCATTTTGGCCCCTGGAATTCTCGGCTGTACTGTGGTGAAGAGAGGCTAAACACAAAGCAAGACAAATAGAACAAGCCAAAGTTTCTTTACTCATTCAAGCACAGTTGAAAATTTAGAAAACACAGATGAGCTGAAAGGAGAGAGGATCTTGCAGCAGAAATAGAAGCATCAACATTTTGGTCCACATCACAGGAGACCCTGAGGAACCTGCCGTCTGCTTTTTCCACATAACATGGCTTCTTGAGCATATTTTCAGGCCGTTCTCTTATTTTTAAAATACATTAGTATCCCACTGTATAGACGTTCTGTATATATCTGAGGGCTGTTGGACAGCATAGGTTGTTTCTGAATGTTTGGTATTATAAACAACAGTAGGGTGAGCACCCTGTGGCTGTCTGCTTGCAGCAGGAGGGCTATTTTCAATGTCTTTGTGGTTGGATTACATCTGAGATGAAAACAGATTTCTCTACTAGGCAGTAGCAACCTTGCGGGGATGTCATGATGTTCTCAGGTCACCAGGAAGCATCTTCCTGGCTGCCCCAGCCCAAAGGGGACCTGCTTAACCCTTTGAGCTCACCTTCAAGGGCTGCACTTTCTCATTCTCACAGTGATTCCTGGCCACACGTCAGTAGGAGGTAGGAAGGGCAAGCATTACTGTTATTTTTAGGAGGAGGGAGCAGACACACACTAACTAAGGTGTTCTTGATGGTCTCCATCTGATATGGTGTGGCTGTGTCCCCACCCAAATCTCATCTTGAACTGTAGCTCCCATAATCCCCACGTGTTGTGGGAGGGAACCGGTGGGATGTAACTGAATCATGGGGGCATTTTCCCCCATATGTTCTCATGGTAGTAAGTCTTGTGAGATCTGATGATTCTATAAGGGATTTCCCCTTTCACTTGGCTCTCATTCTTTCTTGTCTGCTGCCGTGTAAGATGTGCCTTTTGCCTTCCACCATGATTGTGAGGCCTGCTCAGCTGTGTGGAACTGTGAGTCCATTAAGCCTCTTTTTCTTCATAAATTACCCAGTCTTGAGTATGTCTTTATCAGCAGCATGAAAATGGACTAATACGCCATTCATGCATAGGTGAAACTTGTCTTATAGCTTGTCTACTTCTTCTTCTAACTGGATCCCCTTTCTCATCTGTGACCCGAGTTCAAGACTGACGCTGCCATAAGGTTCTGTTGCCATCCCTCCCCTGCTAGTGATAAGGGAGGAGGTCATTCATTACGTCACATCTGTTGACCTTTTTTGGCTCTGTGAGCTCCTCAACCACTCTGCCACAGGCATTGATGACTCCAGTAGAAGCCAAGTGACTGTCAATCTTGCAAATGGATTTTGGGATAGAATGGATCAGCAATGGCATTGCAGGTGATGGGTCTGTAATGGCTCTTCTTGGGTTTCCTGGGTGAAAAGTAGGCTTTTCAGGAGACTTCTCTGTACACTTGGATGTCACTTTTTCTTCTTTACTTCACTGTAAATGTTTCTACCCCTGTCCAAAATCAAATTTGCCATCTATACTCTGGCATGGGGAGGCCATTTCAGCGTGGGGCACAGGTCCTCACATGGCATTGGCAGACAGACACTTGGCCCTGCAGTTTGGGTTTTATTTATTTATTTATTTATTTTTTGAGATGGAGTCCCGCTCTGTCACCAGGCTGGAGTGCAGTGGCGTGATCTCAGCTCACTGCAACCTCCGCCTCCCTGGTTCAATGGATTCTCCTGGCTCAGCCTCCCGAGTAGCTGGGACGACAGGCGCCTGCCACCACGCCTGGCTATTTTTTTTTTTTTTGTATTTTTAGTAGAGATGGGGTTTCACCATGTTGGTCAGGCTGGTCTCGAACTCCTGACCTCGTGATCTGCCTGCCTTGGCCTCCCAAAGTGCTGGGATTACAGGCGTGAGTTACTGCGCCCAGCCGAGTTTGGGTTTTAAAATCACTAAGTTAGTGGTACAATTCTGTGCAGGAAACAATCTCAGTGGTGGTTTGGCTCCAAGCTGTCAAATTACCATAGCACTTGGCTGGTTATTTTGGGGTCCGTAAGGAGAGAGGGTTCCTGCAGTCGTTCCAGTCCATGTGTCAGAGTTCGCCTGTGTTCTGTGTTTATCACCCACATGTTAAGTTCATGTGTTACCAAGACGACCTCCTCAACAATAAAAAAAAATGAGGCATTTCAAAACTTTTAATGCCTTTCAATCTAGCAATTCAGTTTCTAGGAATCTATTATTTAGAAATTAATCACAAACCACTAAATAAGTATATTCAAGGATGCGCATGGTAGTGTTATAATACTGTTTTGGAGAGGGAGAGGAAGAAAATCAACAGGAAAAAACTGAAAGGACATCTAAAGGGGATTGGTTAAGAAAATCACGGGAAGCCAGAGCCATCATTCATAACAATGACGGGAAGGTTACTCGGGTACTTGAGGGAAATGTCCAGAATCTAACTGTGAGGGGAAAATGCAGGGGACAAAACAAGTATAATTTGGTACATTTCTGCTATATGAATGAACACACGCCATGAATGAATGAACACACGCCAATATGTGGGCATTAGTTGGAGCTGGCTGGAGGCATATTACTTCTCTTTTATGTCTTTTTCCTCCTCTGGCCCCTTTTCTCTCCTCCTGCCTGTTTTCTCCTCCATCTCCTTCCCTCCTCCTCATCCTCCTCCTCCTCCTCTTCCTCCTCCTTCTCCTTCTTCTTCTTTTTCTTCTTTTTTTTCTGATAGAGTCTCGCTCTTTCACCCAGGTTGGAGTGCAGTGGTGTGATCTCAGCTCACTGAAACCTGCGCCTCCCAGGTTCAAGCAATTCTCCAGCCTCAGCCTCCTGAGTAGTTGGGACTACAGGCACGTGCCACCATGCCCAGCTAATTTTTGTATTTTTAGTAGAGACGGGGTTTCACCATGTTGGCCAGGCTGGTCTTGAACTCCTGACCTCAGGTGATCTACCCGCCTCGGCCTCCCAATGTGCTGGGATTACAGGCGTGAGCCACCGCACCCAGCCCTCCTTTTTCTTCTTTGTCTTCATCTTCATCTTCTTCTTTGGCAGATTTTCAGCTGTTGTGATTAGCAAGACCCAGTGGCAGTGCCTTAACCAGCATTTTAAACTCACAGGAGAGAGCGGTGTAGTTTCCCATTTTTCCTAACATAAAACAAAGAACTAGTTGAGGTTCCCTAATTTGGTAGCATTTTAAACTTCTATAGTGCACACATCTTTGTTACTTCATGTTGTCTACACAGTTTCACTCTTTAAGTGAGAAATGGGGAGATAAAATGACTTATTAAAGTTTAAGGGGACCCTATTTCCTGAGCTCATAGCTTGGGCATATGGTCGCTGGGTCTTAGAGCACTGGGATATAGGTGGAATACAGGTTAGAATTCTTAAAATCAATACTTTCTGGAAAACCAGTGTGGTTACCACCCATCTGTGGGCCCGCATTTCTCTCCAGCCATCCAGGGAAGAGGATGCTGGAAGCTTGTCCCGACCCCAGCTCCTGCTGGATGGGAAAGTGTGCCTGAAGAATCTTACTCCCCATAGTGGGAATGTTTTTAAACGAGGAGGTTCCATGGCAGAGACAACTGGGAGAAACTGGTTTTGAACAGAAGGCTCCTTCTGAAATCCTTTCCACAAAACACACATGCATGTGTGCACGTGCACACACTCACAGAGACACAGACACAGACACAGCTGGGTATATGTGTGTGTGAGTCTGAGTCTGAATTAGATGCAACAGTATCTGCAGCCTAGGTGGAAGGTCTGCCTCAGGAAGGAGGGAGGCCAACAGCCCACAGGTGGGAATCACCTGAAGCTGTGAAACAGAGAACAGACTTCTGGGGAGAAGCAGGAGAATTCCTTGAAAAAATGTTTAAATAAACTGCAGCTTCCTTATTCTTTTTGGAAGAACCAGAGTTGTTGGCTCGAAGCAGGGAAAAACATCATTCTGGAGACATTTAAAAAGTTTTCTAGGGGGTAGACTCTACTGAGAGAGGTGAGAGAGTGTGCCTTGGGAGGGGACAGTGGAGCGGGGCGCGGGGAGGTGAGCAGGCTTCCAGGACCGCTGGATTCTCCAGAACACTCCTCCCTGTGCAGAGTGGCCCAGAGCAAAGTGGATGCAAGGGAATCCATCAGGGAGGGCGGGAGTGTGCAGAGATTCTGGGTACTCGGGAAGGGCCGTCAGCAAAGGGGTGGGGACTGGGGAATAAGCAGGACTCAGGGCCACCTTGGAGCAGCCAAGTGAAAGCAGAGGAAGGAGAGGGATCTGGACAAGGGGACAGGATCTCGTACCCACCAGAGCCTGGTGACTTCAGAACTAGAGGGCTCCTTGGTGGGAGCAAGGCCATCAGGACTGTATCCAGTGTATGGAAACAGGACACCATGCAAGTGAAAGTGAGCAGGGCCTGGCCCAAGTGGAGAAGCTGGTGGTGCTGGAGCCTCAGCACTCTCTGGCCTTTTCTTTCTCCCTCCCTCCCCTTCAATTGGAATCCACTGCGATGCCATTCGGACCATAGGGTGACTCTATGCCCTGTGGTAGACCACAGTGTTCTTTCTCAGAGTTAGTGACAACTGTGGGATGGGCTGGAGGTGGGTGCAGGGGTTGGGGGTGCTCTGAAGGCTTGCCAGCAGAGAGCGGGCACCTGAGTGAGGGACAGAGGGATTCAGGCTGGGGCGATGAATGCTGTCCTGGAGAGGTACTCAGCCGGGGTAGCAAATATGAACATCCACAGGAGCCGCCCTCAGATTTGGTGGGCACAGGAGGAGAAGGGAAGCCAAATGGGCACACCCTGTTTGAGGGATGTGCCTCCCCGCAGCTCCGGCTGGAGCCCTCTGGGTGGGAATCGAGGCTGCTGTCACCAGAGGGGCTGATTTTCTAGGAGATTCTGCAGAGTGGCGTGTTCGTGCAACACCTTTCATTTATAAAATGCTGTTGATTAATTTAAAAACAGAACAATACTGTCTCAGCCAAACATAGCACATTCTTTGGGCCATGGGCTTATGACTCCTGCTGCAGTAGCGAACCTGATGATGCTAGGTCCAGACTGGCAGGGCGTGGGGCATGTTGTCCCTTCTAATTTACAACAGAGCCCCTGACTAGGTTGGAAGCCAGTGTAGCCATGTGGGTGTAGCAAAATAGATGGAATGCAGGCTTTCAGTTAATCTGCACACGTTCCTTTCAGGATACAGCAGTCTTATTTTGTAATTGAGAAAAAAGGGGAGCTCAGAGAGGTACATAGTTGGCAGCGAGTAGCAGGTTTTACTCGAGCTCTTGCTGATATTCAAGACTGATTTCTCATTACTTACAGCTTTTGTGTAACAGAGAATGGCTCAGATAGAGTGAATGTTACTGTATTAGGGTTCTCCAGGAAACACCAATAGAATATATCTATATGTATACTTATAGATATAGAAATGTAGGAAGAGATTTACTGTGAGGGATTGACGGATTACATGATTATGGAGGCTGGGAAGTCCCACGATCTGCTGTCTGCCAGCTGGAGGCCCAGGAAAGCTGGTGGTGTGGTTCCAGTCCAACTCAGACGCCTGAGAACTAGGAGACTGATGGGGTAAGCCCGAGTCCAAGTCTAAAAGTCTGAGAGCCAATGTCCAAAGTCATGAAAAGATGGAAGACCCGGCTCAAGGAGAGAGAGGAAATTTGCCCTTTCTCTGCTTTTTTCTTCTATTTGAGTCCTCATAGGACTGGATGATGCCCTTCCACCCTGGGGAAGGTGATCGTCTTCGCTCAGTCTACTGATTCAAATGCCAATCTCTTCCAGAAACACCCACACAGGCGCATCCTGAAATAAGGTTTTATCAACTATCTGGGCATCTCTTAGCCCAGTCAAGTTGACACATAAAATTAGCTGTCAATGCTACCATATACACTGCTAATAGGAATCTGGTGAAGCAAACTCTCCAGAAGGAATGGCTGCCATCCCCAGGGTCAAATTCCTGCCTTTTCCATTCTAGTTGGGAACATTCTGAAAGACCAAGAAACAGTATCAGGGGCTAGGATGGAGAGTTATAAGATGGCACGGACAGTAATTAGTCATGTGCATTTCATTAATTGACTCATTCATTCAACACACGCCTAATGAGGGCCTGCTCATTGCTGGGCTCTCTGTTCTGGGCACTTGGGATCCAGGAGTGAAATTATTAGACAAATGGCTCTGCCCTTGTGATGCCTACATTCTAGCTGGAGGAGGCAAACAATACACAATGCATGTAATAAGCAAATCACATGGTAGGTTAGGAGGTGACAAGTGTTATTCCAGAAATACAAAAATGGAGGCAGATAGGTGTGTGTGGGGGGTGGGTGGGGGAACTGCAATTGTGATTGGTTTGATGACCGTGTGTCTCATTGAAAGGGTAGCATTGGAACAAGGCTGTGGCAGGAGCATGCCTCCTGTGAGAAAAGCAAGGAGGTCAGAGCAGCCAAGTGCAACAAGGGAGCAGTGTTGAGGTTCGGGATCCCAGAGCCCCACTCACCCAGGGCTGGGTGCCGTTATGCCATTCGTTGCCCCATCTCTCCAAGTCTCTAATTCCTCAGTGTAAATGCGGTGGATTACATTTCCCCTGCTTCACAAGTGTTGGAGGATCCACTGTGAAAACTTTGAAGATTGATTTTTATATTTACGTGTGGGGCTGCCCTAGGAAAAACAGTCTCAGTCACATTCTTATTCCTCCTAGACAGGATGGGCACCATGAAGCCTCCCCCAGCCACTCTGTCTGTAGGGATGTCCCACTCTCTGCTTCTACGGCACCCAGGTGCATCAGTTGCCAGAAGGCCAGCTTCCCCAGCCCCTGCTGGCTTCATGGGCATTTGACCTCTGCAGTCACACAGGGACTCATGTTCAGAAGAGCCCTGTGCATGGTTGAATCCTCTGCCATTGCCATCTTTAAATACTCCATGATTTTATCTTTACACTTGTGATGAAGTCCAATGGGACAATACAGCATGCACCTGAGCAGAGGAGATACGCGTGGTATGTGTGTTTGCTGCCATTCCTTGCCTCATGAGCACAGAATTCTGGTGCTCCCATGATGGTGGGAGTTCAGAAAGACTCAAAGTGAGAACAAGATTACTCAAAGTGAGTACAAGTGTTACATCTTTGATTAAGTATGGGCCTGATGGGCCATGCTTTCCATTCAAACTAGAATTTGACTCAAAATGGAAAGAAGGATATGATGTTCTAAGGACATCATCAGCCAAGGAAGCCTAGCATATTCTTTTTCATTCCTGTTGTTTCTCTGTGTTAGTCAACCACTTATGCCAGTAGTTATGACATAGGAGGAAAGGGAACTAGCCTTTCTTTTCGTTCTTTTCTTTTTGAGATAGGGTCTTGGTCTGTCACCAGGGCTGGTGTGCAGTGGCACGATCTCAGCTCACTGCAACCTCTGCTTCCTGGGCTCAAGCAATCCTGCCACCTCAGTTTCCCAAGTAGCTGGGACTACAGGGGCATGCCAGCACACCCAGAAACTTTTTTTTTGTATTATTTGTAAAGATGGGATTTCACCATATTGCCCATGCTGGTCTCCAACTCCTGGGCTCAAGTGATCCATCTGCCTTGGCTTCCCAAAGTGCTAGGATTACAGGCGTGAGTCACTGCACCTGGCCTTCAGTCCTGTCTTAATCCTCAGTAACTCGAAGGCAGAGGGTGCTGGTAGAATGTATGCATATCCAGAAATGAAATAAAACCAGCAAAGCTAGTTTTTGTGCAGCATTTCCAGTAAGGGATTGGTTGAAAGGCCAGGGCGATTGTGCCATTGTGTGCCTCTGAATGCAATCATCTGTACTGGTTAAACCTCACCGCCCCCAAACCTATTTATGTATAAGTTAGGAAATACAAATTCTATAATTTCTGTGATTCTGCATGTGAGCTACATGCTTTGAGCTAAATGCTTCCATTAGTATTGTAAGATGGCAAGGCACAGGAATGGTAAGATTCGTGCTATCAATTTACGTTTAATTTTTCCAAACCTAGCAGCTATTAAATAGCAAATAATAACACTGCAAGTCAAAAGAGAGACAGCAGGAGAAAGGAAAAGTCCTTATATTTTAGTACCTTTCCTGGCACCTTCTTTCCTGCTTTTTGGAAAAGGGGCCCAGCATTTTCACTTTGCACTGGGCCCTGTGCATTCTGTAACTGGCTCTGGCCAGCTCAACTGGTGCCCAGCAAACACTGTCTCCTGCTCACTGCACTCCAAGTCCCAACTAGGGCCAACAGTGGCAAGAATGAGCTGTCACTGTGAACTCGGCCCTGGTCCCAAAGAGTTTCTGCTGTGATTCCCATCATTTTTATTTTCAAGGAATTAAGGCAAAAACTTCAGGCTCTGTTTGGGGTCAATGTTGGGCCCATTCTCCTTAAGAGGGAATAATAAGTTATTTAATTGTCTATAGGCCAGAGAGCATCATAAGGCACATACATTTTTAAAAATAAAATTTCACATAACCCCAATATATAACAAAAAGAGGAAAAAAAGAGCCAACATAGATATTCTCTGAAATGTGTAAACCCTTTGGAAATTTCCATGACAGAAGGTTTAGAACAGTCTCTAACGGTGATTTGCACACAACAAAAAGTCACATCTGTATCTGATTACCTTATGGAGATTTCCCAGGGACTTTTCCCCAAAGGTGTGTTACAGCTCGTGCTTTCAATAGTAAGGATAGATAAAAGATAGACTGGATTAAGAAAATGTGGCACATATACACCATGAAATACTATGCAGCCATAAAAAATGATGAGTTCACGTCCTTTGTAGGGACATGGATGAAATTGGAAATCATCATTCTCAGTAAACTATCGCAAGAACAAAAAACCAAACACCGCATATTCTCACTCATAGGTGGGAATTGAACAATGAGATCACATGGACACAGGAAGGGGAACATCACACTCTGGGGACTGTTGTGGGGTGGGGGGAGGGATAGCATTGGGAGATATGCCTAATGCTAGATGACGAGTTAGTGGGTGCAGCGCACCAGCATGACACATGTATACATATGTAACTAACCTGCACAATGTGCACACGTACCCTAAAACTTAAAGTATAATAAAAAAAAAAAGAAAAAAAAAGATGTTAACTTTGGATGCTATCCTTAAAAAAAAAAAAAAAAAAAAAAAAAAAAAAAAAAATCCTTGTCTTTTAACACTAGAGGTCACTCTGCAACCGCAAATGCGAAATAAGCACCCTGGGGCTCCAGAAGGTCAGTACAGCTAATCTGTAGAAATTGCTGAACCATGAGCCAAATTTGTACCTAATTACGGGTTGCTTTGATGCAGCCCCGCTCCTATTAAAAGTTTCTCTCTTTCCTGCAGAATTGTGGATGTTGTGACTTATATGTTTCTACTGAGCCCTAATATTTCTCAGCTAAGCAGGGGCATTGCAGGCGCTGTAACCAAGAACACACATCTCTCTACATTCCAGGTTTTTGATGTTCATTATCCAGATGGAAAAGAGCATCTGCCGCTTGGGTATCAAATGGTGATAACTTGGTCTTTATTTCTTTATGAGACTGAGGTCGAGACAGATTTAACACAGCCCTGCATGTGGGCGTGCAAAGACTGCAGGCACAGCACGTTGTGCAGAAACGATTGACAAATATTTTCAGAGTTTCTCTGTCCTGTTTTTGGAGATACATAAAACTGACTCTGCATCCAGTGTATGGAAATAGGGTTATTTGCATCTATTGGGGATTGGAACCCGCAAATGGTTTCTTAATCGAAAATTAAAATCCTTGTGCAGCCTCCCTAGAAGACTTCAATTTCCTTTGGCTAGTTACCCTTTCGGAGTAATTAATGTTATTTCTGATTTGGATTCCTGAGAGTTTGGATATCTGTCTATGCAGTAATTTCACATATAATTGCATGCGAAAATGTGTGTTTTATTTCTTTACTGGCTCCTAATCTGTGGTATTTCTGTCTGTGATGGATGGGAGTTATGAGGGTCTTCACGGTCTCTTCGTTTAGGGAGAGTGGAATTCCTGAGCTGGGCAGGCAGAAAAGACCTGAATATCAAACAATGAAAAATAACGGGAATAGTGGGAGGTTGTCACTCTCTGCAATATCTTCCTGAGGCATGGATGGGAATTTTGCAACAGAGGCAGGTGATACACAGGAAATGCAAAGCTCTCTTCTTTGGAGGGCGGGCTCGGCTCCCATGCTAGAAGTGCCTTGACACTGGCAGCCTCAGCTGGGGTGGAGGGCAGTCTCCTTGCTGTTCCGCTTAGCCCCCAGCACTTGCAGCAGATGAAGAGCTGGTGTGGATAAAGTGGAGCTGCTGTGCTGCTCCTGGGTCCAATTCCTCACATGCGGGGGTGGCCACATTTAGGAAGAGTTTAGCCCTGGACCAGCCAGACCCCTTCCTCTCTGGATTATAGCACAATCGCGCAATCACCCTGACCTCCTCTGTGTTGGATTTTCTGTTGTATTTTGCTTAGATTTAGAGCACTCAGGGTGGTAGAGATCATGACTCTCTGTAAGGAGATAACAAAAATACGCTATGGTCACTTATCTCGGCACCTGGCCCGTCCAACCATCGATTTCCCATCTCGATTCACAAGGTGCTGAATGGAGCCGATCAATTTAACAGCACCGATGGGACTCAAATATTCCCATAATCTATATTATCAGTGGACTTCCTTCCTGATGTCCTCATCTGACCTGGTCACCGTGGCTTCTTGATCGGAGAAATTAAAGCAGGGATTGGGAGGTCTTTATAATGTGAGAATGTCGGCTTTAGCGTGGCCACTCTGGGGGACTGAGGGTTCACCATGCCCACACCCCTGCTGCGAATGCTTTTAGTAATGTGCACGCTTGGATTTAAATTAGGAGCCCCAATTAGTCTCTTGTTTTCTAGCAGCCTGCAAAAACACCATTTAGGGAGGAACTGTTTAGAAAGCAGGTTTTTACTTAATAAACAGTGATCAATCGAATTGATTAACCATGAACACATTCCCACTGAGTCTGTGGGTGGCGCTTGTTGTTGATAATTGCGGTTCGTGAGTACAAGACTATTAAGTGGCTGCTCATAGACGATTTCCCAGCCCTTTCACCTAAGAGAACTGGGGGCGCGCTCTGGGGGTGCCGGCAACTGTTGACAGCATTTTTTGGGTTGGGGCTGTGCCTGAGCCAGCCTCTGCCCCCAGCAGGCCTTTGGAGCATCTCTATCAATTGTGGCCATTTACTAGACACTGGCAGACATTTTTGTAAACCTCGCATCTGTTTTTTCACTAATTCACGCGGTAATTAGGTGTTCTCACGCCGGCTTTGTGGCTTTCCATAAACGGTAAGTGGAACCGCCTGTGCGTTAGAATTAGTGCTGTGTTCTGTGCGAGGCTTATTACCACCGAGGCTCTCTCTCTGCTCGCTGGAACGGCAGCTAGAAAACTGGGAGGAGAGCTTCCTGGCAGCATTAGCAAACTAGCAGCCCCTGAAGGGCGACGAGAAAGATGTAAGTGAGGGCGGGTTCGGCGGGAGAGCCCCCGGTTGCCCTGCGCGGTTGCGGCGCGCGCCTGGAGTTGCGCTTGATGAACGCAGCCCGGGGGCGCAGCGAGCACGGCCGGGCGGGCTGCCCCGGGGCTCCGGGCCCAGCTCCCAGCCCAGGGGACGGACTGTTCTTTGTGGGACAGAGGGGAGAGGACGCCTGCCATTTGGAACCCCTGCTGATGCTCCAGCTCATTTTGGGCAGGTTTCTGAGCCTCTCTTGGCGTAGTTTACCTAATTAACAAAAGTACAGAATAGCAACGCAATGTCTTCTGTTATGTGGGTTAGAACGCCCTTTATGCCCTCGGTGCTGGCCCTGGGTAAACGGGAAGCCGCCAGAGGGCTGGGTGACTTTACAGGTGCCTTGACCAAGGGCTCCTCGGGGCCGAGTGATCTCCTGCGCCCTCTAGCGGTGTGCATACCAACTCTCCGTGGACACCAACCTAGTGGTCCTGGATCTTCACCCTGAGTCAACGGCCCTGCCCCAGCCCTAGAGGTTTTCCTTGCGCTGAGGAAGGGACCCAGGCCTTGGTGTTTTTTACAAGCGCCCCAGGAGATTCTAACGTGCCTCCAAGCTGGAGAACTTCTGCTAGAAACCAAGGCAAGACAGAGCCACCGTGATAGGTGGTAAACCATATGTGCTTGAAAGTATGTTTATTACTTATGTGTTTATTATTATTATTTTAAACATAACATTTACCCGTGGGTAGTTTTGTTTTTTGTTTTTTGTTTTTGAGATGGAGTCTCGCTCTGTTGCCTAGGCTGGAGTCCAGTGGCTCAATCTCAGCTCACTGCAACCTCTGCCTCCCGGGTTCAAGCAATTCTCCTGTCTCAGCTTCCCAAATAGCTGAGACTACAGGCGCATGCCACCATGCCTGGCTAATTTTTGCATTTTTAGTAGAGACAGGGTTTCACGATATTGGTCAGGCTGGTCTTGAACTCCTGACCTCAGGTGATCCACCCACCTCAGCCTCCCAAAGTGCTGGGATTACAGGCGTCAGCCACCCGCCCAGCACTTACCTATGGGTAGTTCTAATTTGGCAATTTCCAATCCTCTGGGAAGACTCTGCAGATTGTCTGGGCTAACAGCTATTCCAAGCCCTCCTCTCTCTTTCCACCTTCTGCTAGAGGCTGAAGAAACTAAATCAGTAAGTGATTTCTTAGTCTCTCTTAATGCAGGGGTGGCCGTGTGACACAATGCTAGTCAATATGATGTAAGTATAAGGAAAAGTCCACTCGGGTGTTTCTGGAAAAGCTTTTTTCATCTTTTTTTTTTCCTGTTAAAAATAGATATAGAAGATCACCACCCACTTTTCTCTTCCTCTTGCTTTAGATGTAGATGTGATGTCTGGAACTCATGCAGCTATCTTGCAACGACCAGGATGAGGCTAAGAGAATAGGAGAGATCCTTGCTCAAACAGGGTAAGCCAACCCCAGAAGCAACTTGCCTCCAGACTTTTTATCATGAGGAAAAATAAATCCCTAAACGTTTAAGCCATTGGTAGGTTATATGTTAGTTGCAGTCAAATAATTCATAACAAATATACTTTCAGATGAGATATCATGATGAAATGCTGCCTAGAAGAGAAATCAAAAGAAAAATAAAACTTTTTGAAGTGCATGCAATGGGCCAGGCCCTGGGCTTTCACATGCATTATTTCATGCAGTACCAAAGACATTGGTGTCATTATTACTATTTCCATTTGTTGAGAAAACTGAGGTTGAATAATTTTCCTTTTATCAAACAATGTGTTTAGTATGAAGGACCAATTATGAAATGCAAGAGTCAAATTTTCAGAGAGTTTTATTTGTCTCCAGAGCCCATGCCTTTTCTTAGAATTTTTTCCTTCTACTGCCTCTTGCTTGCCAAGAAGAGATGCTGCAGTCAAGCCTTGCTGGGGAGGCTGGAGAGGGCAGCCAGGCTGCCTCAGCTGGAAGCAGGGACACAGGGGTGACTGCAGTGCCGTCAAGCAGAATATGGCATGTCTAACTCTAAGAACCTTGAACTGCCTCCCCATCCCCACAGCACACACAACAGTGATGGTGGCCCTGGGAGGAATTAGCTGGCCAGGATCTGGAGCCAGCCTCTTACATCAGAGAGAGATGGACAGAGTGGTGCAGCATGGTGGAACCACATGCTGGAGTAGAGAACCTGGGAAGGGAGGGGAACAAAGCTCCTGGCAACTTCTTGAGGGAATGTTTACTTTATTTTGTTTTTTTGAGATGGAGTTTCGCTCTTGCTACCAGGACTGGAGTGCAGCGGCATAATCTTGGCTCATTGCAACCTCCACCTCCTAGGTTCAAGAGATTCTCCTGCCTCAGCCTCCTGAGTAGCTGGGATTACAGGTGTCTGCCACCAAGCCTGGCTAATTTTTTGTATTTTTAGTAGAGACGGGGTTTTACTGTGTTGGCCAGGCTAGTCTCGAACTCCTGACCTCAGGTGATCCACCTGCCTCGACTTCCCAAAGTGCTGGGATTACAGGCGTGAACCACAGCACCTGGCTGGGATTGTTGACTTTGGATGATATGAAGACTGAAAATCTGGCAATGTGGGCTCAAAATGAGAAGTGACGCCTCATCCAGGTCTGCAACAAAGGCAGAGAACTGTGTATTTAATGGAGGGGATGGAGACCTGATACCAGAAACCCACTGGAGATCGCACATTTGAATACCTGTATTGTGAAAATGCATGTGTTATAAAAGGGTCGACCCTCTTCATAGTTTGTGGGGTCAACCATTCTCCATCAGTCTCTCATCTTCACACAGGATTGTGTTAAAGACCCTCCCCCTCCTCCAGCCACTGTTATATATGGCCAGGTGGACACGGACCCTGGATGGCTCTAACATAGAAGATTGAGGTGCCCAGAGAGGGCCCACATTAGACCTCAGCCCCGCAGTTAGCTATCCCTCCAACTGTGCCAAAAGTTGTGGCAGCATCCCCTCTCTGAGGTAGAGCTGCTGGCTTCTCCTCTAAGCTCCCCATATCACTGATTTGCACCTTCCCCGACTGGATAGATCATTAAGAGAATTGGTTTACAAGGCTCTTGCTGAGCTGCTGGCTGTGGGAGAGGAAGTAAACAGACACAAGATAGAGCTGTAACATATGATGTTATATCCAGTGCTTAATGAGGCCCATAAAAACAGGAATGCAGGAGCAGCCGCAGTTAAGTGAATGTGCTTCATGCAGAATCAAGAGTTGACTGTATTTTATTTGATTTAGTTCTAGAAATAGCAGATGTTGTGTCAATTATGGCAAAGTAGTTCTAACTAATCTCTTCATTGAATTCATCTCATTGACCAAAATGGATTAAAAATTATTTTGTTTCCATGATCGTAAGTCAATTTTCTATAGAAAATATACAGAAGAATAAACTGGAGAATTGAAATGACCCTAATCCCACCACTAATAATAACTCATAACAATAGATTACGCTTGCAAGTGCTAACTGGTTCCCAGCCACTATCTAGAACCACTCTTCTGTTAGCACCCTAATTAAACCCTCTAGGAAGTAGGGAGAGCTAGCAGCTGCATGCTTAATATGGGGAAACTGAGGCACTGGGAAGTGGGAAGTTAATAACTACTCCAGTGTCAACACACTTGGAGGTGGTGGAGTCAGGGTTCGACCTTGGCCATTTAGCTCCAAAACCTGCATTTTTTTTTTTTTTTTTTTTTGAGATGGAGTCTTGTTCTCTTGCCCAGGCTGGAATGCAGTGGCATGATCTCGGCTCACTGCAAACTCCACCTCCTGGGCTCAAATGATTCTCATGCCGCAGCCTCCCAAGTAGCTGGGACCACAGTTGCCTGCCACCACGACCAGCAAATTTTTGTATTTTTGTAGAGACGGGGTTTTACCATGTAGGCCAAGCTGGTCTCAAACTCCTGACCTCAGTTGATCCTCCTGCCTTGGCCTCCCAAAGTGCTGGGATTACAGGTGTGAGCCACTGCGCCTAGCCTAAAACCTGTATATTTATACAGCAAAGTCTATTGCCTTTGGGGGAAACCACTATTAATGTGTTTTCTTTCTCTGAAAATGCATGCAAATATCACATATTTTTATATGTATTTACACAAATTGGAGATCGTATTCTATATGCTGATTTGCAATCTGCTTTGTCATGTAACTGTATATAATGTTATTACAAATAAGTGTTTGATGACTGCATAGTGTTCTTTCATACAGAGGTACACTGGGATATTTTAAAAATCAATCTCCTAACCTCAGGCATCTATGCTGTTTCCACGTGTTGCTGGTTCATTTTATAAATAATGCTGAGATGAAAGCCAGTTTTATGTACATACCTCTGAGTGAATCCCTGATTATTTTGTCTAAGTAAATTCCCATAAGTAACATTACTGGGCAAAAAATATGGTCAGTTTTAATGACAATACTTATATAGATTCTTACACAGATTTAGTTTGGCAAGGAGCTTTGACTAAGATGATGAAATGAATGGACTGGTTTCAAATTTGTAGTTGTGATGACAGCTGTACCCTGAGCTGTATGACAGAGACGCATTTACTGGGCTGGAAAACAAGTCACTTGGTGGCTCTAAGGAACTCCGGGAAGCACCGGGGTGGCTTGTCCTCCTTCACTCCCTCATAGCGCCCTGTTAGACACCCTCACTTGTCTGTCTTCCCTGCCGGACCGTGAGCGGGAGGAGGATCACGCATTGACCACACGTCTACCAAGTGTTTTCCCTGAGCCAGGTCCCGGGAGGGAGGGCCCCTGTGCTCACCTGCATCCCAGAACTAGTGTGGAAGCAGCTGCTCTGGAAGCCTTGGCAGGGCTGCTGAAGCAAACCTCTCCCTCTGGTCTGCCTTCCTCATACTCAGCCTTTAAAATTCGCCCCAGCTACCTTCTCCAGGGATGGAAGTGGACATTATGCCAGGCAAGAGTGACAGTATATTCAATCCTTGGGAACATCTTAAAAGGTAGGTCCTGCATTATTACCCATACTACGGATGAGGAAGCTGAAGCACCAAGAAGTTAGTAACTTGTACGGGACCACACTTCCAGTAAGTGGTTGACTTAGAATTTGAACCTGCATCTGCTTCACTCCAAGATCTTATTTTTCTCACTGAACCTTGAGGCTTTTAGGAGACAGGTTTAGCAGTTCAGGCTAGGGTTAGGTGTAGGCTTTGGTACTTGGGTCCTGATTCCTACCGAGTCTGTGTGGCCCAACATTTAGACAGCAGGAACTGGAGCTTCCGCTTGTACCTCTGGATTCAGGTGATGGACTCAGAGGGCCCCGTGGAAAGGAGGAAACCCTCTGGTTGCAGCAACTTCCAGGTTGAGACAAGTGTTTAGAATTATTCCCATTGGGCAGCCCCTCACCCTGTTTCATCTGGTGGCAACAATCTCACTTTGCTTCTTTTAATTAAGAAGGAGACTTTTGTTGATATTGCTATTTTGAGCAAAATGGCTTCCACTGCATTGTCAATTATTTGAAATAAGAAATTCAAGGGCTCCCTTGTTTGATCATGTATTAGTCAGTTTTCATGCTGCTGATAAAGACCTACTCAAGACTGGATAATTTACAAAGAAAAAGAGGTTTAATGGACTCACAGTTCCATGTGGCTGAGGAGGCCTCAAAATCATGGTGGAAGGCAAAAGCACGTCTTACATGGCAGCAGGCAAGAGAGGATGAGAGCCAAGCAAAAGGAGAAACCCCTTATAGAATCATCAGATCTTGCAAGACTTATTCACTACCATGAGACCAATATGGGAAAAACCACCCCTGTGATTCAATGATCTCCCACCTGTTCCCTCCCACAATTTGTAGAAATTATGGGAGCTACAATTCAAGATGAGATTTGGGTGGGGACACAGCCAAACCATATCAGATCAGTTGTTCATTTGGCTGCTTTTGAGACCTTTCTACATATCAGGCCTTGCCCTGTGCACTGAGAATCCAGAGGGAACTGGGACAGCCTCAAAGCTCTCCCAGTTTAGTGGGGAGACAGACTGGGACATGACTCGCTGGTATATGAGGCAGAACAGGATGTGGCTCCAGGAGCGAAATGCTTTGGGCAGGACTCAGAGGGACAGTTGATCTCTGCCAGATGCAGAGTGACTGAGAAAACTCCTGGGAGAATCTTCTTTGAAAAACAAAAAGTAAGCTAGAAGTCGTAAGCAAAAATGTATTACTATATATCAAGCTAAAGGAATGACCAAATCAGGCAAAAAAATTTTAAAAAGCAACGAACGGCAAGAAATTTACATCACAACTGAGCAACCTTAAAAAGTGGGCTCATTTTAGTTTCTTTTTGGCCACAAGTTAAAAACAGGGTGGGGAAAGAGGTAAATGGGAAGCAATAACAAAAAGAATTGAGTTTTCTTTCTCTCTGCCAGCAGCATTTGCAAAGCTTAACATAATTTTACCGATATTTTCCTGTGAAGTACATCGGGATAACATTTCTTAAAATAATTGTGCTCTTAACAGTCCCACGCAGACTAGAAGCTGGGAAGCTGTACAGGCATCAGAGAATGAGATTCTGAGCCTCTGAATTCCGATGGCCCCAAAGGACCCATAGGTTCCCACTCAGGTCCAGAGGAGCAGTGGCTTTGGCAGAGGCTGGGGGCAGAGGAGAAGAGGTGGGAGGCTGCCAACACGTGGCTCTGTGAGCTTAACAGTGTTCTTGGAGGCTATGTTTGGTGGGGGGAGGAGTAGAAGACCCCTGGCCACCACCAGCCTGGATGTCCCTGGACCTGCCACCACTTAACGTTTGATATCAGGAGCCCAGCAGTCCCAGGACATAGCCGCAGTGCCTTGGTCTTGCACAGAAAAGCAGGAGAAGTTAAATGTTGCAGATGTTTCAGATATTTTGTTCTCCTTCTTCTGCCTTCTTCTTCTTCTTCTTTTTTTTGGAGTCTCGCTCTGTCGCCCAGGTTGGACTGCAGTGGCACGATCTTCGCTCACTGCAAGCTCCACCTCCCGGTTTCACTCCATTCTCCTGCCTCAGCCTCCTGAGTAGCTGGGACTACAGGCTCCCACCACCACGCCCGGCTAATTTTTTTGTATTTTTTTAGTTGAGACAGGTTTCACTCTGTTAGCCAGGATGGTCTCCATCTCCTGACCTCGGGATCTGCCTGCCTCGGCCGCCCAAAATGCTGGGATTACAGGCGTGAGCCACCGTCCCCGGCCTCTTCTGCCTTCTATATTGCGGAGTGCTTTTTTGGCCATTAGACTGTGTTGAGAAAGAGGATGCTACCCTGCAGTTGAGTGGAAGGACATTAAGTGACAATTGTTCTGAGTGCAGTGGCTACTGTTCGCTTGGAGCCACACTATTTCATAAGAAAAACACGTAAGAATGCTCTCAGCTTAGAGATGTTAAGGGAGGCCTTTTCCCTGTTGGGATCCTGGACCGAGGAGAGCTGATATGTGGGATTGTCTCCTTTGCAGGGTCCTGCAGCCGTGTACCTGCGCAATGGACTGTCTGTGAGAGCTGCTTGGCTCTAGGGTCATTCATTCTCAAATTAAGCATTTACACCATAAGTTGTAATTGTATTTGTTTCAAAAGGAGACGGTGGAGTCTTTCACATCAAAAAAGACTTTTTAAAGTGCCAACCGTTTCATACTACCTGCTCCACGGGATTGGACGCAATAACTCAAGCTTTAAAAGTTCCATGGCTGTGTTGTATGCTTGAATATTACAAATCTCTGTCTGAAATCAGCTCCCTCCTGTGACAACCTTCTCCATCAGTGAGAAACCCTGATTATTAAATCAAGATCAAACTGGGCATGGTGGTACCCCTACTTTAAGGAAAGTTTATGAGACTTTTTGATTATAAGAAATAATGCTTCTTGTAGACATTTTTAATAATAAAGGTATAGTACATTTGTTCTATAGCCCAAAAGCAGCCCAACCATTAATTCTACTTCTTTAAAACAAAACTGGCCAGGCGGGGTGGCTCACGCCTGTAATCCCAGCACTTGGGAGGCCGAGGCGGGCGGATCACGAGGTCAGGAGATGGAGACCATCGTGGCTAACCCAGTGAAACCCTGTCTCTACTAAAAATACAAAAAATTAGCCGGGCGTGGTGGCGGGCGCCTCTAGTCCCAGCTACTCAGGAGGCTGAGGCAGGAGAATGGTGTGAACCCGGGAGGCGGAGCTTGCAGTAAGCGGAGATCGTGCCACTGCACTCCAGCCTGGGTGACAGAGTGAGACTCCGTCTCAAACAAACAAACCAAACCAAACAAACAAACAAACAAACAAAAACACACACACACACACAAAACAACAAAACAAAACAAAACAGCATTGCTATGACTAATGACGTTCTTTATAGTAAATGAACTAGGATAGGTCAATGTTCATGGACTCTAGTGTTTTTTAAGTTATTTTTTTCTAAGACATTTGACATCTTGGTGCCACTAACATGTTGCAGGGTAGGGACGGGAGCAATGAAGACTTTTATTGCTATGCAGGGCCTTCCTGGCTGTGTCTCAGATGACATTACTGGCTGTGAGTAGGGGGATCTTCTGTCATTAGCAAAATGCATCCATCTCTAGGGGTGCACATCTCTGCCACTGTCCTGACTTACAGCAGGGAGAAGTCAGGTGTGGTCCTATAGAAGTGACTGTCTCTCACTATCTAAAGTCTCCCTACCCCTTCTCTAGTGGTCTTCATATCACTTCCGTCTTCTTGAAATTTTCTATCCATTGGGTATTGTTCGTGGCCTCCACTAGAGAATACACTCTATGTGGGCAGGTATTTACTCACTGTTGTGCCCCCCAGCGCCTAGCACAGAGGCCTGGTACCTAGTAGATGCTCAGTTAAAAGTTGTTGACTGAATGGTCATGTGCTGGGAATGTCGATTGCTATAAGATGCAGTGATCCGGTTTTCAGCGTGAAAGAATCAGGCTGCCATTGACAGCTGTGGTTAAGAATGCATCCTCTCTTGTCCTGAAGGTCAGCCTCCTGATGGGCATGGACTCTGTCACATGGGGCTTCAGCACCATTCAGAACAGGTCCTGCAGGAAAAGCAAGCAACTTTCCTTACTAGGTGACATTCCAGTTATAGAACCCTAGGCCACTGATTCTCTACTGGGTGCAATTTTGTCTCCAAGGGCAATTGACAATGTCTGGTGACATTTTTGGGATTGGCATCACTGGGGAGGTGGGTGCTGGTGACTTCTAGTGCGTAGAGGCCAGGGATACTGCTAAACATCCTAAAATCTGCAGAACAGCCCCCCACAACAGCCCCCCACAACAAGGAATGATCAGGCTCAAAATGTCAACAGTGCTGGGGCTGGAAAACCCTGCTCTAGACATTCTCTCTTTTCGGGAAGAAAAACAAGGACAACATAGGAAGGGAAGCGAAAAGAACTGACTTTTACTGATCACCCAGGCTTCTGACTCTGTGTTAGATACTTCATAGATTAGAGCATGTAGTATTCAGTCTTCACAATGAAACTTTGATGTGGGTATTATCATCTCCATTGTACAGATGACAAACTGAGGCTCAGAGAGGTTAAGTGACTTGCCTGAAGTCACCTGGGTAGGACCTTTAAACACAAATCTGCCTTGTTTCAAGTCCCACACTCTTTCTACTAGACTTCTTGAGTCCTGCAAGTAATGAGATGTTGGTAACTTCCTCAGGAAGTATATTGGATGCGAAAGAATGTCTTCAGGAAGGATGTAATGGATCTTTTGCATTTTAACACTTCCTTAATTTGGAATCTGAAAATTCCACCAGGCTGAGGTTGAAGTGTCCCTTTGTATCACCCACAAAGAAAAGATCTGCACTATGTAAATGAAACCATAGGTTGGGCACAGAGAACCCTTTAAGAAGAGTGAGCTTTCTAAGGCAATGATTGTTAGTTTAAACATTGCAGGACTCCAGACGGTAACCACATCCCCACGTCACCGTTCCTTATTAATGAGATGTGGAAAATAATAATGTCCCTAGCACCCTGCATTCAGGAAGAGATAACTTCCTAGTCTTTGTCATCCATTAACAGCTTCCACAAACATTTACAGAGCACTTGCGTTGTGGTTGCTGCTGTCTCGGGGGACACCAGATAAGACACACTGGCCTGACAAAAGGTTTATCATCTATTTAAGGATAGTTCTAAAATGAAAAGTTTCCATACCCTGTTTGAAGGGTTACAAGTCAGATGTAGATAAAGGGATAGGAGATTGTAGAGGGGAGAGTAAGATTCCTGCTTGAATGGAGTGTCCCTGGGGAGTAAAGTTTGATCTGGGTTTTCAAGGATGAATAGAAGTCTCTTGAGTGGGCATGGGAAATAACAGCAGGCCAGACAGAGAAAGCCACAGGGGTGGAGGCCTTGTGGCTAGAGAGCATGTAATTTTCAGAGGACAGTGGTAGATAAACATGTGAGCCCCTACTGTGTGCTAAGCATTGGAAAGAGTGAGGAATAACAGAGACAAATAACTGAGATAATATTAGAGCAAAACGAGTGCCATACAGAACAGGACAGGGTCATGTGACAGGAAGGTGAGGACTGGAAGAGGGTGACATTTGAATGAAGACCTAAGTGGCTAGGATGAGCCAGTTCTATGACCTGAGCATTCCAGGCCTGGATGATTCTCCTTTCCCACCCCAGACCGCAGTCCCAGCATTGCAGGCAGTGAAGCCCACCTTCATGGCTGAGGCACCCGGGCCAAGGTACCCAGGGCACAGGGAAGGTTATAGGGAAGGGCTATGCCTCCTGCTTCTCCATTTTCTGCGCTGGTCATCTGGGGGAACGGGGGGGTCTCCCCTGGCATTGAGCAGCCCCTTGATAACTCCTTGGAGTGCCTCCCTGAAGGTGGGACCCGCTGAGCACTCCCAGACTCAGGCTGCCTTTCTCACTAAGCCAACTGTACGAGTCCATTTTTTTGCTGCTGATAAAGACATATCCGAGACTGAGTAATTTATAAAGAAAAAGAGGTTTAGTGGACTCACAGTTCCATGTGGCTGTGGAGGCCTCACAATCACGGTGGAAGGTGAAAGGCATGTCTTACGTGGGGGCAGACAACAGAGAGAGCTTGTGCAGGGGAACTGCCCTTTATAAACCCATCATATCTTATGAGACTTACTCACTATCCCAAGAGCAGCATGGGAAAGACTTGACCCTGTGATTCAATTACCTCCCACTGGGTCCTTCCCACAAAACGTGAGAATTGTGGGAGCTACAATGCAAGATGAGAGTTGGGTGGAGACACAGACAAACCATACTAGCAACACTCAGAAGGTTCCACTAGTGGGGAATGTGATGCATCTCCAGGGTCACAGAAATTGCATCATCATTGAGAAAGCACAGACCCTCTCTGCACTGAACCTCTGCTTCCTGGGTTCTAGTGATTCTCCTGCCCCAGCCTCCCAAGTAGCTGGGATTACCAGGCACGTGCCACCACATTTGGATAATTTTTTTGTATTTTTAGTAGAGACGGGGTTTCACCATATTGGTCAGGCTGGTCTCGAACTCCTGACTCAACAGTTGAATTCTAATGGAGCTCTCCTGTCCTCTGCGCAGTGGCATGGGGAGAGTGGGAACTGGCTAGCCACATCCCTGGCTCCCATGCTTGTGTCTGGGATAGAAGGGACGCATATTTATTGCCAGCCAGCATGGGGTTAAAGGTCACTTCCCTGTGTGCACGTTCTTAGTTATTTGGCCCCCAAAAGGTCCTTAGAAAGATACTAGTCAAATAAGAGTTAAGGTGATGGGAAGGAAGTGTGGGCTGATTTGCATTAGACAGGATGTGATAGATCTGCAGACTGAAGGGCCAAGGTGAAAAGGGGAAGGTGATTTTCCCGGTCCTTACACCTTCCTTGATAGACCAAAGCTGATGTTGGTGGTTGGAAAGTGCTTTTTAAAGTCCAACTTGCCTTCTGTGTGTTTGTAAATTCTGAGAGTTTCAGGTAAGGACTCTGGATTCCCAGGGGAACAAAGGAATAAACACCACACAATTGCAGCTTTCCAGAGAAGCCTTAAGACAACAAAGCACTCATTAATGAAAAAATATTCGGTGGCAGACACCTTTATTTTTGTTTACTCTTTTGACAGGGTTGGAATGAAAAGAGTTATGTGATAGGGAGAGAAAGCCCTACCTTCATTTAACTTGCTGTAGTCTATGGGTATAATTACCTATAAGTGTAATTACAGAGAAGACAAACGGCATTTTTAGCTGTGGTCTTAAAGAGGCGAGTTAATTTCCGACTTTGACCAGAACTATGTTAATTAGCCGTGGTGCAGTCTCTCTCTGTCTCTCTCTCTCTCTCTCTGAATGGAAGTTCCTCACCCAGGACTGAACGTGGCCTGCTTCCTCTGTACCTTTGAGTAATGAAAGGACACTGCATGCCAACCAAATCAGGGCTGCTGTATTAATAAGGCTACTTTCCTGTCCATTTATCATCAATTAAAGGTGCGCTAGTTTGTAAAGTAACCCCACCTTCGGCCCGGCCTCCCAGGACGGCTCCTCATTTATTTTCTGTGTGGTTTCGGTTGGAGTTAGACCTACCTTGCAGCTCAGAGGTGACAGGCGGCATGAAAAAGTACACTAATTGAGACATCTCGAGGGAGAAATATAAGAAAACTGAAACGGTAATTAGAATGAGAGGATTTCAAGCTGGGTAAGGAAAATCGAATGGAGGTGCATATTAGGGGCTGTTACAAATGGGGAGGAAAGTACTTGTTGCGGGGAGAGAGAAATGGATCTTAGAGCAGAGTGTACCCTTTTAACACTTCAGGGAGAGAGGAGACAGCAAGAAAATATCCAGGGTCAGGTGTGTGGACTTTTAGGAAGGGTGGCCTCGCATGCAGGCTTTAAGGCAAAGCTAATAGGGAGTCTGGCCAGCAAATTGCCAGGCTTTCAATACAGGCTGATGTTTCGGGGAGAGAAATAGCCTGGGTTTCTGGTAGGGAATGAGATTCTAAAATTCAAATGTGATTTTTAGCACTCCCAACCTTTTATGCAAAAGTGGCGAGAGAAGCTGCAGAGAGATTTCAGGGGATTTGAAAACGGGAGTGTTCTTCGGCTTCTGCCTTCAGTCCTCTGACTTCTAAGCCCTGGAAGCTGTGCCTGAACAGGGTCCTGAGGATAATGCCATGAGTCCAAACCCTCATAGGCCGAAAGGTAACAGAGATAGAGCCATTTTCCTGCAACATCATGCCGTGTGCATGGATGCATTTTTTCATTAGTACTTTGGATTTCAATTGTTCATTTTCTTTCGGAGATATCAATTCCCAGAAGCCAGATACAAATGGGCCATTTTAAGAAATGTTCCTTTAAGCGTGAGAATGATTTTGAGTGGCCAGTTGCTATTTTAGCTTAGTAGACTATAAGCCCCCCAGTCATTGCCTACCAGGTGCATAAGCTCAGAGAATGTTGCAGAGAAACTAGGTCCCATATTCTCCTCCAGCCAAGGAGGCCGAGAGCAACAGCTTGGAGATGCTTGGACCCTCCAGGAGGGAAGAGAAAGAAAAGGTCTTACAGTCCAACCAGCACTGGGACCCTTGTCAAATGGCTGGAAAAAGTCAGGTTGAACATTTTCAGTGACAGGGGACCTGAGCAGGTGTCATGCTACCACCTTCTCTCTGCAGATCAGACATCTCCCTTGTCACAGAAGAGCTCTGCAGATACTTGCATCCACAGTCATACTTTCCCTGTCTTGTTTCCAGCCTAAATGTGCTCAGTTCCTTTAACTGGGTTCCTGGGAACTGGGGGCATGGTTTGCGTTCTTTCCTACCTTAGCCATCATCTTGGTGTAGCACTCAACATGAGCCCTGCTGTGTGATCTGACTGGCACACAAAGGAAATGTCTGTCACCTCTTTTGTCATAGAATATATGCCTCTATTTTTTTTTCTTCTTTTTTTTATTATACTTTAAGTTTTAGGGTACATGTGCACAATGTGCAGGTTAGTTACATATGTATACATGTGCCATGCTGGTGTGCCGTACCCATTAACTCGTCATTTAACATTAGGTGTATCTCCTAATGCTATCCCTCCCCCCACCCCCACCCCACAACAGGACCCGGTGTGTGATGTTCCCCTTCCTGTGTCCATGTGTTCTCATTGTTCAATTCCCACCTATGGGTGAGAACACGCGGTGTTTGGTTTTTTGTCCTTTCGATAGTTTGCTGAGAATGACGGTTTCCAGCTTCATCCATGTCCCTACAAAGGACACGAACTCATCATTTTTTATGGCTGCATAGTATTCCATGGTGTATATGTGCCACATTTGCTTAATCCAGTTTATCATTGTTGGACATTTGGGTTGGTTCCAAGTCTTTGCTATCGTGAATAGAGCTGCAATAAACATACATGTGCATGTGTCTTTATAGCAGCATGATTTATAATCCTTTGGGTATATACCCAGTAATGGGATGGCTGGGTCAAATGGTATTTCTAGTTCTAGATCCCTGAGGAATCGCCACACTGACTTCCACAATGGTTGAACAAGTTTACAGTCCCACCAACAGTATAAAAGTGTTCCTATTTCTCCACATCCTCTCCAGCACCTGTTGTTTCCTGACTTTTTAATGATCGCCATTCTAACTGGTGTGAGACAGTATCATTGTGGTTTTGATTTGTATTTCTCTGATGGCCAGTGATGATGAGCATTTTTTCATGTGTCTTTTGGCTACATAAATGTCTTCTTCTGAGAAGAGTCTGTTCATATCCTTTGCCCACTTTTTGATGGGGTTGTTTGTTTTTTTCTTGTAAATTTGTTTGAGTTCATTGTAGATTCCTTTGTCAGATGAGTAGATTGCAAAAATTTTCTCCCTTTCTGTAGGTTGCCTGTTCACTCTGATGGTGGTTTCTTTTGCTGTGCAGAAGCTCTTTAGGTTAATTAGCTTTATTAATGCATCTCAAGACCATTTTGATTTCTTTGGCAGCTACATCACACTAACCATCAGTGTTGATTTCTAGTCACTATTAATCGGGTCCTATGATGTGCTGGGCACGAGGGATAGCACGGTGGGCAAGACAGATGTGGCCCTTACCTGCAGAGAGTTCACAGTGTGATGAGGAAGATCCACTTGGATGGAGGAATCACTGTGTTAGGAAAGGTGAGGCCAGACATTGATGGGATTATATTAATACATAGGCTATGGGCTCATATCTAGTTCTGTTGTGGGGAGAAGCCCCCTGAGGAAGAAGCATTGAAGTCGAGCCCTATAGGCTGCACAGTTGCTCACCAGGTAGAGCAGGAGTGGGAAGGGGGTGTGGCAAGTGCACCTAGAGAGGGAACAGCACACCCAAAACCCGAAGGCGAGGAAGGGCGTGGTGTGCCAGTGAATGACTGGATGTCCTGGATAGGAGGGACTGGATGAGAGAGCAAGGCCAGAGGAGGTTAGGAGGAGGCCAGATGCTGGAGCCGGCCTGGTCTTGAGAGGGCCTGTGAATCGTGGCCAGGGTTCTGCCTTGCACTGTTGCCAAGCCCTTTTAAGTAGGAAATGGCATGATGAGGTTTTCTGTTCACTTCAGAACCCGAGTCTTTTTGATGCATCCTCTTTGTAAGAAATCACATTCCTCCTCCAATTCCCTTCCTAGGATTGAGCCCTGACTTCTACATGCAAGTGAAGAGCTGTATGTTCATCCACATTTTAGACTCATTGTGTGCGATTATGACAATCTCTATGGACACTCACATTTGGATTCTGATTCTATCCCCCGATATATTTATCTATCTCCCAGCTCCACTCAGTTTTGCTAAGTCTCTTCTGGCTCATTCCAGGTTGATGGGGGTTTACAGCTGGATAGAACCCGATGGCGCTTCCCTACAAACTGTCCTCCTGGCTGCCGTAGAGCCATTCATGGGCTCACGTGGGTTCCTGTTCGACCTCCCTTGCCTCCACCTAATTGTAGCGACCTCAGCCTGCCTGTCTTCTTCTTGCCACCATCTGGGAGGCTGCAGAGGCAGCCATATCCATTGGCCGTGGGGCCATTCCAGAGCTTGCCTTGGCAGTGTGCTGTGCTGCTCCTGGAGGTGGTGCCTTGTCTCCACTCTAGAACTGCCTACGTCTCATCTGAGTCAGGCTGACAAAAACAGAGTGTCACAGACTGGGCGGCTTACAAACAACAAACATTTATTTCTCTCAGTTCTGGAAGCTGGAAGTCTGAGATCAGGGTGCTGCTGGCATGGTCAGGTTCTGGGGAGGGCTCCCTGTCTTCCAGGATGCAGATTGCTGTCTTCTTCTGGTATCCTCACATGATGGCAAAATGAGAGAGCTCTCTGGTGTCCCTTTTGTAAGGGCACTAACCCATCACGATGGCTCTACTGTTGTGGTCTAATCCCCACTCAATGGCCCCACCTTCTAGTACCATCACCTTGGGGGTTAGGATTTCAGCATATGAATTTGGGGGTGGGCGCAAACATTCAGCCCACTGCAGATCCCCTGCACAGTCGTTTTTTGAGGCACTTAAGAGAAAGATGATTTCCCATAATTTCCTATCTGACTCTTCGCTGAGGATGAAATAGGCCCAGATGACACCACGGTTGCTACCGTTCGGAATGTGGAGGAAACTTTTAGTGTGAATGCCTGTGAAACTTAGGAAACCTCCCAAGAGGACTCGGCCTGAGTTTGGAAACCCTTCTAAAGGGGGTTTTGCTTTGTAAAACGCTGACTCAGTTGACAGATGGCCCAAATGCTTATTTTGGTCAACACCTGAAAGCAATTTGGGGCTTTCTAATTATTACTCCAGAAAATAGACTAAATCCCACTCAACAAATGTGGAGCTGGCCAGTATGGGGCCCCCACGTGCTAATGCACTGGAGGCTGGTTCTGTTATCAACTGTGAGTCCCTCTTGAGTTCCAGTTCCTGGTGGGGCTCCAGGTCTGTCCTGGTTCCATTCAGAACTCCAGCTTTCATCAGCCTATCTGATGTGTCCACTGAACCTCTTTCAGTCTCCTGTGTTGTCACCTCTAGTGCAAATCTGGGCTTGCTTCTGGGGCTCCGCCATGGCAGTAGGAGGGCTTTTGGACAGATTGAACCTGGCTCCGTCCCAGGCAGGACACAGCTCCCTTGGCAAGTACAGCAGAAGTATCTGTTCCTGTTAAGACATAAGCTCCACTCACCTCCCTTTACTGCCTCATCACACTTTGTCCTGGTTGCATCAGGACTGTGGCTCTTCCATCCTTTTGTGCCTGGTTTAAGCCAGCTACAAATTTCTGGATTGCAACCACCAATTAGCATGCTTTATTGTTAACAACCATAGTAATGGCACAACTAATTTTATGGATTACACAGAAATAATGATCAAGGCAGCCTATTTTAGTGAAAATGGGTAATTGTATAAAGCCATGAAGACACGGCCTTATGATGGTTGAAAATTCAAAGCAAGCACCACTTGGATGGTGCGGTGTTGAACCAGCTAATTATAGTGGTTTTATATCCGTGTTTGATCATTTAAAAAAGGTTTCTCTCTCCACACACACACACACACACACACACACACACACGCACGCGCACGCACACACAAAACCCTATCAAACAAGTTTCTCTTTGAGTTTACAATTACTGTTGTGGGCAGGGAGGTTTCTGAATCACAAATGAAAATTTGAACATCAAAGAGATTTTCTCCCCTTCTTCTAAGGGAAGAAGAGCTTTTTCTTTCCAACTATATAAGAAGGGAAAAAATACATAGATTTGAAATTAAAATTTCGCCAGGGCGGTAAGAGAGTAGAAAACACCAAATTCCTACGTGTGGGCAGGTTTGAATGTTGCTCTGATGAGATATAAATGCAGCCTTAAGAAAGAGACATAAAGAGAGAGAGAGCACTCCTAGTTTTAAAGTCCAGGTCCAGGACTATGGCACCCTTTCTTTCTGAGCAGACCACACTCAGAGGCTAATGTATCATCAACTGTCTGATAAAGAGAAAGGGTAAGGGATATCCCAAAACCAATGAACTCTGAGCTTGCCTGAAAGTTTATCCTGTAGAGGAGGATTGATAAAAAGTAACTTTTAAGAATGACAACAGTCTTTGATAAACAAAAATATATTAAGTTTATGTAAAAGCGTTTGGCTTTGAATGGATCATCAATTTTGAAAAGGATAGTATCATCACAAATGGAGGAAATATGTCCACTTTATTAATTAGTAAAAACAATAACTGTGTTCTCAATGTGTATCTTTGAAATGTGTCATTTTGGCAATCCTTTTTCACAGACTGTGCTGTACTTTTCTTTTTTGTTTTGTTCCTTAGTTTTTTTGTGATTCAATGAATGCCAACAGCTGACATAGAATAATCTATAGCTTATAAAGTTCTCTCACACATTGTTTTGTTTGGATCTTACAACAATCTTATAAGATAGTGAGATGTTAGCTCCCACATTGTCAAAGAAGAATCTAGCTAACTAAGGAAAATCTGCAAATGACATCATGGTTAAGACTGGGACAAAGCAAGGTGTTTGTTCTCATCCCTCCTATTTAAGACAAGGAGGAGTCATTAATAACTATGTATGGAGTTTCTGCAGAATGCCAGGAACTGTGCTGCATGCTTTTTATTATGGTGTTTTGTTTAATCCTCCCTATAATGCCTCATGTAGAGACTCTTTCCCCTGTTTCACAGATGAGGAAACAACAGCTCAGAGATGTTGTGCCTTTGTCCAGAGTTGCACTGTGACTTTGGATGATGGCTGGAGGATCCAAAAGAGAAATGCTGTTCACTGACTTGCACAAACTGCTCTGTGCTTGTGTTAGAAATTCAGATACCAACACAACACTAATCACAATAGCAAACACATGGAACCAACCTGGGTGTCCATCAGTGGTGGACTGGATAAAGAAAAGATGGTACATATACACGACGGAATACTCTGCAGCCATAAAAAAGAATGATATCATGTCCTTTGCAGCAACATGGATGCAACTGGAGGCCACTACCCTAAGTGAGTTAACATGGACACAGAGAACCAAATATTGCATGTTCTCACTTGCAAGTGGGAGCTAAGCATCGGGTACACATGGACATAAAGATGGGAACAATAGACACTGGGATCTTCAAAAGGGGGAAGAAAGGGAGGTGGGGATTGAAAAACCACCTATTGGGGACTATGTTCACAATTTGGATGATGAGTTTAATAGAAGCCCAAACCTCAGCATCATGCAATATATCCATGTAACAAACCTACCTGTGTATCCCTTGAATCTAAAATAAAACAAATAAATACATTAAAAAAAAAAAAGAAAACAAATTCAGATACAGAGAGGACCATAACAGCCTGTATCTGAAGGTGGTAGGCCGGAATGTGACTCCGAGCGTGCTGGGTCTCCTTGTTCCTTTCCACTTATCAGTAGTAGACCAGACTGTTGGTAGGTCTTTTAAGTTTTCATAAATTTTGAGTCCTGCATGCTAAAAAGCTATTTGTTTTATAGAAACAAATAATAAAAATACAAGAAAAATAAAAAAAGAAAGAAAGAAGAAATAAAAGAAAAGAGAATTTCTTCCCTTTCCAGTGAAAAACAAATTCCAATTGGAAAGTTAAAAAAAATCAGATGCAGGCCAGGCGCAGTGGCTCACACCTGTAATCCCAGCACTTTGGGAGGCCAAGGCAGGTGGATCACGAGGTCTGGAGATCAAGACCATCCTGGCTAACATGGTGAAACCCCGTCTCTACTAAAAAACAAAAAATTAGCCAGGCGTGGTGGCGGGCGCCTGTAGTCCCAGCTACTCAGGAGGCTGAGGCAGGAGAATGGCGTGAACCTGGGAGGCGGAGCTTGCAGTGAGCCGAGATCGCGCCACTGCACTCCAGCCTGGGTGACAGAGTGAGACTCTGTCTCAAAAAAAAATAAAAAAAAAATAAAAAAATAAAAAAAATCAGATGCAGCATTGCTATTTTAATGCCCTTTAATGCCCTTTAAATCTCTAAGGTCACTTTAATAGATTGTCTGCTGTTTCTCATGAAAATATGTTGCCCATTAAGTTAAATAGACTAGGATAGTTTAGTCAAGTGAGGTTTCACATGTAATGATTGAATTTTCATTTTCTGAGGTTGTAAATTAAATTTACAACACTGGCATAAAGTTGAGAGCCGAAGACTCCATCCAAAGTTGGACTAAAACAAAGGTACTGTGATATATTTGCAGGGCTGGGTGTGTTCCTCTGTGTGCCACTGTTTTATCATGAGTCAGGAAATCCCACGGGGATACCCCCCCAGCCAGCCTAGCTTCACTCTCCATCCACCTGGGTTGCTCTTTATCCGCCCACCCCACGATGCCTGGAGTAGGGGGGGAAGAAGAGAGAAGATAGGGTATGTGGGGAAGGTGTCTACCTGCTGCCAGCACCATTTCCATACGTACCTCCCTGTGACCACAAGGGGGTCAGGTGTGGAGAAAAGAAGTGTATCCTACCCAGAGTGCTCAGGTAGAAATGTCCCTGCATAAAGAAGCTCAATGGTTAAAGATTTTCCACTAGGTCAGGCCAAGGGAGCAGAAATGTATTATTCACATATTATGTGTGAATAATATTCACATATGTAATTCCAGCCGACTGGAAAGGTTTGTACTAAGAGAAAGTGAGTCTGTTTGATGTACATGAAATTTTGCGACTCCCAACACCTTCTAGGAATTAATATTTCTGAGGTTTTTTTTTTGGTAAATTAACTGGCTACTTATTATTTCATTTTATTATCTGCTCTTGTTAGCAAAAAATGCATTAGCATCTGTCAAATGCTTAAGAACATTTTCTAGAGACAAGCATTGCGTCTAAAAGATTATTAAGGTTTTGGAGGTGGCAAAAATAATCGGGCAATAAAGCTGTTCACAGTCTCGTACGTGTATATGTGTATTTCCCTCTTTCCTTTCAATTTCTGGTTATATTATTATTATCATTATATAATAAACTATAACAGTCTAGCATGAAAACAATTATAAAATAGTCATATGAAAAATGCAGAGATCATTCTATTGGAAAGAGGATGTCCTTCTACAATGATGAACATCTAGTTATTATTATTATGACAATCCCTAGAGATGATTGAACTGTTTCTTGTCCCTCTGATCCAGCCCATTAGTGATTGCTCACTTCAAAATCAAAGTGTTGAGAAACATTCCAGTCTGTGAAATTAAGTGATCGAAAGATTTAGGGGATCGCTCTTTTCACTTTTTCTTTGGATGTGTAAGAATATGTTAAGGGGTATACTTGGATATTTCATCAAACTTCAAAAATGAATATTTTGATTTTAATAAGAAAACCAAAAGTTGCTATTTATTTATGAAATATATTCCGTTCACTTTCCCAGAAGACCAGATCACTTTATCCCATCTAGTCTTGCTCTGATAAACGTTGTGGAGAAAAGGTCTTCTCTTCTCTGGTGGAGGTGCGGTGAGTGTCATCTCACTCACACATGCTAAGCCAGAGATGAGTCAGGGAAGTGTGAGGGAAACGAAGTGTGTTGTTTTACACACGGCGCTGACCACAGAGCAATATTTTTCAATTGAATATATGATATTAATATTGTTCCTAACAATAGCACTTATTCCATCCAGTCAATGCCAGTTCCGCTTTTTTAAATGAACTCATGCTCCTATAATTGCTAATGATAACAGCATATCAAGTACCATTTACTGGCTATTTTCTTCTGAGCATTTAATATGTGCTAAAGACTTTACACACATCATGTCATCTTATCCTCACAACAATTCTCCCAACTATATACAGTTCACAAATCAGGAAAAGAGGTAAAAGGTAAAAATAACTTGCTCAATTTAACACAGTGGCAGACCCAAATTCAGGCCTCTCTGTCTCTAATGCTTTACACTTAATCATACTTTACTACCCATGGCAAAGTGTCTCTCCCTTTTCTATAATGAGAAAAGGTTAGTCAATTCATCTTTTTAAAATTTATTTTTATATTTGATTTTTTAAAAATATCAAGGGTTGGGTAGTTACTTTCCTAACACAGCTGCTGAAATGGAAGGACGTGGCTGAAGCCCAGGGTCCCTTTGTGCTTTTCTAGGGATGAGGAAACGTCAACCTTCACTCAGTTTCACGTCTCTAAGGCCCAAGGGCAGGGCCTCCTCTCTCAGAGTCCTGGGTGCTGTCCCAGAGTGCTCCTGCCTCCCTCCTGCTATTCTGTCTCTCCGCAAGAGTCTCTAGTAGGCACCATTCCGGAAGGCCTGGTGGGTGTGTGTTGCCTGCACATTCCTCCTGTTTGCTCATCACCCACTGCAGTACCAACTGGAATCTCTTCCGGCCAACTGGTATACACCTAATTTCTGTAAACTTTTTATGGAGAAAAACTTCAAACATACAGAACAGTATAATAAATCTTTACGTATCCATCATTCAGCTTTCAACAATGAGTACTCATGGTCAATTTTCCTTCGCCAGCACTTGTTATTTCTCTTCCCCCCTCCCAGTGATTATTTTGACGCCAATCTCAGACAGTATATCATTTCATGTAAATTTTGGCATATATCTCTAAAGTATAAGGACTTTCTAAAATATATTTATAATAACTTTATCACACTTAACAGCTTAAGAAAAGTTCTTTAACGTCATCAAATAGCTAGTGTTCTCATTTCCTTCATTGTCTCATAATTTTATTTTAGTATTTTTGGTTTAAATCAGGTTCCAGATAAGCACCATGTATTTCAATTTGTTATGTTTTAAGTCCTTTTCCATTTATAGGCTTTCTCTACCAAAACAGAATCTCTTTTTGTTTTTCTTTGCTATTTTTTTTTGGAGAAACTGAGTTATGTGTTTTGTGGAGCAGCTTCTCATATGTATAGTCAAGGACTAGTTTTATCTTTTTTAATTTAATCAATCACAGACCAATACTGGGGTCATACTTAAGAATTAATTACTTGAAAATTAAATAAAAAGACGTAGGCAATACCACTCCCGATTTCTTAATGTTAAATTCAACAGACATAAAATTACATTTCAAATAAATAAAAGAAAATAATTACACAAATTGTATGCATCGCTCATTTAAAGTGTGTATATAGATGTTAATATAGAAAATTCAAATTACACTCACAACTTTTGTCCTTACACATTTGTAACCAAACAAAATTAATGAATAAAATAGCAACTTCTTATGTTAAACACATATACATACTTTGGGTACATAGAAACATGATCTATATTATTATTAAATGTTTTTATGTAGCAGAGAACTTGCTTCTTGTTTGTAAATGTGGCTAATCTAGGTTGAATTGATGAAAACATTACCTGTATAGAAAAATGTGCATGTGAACTCCTTCCTACTTTGTTTGAATGATGCATAGAGAAAGCAGAAGCATGTTGATGGGAATGGAAGAGGAGATTCTAAAGCAATTTCAGCAAACCTGGGACACTCATTTTGAGCTTTTATCCAAAATGGAACAAGTCAAACTGTGTTTTCAAAATTCATCTTCAATCCATTATCAGTAGCCAGTTCCAACAGTTTATCCTTAAAGTATAGCTTGATTTACATGATCTTTTATCCAATCTTAAAATCTCTGCCTTTTAATTGAGATATTTAAGCATTTACATTTAATATAATTATTGATATGGTTAGCTTTAAATCTACCATATCATACCAAATCTATCTTTCCTGCCTTCACTGGGAATAACTGAGCACATTCTATGATTTCTTTTTGTCTACACTATTGGTGGAGACAGTATTATCAAACATCTTTTAAATTCTTGTAAAATTGGTTTTCAATTTTACAAAATTGAAAATTAAAAGCCTAGGTCTTCCTAGACTTTATAATATACACCTTTAAATTATTATAATCCAGCTCAAATTATATTACACTACTTTTTGTATAACATAAGAACCTTTCAACAGTGTATTTTCAGTTTCTCCCTTTGAGCTATTTTTGCCATGCAATTTCTTTTATGTATAAGCCCCACAATAAATTGTTACTATTTTTGCTTTAACCAGTTAATTGGCTTTTAAAGAAATTAAAAATAAGGAAAAATAGCTTTTATTTTTTGAGACGGAGGAGTGGATGACTTGGAGATGGCTCCAAGATGGCCCCGCTGCTCCGTGGGCCAGGGCTGCCAGGAAGAGCTTGAGCTCCTCGTCCTGACACATGGGGTCCTGAGCGGACCATAGCATGGGGTGGTCCCCCTTCTGATTCCCCTACCCCCATCCCTGCCCTCCCTGCCACCCACCTCCAGCCGCTGCTCTGCCCGGTCCAGCTTGGGGAGGGACAAGAGCAGAAATATCTTTCTTAAATGTACACAATATAAAAACTTTGTCATATACACAAAAGCTGATGATTAATTTACAGGAGATATGCACTGCACAAAATATTAAAGGAAGTTCTTCAAGCAAAAGAAATATGATATCACATAAAAACTTGTATTTACATACAGAAATAAATAGCACTGGAAATTATAAAACTTAAATTACTTATAAAAGCTATATTTTTCTGACCGAGTGCAGTGGCTCATTCCGGTAATCCCAGCATTTTGGAAGGCCGAGGCAGGTGGATCACCTGAGGTCAGGAGTTCGAGACCAGCCTGGCCAACATGGTGAAACCCCGTCTCTACTAAAAATACAAAAAAATTAGCTGGGTGTGGTGGCATGCACCTGTAATCCCAGCTACTCGGGAGGCTGGGGTAGGAAAATAGCTTGAACCTGGGAGGTGGAGCTTGCAGTGAGCCAAGATCATGTCATTGCACTCCAGCAATGTTGAGGATGACTGCAGCCAGGTCGGAGTTGGGGATGTAGTAGAAGAGTGACGTCAGGCAGTCCAGCGATAGCAGCACCAGCGCTCTTGTGGGGGCGCGGGCACATGGGGTGACCTCGTGGGGTGTAGGGCCCCCCTAGCAAGCAGCATAGTCTCCTGCTCAGAGGAGCCCCATCTGGGACAGTGGTGGGGTAGGGTAATGAGAGCCAAGGCCCCCAGTCCCTGCTCGGTCTCCCATGGCCATCCCAGCCTCTGTGCAACCCTGGGGAACACGGCCTGTGAGCCAAAGCAGACTTGGCGTCCTGCTAAGTAGGAACATCTCTGTGGGCTCCCTCCTCCCTCTTTCCCACTCTCGGCAGTGGGCACAAGGGGAAGACCAGGGGGGCTTACCCATCACCAGCCCCCCTCCTGGGGTGCAACACCCCCAACTGAGCATTCACAGCTGTCCTGGAAGGCAGCACAGAGATGGTTAGTCGCCAGGGACTGGGAAGGGAGAGACATCAGTCCATGCTGCTGTGGCCGATCTTCTGAGGGAAGGTCAGCTCCCAGCATGCCTTAGGAAGCAGGGGGAAGGGGACAAGGGGGCTGAGGCCCGGGGGTTGAGGCAAAGAGATTTAGGGTGCAGTCACTGAGCTGCACTCAGGGCACTCTGACTGTAAGAAAAGTCAGGAAGCACAAGTCCTTTCAGATGCTAGCTGGCTTTGTTTCCTTCCCCCATCCAGGTGGAGGCCCCATAACCAGCAGGGTGGTGGTCAGCAGCTGGGGGACCAGGCACTGCCAGGTGACGTCCCCTTCTCTCCCTTAAGCCACAGATCACCCCCATCCTGTTGTCCTGACTTAGGAAGGCCACGGGGTAGTGGGGTTGGGGGTCTGGGCTAAACCTCATGCTGGACTTCTTCAGGGGAGAGCCACAGTCCTTCCTGTCCCCACGTCCTTTTAGGAATCAACTCTGGTACCAAAAGCTAGGAAGGCTTCAATGTGCTGGGAACTTTCTAGCATTTTTTTTTTTTCAGACAGGGTCTTGCTCTGTTGCCCAGGCTGGGGTGCAGTGGTGCAATCACAACTCACTGCAGCCTCAAACTCCTGGGCTCAAGTGATCCTCCTGCCTCTGCCTCCTGGGTAAATGGGATAACAGGCGTATACCACCATGCCCAGTGGAACTTTTTTTTTTTTTTAGATGGTGTCTTGCTCTGTCACCCAGATCTCTTTGCAATCTCGGCTCACTGCAACCTGTGCCTCCTGGGTTCAAGCAATTCTCCTGCCTCAGCCTCCTGAGTAGCTGGAATTACAGGCTCGTGCCACCATGTCCGGCTAATTTTTTTTTTGTATTTTTAGTAGAGACAGGGTTTCACCATGTTGGTCAGTTTGGTCTTGAACTCCTGACCTCAAGTGATCCTCCCGCCTCGGCCTCCCAAAGTGCTGGGATTACAGGTGTGAACCACTGCGCCCAGTGAACTTTTGAGTATTAAACTGCAGTCCTGACTATGAGTGCAAAGAAACCAGAGGACACCCTGGAGGACAGCAGGATGACATCAGTCCATGCTGCTGTGGCTGATCTTCTGAGGGAAGGTCAGCCCTCAGACAGTTCACATGGACAGTTCACAGCTGAGGACGGGATGTGGGGTCAGGACAGGCAGACTTCTAGTCAGGACAAAGACGAAAAGGACACATCTTCCTCACGCATAACAGAGGGGAGCATCTCACTTCCCAGGAACGGGTGATGGCTGAGAAGGAAGTGCCTGTAAGACAAACACAACGTGCTCGGGTGGTCAGTGGCCACTCACAGTTTTCCACCCACTTCCTTTCAAACCCACCACTCCTTCTCACAGATGACAGCCAAGATGAGGCCAGAGGTCATGACTGGTAAGCTGTCTTCCCAGGTGACGCTGGCTGCCTACACCCATAGCATTGTTGGGGCCCAAGAACTGATATTACTGCTCAGGTTGACCACAAGATCCTGCCAGCATCCGTCTCACCCGGGCCGTCACAAAAACCAGAGTTTCGTCTGCTATCTAAGACTGGCAGTGGGGTCTTAAGACCCACGGGTGCAGGGCCTGCTCTCAAGACGGCTTGGAATGGGGCCAACTCAGTACCAGGCCATCCTGGGTCATGCAGCCCAGCTCACAGCCTTGTGAGAGAGGGGCTGGGGCAAGGAAATGCAGACGTGGGAGGGCTCAGCAGAGACCTGCGGTGACCGCACGCTGCACGTGATCACCCTCACTCTGCAACAGCTTGGATCTGGGACTCAACTCTGTGAACTGCTGCTGACTGGGACGACCCCTCCATGCTTGGCCTTCGTGGGCTCATGTCAGCCTCTTGCTGTGCAGCTGCTGAAGACTGCCTGGCCTATCTGAGATCAAGGAATTCTGTAGCTGCCTTAGTAACGTTGATTTTCGCTCTGTCTGGGTTGTATCCCTGGAACTCACTGTGCCATCAGAACAGTTCTGTGCTATTTTTGAAGTAATGGGAATGAGATGCTCCGGGAAATCACATTTGGAAGATTTACTGGTGAGGGCTGGAGGAGGCCGTGGATTTTCTCGGCCTGAGGGTGAGTGAGGCCTAGGAAGCCCAAGCTCCACTGCTCAACTGGGAAATGTCCAGTTCTCCACTGCTCAGAGAGGAGCTCTGGCAACGTACCTTTGTGACCTGACCTGGGTCACACGCCTTGCTGTCTAGAAGCCAAGTGGCTTTCATGAAATTGTCCAGGTGGACACCCCTTGGGAAGAACCCCACAGTGTTGCCCGGGTTAGCCTATACCCATCTCACAAGGGGCGAGAAGGAAAGGCAGGCAGGCCTGGGACCTATGATATGCCAAAAACAGTCACGATAACTGAATTTAAGATTCATGCTGTGGTCTCAAAATACATCACTAGAGAAGTCAGCTCACAGAGACATAGCAAGAGGAAACTGAACTGTGAAACCTGGCATGGACCCCCATCCACAGTCGGGCAACTTGGGGCTCTTGAGTCTTCACGAATCCACCTGTCCCTGCCTGGATGGGGCACAGGGTAGGGCACAAGCACAATCAGTAAACTCTCCCTGAGATTGCCCGGGTCACAGCCTTTAGCTCTCTGACCCCTGGCCCTGGGAGCTCCTTCCCTGAGGTGGGACCTTCCATGTGTTCCTTGGTATAGACCAAGGCTACAGACCTCAGGGTCGGGAAGACAGCAGATGCTCAATAAGTGGTAGGCAGAACAGACAACAGATGTCAGCTCCCTCTTCCTAGGAACTAAACTGAAAAGTGTGAAGATCTGGGAATGAGTCCTTGCTAATATTTCAAAAGAGCCCAGCTGGGGCCACTCTGCCCCTCCCAGTTCATCACGACCATCAGGGTCCTCCTTCAATGCAGGAGACACGGAGGGGCAGGCCCAGTCCCCAGGAAGCCCATGGCCAGGGTCTTACCAATGGCCAGCAGCTCCTGGTTGGTGTCAACACAGTGATTATTCTGAGAAGCTAAAGGGAACAAACAGTAAAGACATCGTCACTGATATTCAACATCTCTCAGAAAACATTGAAAAACAGGTTATGAGTTTCTATGTAAGGAATTGTCTAGGTTTTGTAAACGTAAGTATACAAATACACATCTAAAATAGTCACATAAAAAGTAAGATATTTCCATTTATTATTGACCTCTGGGATGATATTTTCAGTACTTTAAAAATATCACTCGTGATTTCTGTTGAGAATTCTGCCACAATTCATATCTCTGTTTTCTCTTTTACTCTGTACTTAATGTTTATTTTTTTCCTCTAGCCTCTGACTGCCTTTAAAATTTTCTATTAATTTTTGCTTTTTGGCAGTTTGATCATAATATATCTAGGGGTGTGTATTTGTGTGTGTGAGAGAGGGAGTTTTATTTTTATCCTGCTTGTGGTTCTCTGAGATTCTTCGATCTGTAATTGATCTCTTACATTATTATTCGAAAACACTTAGCTATTATCACTTTGAATATTTCTTCTGATGTGTTTCCTCTATCTAATCTTTTTGGAACTCTAATTTCATGAATGTTAGATATCTTAATATTGTCCCACAGCTCTTAGGAGTAATGAGTTTTTTTAGTCTTTTTTATTTTTCTCTTTATGATTCAGTTTGGATAATTTTTACTGATCTATTTTCAAGACTACGTCCTCAGCTGTGTCCAGCCTATTGACAAGCCCACTGAAGGAATTCTTTATCTCTGCTATTATGTGATTTTATTTCTGGCATTGTCTTTTGACTTTCTCATAGTTTAAAAATCTCCACCTATTTATATATGTTGTCTTCCTTTTCTAACAAATCTATTAAAATATTAGTCATAGTTACTTTAAACTCCTTGTTCAGTAGTTCTAACATCTGGCCTATTGATTGCTTTGCCTTTTGAAAATTATTAGATTTTCCTTACTTATTTGTCTTGAAATTTTTGATTGAATGCTGGACATTTTGTATAGAACATTAGACTCGAGGTAAAAGTATTTATGCCCGGAAATGGTTATACTTTTTCTGCCAGGCTGTTAGTGTGAGGGGTTGAGCTAATCCAATTAGAAGTTGATCTGGGTTTGGGTTTTGTTGTTATTGTTGGTACCATCAGTGCATCTAAGTGTTCACATTTTTGTAGCAGTAGGCTGCTTTTACCTTGTGTTTAGAGTTGGGGCTCAAATGTTGAAGAGTTTTTATTAGTTTTCCTTCTACATTTTCTATCAGCTATCTCTGCATGCCAGAAGCATGGTGGGAGGGTAGAAGGAGGTCTGTTAAACTCTGTTTTGTATTCAATTATGTGCTAGAGCTGTCGCATATAGGCTCATGAGAGCCAGTTATAAGCCTCTCTTTCCAACTTCATATTTGGTGAAGCCATGTGGTAGCTTCAAACAGGCCATAGTAGGAATATTGGAATATTTACACCATGGAAATTGGCCAACACTGCAAATCTGGGCTTTTTCTCCTGGAGAACTGCTAGTTAAATATTTACCAGCATACCACCTCTTGTATTTGTAATTGGTTTTGAAATGGAAATGATAATAATGCTCTTCCAGTGCTAAAAACAAAATAAAACTACGAACAGAGAACTTCACAAACCTATGCTTTGTATTAGTGTAAGATCCCTTCCCCAAGACTGCTTATTTTCCCTTTCAGAGGTAGAGAGTTTTGATTCTGTCTCTTTCACAGCAGCAAGAGATCTTTGCCTGTGCCCTGGAAAAGTGTTTTTGGCCCCTTCCTCAAAGGAAGTCACCTTTTTCTTTCACTTCTCTCTAAGAAACTATGGATCTTTGTCCATGCCCTTGTGGATGAAAAGACATAATGTCCTTCCTGTGGCTTAAGGTTTTTGATTCATAGGAGGAAAGGGGACGGGAATGAAAGCGAAGTTCTGTGTATGACTTTTTGCTTCCATAGGTCACCTCCTGATGCTTGCATGCCTGTGTCACCACAGGAGCCTTTTCTCAAACTACTGCCCAATCCCCAGTCTTTCTCATGAGAGGCTAGTGGAGGCCTTTGGAGAAGAGCTCGTGAGCAACTGCAGACTTCCCTTATGTCTGGAGTCCCCAGCGACTCCACACCGACATGCTAGCCCACACTTGGGCTTTAAGAGTTCATTAAAATTTATCTGATTTTTTCTTACAGGCTTATATGGTGACCACCACATCCTCCCAGGCTCTGCCAAATGTGAACAGTCCATATGTCTAATATCTCCTTGGAAGGACTGTCACTCATGGAAAATGGTTCACTTAGTTGCCTAGTGACCAAAGGTTTATGATGGGTTCATGAAAATCTATATTTTTAATAGATTATTCAGGTTTTTCTGTTAATGAGGGAGTGACATTCTTTGCTGATTTCTATATCCTAAGCAGAAGCACATAAAAACTGCCCCATTTTTGTTTTTGCTTTAAGTTTCTTGACTATATTTTATGTACAATAAACTGCACATATTGAAAGAATATAATTTGATGAGTTTGTCATATGTACATACTTGTGAGATTATCCCCACAATCAACATAATGACCATATCTACCACACACAAAAGTTTCCTCGTAGCATCCATAAGTTATCACTCCCTATTCCCACACTCATCCCTATACCCTGGCAATAATTGTTATGTTTTATGACTTTAAATTATCTTTTGATGAAAAAATAGATTCTAGATTTTATATAATTTTGGGTTACAGTTGACAAATTGCACTTAAACTAATACACATTGTAACATGGTCCTATTCCTTTAAATTAATAAATGTTTCACAGCACACCTGACTCATCTCAGGAGTTAGACATGAGTTGGGTTGGCCTAAACAGGCTCATACTCTGTTCAGTGAGATGAGTGCACTGACCAGAGGCTTGAATATCAGATTACAATGTTACATTGCTATCCATGTTTGCAAATGTTTGTAATTTGTGTGCTTATTAATCTCAGTTTCTATACTTACCTCATTGTGGGCCAGTAGTAAGCAGTTTGTGGACTGCATTGGTCAATGGATCACACTATGAGTAGCATTGCCATATAATTTCCTAATGTAGATTTGTGGATTACATTCTTATAGTGTCAGTTGGTATGTTCTGTTTTTATTTTTAGATTAAAAACTTTTTTTTTTTGAGATGGAGTCTCGCTCTGTCACCCAGGCTGGAGTGCAGTGGTGCGATCTTGGCTCACTGCAACCTCCGCCTCCTAGGTTCAAGCGGTTCTCCTGCCTCAGCAGCCTGAGTAGCTGGGATTACAGGCATGTGCCACTATACCCAACTAATTTTTGTATTGTTAGTAGAGATGGGGTTTCACCATGTTGGTCAGACTGGTCTCAAACTCCTGACCTCGTGATCTGCCTGCTTTGGCCTCCCAAAGTGCGGGGATTACAGGTGTGAGCCACTGCATAAAAACATTTTTTTAAGAGAAGGGGCCTTGCTACATTGCTCAGGCTGGTCTTGAACTCCTGGCCTCAAGTCATTCTCCTGCCTCAGCCTTCTGAGTAGCTATGATTATAGGTATGAGCCACCATGCTGGGATAACATATTCTAATGAATCCAATTTTTTGTAAATTGATGGCTCTAGAAGCTTGGTCTGATTCATATTCTTTTTTTTTTCTCAAAATTATTTAGTCAGTGGTATTGTATATTTCCATTAGGGGGCATATGATGTCTGATTGTCTCTCTTTTTGTGATTTTAACAGCCTGTTGATGATGGTTGTCTAGACCCATTAGTTCACCAGGAGTTGCAACATGATGTTATTCTAATTTTATCATTACATTTTTTTAGCAGCTCAAATGCTTCTGTAAATAGATACTTCCATTCAACAACTATTGGATTGTCTTGAGGTAGAGCTTACAAGGAAAGGCTGGATAAATGTTGATTCTTCTCTTTTATTTCACATTTTTCAAAACAAGGAGTTAGTGACCCAACATCCTCTGAAGATGAACTATGAGTTTTTTTAAAAAAATCATGTAACTATTAACTCATAGAAATATATTTAATAGGATTAAATCCATTGCAGTCATTCTTATGCTAAAATTATACCTTCTCTGGCCAGTGGGAGATTCTTCAAGCTAGCTTCTGTGTCTTTTCAATCCTATCAGTGTTTGAGTATTTTTTATTTTCTCACACAAAATATTATAGGTTTATCTTGTCCATTTCCTGCTCCAGACTTGGAATTAGAAACCCTGGTTTGTTTTTTTAATGGGAAATGGTATTTAGAGACCATAATCTGGGTGCTAGGGGATCTAAATAATTTTAATTACTTCATGATACTCAAATTTATATCAAATTTAGTCAGTCACTTTCCAACTGACAGACAATGACTATTTTCAAGTTTTCATCACGAGTCTTTACACATAACCCTTAGTTACTGTGTGTCTGCTTTCAGGCCTGGTGTTAGCCATTCAGCAGAAGGGAGAGGTTGGCAAACTAACAGGTTATGCTTGTTTCAGCATAGAGATACTCACAAGCCTTCAGATAATGTTGTTTAATTTGTAGGGGTAGATATGTGGTGGGAACTCAAGTCAGGATAATTTTCATTCAATCTCCAAAACGTAAATCTGAAAAGGGAGGACAAGAATAGATTCTTCACTATGAATTAATCATTGGAGGACTTATAAGTTTTTCTTTTCCAGCTGTAAGATGAAGTGCCATCTGCAGAAGACCTTAGTCTTTTGCAGCCAAATCCTAAGGCCTTTCCAGACTCCATGAATTTTCCTGATCTTAGGAAGCAAGCTGGAATCTGTTACTGACTTAAGGGAACATTGCTGCTGGGGAGACATTATTAATCAATCATGGAGTCTATGAAATCTCTATGTACGAGAAGAAAACTGAAGAAAATTTTCTTTGATAATGTTTTTCTGATCACAGTGAAGTGCACAAACAGGTCTTAATACCAAACTATAAAAAGGAGGTAGTATAATTAAAATTCCATGGAAGGCTATTTTATGTTGTTTTTGGGGAATACGAGAGGGAATACAGTTGTAGGCAAAGTAGTGGTTTGATAATGAGTATTCACAGGTGGCACTAGAAAATCATACAACTGCCTATTCCTGTCTATGAATTTAGCATATTTGCATAAAGAAAGATGCTTTTGTGGCTAAACTGTAGCAATAATTTAGAAAAATGATGTTTACTTACTGGAATGAAAGCATTTTTCCTTTTCTCTGCAAAACACGTTGCAAAAACCACTGTTAATTGTAATTCAGGAAGAAAGTGTTAAAAAAAGAATAAAAATGAATAAAGAATACAAATTTAAAGAATAAAAAATGTATCTCCAGACCAGAGAAATTTGATATATTTTGTTTACTGAATGCTTCACCTGTCTGAATATGTCGCTCATATTGATATCCTTTTTCTTTAATCAGGTAGGAATTTCCCAGGAGCAGTTCCTGGTTCTCATCTTTTTCTACTGTACAGTTTCTTTATTGGTGATTTTACGCAGTCTCTGGTTTAAATACTTTCTACATGCAGTGACTTTTAAATTCATATTTTCAAACTTGACCTTACTAGTGTGGAGTACAGACTCCCTTACTAGAATAGCCAACAGTCCACTCAAATTCTCCATTTGAGAGTCTATGGGTATTTCAGTCTTAATCTGTTTCAAATTAAGCTCTTGATCTTGTCCTTTAAATTTGCTCCCCTTCTAGTCTTCCCCATAGCAAGAAATAGTACCACCATTAATCCATTTGTTAGGGGAGGAGTCTTGGAGGCATAATTGACTATTATTTTTTCTTCACATAACACAGGACCTGCTATTTCTCCAGCCTCCATGACCATGGTAGTGGTATGCGACTAAGGAATATTTGCACTGTGTCCCCAAAGACGAGTACAAATTTTCTAAGTAGATAAGTGGTGCAAACCTAGTCTAGGCAGATTGAATGGCAAATACAAAAACTCTAAAGACACTTGATGTCTATAAATGTGTATGCACATACCCCTGGTAGATGTGGTTGTCTAGGAAGTTCACATATATCGAGAGTTTTAAGAATCCATTTCCAAGTCTTCCACTTCCAGCTTTCCTAAAATGATTCTGCCTGTGAAGGAGTCAATATCCTTAATAGCCCTTCACTTTCCAAGGCATATGTCTCAGCCCTTCCAAATCTCACTTGGATGTGTTACTTGGATGCAATTCTCCTGCTCAGCCTCCCGAGTAGTGTATAAACCCCCATGGTGTTAAATAAAAGTGTAAATTAAAATAATCAGGTTATTGTAACCCACAGTGCTCTCAAGTTTCTCCTGTTTTATGCACATTTCTGTTGAGGGTATTAGAAAGAGGATATTTTTGCCTTTGTTGGGATGTTTTAAATTCAGAAGGGCAGACTTTGGATAAAATAGTGAAGGTCTTCTAAATGTAACAGAAACTTTATGTGAATTACCAACATTTTCAAGATGCATTGGATAAAACCAACGGGTATAAAATTTTCATGATTACATTTAAATTTAATGGCCTTTTTTCAATAAGGTAATTAAAGCTTTTATTCAGTCGTATAATGAAATAGGTGTTCCAGATCCAGTCAATTCTTTCCCTATGAGCCATGTATGAGATGTCTACATGCAGAAATTAAGACTCGGCTAGAAAATGAGGGCTGGAATTGGAATCAAGACCTATTGCATCACAAAGGCCCCATTCCTGTTTTTTTTTTTTTTGAGATGAAGTCTTACTCTGTTGCCCAGGCTGAAGTGCAGTGGCAGGATCTCATATCTTAGCTCACTGCAACCTCTGTCTCCCAGATTCAAGCGATTCTCCTGCCTCAGCCTCTTGAGTAGCTGGGATTACAGGCACCCACAACCACACCCAGCTATTTTTTGTGTTTTTAGTAGAGACGGGGTTTCACCATGTTGCCAAGGCTGGTCTTGAACCCCTGACCTCAAGTGATCCGCCTGCCTCAGCCTCTCAAAGTGCTGGGATTACAGGCATGAGCCACCGCCTCCGGCCTAAAGGCCCCATTCTTGACTATGTGAATGTGACTTCTGACAGGTTTGTGAGTGATTTTATCATCTGTGGAATGCGCCTGTGACCAACAGCCAACCAGGGTACTAAGCTGAGAAAGTGCTTGGCTCATATTAATTGATTCTGCCTCTGCTCAAGGAGGCTGGTGAATCCATTGTCTCTAGTCTGTAATTTTGGGAGTTGACAAGATTTTGTCTAGAAGTAAATGGCTCTCAGATAGTAATGATGATTTCATTGCTTGAAAATGATAGTTTGTCCAAACTTTTCCCAATGGACTCTCCTGCTTGGTCAATCTTTCCTCATTTAAAGGAACATTTGAAGCATGACTGTTAAATGCTAAGTCATTTGGAAACAGAAGTCTACACTCCTGATTTCCTTTTCTTTCTATTTTGACAGCTGAACTCGAGTATTTTGGGCCCTAAGAAGGAAGGACAAAGATCCCTGGAGAACTCTCCTGTGGTGTCCTTGTTTTGAGTAGCAATGGAGGTAAGTGCTTGTTTTGTTATGAGCTGGTTTCATGGTGCTGTACTTACTCCTCCTCAAATTCAGAAGGGAAATGGAAGGCAAACAGGCAAGCCTTGGGGTGAAGAATAAGTTCCAATTGATGTACCCCACCCCACCCCCAGTTAGTGGCACAAAAGCCTGGTGGTGGCTGCCAGCCTTTCCTTTTACCTACCTTTTGTCTTGTCCTGCTGAGGATGAAGCTTATTCTGCTTGCTGCATAAAATTTCCTCTAAGGAAAGTGTTACGACTCCAGCTGTGAAAGTGATTGATGTCCTTCTAGACTCCAGGGGCTTTTGCAAACATCCACTGTCATTTTGAAGCGGAAAAAAAGTGCAAGTGTGTGTCGGGGATTGTGTGAAAAAACCATTATTCTTTATTTTATCGAAATGGGGGTGGGAAAGGAAAAAAATGTAAGTGTGAGTACTGGGCTTCTGTGATAAATAGACTGCTTAGGTTTTAACAGTGAAGGCACTCTTTCTTAGGAGTGAATTTTTGGCCATTCATTCATTCACCTGGCAGATATTGAGACCCTATTATGCGCTGTACCTCGTGTTGGCTTTGGGATAAGCAAAGATGAATAAAAGTGAGTGTCTATCCATGTGGTTCATAATCTTGTGGCAAATACATATGTTTAAATAAATTATATTATAATGCCATTTGAGATGTAGCAAGGAGGAGGTGAGAATACTGCAGGAATAAATGATTCCTCCCTTGGCTGTCAAAAGGAGAAAGCCTGGGCTTTATAAAGGCAGTGACGTTTGAGTCTTCAAAGGGCATTTAGTATCAGGATAAAGAGTCCAATCTGGACTCTTGCTCTGCCATCTCCTAGCTCTAGGGCCTGGAGCCATGCCCACACCTATAAATGAGCATAGTAGTGCCGTAGGGTCATTGTGAGCTTTAAATGTCCACAAACAAAGTGCTGAACGCAGAGCTGTGCACAATGAATTATCTACCAGAGTGTGATCTAGCATCAGGGTCCTGGCTATTGTTTACTGTTGTTAAAAGACAAGTAGGAATTTTTCAATCAGAGAGAAGGCAGAGTACAGATGAGAAACAGCATCTAATAAGCTGAACTGAAAAACTATAGATGAGGGCTGGGGGAAATAACTCCCTCTATGAATAAAAGGGGCTCAAGTCTCTTTGATTTTGGTTTGTATTTTGTGGAGTGGTGGTGTAGGGAGGTGTTGAAAACCTTTGAGGACACTTTAAAGAATAAAGAAGTGACTTGGTTCAAGTCATTTTAGTACCCATTCTCAGGAGGGTTGTGCTGAAGTGCACATTAATTGTGGGTGTTCAGAATGGATTTGATTTCACAAATGCACTTTGTTTCTCTGATGAAAAACAGGAGGGCTGGATGACAGTGGAGTCAAAAGGTTTTAGGCATGTGCCAGGCTGGCACTGGGGTGGCAGCAAGGTTGGTGTGCTAATTGTGATCTTAATGAAAATGACTTGCAATCTCTTTTGCTTCTTTTCCCTTTAAATCAAGATTTGGTTGGACCAGTGGTTCTCAGCCTTGGTTGTACATTAGAATCTCCTGGAAGACTTAAAAAATGCCAGTGCTTGCACCAGAGCCCCCGAGACTCTGCTTCACTTGGCCTGAGATGGGGTCCTTGGCCCTAGTACTTTTCAAAAGTCCCCCAGGTCCTCTTAATGAACAGCCAGGATTTATGGTTAGTGTCTTGGGGAGTCTAAAGCTCACCTGTGTTGTGATTTAGAAGGCCCTTGGCCATCCTTTGTGACACTGTGCCTTCTTTGTAGAGGTAAGGTTGTCTTTGTGATAATGTGTTAAGTCCCTTTCTTCCTGGAGAGAACTTTTGGTAGTGAAAAGGCTGCTCTTAGTAGATACGTGATATAGTGAAGATAATTCTGGTTTCTCTGGGCTGATTCTCTGCTTTCATCCAATCTACTCCTTTGCCCTCAAATTTGGCTATCAATAAGAAGAATTTCTGTGCCTTTGAGTCTTGCCTTTGGAGGTGATGTAGGACCCTCTCTTTTGCTCTTGGTCTTCCTCTCTTCTCTCTACCTGCTTTGCCTGGATTTTGAACATTTTGAGCCTTGAGCATGAATGGCCTCGGGCTGTCCAGGATTCACTTTCCTCTGTTCTCACATTCTGGGCTCTTTGAGCGGGATCCCTGGACTTTACAGCACTGTCCACAGAAATCCATTCTATCTATGGGCTCAGCCCACAGCCCACTCCCAGGTGTGATCATTGCTGTCCAAAGGGCATTGTTTCTTTAGAAAATGCCTAAGGCAAGTCAGTCATTGAATTTGCTGTAAAAAGTTCCTTTGAGAAGTATTAAATAATGCCTGCTGCCCAATAAAAAGTTAAATTGATATGAATTACTTTTTTTTTTGCCAAAAATAAGATTATTGGAATCACAGAGGGGAGGCTAGACCTTTTGATCCTCTGCTGAGTACCCCTTGGCAATTCTGACTTTTGGAGTGAATTCTGGGGTTCTGGGGAGGTTTACTCAGATTGTTTGAGTACAACGCCAAGGGCCTGAAGGTTACAAGTGGTGTTCGTGCATTCTGCCTGCCAATCCTCAGAAACTGGCACTCTACCAGATGGAAATGTTTGAATGGCTCAATGCATAGTGATCATAGGGAATATAATATAAAAAAATAATAGGAGAGAGGATCCCAGTGTTAGAGGACTGCAGAAGTCTTCAAGTCTATCCATCTATCACCTGGAAAGTGTATGCTTCATATATAAAGGATCTTACATATTTATTTTTGATATTCCAGTAAAATTTCTTAGTTCTTTGACTACCTATTGTGGGGAAAAACCCATAAAAATGTATACTCTGATAACCACAATAGTTACAGATTATCGTCCTTTGCCTGGTAGAGCATTTAAGTATTAAAAAATCTAAGCATGACTGAAATAGAAATTTTTAAAAGTTACATAAAAAGTCCGTGCACAGGGTTGGTAATTAGATATGTAATAGAGGTTACTATTGAAGTGGTGACATGATTAATTTCAGTAAGTAAAATGTGGTGGTGAGCTCAGCCTTCCTCCAGCAAATGTTGGCTGCAAATGAAAGTTCACACGTTGGGTGCCTCAGTAGAAAAGGTGTTGTACCTGTGGCCCCTTCCACCAGTAGCTGTTTAATAATGCAAGCCCATTAATCATGGAGGAAGATGGCACGGTGTTCCCTGCTCCCCACAGCAAAACCACACATGCTGTTACTTCAAAAAGTGGGCATAATGATGAGTTCATGTCCTTTGTAGGGACATGGATGAAGCTGGAAACCATCATTCTCAGCAAACTATCAAAAGGACAAAAAACCAAACACTGCATGTTCTCACTCGTAGGTGGGAATTGAACAATGAGAACACTTGGACACAGGAAGGGGAACATCACACACCAGGGCCTGTTGTGGGGTGGAGGGAGTGGGGAGGGATAGCATTAGGAGATATACCTAATGTAAATGATGAGTTAATGGGTGCAGCACACCAACATGGCACATGTATGCATATGTAACAAACCTGCACATTGTGCACATGTACCCTAGAACTTAAAGTATCATATATATATATGTGTGTGTGTGTGTAAGGAAAAAAAAGGCATAAATGTGGTTCCATTGCAAAAGAATCGGGAACATGAAACATTTTGTTTCCTTTTTCTCTCTTTTGGAAACGTATTCTTTGGAAGGGTTAGGATGGTTGAAAAGTGGTTAAATAAACAGCACCGTCTGGCCATTGTCAGTAGACTGTCTTGGAGTATTAGCTGTTTATTTCACTGACATATTCTGAAGGGTCTATAGGGGACTCTTTCAGAAGTCAGGACCTCAATGTAATATACAAGCATTGATTCTGATATTTCCCCTGATAACAGTGCTCGACCATATTGGGGTCGTAAGTCAGTAAGGTTCATTGGCTCCTGTAATGCTCACTGTCACCAGTAATAAGTACAAAGGACTTGCTCTGAAAGCTGGCTTATAAAACTTTAAGGAAACTTGGATTGCTTAAGTGAACTTGCAAGGCTCTAGGGGGGCCAAGCGGGCCTTAGTTGTCTACTTATATTAATTTCACAGAGTTTAAAGGGTCAAGAAAGGCGGTCGGTGATGCTTATTAATTTATGAAAGACAGCCTCTTGTCTGTCTTGCTATCTCGCTTTGACCATTCTGCCCTTCCTTTTAGAAAATTTAATGTAAATTAAACCTTACCAGACAAGAGTGCCCTAAAAGATTAAGTCTAAAGTTCACAGCTGGACTAAAAGGATCCAGAGATGCTACGTTTTTTTGCTGGCACAATTTCACTTGAAGTGATGTTTGAACAATAGAACCACAGAGTGGACATAAAACATGAGAAGCAAAAGCAATTAGAGGCATACTACAGTTAGTCAAGGATTAGGATATTTAAAAAATATGAGATATACTTGCTTCTAGGGATTTTTTCTTCTTCTTCATCCAAGTAATAATGGCTTGTAACAAGACCATTTTCTTGGCCTTAAGTGGGGGCATGGTTCTTGTTAAGATGGAAATGTTTGTGTGTCACAGCAATGTCTCAAAACATATCTGACTGCTGAGGCCAAACCTTGCTGAGGAGTGGGAAAAGGGACATGGAATATTGCCATAGAAATAAAGCCAGTCTTCCTAATGGGAATGCTCCTTTTTGGCTGATTTTCTTTTGGATAAAGAGGGAAGGCCACAATCATGTAAAGGCAGACATTTAAAAATGCAGTACCTATTTTAATCCTCAAAAAAAACGTTAAATTATTTCCTCAATTTACAGATACAGGTATTGAGACTCAGACTAATACATTTTCTGAGGTTTGTACATCTAGTAATTGCCCGAGGAGTACTAGAAAATAAAGGAGTCCCCCCACCCCTATCCAAAACCAAGGGATCAGATTGAAGGCCACCACTGCCATGCTAGACTCTTCTTCTAGGAGGCTTTTTGAGCAACACATCCAAAGGAGGGAATAGCCAAGACCTTGACTGAGGGATGGGAACTAGATCAGCTTGGTTGCAGTGCAGTGGGCTTGGAGGTGTGAAGGGAATGAAAAGTAGAGTGGAAAGGTAGCAGGCAGACATGCAGGGTTAAGTAGGCTAGTATTTGATTTTTATTCTAGGAGCAGTGTGAGATATTTGGAGGGTTGAGGCAGGAGATACTCAGATTTGTTAGAAAGGTTACATGAAAGACCACCACTTCCTGTTTGGATGAAGTAGTTGGTGGCATATTAAGCTTCTATAGAGAACAACTAAAAAAACCAGATAAAATATAGAAATCATCAGTAAGAAGGTAGTAGAGGGCTGCTGAGGCACAGAGGAGAATGGAGAGGACTGTGAAAAAGTGAGTTGACCTCTGCAGCCTCTTTTAAACTAGGTTCCATTGCTGGTTTTAGGTACTGCAAGAAGCTAAAAATTCAGAATTTTCACTAGTGGTAGGCAGCTACTAGACAGTAAAGAAACAAGTAGAACTTCTGGAAGAAACTTGGTAGTCCTTTAACATGAGGCTAATGTTTCCCCTAGGGAAACTGAATTCTGAGACTATATGGAGTGGGGAGGCAAAAAACCTTAACAGAAGTCCTCTGAAAAATACACAACAGAGTTCACCAGTCTTCATAGTGTCAAAAGATAAAGATTAGAGTTCAGAGCTCACTATGGGGAAGAGATCCAGTGAACACACCAGACTTAGGTGAAAATCTTGGAGGCTTATACCTTAAATAAAGGCAAACAGAAAGTAGATTGAGCCTTACCTTGACTACAACACAGAATCAATATAGCATAGTGTGTGATTAGATTTGTGTGAGCAGCTATTACTCTCTTTGCCTAAAGGAGGGAGAGGTATATGGTCCTTGGAGGAAAATAATGTCACCTGGAGTCTTCAAGCTATAGAAACAGTATCCATTACATTAATAATTTTTAGACATGCCAAAACAGAGGCTCACATGATTGAAAATCAAGAGAAAAACAATCAAAAGGAATAGGCCCACAGAGGATCCAGATATAGAAGTTTGTTAACAAAACTTTTAAATAGCTTGATATATATGTTTAAGGACATGGAGAAAAAAGCCAAAAACAGAGAGGATGAGTAGAGTTCCCAATTTATAAAGCACACGAGTAATTCTAGAACTAAATAATACAGTATCGGTAACAGAAATTTGTACATAAGAGTAAGCAGAATTAGTGAGCTAGCAGAAAAGTCAACTGAATGTCTCTGTGCTTAAGCACAGAGAGCAAACAGTAAGTAATACAGAAAGGAACACTAAGAAATATGAGGCTCACTCAATAGATCTAACATAAAATGGAATTCCAGAAGGAAATAATAGTGAATGAAGCAGAAGCAATATTTAAAGAGATAATTCCTGAATATTTTCCATAACTGATGAATGATATTAATTTACAGGTTTAGGGAAGCTCTGTGATGTCAAGAAGTGTAAATATGATATCACCATATTTTATTAGAAGTAAATATTGAGTACAACTGCAAATAACCACAGACAAAAATATAATGCACATTATCACCATCCTGGCTAACACGGTGAAACCCTGTCTCTACTAAAAATACAAAAAAATTAGCCAGGTGTGGTGGTGGGCATAGTCCCAGCTACTCAGGAGGCTGAGGCAGGAGAATGGCGTGAACCCAGGAGGCAAAGCTTGCAGTGAGCCGAGATGGTGCCACTGCACTCCAGCCTGGGCCACAGGGAGAGACTCTGTCTCAAAAAAAAAAAAATGCACATTATCTTCAAAGGAACAATAGTTTTGATACCTGAATTCTCAACAGAAACAATGGAAGCCAGAAGACAGCAGAAGAATATCTTCAAAGTACTAAGAAGAGCTCTTTTGCCTCCAGAAAAGAGAATGGATTTTGGAGTTAGAGTTGGCTACAGAGGATACAGGAAGAAAAATTAGTAGGTTTATAGAGTATTATAGTTTCTTCTAAGAGGTGATTGTGGTTTACACTAGAGTGATGATGATGGAGATGAAGAGAAGTGGATTGATTAAATGAGTATTTTGGAAGTCAAAACCCTCAAGAAATAAAGCAAACCAACCAATCACTTCCCATCCCCCCAAACACTCTGTCTCATCTTCATGATTATTTTCTTTTTTTCTTGAAGGTTTTCTTAGCCACCTCATGGACCATCTGGTTGGCTGAGATGAAAACACATAAGTTCCATAAGATAGTCTCTTTGATAACCAAATTCTCTCTCATTCTTGTCTTCACCTCTGATGCTTAGATAGTGATTGAGTGCATTTCTGTTTCTCTGTGGAGAATTCCATGTGACACCCTGATAGAAATGTTGGTAGGGGGCATTAGCTCCCATCCCCCATCCCATCTTATCCAACTGTGTATAGTTAGAGTATGGGTTTATAGACAAATGGATATTCACCAGGCCAGGGGCTGTATTAGGTAGATGTGGTATCTTTTTTGGAGTCCTTCAGTTCAGAGAAGTCTGGACAAAGGAAAACTAATTTCAGGTCTGACTTAACTGAATCTTAAATACTATCTCTGTCCATTACTCTTTGTGCAAGCTTGGGGCTCAGTTTCTTTTATTTGGAAAGTGGAAGGCTGGGCGTTGTGGCTCACACCTGTAATCCCAGCACTTTGAGAGGCCGAGGAGGCGGATTACCCGAGGTCAGGAGTTTCAGACCAGCCTGGCTAACATGGTGAAACCCCATCTTTACCAAAAATACAAAAATTAGCCGGGTGTGGTGGCATGCATCTGTAATCCCAGTTACCTGGGAGGCTGAGGCCAGAGAATCACTGGAACCTGGGAGGCAGAGGTTGCAGTGAGCTGAGATCACACCACTGCACTCCAGCCTGGGTGATAGAGTGAGACTCCATCTCAAACAAAAACCCAAAACATTGAGAGACTGAGGCAGGCGGATCACAAGATCAGGAGATCGAGACCATCCTGGCTAACACAGTGAAACTCCGTCTCTACTAAGAATACAAAAAATTAGCCGGGGGTAGTTGTGGGCTCCTGTAGTCCCAGCTACTTGGGAGGCTGAGGCAGGAGAATGGCGTGAACCTGGGAGGCAGAGCTTGCAGTGAGCAGAGATCACGCCACTGCACTCCAGCCTGGGCAACAGAGCGAGACTCTGTCAAAAAACCAAAACAAAACAAAACAAAAAAACAACCCCCCCCCCCAAAAAAAAACACAAAACAAACAAAAAAGAAAGTGGGAATGGCGTCTGGCAGAGCCTTTCTCTCCAGCAACTGCCATCTCAGTTCCAGGTCCTGTCTCCATTGGTCTGTCTCCTCTATTCCTAGAGGCCCCAGCTGGCTCTGTGGCAGCCTCTGTGCCTCTGTGACCTGTAGGTACTGGGAAATTTGTAGGGCAGATGCCAGGACATGGAAACAGATGGGAAGACCAGAACACTGAAGATCAGTTCAAAAATTCTGGAAGTAATCTGGGAAAGCTTAATTTAAAATGTGGCTGTTGGAAGACCCTGCCTACCCACTTTTGCAGATGGACGCCTGCCAGTGCTTCTGCCAGCATGCATACAACAGGGACCCACAGTCACCCTGCTGGAGCACTTTTGCTGCTGGCAACCCCTGTCCGAGTGTTGCTGCCAGCAGACTGGGAATGCCTAGGCCCCCAGCGTAGTAGATGGTTAACCTTGAGGGGCCAGAGAACATATCTGTGAGCCTAGTTCCAGTACCCCAGGGTTAGAACATGCAGTCCAGGAGTGCTGAGCTTAGCCTTGCCCCCCTGGAAGCATGCAGAAGCAAAGCCATTCAAGTTAACCCAACTTATAACACAGTAGAGGTGTCAAGGACATCAAAGAATATGAAAGCAAAAAACCCTATACAAAGATGGCAACTTCAAACATTAAAGGGACATCAGCCAACACAGATGAGAAAGAACCAATGCAAGAACTCTGGCAATTTTAAAAGCCAGAATGTCTTCTTATCTCCAAACAACAGCACTAGCTTCCCAGCAATGGTTCTTAACCAGACTTAAATGACTGAAATGACAGGTATGGAATTCAGAATCTGAATGGCAAATAACTCATTAAGATACAGGAAAAGGTTGAAACCCAATCCAAGGAACACAGCAAAATGGTCCAAGAGCTGAAAGACAATGTAGCCATTTTAAGAAAGAACCAAACCAAACTTCTGGAAATGAAAAATTCACTTCAGGAATTTCAGAATACAATGGGAAGCATTAATAACAGCAGAGACAAAGCTGAGGAAAGAATATCAGAGCTCAAAGACTGTTCCTTCACATCAATGCAGGCAGACAAAAATAAAGGAAAAAGAATACAAAAATGAACAAAACCTCTGAGAAATATGGGATTATGTAAAGAGACCAAACCTATGGCACATTGGTATTCCTGAAAGAGATGGAGAGAGAGCAAACAACCTGGAAAACATATTTGAGGATATTGTGGACGAATATTTCCCCAGCTTTGCTAGAGAGATTGACATACAAATTCAGGAAATTTGAAGAACCCCTGTAAGATGCTATACAAGACAACCATTGCCAAGACACATAGTCATCAGATTCTCCAAAGTCAATGTGAAAAAAAAATTCTTAAAGGCAGCTAGAGAGAAGGGGTAGGTCACATACAAAGGGAACCCCATCAGGCTAATATTGAAACTTTCAGCAGAAACTTTACAAGCCAGAAGAGAGTGGGGGCCCATCTTCAACATTTTTTTAAAAAAAGAAATTTCAACTAAGGATTTTATATCCAGCCAAACAAAGCTTCATAAAGAAAGGAGAAATAAAATCTTTTTTTCAGATAAGCAAATGCTGAGGGAGTTCATTACCACCAGACATGCCTTACAAGAGGTCCTTAAGGAAATGCTAAATATGCAAACAAAAGACCATTACCTGCCTCTCCAAAAACACACACATGTACATATCCCACTGAAACTCTAAAGCAACCCCATAATCAAGTGTACATAACAATGAGCTATTAATAACAACATGATGACAGAGTCAAATCCTGACATATGCATATTAACCTTGAATGTAAATGGGCTGAATGTCCCACTTAAAAGACAGAAAATCGAAAGTTGGATAAAGAAGCAAAACCCAACTGTGTGCTGTCTTCAAAAGACCCATCTCACATGCAAGGACACTCACAGGCTCAAGGTAAAGGGATGGAAAAAGGTATAGCAAGCAAACAGAAAACAAAAAAGGGCTGGAGTTGCTATTGTTATTTCAGACAAAACTGACTTTAAACCAGCAATGATCAAAAAGGACAAAGAAGGGTATTGCATGAGATGTGTATATATACATATACATACATAAATATGTATATATGTATGTATACATAAATATATACATATTTATGTATGTATACATAAATATATACATATTTATGTATACATATATAAATATATACATACATAGATATGTATGTATCTGTACAGATACACTTGACCAAATGGACCAGATAGACATCTACAGAATATTCTACCCAATGACAACAGAATGTACACTCCTCTTATCTGTACACAGCATATACTCCAAGATTGATCATTCATACTCTCAGTCATAAAAAAACTCTTAAAAAATTAAAAATATCGGAAATCATACCAACCACACCTCCCAGACCATAGGGTAATAAAAGTAGAAATCAATGCCAAGAATATCACTCAAAACCATATAATTACATAGAAATTAAACAACTTGCTCATGAATGAAATTAAGGCGGAAATAAAAGAAAATATTGAAACTAATGAAAATAAAGATACAACACACCAGAATCTCTGGGACATAGCTAATGAGGTGTTAAGAAGAAAGTTTATAGTGCTAAATGCCTATCTCAAAAAGTCAGAAAGATGTCAAATTAACAACCTAACATCACACCTAGAGGAACTAGAAAAACAAGAGCAAACCAACTGCAAAGCTAGCAGCAGAAGAAAAATGACCAAACTCAGAGCTGAACTGAAAGAAATTGAGATGCAAAAATTCATTCAAAAGATTGATGGACCAAAAATTGGTTCTTGGAAAGAATAAATAACATTGCTAGACCACTAGCTAGATTAATAAAGAAAACAAGAGAAAAGATCCCAATAAACACAATCAGAAATGACAAAGGTAACATTACCACTGACCCCACAGAAATACAAAGAAGCTCTGAGAGCATTACAAACACCTCTATGCACACAAACTAGAAAACCTAGAAGAAATGGATAAATTCCTGGAAACATGCAATCTATCAAGATTGAATCAGGAAGAAATTGAAATCCTGAACAGACCAATGACAAGTTCTGAAACTGAATTAGTAATTAAGAACCTACCAACCAGAAAAAACTCTAAACAAGACAGATTCACAGCTGAATCCTACCAGACATGTAAAGAAGAGCTGGTACCAATCCTACTAAAATCATCTCAAAAAATTGAGGAGGATGAACTCCTCCCTAACTCATTCTATGAGGCCAGCATTATTCTGATACCAAAACCTGGCAGAGGTACAACAACAAAGGAAAACATCAGGCTGATATCGCTGATGAACATAGATGAAAAAATCCTCAACAAAATATTAGAAATCAAATGTAGCAGCACATCAAAAAGTGAATCCATCATAATCAAGTAGGCTTTATTCCTGGGATGCAAGGTTGGTTCAATATACACAAATATATACATGTGATTCATTACATAAACAGAACTTAAACCACATGATCATCTCAATTTATGCAGAAAAATCTTTTGATAAAATTCAACATCCCTTCATGTTGAAAACCCTCTACAAACTAGGCATCAAAGGGATATACCTCAAAATAAGATCCATCTATGACAGACTTACAGCCAACATCATAATGAATGGGCAAAAGCTGGAAGCATTCCCCCTGAGAACTGGGACACAACAAGGATACCTACTGTCACCACTCCTATTCAACATAGTACTGGAAGTCCTAGCCAGAACAATCAGGCAGGAGAAATAAATAAAAGGCTTCCAGATAGGAAGTGAGGAATTCGAATTTTCTCTCTTTGCAGATGATATGGTTCTATACCTAGAAAACCCTGTAGTTCCTACCCAAAGGCTCCTAGAACTGATAAACAACTTCAGTGAAGTTTTAGGATACAAACTCAATGTACCAAAATCCGTAGCATTTCTATGCATCAATACTGTCCAAGTTGAGAGCTAAATCAAGAATGCAATCCCATTCATAATAGCCATAAAAAGAATGAAATACTTAGGAATACAGCTAGCCAGGGAGGTGAAAGATCCCTACAATGAGAATTACAAAACACTGCTAAAACAAATCAGAGATGACACAAACAAATGGAAAAGCATTCCGTGCTCATGGATTGGAAGAATCAGTATTGTTAAAATGGCCATACTACCCAAAGCAATTTACAGATTCAATGCTATTTCTGTCAAACTATCAGCATCATTTTTTTCCACAGAATTAGAAAAAATAAACTATTTGAAAATGAAGATGAAACCAAAAATAAAAGCCCAAATAGCCAAAGCAATCCTAAGCAAAAAGAAGGAAGTCAGAGACATCACACTACCTCACTTCAAACGATAATACACTACAGTAAACAAAACAGAATGGTACTGGTACAAAAACAGACACGTAGATCAATGGAACAGGCCAGAGTACCCAGAAATAAAACTGCATAACTATAACCATCTGATCTTTGACAAAGTTGACAGTAACAAGCAATGGGGAAAGGACTCCCTGTTCAATAAATGGTGCTAGGATAACTGGCCAGCCATATGCAGAAGATTGAAACTGGACCCCTTCCTTGCACCATATATAAAAATCAACTTAAAGACTTAAATGTGAGACCTAAAACTATAAAAACCCTAGAAGGAAACATAGGAAATATCATTTTGGACACAGGTCTTGGTAAAGATTTCATGTTGACATCTCCATATGCAATCGCAATAAAACAAATATAGACAAGAGGGACCTAATTAAACTAAAGAGCTTCTGAAAGCGGAAGAAACTACAGCAGAGCAAATAGACAACCCACAGAATGGGAGAAAATATTTGCAAACTATGCATACAACAAGGGTCCAATATTCAGAATCTATAAGAAACTTAAATCAACAAGCAAAAAGCAAACAGCCCTGTTAAAAAATAGGCAAAGAGACCCGAGTGCGGTGGCTCACGTCTGTAATCCCAGCACTTTGGGAGGCCAAGGCAGGCGGATCACGAGGTCAGGAGATCGAGACCATCCTGGCTAGCACAGTGAAACCCCGTTTCTACTAAAAATACAAAAAATTAGCCGGGCGTGGTGGTGGGCGCCTGTAGTCCCAGCTGCTGGGGAGGCTGAGGCAGGAGAATGGCATGAATCCAGGAGGCAGAGCTTGCAGTGAGCTGAGATCATGCCACTGCACTCCAGCCTGGGCGACAGAGCGAGACTGTGTCTCAAAAAAAAAAAAAAAAAAAAGGCAAAAAATATGAACAGACACTTCTCAAAAGAAGACATACACACAGTCAACAAGCATATGAAAAGTTGCTCACTATCACTAATCATCAGAGAAATTCAAATCAAAGCCACAATGAGATACCATCTTACACTAGTAAGAACGACTATTATTAAGAAGTCAGAAAATAAAAGATGTTAGTGGCATTGCAGAGTGAAGGGAATGCTTGTACACTGCTGTTGGGAATGTACAACATTACAATTAGTTCAGCCACTGTGGGAAGCAGGTTGGAGATTTCTCAAAGAGCTTAAAAGACAACCACCATTTGACCCAGCGATCCCATTACTGCTTATATATACCCAAAGAAATATGTCATTCTACCAAAAAGACACATGTACTCTTATGTTCATCGCGGCACTATTCACAATAGCAAAGACGAAGAATCAACCTAAATGCCTATCAATGGTGGACTGAATAACTAAACTGTGGTACATATACACCATGGAATAACATGCAGCCATAAAAAGAAGAAAACCATGTCCTTTGCAACAACAGGGTTGCAACTGGAGGCCGTTATGCTAAGTGAATTAATGCAGGAACAGAAAACCAAGTGGGCATGCTCACTCATACTGGGCTAAACTTTAAGTACACATGGATACAAAGAGAGGAACAAGAGACACTGAGGCTTACTTGAGGGTGGAGAGTGGGAGACAGATAGGGTATAAAAACTACCTATCAGGTACTATTCTACTATCTGGGTGATTAAATCATTTGTACACCAAACCCCGGTGATACATGATTTACCTATGTAATGAACCTGCACGTGTATCCTCTGAGCCTAAAATAAAAGTTTAAAAAGGAGACTTTGTGATTATATAACATATTAACAAGTTCCAGGGATTAGGATGTAGGGAACTTTGGGTGCTAATTTTTAAGCTTAATACAGTTTGATTTTTTTTATTGAGGTAAAATATACATAGACATAAAATTTACCATTTTAACCATTTTTAAGTGTACAGTTCTGTGACATTAAGTACCTTCACATTACTGTGCAACCATCACCACCACCCGTCTCTGGAACTTTTTCTTCTTCCCCAACTGAAACTCAGTACATGTTTAACACTAAGTCCTTATCCCGCCCTCTGACCCCACCCGCCCCTGACCCGGATGCCATCCACCATTCTACTTTCTGTTTCTATGAATTTGACTACTCCAGGTACATCATATAGGTGAAATCTGTAGTATTTGCCCTTTTATGACTGACTTATTTTACTTAAAATAATGTCATCAAGGTTCATTTATGTTGTAAGCTTGTGTCAGAATTCATTCTTCCATTGTAGTATATACCACATTTTTGTTTAGTAATTCATCTGTTGGTGGACATTTGTGTTGTTTTTACATTTGGCTATTGTCAATAATGGTGCTATAAACATGAATATACAAATATCTGTTGGAATTCTTATTTTTCTTACTTTTTTTCCAATGCCCTCACTTTTACAATATCTTTACTTTTGGGTATATGTCTGGAAGTGGAATTGCTGGATCATAAAATAATTTTACCTATTTTTTGAAGAATTGCTGTACTGTTTTTGACAGTGGCTCTACTATTTTACATTATTACCAGTGATATAACATGACTCTACTTTCTCTCCATCCTTTCTGCTATGGTTTCAATGTTTGTCCCTTCTGAAACTCATGTTGAACCAATGTAGCAGTACTGAGAGATGGGGACTTCAAGAGGTGATTGGGTCATGAGGGCTCTGCCCTCAGGAATGAATTAATTCACCCGTGGACTAACGGATTAATGGATTAATGGGTTATCAAGAAGTGGGACTGGTGGCCTTAAAGGAAGAGGGAGAAAGACCTGAGCTAGTACACTCTGTCCCCTCATCATGTGATGCCCTGTGGCACCTTGAAACTCTCCAGAGTCCCACCAGCAAGAAGGTCCTCATAAGATGCAACTGCTTGACCTTGAACTTCCCAGTTCCAGAACTGTAAGAAATATATATATATACATACATATATATATTTTTAAAAAGTAAATTACCTAATTTCATGTATTCATTTATAGCAACAGAAAATGGACTAAGATACTCTCCACAAACTTATTTTCTGTTTTTTGATAATAGCCATTCTAATGGGTGTGACATGTTATCCCATTGTGGTTTTGATTTGCATTTCCCTGTTGATTACTGATATTGAATATCTTGTCCTGTGTTTATTGACCATGTGTATATTTTCTCAGGAGACAATTCTCCTTTTCTCATTTTAGCATCAGGCTGTTAAGGGGTTTTTTTGAATTGTAAGAATTCTTTAAATAATATGGATATTAATTCCTTATCCCATATGTGATTTGCAAAAATTTTCTTCCATTTTGTGGGTAGCCTTTTCATTCTGCCGATAGTGTTTGAAGCAGAAAAGTTTTAAACTTCGATAAAGTTCCATCTATCTGTTTTTCTTTTGTTGTCTGTGCTTTTGGTGTCATACCCATCAAGTCATCACTAAGTCCAATGTCATGAAGCTTTTCCCCTATGCTCTCTTCTAAGAGTTTTATGGTTTTAGTCTCACTCTGTTGCCCAGGCTGGAGGGCAGTGGTGCGATCTCAGATCACTGCAACCTCTGCCTCTGCCATTTAATAGAAAATAGAAGAAAGTTAGAAGCTTATTTATAACTTCTAATGTAATAGAAAATAAGAGAAAGTTAGAAGTTTATCTCATGTAATGAAGTTCAGAAATGGGCAGTCCAGGGATGGTGTGTAACCACTCGGGTTTTCAGGCATCCCAGTGACTTCCAGCTCTTTATTCTACATTCCCGGGATTGGAGCCCTCATCCTCCTATTCTAAGATGGAAGCTGGATTTTCACTTATCACATCACATTACATCATGTAATATCACGTTACCATCTAATCACATCATATTAATGCCACATTACAGCAGTAGGAGGAAAGAAACTCAAACCTCTCCTTTTAAGTGAAACTCCCTGGAAGAATCACACAACACTTCCACTTACTACTCAGTTGGCAGATGTTGGTCACATGACCACACCTCTCTGCAGGAGAGGCTGGGAAATGTAGTCTTTTACTGAGTTAACCCTGTGGAGCTGTGTGGATAAAGAGGACAGAGAAAATGCATCATTGGAAGTCAACTTGAAGTTTCTTTCACACTTTTGAATACCTTCAACATAAAACTTGGTATACATGAACTCTTTGGAATTTTTAATTCTATGTCCATACTGTTGGATAATGATGCATATAAAAATAATAGAGAAACAAATGTTGGACACTCATCACTGCTACAGAACAGTATATACATCCGCAGGAGACTTGCTGGAACGAGCACAAATGGCTCCAGTGAGTTCTGAGCTTTTTAACTCAACTCTAGTCCAATCCCCTTTGGGGTGCCCAAACCTTTCACTGGTAAGTGGTTGGGTAATCTTTTATTTCTATGTGCTAGCTTGCCTTTGAGGACACATTGCTTTGTTAGGAATTTGTATATGATCTCATGGCACATGACCCACTAAAAGGGAGCAGGCTTGGGCAAAACGTCAGATGGAAATTCATGCAGCTTATCTGTCCTACCCATCTGGTCACCAGAATCCTGACTGCAGTGTCTCCTTGAAATTCACCAGGCCCAGAGATCTAATTACAGAAAAATCTGAAAGGAATATTTAGCATGGATCTAAAAGAGTCAACAAAAGGGTTAAAAAGTGAAAACAAATGCAAAGTTTACTACAGAGTTAAATCTAACAAAGACATATGCATTCACATGCATATATTATGGGTAATCCTTCTTCATGAAGACATTACTGGAATTCTTGGTCATGTGTGACTAAGGAAACTCTCTTTGTCCCATCCAGTTCAGGTCCTCTTCTTTATTACTCAGGTATTTCTCTTCTTTGTGTCTAGTTTGTTCATGTCCTTTGCCTTTGCTTTAGAATTTGCTTCTTTGATTACGATTTCTCAGAATTGCTATAAGCTGTGACTCATATTCTGTTCCCCTAAAGTGATTATCAGTTATATTTTTTAGCTCCAAGGGTGTACAGGTCCATGCAATGCTGAAATTTAGTAAGGCTTTCTCTCCTTCAAAATCAGGCTGCCATATATTAGCTTCTGGGAGCATTGCCTGTTTGCTGCAGGTTCTATGCTGTCTCTTCTCACCACTAAGCCTAGTGTTGGTAATCAAAGGTTCAGTTATTAAGTAGTTATCATGCATATAAAACATGTTTCTACCATGGGAAGTCCATAATCTGGTTGATAATAATGATTCTGGAATAATCTTGTAATTTGGTCTTCCAAAGCAAATCTAAGAACATCTTGAAGCACTTTTTTCTCAAGCTGGGGAGCCAAATGTTTTACTTTTTTAAAAAAGTTTTCTACGTAGGTGGACTTGGAGAAAAAAAAAGTTAAATTGAGGAATACTTACATCAGACATTTGCTGACTATGGGACACCATGCATGATCAATGTATGTTTGCTCATCTACTTCAACTTCCCTCAACATTCTCTGTTCTCTGTAACTGTAAAGTAAATTTGTTATTCTTTATCTAAACAGTTCTGAGAGTACTGGGAATGATAATAATTAAAGAACAGTCTAGATAGCCAAAAAACAAAAACAAAAACAAAAAGCTTAGGACAGAAATCCCGTATTCAAGACTCAAATCTTGAAATGCGTTTGTGAAATGTGGGTAATGATAATATACTTACCCCATTCATCTCCCAGAATTACGAGAAGAAAGAACTTAGTTAATGTTAGAGTGCTTTGTAGACTATAAATACCATAGAAATGTCAGCTGTTATTACAACCTTTATGCCAATGTTTTCCTAGTTCTTCTTGGCTCAAAGTAATGAAAAGTTTTTAACATTTAATTTTTTTTACAGTTTCATTTTTTGTCCTCAAACAGTTTTGCTTTATTTTAGTTATGAGTGATAGGAATCCAACTCAAAATAACTTAAGCAAAAAAGAGAGCTTGTTGTCTCATCTTACTGGGAAGTCAGGTCTGTCTTCAGGTATAGCGAGATCCAGGGGCTCAAATAATGTTGTCAAGGCTCTCTCTCACTCTCAGTCTGCTTCCCTCTTTTTGTGGGCCAGATCCTTTCCTTTGGGCTTAAGTTTCCTCCACAGGAAGAAGGGATGTTGACATTGCCCTGAAACTTAACAGAAATAGAGCTTCTTTCCCCCAGTGTCCACACATCAGTTCCAGGGAGATTTACTTGGGACAGCCCTGTTTGGATGGCTGCTGGGAGTGACATCTATCACATGTGAGATGGGCTTCCTTGATTGGGTGATCTGCTTACTATGCTGACTCCTGCAGTACAGAATGCAGTAAGGACAGGATCCTGGAGTTGTCCATTTAGCTGAGGCCCAGGGGTGAGAGGAGGGGAACTCTAAAAGTAGGCTTGTTGGGTGGAAGTGAACTCCACTTGTCTTTTGCAAACGATGAGATCAGGACTTTCAGAGAAGATGAAAAATAAATAGTGAGTAAACATATGAAAACATACTCTACTTCATTAATAAGGAAATTAAAAAGCATATGAGATATAGTATACCAACTAGGTGGGAAAAATTTAAAAGTCAGATAATACAGATTTGGAGAGGCTAGAACAATGATCTCTCTGATACACTGGTTAAAGCATGATCTGTTATAACTACTTTGGAAAATAATTTGCTATTATCATGAAGGTTGAACATTCATGTATGCCATGATCTAGCAATTCTACTCCTAAATATATCCTAGAAACTTTGTGTATGGTGTGCACATGGTGTGCAGGAGCTGTATGCAAGGACGATCATAACCAACTTATCCCTAGTAGCAGTAAAATTATAAGCAACTTAAATGTCCATCAGCAGGAAGACAAATAAATACATTTTAAAGTAATCATATGCTGCAGTACCTTATCCAGTGAAAACAAACAGCAGCAGCGTGAACTAATATCAATTAAGCTTAGAAATATAGTGTTAAGTGACAAATCAAGTTTCAAAAGACTAACTACAGTATGGTACAATGTGTAGAAAACTCGAAATAAGAAAAATGAAATAACATTGTTTTGTTGAATAACAAAAACAAGAGGAGCATAAATATGAAATTAAAAATACTATGCATTTTTAATTATTTAAAATATGAAATTAAAAATACTATGCATTTTTAATTAAATTCAAATATGAAATTAAAAATACTACCTCAGGGGTAGTTCAAGTTGCTGGGTAATGGTACTGGTGTTTTCAGGTATTTTAAAACTGTGCGTCGTAACGTCCACACGTGACATACATGTGTATATATGTTACATCTATTATTTTATATTCTGAAATATTAAGTAATAGAAGCATGTAAACACAAAACGTATGTTCACTATGAGTTTTTCCAAACTAGTTAAATCAAAAATACTAAATTCAGTAGACATTAATCTCATTAATCTGCATGTACCAAAGGAAATTTAAGAGTAAAAACGTGATTTATAGGCAATTATTGTTATGTATTAGGATACATGAAAAGTTTAGCTTGGTCAAGTACCTAATGGAACATTTAATAAGTTACCAAACTGTAAAAGACATGAAGAAAACAACAAAGGAAGGACATACCTTTATGCTATGCCTGACCAAATGGAAATTTGGATTACGTATACAAAACGGGGGGAGGGTGGTTTAAGAAATTTATTTTGAATATTTACAGCAATGTTTCCTTTCCACCTCATAGATACTACATTAGATCATGGAATAGTTACCCCAGTGGGGCTTCAAAAGATTTGTCTTTTCTTTTTTTTTTTTTTCAGCCATAGCTGTTTGATTGGAGAATAAAAGTCAGCATTAGGTATTGACAACATGATTTTTAAATCATATGGAAGTTTTTCACTCATATGGGAATAGTTTGAATTTGTATTCCTGTTAGAATTTTAGAACTGGATTTTTGCATAGCCTGACATTTCCCTGAAAGGAATTATAGTTAGGTAAGGAGCAAGGAGAATTACCTATAACAAATAAAGGTGATAGAAAGAAGGATGGAAAAAGAAGGCAGAGGGAAAGGGACGGAGAGGGAAAGAAAGAGAGAATGGGATATTGGAGAGAGCATGTCTTGGTGATGCAAATGTTGAGGTCTAAATTCTGGCTCTGCAATTACTAGCTGTGTGACTTGGACAAGTTCCTCAACTACTCTGATGTTCCCAAGGCCCATCTGTATGTAGGGACTCCAGCCCCCACCTCCCCATGTTCTTGTGCTCACAAACTGCAGGCAGCTGGAATCTGAACTGGGAAGGACCAATGATGAGATGCAGAGAAGAGCCACATTCTGAATGTTATGTAATGTTATGAATGTTTTTTAGACAGCATGTCAGACATGCTGTCTATAAAAGAGCATGACTACCGTGAACATGTCTAAATGTGAACAAACAATTTGAAAGCAGTATTTGGAGAGAGTGGACGTTACCCTCTAAAAGAGGTAAGGGTGGATGGCTAATGTACCCTAATATAAATAAAAATAACTATTTTTTTCTGATGCCTGCCCTTTAGTTGAGCTAAGGACTGTCTCTCTCTGTTTAATGCAAGTGGTGTGTATGGTTTGCAGATGGAATGTTAATTTCACAACGTATTTGTTCTGTGCATTCTACCATGTTTGATTGTTCTTTCCCAACAGTGATGCCAAGCTAAAAAGGAAGGTGAGAGGGTGTTGAGTCCATTGTTAGGGGCAGATTAAGTGTGCAAGAGTTTTGTTTTCAGACAGTGGACAATTGAGGGGCACCACTTCTCTCTACTTTTGGAAGCAGTGGTAAAAAGGACATAGGCACTGGTGCCAGGCACACCTGTCGCTAAGTCCTGGTTCTGCAGTTTAGGGCTGTGTGACCTCAGACAAGTTTCTTACCTCTCTGAAAAGTGAAATAACCATACACATTCTTTTCACTGCCTCCTGATCTTGGTGTGTTAATCTTGCCTTTTAATATTTCCCTATACACTTGACCATTGCATTTGGCTTTCTTCATTTGAGATGGGGTCCAATTTTGGCAGACTGCACATTGCATCACCCACTCTCTGTTACCTTCAACCCCAGTGAAGTTCAGACCAAAGGACCTGAGCTTTCTTCACAGCAATTACAATAATCACTATTGATAAGTGTCTGTCATCTGGGGCATGTCATGATGATCGCTTCCTCTTGAGAGGTACTAATGTCAGCACAATGGCTCAGCAATTCTGTGCAATGGCAAAGATTCTTGCTCCCCACCCACTCCAGGGATTTCCACCCTAATGCCCTGCTTATCTTGCTCTAGGGAAGTGACACCACTCACATGCTTTTCCTGAATGGGGCTCCAGTACCTAGTCCTTTCCTCCTCTACAGCCCTGGTCTGGAAAGCATAAGACAAAGTTCCAAGGTTTTCTGTCAGTCTTTCATTTAAGCTGGAGTTGGGGCATCAGTGACAATCACTCAGATTCTTTTTCTTTATGTTCTGCTCTGACTTTTTTGTTTTTTTGACGCTTTCAAGGACAAAGCTCTTCCTATCCAGAAAATAGCCCAACTCCAAGAGTCTTGGTAGTCCAAATGCCACTACTCTCCAAAGGACCCCAAATGGCTCCCTTTGCCCTTCATTCCTCTCAGCAGTATCTTCCAGCACCAAGTCTGTGTTGTCTTCCTCGAAGAAGAGAGAGGGAGGGGTCTGGTGTATCCTCGACACCTCCTGCCCATGTGGTTCTTTGCTGTTGGTGTCTCCCTGGGAGCTGAGCCTAGAGAGGGGAGGCTGGGACCAGGGGCACAAATGCCAGCCACAGGTGCCAGAGGATGCTGTGATTTTCACAGCCTTGTTCGCAGAGCAGCCTATTCAGCGAGACTCACTTTATTTATTTAGTAATAATGCTTGGCAAAGGGAAGGACCCATGCTTGTTAAGCACTAATGCATACCAGGGATTTTGTGTGTTATCTTCCTTAGTTCTCACAAAAGCCCTCATGGGAACTGCTCTGTCCTTATTTCAAGTTGTCTCCTGCAGATCACACATTGAGGCTCTGTGTTCACCTTCAAAGACATCTGGCTGCAAGGCACAGGGTCTGCCCACTAGCCAACACTATCCTCTGTTTGACAAAATATTCACATAGGTTATCCTACTTGGATGTTGCTCTGCACCAGAACCTCAGGAGGGCATCATGGAAGGCATTTCACAGATGAGGAAGTTGTGGTTCCTTGGCTGTGAATGGGAAAACTGAACCAGGAAGGTGGGTTGAAAGACTCCAGGTCCAGCCACCAGAGTGTCACATGGAGCGGAAGAGGAAGACACTTCCTTGTGTTATCCTTCAAGCAGAATAGAACCCCGAGAAAAATGGTAGGGAGGTGGAGTTTTGGGTAACAATGAACTCCTAGTAGGAATTGTTTTATGGTGTCTGCCACCACCTGATCCTGAGATACAGGATGAGGGAGATAAGTGGAGAGGCTGGGCACTGCTGATAATGGGGGAAGTTGGCTAAGTCGAACTTTGAGGGCCCACCCAACTCTAAGTGCCTATGACTATATGGTTCCAGAGGCTTCTTGCTTCTTTCCACTGTTATAGATCATCTTACACGAAAGCCAAGATGCAGAATCCATGTCTGAGGGTTCCAAGTGCCTCACCATTGCAAGCTTGGAGGATGAGACCATAAATTATTCAAATACTGCTCTCTGGTATGAATCACCCAAGAATTCCAAGAGATTTGTCTATTGATTTTCTGCATTTGACAATAGCCTTTCTGCTCTGCACAATGTGATTTTGACTAAAATCCTAATAACACAGAATCTACTATTGTATTTTGTTTAAAAGACTTATCAATTTTCTAACTTGAAAAATACTTTTCCTGGAATGCACAACCCCAGAACTCCTAATGGCCTAAAGAGAAATAGATGTCACCATTAGCTGCTAATATGTTCTTTAATCCACCTCCTTCTCAGCTCATAAGCCTACAACTCAATGCTCTGAGACCAGGCATGTTAATGGTACGAAATATTTACATTTATGCCCCAAATCTAAACAGCCACAAAACTTTATTTCTCCTTTTGTGGTTTCAATATTTAATTAGTGATGAAACATCAGAAAGCTGTAGAGAAAAAAACACCCCATTATTTTTTAAGTTATAGTATATTTACAACCCATTTCCACCTGCTCCCTTTGTCTCCACCTGTCTCTGCTGTACACAGATTCATCTCAGCCATCCCCTCAGGAATACAGCTGTGTCATCACATCCCGTGGCATCCTAATATGTCATACTAAGCTGTGAACCAATTAGGAATGACTACTGACTGTGCTGACTCATGGGAAGAGAAGGGGATAATGTGTCCTTCAGGTAATGAACTTCTTTGGGGACTTGACACATATTTCATTTTTTAGCACCGTTGGTATTCCCTTGTCACATTTCTGTGGATGTGGCTTCATTTTGCTTCATTGCACTAGGAGGATTATGCAGGGATTAGTATTTGTGAAGTAACTGAGTTTGTATCTATAATAATGAGATTTGGACAGAGGCACAGTGAAATTATTGGGCCAGCATCTGAGACCTCAGGGACAGGCTGGAGGGTTCAGGGGTAGATCTGGCCCAAGTGACACGTGTCCTTGGAAGGGCATGCTGGGAGCTTTGCGTGCTTTAGTTTCCTTCTATTCCAGTGGTTCTCAAGCCCTGACATGTATCAGAAAGACCTGGTGGGCTTGTTAGAACACCCAGCTGGGCCGGGCACGGTGGCTCACGCCTGTAATCCCAGCACTTTGGGAGGCCGAGGTGGGCGGATCACGAGGTCAGGAGATCAAGACCATTCTGGCTAATACGGTGAAACCCCATCTCTACTAAAAAGTACAAAAAAATTTAACCGGGCGCGGTGGTGGGTGCCTGTAGTCCCAGCTACTCGGGAGGCTGAGGCAGGAGAATGGCAGGAACCCGGGAGGCGGAGCTTGCAGTGAGCCAAGATGGTGCCACTGCAGTCCAGCCTGGGAGACAGAGTGAGACTCCGTCTCAAAAAAACAAACAAACAAAACACACACACACACACACACACACACAGCTGGGCTCTCACCTCCAGAGTTACTGCTTCAGTAGGACTGGGATGGGTCCTGTCTAATTCCAGGTGAAGCTAATGCTGGTGCTCTGGGGACCATACTTTGAGAACCACTGCTTTCAAGCTAGGATACCAATTTAACCCTTTTGCCAGATGAGTGAGTATTTCTTGAATGAAAGTACAAGCCAAGGTCAAATATAACTTTGTGTGATTAAATAACTGGTTACAATCCCAGAGCTTTCAGGGCCAGATGGATATGGTAAATCATCCAAGGGAATGATGTGGGCCAGAAGGCACAGGCAGTCAGGCATGTCAGGACAGCAGGGAATAGGAGAGCTCAGGCCGCATCCAAAGGGCAGCGTCACCTGGGCTCCAGGAGATTGTTGGTGTGCAGGAACTAGAACTTCTAGTTTTACAGGATGAGGCCCAAATCCAGATTTTTAAAATGTGAAATTTCCCTATTTGCAAATGGGGCAAACCACTGTAGGGGTGAAAGCTACAGTTGGCCCTCGGCTTGCCAGTTTGCAATTTTCAGTTTAAACTAACCTACTCACCATTTTTTTTTCCCCAGAGGGTACACAGTCTTATTGCCCATGCATGGACTTTCTTTAGCATTTCTTCCAACTTTGCCGTTTGTCCATCCCCATCCAATGGGGGTCTTGGGTCTTGAGACCCTGTTTGGGTCTATGTGGTGAAAGTTAAGGCAGGGACTGGCCTGCTGGGGACATGCTGGGTCAACACCCTAGTGGACAACTAGAAGTGGGCCATGTTGCAACTGCATGGGGGGGATCTGACTCTTTTGGACTAGAGACAAGGATTCTGGCCCAAGGTGGTGGACGGGCCTGGAGCAACATCTGTGCTTATGTTGGGGCAGCAGTGGTTTCTATGAAGCAAGTGCTTCAATCCAAGGCAGAAGAGGAGCAAGGCCTGGGAAACCTGATCGGATCCCCTTTGAGGAGAACACTCATCCTAGGAGCTTTGACATGTGGCATCTCATTTCATCCACAGGGCAACACAATGAGCTTATTATTGCCATTTTGCTGAAGAGGAAACTGAAGGTCTGAGGGTTTTTGCTGTTAGTAAGTGGTTGAGCTGTGACCTGAACAAAGGTCATCTGATAGGAAGGCAAGGAACCCACTACCCCGGACTCTGGGTAATGCATCCCTGCCTCCTTGCCTGGGAATGTAGCATGAAAAATAGTGAGAAAACCATAGCTTTCACTTACTTTTTATGACCCCAAATTTTATAATGGGAATTTGGCCTCACATTTGCTCATATTCCTGTGTAGCCAGAGCTTGATTTTTTGATTAGCATAAAAAATGACCCCAGGAGAAGTTCATTCCCAGCTCAAGGAACATTGTGTTGAAACAGGATGTTAACGAAAACCTCATAGCCCACGCCTGAGTCATTAACATCCCAGGGTTTGAACGGGGCAGGTCCTAATTCTTCAGTTGAGATTTCTTTGCTCCACTAAGTTCAATCCATGCTGGGACCATTAAAACGTCCTTTCAGTGCTTTGTCTGAAATTACCCACTTTTACAAATTTTCCCGTTACATAGACCTAGCGCCCTTTGGAAAATGAATTGCTTTTGGTGGTGGTGGTGGATGTCTGTGATTTTAATATTATTATACAATATGTCTCGATTAATCAATGTTTGAGAGCCATCTAGCTCCAAGCTAGATTACAAGTAAATAAAAATGGACTTTGTGCCTAACTCCTGCCTCCATAAAAAATCCTCTGAAATAGAGATGACAGGAACAAAAGAACGGTGGTGCCTGGGCCCAAGAAGGTTTAAGTGAGGTACTTAATATTCATCTGGTATTCATTGCAATAACATCAATCTTACCAAATTCTCCTGGTGTTAATGTAGATGTTCTGCATTTAGTATATACTTCCAGTGGAATTGCATTGTAATTGAGCACTAAATGATGTCCCCTTATGGTAAAGTGGTTCCAGAATTTTTTTGTAATAAATGGCTTTTAGTACAATAGAAGATCCCAGATTCATCGCCGAGTCTATATTAGACTCTTTAGGCTCTAATTGTCATTGACGGTCTTTACTGTATTATTTCCAGACAGTTCATAATTTTCCCAGCTGAACAAATGATGATTTGTGTGTGGAGTAAGACACTGACTGGATTATGTGGTGCCATTGATTTTTTTTATTGCTCTTGTTTCGCAAAATATCTTTTAAAATCACTTGAATCATCTCTACTGGTGTCATTTTAATGGCCGTAGAATTATTTGTATAGTAACAGTGATAGCAAAATTTGTTGAGTGCTTACTCTATACTAAACACCCTATTAAGGTGAATGCATTCATGATCTCATTGGAACCTCATGAAACACAGTAGGTTTGATTATCATTTGTATTGTAGTTGGGTAAGTTGGATATCAGGGGTTTAGGAATTTGTATGAGGTCATATAGCTAGAAAGAGGTGGAGTTGGGGTTTGAATTCATATGAACATGGCTTCAGGCTTCAAAGTCTGCTTTTAGCCATAGCACCAGATGACTTGTGCGTGGTTAGTAGACATGGAATTTCCTACAAGTAGACGAAGCAAACTTTAAATTCCCAGACTGATGAGAGTTTCCCACATTTCTTTATCACAAGCAGGAGAGACTTGTTAAGATAACCTAAGAAGTTAAGAGATAGCTTTTTTTTTTCCCTCCTGAAGCCCAGGGATGATGGGGAGCTGATGTTTAAGGAGAATATCTGTTTGAAAATGAGACACACAATGATTCTGTGCAGTAAAACGAGCAAATTGCACAGAGTGCATTTGTTTGCATGGAAGCAAACTAGACATGCAATTGTGACTAGTTAACCCTGTGGTTAGAGCATGTGGCTATCAGAGCTGAGGTTGAGAGCTCTGTATGGCTCACCCTCCTCATGCTGCCCATGCTGAAATTCTGGGAGGTTATGCAGGAAGGCCTGTCCCAGTGCTGACATTAACCAGCTGGTGGCCCCACCGATGCTTCTTGCCTTCTCTTATCTGCAAAATGAAGGGATTGAGTTGAATTCAAGACTTTCAAACCTATATAGATTGGCATTGTAAGTCTTTCTTCCAAATAAAGAGAATGGAGAATTCTAATATGTGGAACAGCTGAAAGCAGAAAATTTCTTGTTGAATTACACACTGCCCCCCTTTCCATCCTAGGCTGGAAATCTTGAGCCTCCTCGTCCTGGCCCAGATCCCCTGATACCCTGTTAGATGTGTGACGGCAAGTCTAGAAAACCTCTGATCTAGCTGCCTCCTCAGGTTCCTGGTAACTCACACTTCCATACTCACTATATTCCGATATAGATTGTTTTTAATTTTGTGAGCACTGGAAATTGAGTCATTGATCAGATTTCCCTTGCCATGGGTCTCTGAGACTGATGGTTTACGTAGAGCAAAGGTATGAGACGCTAAGGCATGGGTTTTGGGTTGACCACATCTTATGCTCCCACCAATGAATTTTTGTTTCTCCCTTATTTCTAATGAATGCAATTGTGTGTTTTACATAATTCTGCAAGCCACTTTAAGGTTTTTTTTTTTTTTTTTGCAAAGTAGATTAGGAAACCAACCAACTAATAAAATGTCCCCCAAATCTCTCTAATTCCACACACAAAATGTGTGGTTAATTCCAACAAATTTTGAAGCTTGGATCTCAAATGTCACGTTCTCAGGGAAGCTGCTCTAGTGGCTCTTATCCTTATACACATCAGCACCCCTGTAGCCATGCTCACTGAATTTCTACTCTCCCTTTATTGCTCTTGGTATAGCTTATGATTGTGAACTTGTATGATTATTTGATTCAACTCTCAGCTGAATTTTTAGGAGAGGGAGCTAAAAAATTTGGATGGGGTCCAATTGGGTTGGAGCCATGCAAAGGTATTTGGACTTCACCCTTTTAAGTGACAAAGTTCCATAGACACACAGTAGGTCCCCAGCTAACCATGAATGGATGCAGCAAACAAATGAATCCTTAGAGACTTAGCAGGAGGCTGCTACTGCTACTTAAGTCTCCACGATGGGAAAAAGCAGCTCGTTATTGTTAATGCCAACACCTCAGATAATATGCTTTTTATCTCTGCTCCTAATGGTAATGTAGATAAATTCCATAAATCAAATCTCAGCAGTAAAAAGGTTAATAAGTTTACGCTGTGTAATTGAAAGCCATATTGGTGATTAAAAGGATTTTATATATCAGTTTTCTGGGTCACCAACTAATTATTTTCAATGGCCGGTAATAAAACACAGCACCATGCCTGGCTAGACACTGCAAACTGTCAGATGTTAAATTGTGTAGGAAGTACTTGAGCAGGTTACCTTAAGTTGGTTGGTCTTTCCCTCGGGATGTGAAGTCATTGAAATCTCTGCTGTTTGTTTTGTGCCAAGCTTATATGATGCTTGAGGTCCCCTTCTACGGTAAGCATGGAAGCTAGGCAATCCCCCCAAATGGAAAAGGCATGTCAAGCTCCAGGGACCCCACGATAGCTGTAATCATTCATGTTCAATGCACTTGGCAATAGTAACACCGAGCAGTTGCCTTTATACCTAGATCATGGCTGCAGTATGGCACATACTTGGCCATCCTTATTCAGAATAGAGGATTTGCAAAAGAAGGGAAAAGTGTATGACCTGGAGCAGATTAATATTTGTTGACCCCCTAAAATATTCCAAGAATAGTCTTTGTGATTTATATGCGCTAGAGGCCACTAAGGTATGTATTGTCAATTCAAGGTTAGCTATGGGAAAACTGAAGCTTAGAAAGTAAGGGAATTACCTAAGGTCATGGCTATAAGCAGGACAGCCAGCATTCAAGCTTGAATCTGTCTGACTCCACACTCAAGTGATTCCACTATATATATTTATATTTATGTAAAATGTGTGACTTGGCTTATATATACACATACATTTTACTTCTGGTTTATGGAGTACCATCTGAAGAAACAGCAACAACAAAGACAAAACGTTCATGAGTTTGTTCTGAGCTTAATTTGGGATATTAGAAGCTTGTGTAGCTAGGGGCAGTGAAAATAAGGTTGCTGCATTGAATGAAACCATGTTATATTCTAAGCATGCAACATTTCCCGGAATAGTGCTGGAAGTGCTTAGAAGGTCAGTCTTCTAGTCTTGGAGGCTGCGTAAAGGTAGATGGAAATGAGGCAGGGAGGAGGCATTTGGGAGGGACATTTGTTTCAACTCCTGCCATTATTTCTTATGGGTGGGCCTGATGTGTCACTTAGCCAACATGCTATCACCTCTAGCGTTTGTTCAAGAGAAATATGTTTATAGAGTTTCTACCAGGAAAGAAACGCAGTCATTGTATACTTAAGTATAACATAGTGGGCTTAAACCCAGAAAAATCACTAGATACAGTGATATATCCTTTCTTTAACATTTCAACGTGTCTGATTTTACCCCATTACGAAGGAGACAAATTAAGGTTGGAAACCTCTGTAGTTGTAGTCTTTGTTTTTGTTTTTCTAGTTCTTTTACAAATTCTGGAATTATCTTGTAAACTAGGCACTGTGTTCAGTTGTGCATGTGTAGGAGGGAGGGTTTGGGAGGATTTGTAGAATCATTCTATCGCGGCTCTCCAAAGTCTGCGAATAACAGATGAATCAGAAATTTTGAACTCCTCAGTGACCTTCTTCAAAGGCAAATTATTTGCAGATGAAATATAGAATGAAAATTGGGAGGTGAATGCTATTGTCTTGGCTGCAGAGTTTAATGCTTCAAAAGAATAGCCAAGAGCATCCAGGACTGCGATGACTGGTTTAAAAAATGTATTTGACAGATATGTTAATCAAACCACCAAATAAAGGAGACTGCCTGAAGATGGCACTGAGATTGGGCACTCTCAAAACTCTCCATGGGCTTGGTAATTAAACACAGGTGCTTTCTTTTCTTGGCATCTCGTGCTAGGAAGGACCGACCTATCAGTGACTTAGTGTTCCCATCTGCCATCAGGTGGTACGAGAAATGTAAGAGCAGCCTCAGTTCCTTTCTAGAGAAAGACAGAGATGTGATTAACCCAATAACCCAGGAGGAGGAAGACTCAGAAATGTGCACAGAGAAAAGGCGAATGAATCTCCCTGGGGTCAGTGTGGAGTGGTTCATGTTGCAGGGAAAAGTTGGGCTTCTCAATTACAGAGATTCTTCTTCATGTCTATTTGTGACAAGAGCATTCTAAAGATGAAAACTCCCTTAGCTGCTCAGCCATATTTTAGAAAGAAATATTGGGGTTAGGGTGGGGGTTGGGGGTGAGGAGAGGTGCCCGTGGAGAAGCATGGAGGAGCAGACTTGAAAGGGCAGAGGGAAAAGGGGAGAGAATGACAAATATACTTCCATTAACAGGAAAACAAATGCACTTCAGATGGCTTGAGGCACAAGTGACATTTATCTTTAGTGGGCAGCATATTTTGAATAAAATCAAGTCAGCATCATCCATCATCTTTCCTCCTGACATGCACATGCCTTGACAACGTGCATCAGGGCATCTCTGACTCATGTGGGGATTGTGAGTGAGAGTTAAGTCAGGAAGCAGGGCTTGTCTGAGCTCTGGGAGCAAAGAGCTGTAACACAGTGACAACATGGCCAATGGTGCAGTCAAGGCAATGCTACAATGCACCACCAATGGTCTCCGTGGTGGACTAGTGCTTCCAGGGACAATCCATCTCTATCAAAGGCATGCCTATTGCTGATAAATTGTTTTCACCCTAACAGGGAGCTGGTACAAAGGAAGGCAGAAGGAGAGCAGGGACTTGACTTTTCCTTCCAAAGGCTGTAAAAGTGGTGTACATATGCCCGGGCCCATTCTTTCCCTCCAGGGCCCAGAGCTTTTACTACCTCTGTCCTCTCCCTTATCAAAAGAGTTATGCCCTGTTTCTCACTCTCAGCTCATCTGATGACCTCGACCACTCTGGCATGAGAATGCCTACCAATGGGTTCGCCTGTGGTTACCAGGTAAGAGGCTAAGACTTCAACAGAGTCTATTGGGAAACAGTACCCTGACCAAGGGATGGAGCAATTTCAGCCACCATTGTAGGCAAGGCAGGAATGACAGGGAGGTGAGTGAGGCACAAAAGTTAAGAGGGAGTAGAAATGAACACCTCAATGATTGAGGTAAATAATATTTTATTATGGTATTTAAAGAAATAAAAATTAGGCCGGGCATGGTGGCTCATGCCTGTAATCCCAGCACTTTGGGAGGCTGAGGTGGGCAGATCACGAGGTCAAGAAATCAAGACCATCCTGGCCAACATGGTGAAATGAAACCTCATCTCTACTAAAAATACAAAAAGTAGCTGGGAGTGGTGGCACACTCCTGTAGTCCCAGCTACTTGGGAGGCTGAGGCAGGAGAATTGCTTGAATCAGGAGAATCACTTGAACCCGGGAGGTGGAGGTTGCAGTGAGCCAGATCGCGCCACTGCACTCCAGCCTGGCGACAGAGCAAGGCTCTGTCTCAATAAATAAAGAAATAAATGAATAAATAAATATTAATGCAAAAAATCCATGATGAACAAAATGTCAAAATTTTAAATACAGAATCCATGGGCCATGATTAGGGTTAGGAGAGTGAGGCTCTCACTCTCAGGGTCCTACAAGGGCCGAGTTGGACCTGGTCTTTAGTTAAAATTGTGATAGTTTGTTCATTTGGTGTTGGGGCTGGTGAGATCATGATGGGCCAGTGTCTGCCTCTCCAGCTGTAGCCCCAACCCCGTGCTGCATGCAGTAAGCTTCTCTTGCGGAATTCATATGGTATCTTTACAATAAATTCTATTTCACTGAAGCTGAGCTGAGTGGGGTTCTGTTGCTGGTGACCAACTAAAACAGAAATAAATATTTATTTATTTATCTTCCAACTTCACAGAGCCCTTTCAGAGAATCACAAAATCTTTTCTTCTAGATTCAGCCTTCTGTGTCAAATTATAAGGCTAAAATTTATAGCAATAATATAGGGTTTTCTTTTTAAATATATTACTTCCAATTCCATCAATATAACACAGTAGTTTCAGTTTTACATGTTCTTTTATAAGCTCTGATCATAGTTTTACATAGTCACAGTGAGCACAATTTTGTATTCTGCTTTTTTGGTGAACTTTGCACACCAAAGATTTTCCATGTTGTTACACGTTATGGCTGTAGGCTGTTTGTTGAGTTTTTTGTCCCATATTTTACTTATAAATTTTATTATTTTTAGGTGACTTATAAATTGTCTTCAATTTTTTCATATAATAATGTGAAAATGAATATGTTTATTTCCATGAATCTTGTTTCTTCAGTTATTTCTTTAAATTATGGTCCCAGAAGTCTGATTTCTGAGCCAAGTCCACTGTTGTCTTTCTTAGTGTATAATTTGTATTGCCATATAATTTTTCAACAGCATTTAGATTTTACAGGGGAAAACAAAGAAATTGGAGCCAAAATAATTCTTACATATAGGACACCTTATTTCAAATTTAAATGGCAGTGGGGGAAGTATTCATCTTTAAAATTTGATTTATTTATGAGATTGTTCATTTTCAAAATTGAGCCACAGATAGATTATTTTCTTTTCACTTGCAATAGAGCCCTGTGGTTACACCAACTACTTTTTCTCTCTGCAGTTTATTTTGCAAACCAGAGGAACAATTATACTTTATGAATTTTTTTTAACCAAGAGAATATTTTTGACACTTCTGATGATAACCCAATAGTCATGTCAGTTGCAAATTTAAATCGGAACCCACTATATACATAGCAAGTATTTGACACTAAAACATTATTTTTTAAAAAATTAATATCATACCTCTAAAAAAGAACTACAATCTTCTGTTTCAATTGTGGATATGTTTAACCATGCCCAGCACCTTCTAGACCACTCAGGAATTAAACAGATGCCAATGAAAATTCAAAGCCATACTTCACATTTCTGTGATGCATTTTCACTGAGACATTTAAGGCCATCTTTAAAAAAATAGTAATGGCAAAAGAAGGACCTGAGGCCCCAAGAGGCTTATTTTTCCCAAATTGAGTCAATGACCGAACTAGTGATTAAACAGACGTTTCTTATACATGGGTCATTGTCTCTGAATAAAACGATTCTATCAACATTTCCCCCAAAGCCAACATTTTGAAACATGAAACTCACTCTCAATCCAGATAAATAAAATTGAGGTAAAAAGCCAAAATGTGACCATTGGGAGGTAAAGATCTTAAAAGCAAATTTTATTCTGGTTACATTCATTAGCAGAAATACTTTCATCTGACACAGCATTAGGTCAACAACTTTAAACCCCAAACTACCTTTTTTTTTTTGAGATGGAGTCTACTTCTGTGACCCAGGCTGGAGTGCAGTGGCGCAATCTCAGCTCACTGCAAGCTCCGCCTCCCGGGCTCTAGCGACTCTTGTGCCTCAGCCTGCTGAGTAGCTGGGACTAACAGGTGCCCAGCTGTTTTTTTGTATTTTAGTAGAGATGGGGTTTCATCATGTTGCCCAGGGTGGTCTTGAACTCCTGAGCTCAGGCGATCTGTCCGCTTCGGCCTCCCAAAGTGCTGGGATTACAGGTGTGAGCCACTGTGTCCAGCCCCAAACTACCTTTTAAAAGAAGGAGTTTCTGGGGGTAGATGTGGAAACAGGAAGCAAATGAAAAGAAGGCATTTGGTGCATCACAGAGGTGAAGTCTCAACTAGCCGGAAGACCAGGGGAAATCTAACTCCTAAAAAAAGGTAACACTGGAGATGAACAGTGCCTTGAGATGAATCTATAAAATAACCCCTTCATCTTGCAAATAAAGAATCCAAGGCTCCATGGCTGGTCCAAAATTAAATGGATGGATTGTCCTGGCACCAGGACTATAATTCAGCTTTTTTGAATGCAGTGTGCCATTACTTTATCTCACTGCCACGTCGCTGACAACGTGGTCTTCCTGGTGGCAGCCTCTGTCCCTGTCCCTCTTTGTCCTGTGTTACCCATAACTTGTTTCTGGGAACCAGCTGAAGGAGTCTCCACTCCAGGCAGCACCAAGCATATGAGCTACTAATACTGAACAACATGGTAGGACTGCTCTCAAATTACCTTCCTGTGTCCTATCAAGGTTGGACCCCTACCTTCATTCATCCACTCAGTCTCTGTTCCTCTAAGCTCATATTCTCCAGAAAATATTTAGCGGGTTCCATACAGTCACTAAATTTTTTTTTAGTGGCTGTGTGGAGCCCACTACATATTTTTTTCTCTTTCGATTTGTATGCTGGTCCCTTTCAAAGGAGTTGAAGAGTAGTTCCAAAGAAGGGGCAGTTGTCTAGACAGGTAGTCTAGATAGAGGGCATCACTGAGCATCACTTTTGTGCCCTGTATTTTGAAACATACAGCATCCTGGCAGGAAACAGGATTGGGTTAGATGTTTCCATGAAGAGACTGCCAAGAAAGAACTACTTGCAGAGGAATGAGAGTGTTAAGGGACCAGACAAGGAATGTTGAGGCATCCTGAGACCAGCAACAATGGGGAGCTGTTGCCATTTGGGGCTGAGACAGAAAATGGCATAACATACTTTCATCTCTAAACAAGGGGTAAAGAAAAAAGAAAGACAGAGGCCCCAAAAGCCTTCATTTTCCTAAATTGAGTCAATGACTGAATTAGTAATTAAACAAATATTCCTTATATATGGGTCATTGTCTCTCTATAAAAGAATTCCATTAGCATTTCCCTCCAAACCAACATTTTGAAACATAAAACTTATTCTCAACCTAGATAAATAAAATGGAAGTAAAAAGCCAAAGTGTGACCATTGGGAGGTCAACATCTTAAAAGCAAATCTTAGCTATTATAGAGCCTGGTGGGAGCCGGAACGCTGATTAGGGGTGGGGGAGTTGACAATGCTGTATCAAGGGAGGATGCTGACAGTGCTAGGGATGCTGTGCTGAATGAAGCAAGGAGGGCAAGAGAAAAAAGAACTACTCCTCTCCTGCCTTTCTTTCTTACCATTCTCCATTTCCTGCCAGCCTCCCATTGAAGGAAAACCAACCAAAGAGCTGGCTGTGGTTTGTGAGGCTCAGCCTTTCTGCGCAACAGAGCAGAACAGGGCATGGATTGGGGAGTAAAAGGAAACATGTCAGCAACGATTTTCCTGCATGTCTTCTTGTCTAATATACAAAACAGTCCCATTTTATTACTGAGAAAACCGAGGTAACTTCACAAGCTGCTTTGAATCCTTTCCAAAATAAGGCAGCTTATCGGTCAGTCAACTTGCTCATGGTCACGGTGCTAGTGCGTAACTGGGATCTGAACACGTTTGTTTGGTCCCGCAGGGAACGACAGTCCTTTACACGATGTGGTGCGGAAGTTGTTCAGGCGCTGTGGTGAGACATTCTCAATCATCACCTCATTTAATCCTCACAGCAGCTCTGGAGAATGAGCAGCATTGTCCTCTTAACTTTTCCTTATGAGGAATGGAGTCTGAAAGAAGCTAAGTATCTCACCAGGTAATACCATAATGGGGCCAGAATTCAAATCCAAGAGTCTGAGATCTTAATTACGTCACCATTTTATGCCTTTCCCAACGAATGTTTCACTGGTCCCTGAAGCTGTCTGTGGAGAGCAGAGTGACACTGTCTCATGTGGGTGTCTAGTCCCTGACCTGCAATCCAGTTTCCCTGGAAGGTGCCAAGTGTGGGGTGCCTGATCCATCTTTAGAAGCCTCCTGGTGGGTGCTAACAGTCATGAGAGGTCTTCTTCTGTGGGATAATAATGACTACACTTGGCATGTTCCCCAGTCTGTAGAATGAGCTCACCAGGTGGCTGCTGTTCCTCCTCTACAGATGGCATAATTCAGGTTGTGACAGACATGTGGATCATGCAAGCTGGCGTGAATTGGCAGCCACGTTGGACTGACCATAACACCTTCCTTCTTCTCTTTAATTCATTTCTCACTTTCTAATCCACCTCAAATCAGTTAAACCCTTGAAAAGAAGCCTAGCAAGTTGAACCATGAATCATCATGGATCCAGAATGTTACCTCTTTGGCTATCCCTGTCTCCTCATGCGTGCAGGTAGATTCAAAGCCTCTCACCTCTTTCTGCATTCTGTCAGAACTGTTTGAGTGGCAAAAGTGAATGAACCAGTGAATGGACAAATGAATGAATGAGTAAATAAGTAAGCATATACATGCTCATTCTGACTTTGAAATCCATCATTTAAATTTTTTTTTATCATGTCATTAAAGCCCCAGAGTCAGTGGTTGCCCTTATTTTACTAAAAATAAGGTTGTTGGAAGATGAAAGCTGCATGATTTCAATTTAGTTTTCCTTGTGTTTTGGAAGTTGCCTCCAAGAGCTTTTCAGATGGTGGGGCTGAAAAAGCCTGCAGCAAGTATTTAATAAATTTTTTTTTCTTTTTTTCTTTCTTTTTTTTTTTTTAAGACGGGGTTTCACTCATGTTGCCCAGGCTGGAGTGCAATGGCACGATCTCAGCTCACTGCAACCTCCGCCTCCTGGGTTCAAGCGATTCTCTTGCCTAAACCTCCTGAGTAGCTGGGATTACAGGTGCCTGCCACCATGCCCAGCTAATTTCTTTTTGTATTTTTAGTAGAGACGGGGTTTCACCATTTTGGTCAGGCTGGCCTCTAACTCCTGACCTCAGATGATTCACCCACCTTGGCCTCCCAAAGTGCTGGGATTACAGGTGTGAGTCACTGCACCTGGCCTAATAGACATTTTTATTTGGTGTGCTGAACAGAATCTTTTGAGGGTTCATAATCTGAAAGACATTAAATTCTATAAATTAATGGAGCCATTCAACTCATCCATGACCAAGGAGCCAATCTAATGGCACTTGAGCCAATGAACGACAGCTTTTTTCCTGACAAAAGACTGGTCCACATTTGGCAGGGAGGCTGTCCTCTTACATAAGCATTCAGATTTAGGAGGGCATCCACGAAGCTGTGAGGGACGAACGGGAGACCTGCTCAGCCAACCACACCTGCTGAGCCAGTCCTGGTGGACGGGAGGAAGACTAATGGGCACCTTTGTTTGCCAGGCAGATATTATCACCAGAGTAGTGCTTCTTGAACTTAATGTGCATATGAATCACCTGGAGATCTTGTAAAAATGCAGATATTGATGAACTAAGTTGAGGATGGGGTTTGAAATTCTTCATTTGTAACAAGTTTCCAGGTGCAGCTGATGTTGCCAGTCCAAGGACCACATCTTGAATAGCAAGGTCCTAGTGTTTATCTTATTGTTGTAGTGATATCTTGATTAGGTCGGTGATTTATCAGTAGCTTTATCTGGGGGTAGTGCTGATCTTACGCAAGAGCATTTGATGTCATGGAAGTCATTGTCATTGTCACTGGAGTCATCTTGGAGTCATCATTGCTACTCTTTGTTGAGAATCTCAACCACAGCAACATATTGGCAAGCATCAGAAACTCAATCAAAGAGGCTCTGATGAAAAACAAAATTTATAAGATATAAACAAAACCCTTAGGACTTAATTACAGCCCCATAGGGACTAGACCTAGAAAAAGCAATTCTTCTCTCTTTGCTCCCTGCTGCACATGTTCTCATTCAACTGCTCGCACACAGCCCCTCAAGGCTGCCAACTAGTGCTGGCCTTAGCAACCTGTCTACATCACCTAGAAGCTCATTCACTTACAGCTAATGGACTGAAGTCTCAGTTCCAAATTCCCAGGTGCCCATCAGCTTAGATTCAGTCAGGGTCCGGCCTGGGTTCAATGCCAGAGAGGGGTGTAGGCAGGATGATATAACCCAGAGGCTGCCAGAACTGAGGGCCCCAAAGGCGGCCTGAGTGGGAAGGCTCAGAGATTTCCTAGCATGCATAGCCAGTAAGTGGGTGAACAGGGATTCACACCCACATCTTTCTCATGTCCCAGTCCAGGAACTTCCCATTCAGTTACACGTCTCTTTGTGATTTGATGGGGTCCAAGAAGAGACTCCTACAACCTATCTCCTCTCCACCCCTCCGAGCCTTAAGAAGTCTCCCTTGTTTGAGTACTTGTGTCCTCAGGAGAATTGCAACTGGGACGGAGATGGTGGCCCCTTCTCTCAGGCTCCTCACATCGAATTCATCGTATGTCCACCCTGCAGTGTCAGTTGCACAGCCAGTCCTGAAGGTTAATCATTTTCGGGAGCCCAGTCCTAGGCTGGTCTACCCATAAAGTCACAGCTTCCACAAGGGCACCAAGCATCAGCTCTTGATGGCCTTCAGGTCACACCAGGATGCCTCCCTCTGCTCTCTCTCAGGGACTGTGATCTGCTTTGTTCTGCACCATCCCCTGGCCTGGGCCTCTCCAGGCTGAGGGCAAATCTTAGGCCCATCAGGCCTCCTGGCCTGCTGCTGTGTCTAGTATCTTCACTGTATTTCTGTGGGATTGGAGGGGGGCGAAGTTGCCTGTCAGCCATGCAATAACAGACCTGGCTTGTTTGGGACTTCTGGATTCCCTCTGGTGCCCTGCCCGAGTCCCCAGTATATGTTCCACTCCGAAGGGTCAGTCAGTATGCCTGCCCTCCCCATTGGCTTCCTGCTGTCTGGTTAGGACATCTAGTTCTGGATATAGTTACATTTGCCTTTCAGCGACAAAATAGGGAAGCTGGGTGGGAGATAAAAAAATGAAATAGTTCCAAAGCCACTCTTCCCTGCACGGAAAATGTGGCCTGAGGTCTTCCTGACCCAGGAGCATGCTGTCAGCCTCATGGCTCTTTCATGATCCATACCTGAAAACCAAATGCTCCACCTCCAAGTCGATGGTATTTTATTTGTTGACTGGAGCAGAATAGTGATGCTGTCACCTGTCGGGAGAGCAGCGAGCCTTCCCTGGGGTGGGGTGTGAAGGACACGGGGAGGAGACAGGGGTAGGCTGCTGATGGGAGATTGATATGCAGCCTGGGTATGAGAGCCACACGGTCTGTGACTCTGACAGGAGACAGTCAACTCCAGCCTGGGACAGGCATCATGTGATGGGCAGGCCAGGTGTAGAGTCAGCCTAGCAGGGCTCATGGTCAAAGTTAGACACATGTGGCCATGGGGAGACAGACTTTCTTGTGGTGTTCGTAGTACGTGGAACATAGTCTTCCAAGAGATGGTCTCCCTCTCTCAGCCTGGCCCAGGGCATGGACAACAGGAACTTCTCCTAAGAGGGCTAGTCTTGGGACATGGTCTTCCAGCCTTGGTTTCCCTACCCAGGACATTTATTTTTTTTTTCTTTTTTCTTTTCTTTCTTTCTTTCTCTTTTTTTTTTTTGAGATGGAATCTCACTGTAATGCCCAGGCTGGAGTGCGGTGGTTGCAATCTCAGCTGACTGCAACCTCTGACTCCTGGGTTCAAGCGATTCTCCTGCCCCAGCCTCCTGAGTAGCTGGGATTATAGGTGCCTACCACCACGCCTGGCTAATTTTTGCATTTTTAGTAGAAACGGGGTTTCACCATATTGGCCAGGTTGGCCTCGAACTCCTGACCTCAAGTGATCTGACTGCCTTGGCCTCCCAAAGTGTTGGGATTACAGGCATGAGCCACTGTGCCTGGCTGCCATTTCTTTTCTATTGGTTTACCCTGCTCTTTTCTTTCATAGAACTCATCACAGGTTTAATCTGATATTTAATTGTTGATGTGTTTACTTTTTACAAGCCCACTGAGGGCAGGATTGGACCTGTGGGTGCTCCCAGGACCGACTGTGTGCCCTGCATGCAGTAAACATTCAGTTAATAGTCATCGAGTAAACAGTTAATAGTCATCGAATAAACATTCAGTTAATAGTCATCGAGGGTGTGGAAGCCTGGGCTGAAGGGCAGCACCTCTTGGATCGTGGACTGGGGCAGCTGATTAAGGAATGCGGCACTTGGCCAGCAGGCAGATTTTGTCCCTGGTTGGGGGAAAGTCAAGAGAGTGATGCTTGTATGTAGACAAAAATATAGGAAGTAAAAAGATCATGGAGAATGTGCTGTGGAAATGTGTTGCCATCTCTGACCTGAACCTGGTATAGCCTGCTGGTCAAGAGGCTAGACTCTGACCTTGGGTAGACTTGGTCTAGGTCCTGCCGTGTTGCTTTTCCTCTCCCAGTGTGAATGTCCTGTCTGAAACGGGAGGTAATCAGACCTGCTTGACAGAGACGTTGTGGGGATTAACCAAGATAATGCCAAGCATGGCACCTGGCACACACAGAGCTATTTGTATTATTTTATCACTAAACTAAAAAACTGCAAACCTGTAAAATTATTATCATTATTATAAGGCAGCACATTATAGTGTCATGAAAAGGCCATGACATTTGGAATCTGAAAACCTTGGCTCTGGATCCCAGCTACATACTGACAGCTGTAACGACCTGCGTATCTTGTAACTTCTCTGGATCCCATTTAAAAAGTCAGTTCTTGCTACATGGTGATGGAAAGGATTATATGAGATAACGCATGATAATATGTTGATTAGAAGTGAAAAGCACTATTCCAGGGTAAGTTTTTCCTCTTCTATAATGGCTGAGGAGATGGAACTAGTGTAGGCAAAAATTTCAGAGGAAAGATAATTGAAGAATCAAAAGATTGCAACCCTTCAGCAACATTATTACATTTTAAAGAACTGGAGATTTTGAAAATGAGACGAAGTAAAAGTATGGTTAACAATCCTCCTAGTTTGCTCAGCGACCATCTTCATAAATATAAGTTCTGTTGCCTCCAGCGAAACATGGTACCCTTTGTTAATTGCAACTTCAGTGGTCTCCCAAGGGGCCGCTCCTCTCCTGCACCCCATAAAACAGCGTGTATGCCTGTGGCTGTCTCTAAATCCTTTGAAAAAGACTGTAAAAAACACCCACAAAAGGAAAATCGAGCACCTTCCACTTTTTTCCCCTTTCTACTTTTAAAGTTTCATTGGACATTAAAAGTTTTTATGGCTATCAAGGAAAAGCATTTTGCCACTTGAAGTTAAGGTGTGATTCAAATTACAGGATGGCAGAGTCAATTCCTAAAGTGATATTTAACGAGTTTCACAGATATCTTTTTTTACAGGACATTTTTATTGGTGCAGAGAGGCAGAAAAAGCCACAGACTTAGAAACTCTCTGTAACTGCCCTGTGGCCCCTCTCTGCTTAAGGTGCAGCCTGGGCCGTTCTTTCCTTTGATTCCTTTTCCTCCATGCTTCCCTGGGCAATGGCAGAACACTTTTCTGTGAATGGGCTCCAAGACACATGGACAGGTGATGAGGATTGGTGGGTGCCCAGCATATGAGTTTTGTTTTTTGTTTTGTTTTTTTTTTTTTTTTTTTTAAGACGGAGTCCTACTCTGTCGCCCAGGCTGGAATGCATTGACATATCTCGGCTCACTGCAACCTCTGCCTCCCAGGTTCAAGGGATTCTCCTGCTTCAGCCTCCCGAGTAGCTCGTACTACAGGCAAGCAGCACCACGCCCAGCTAATTTTTGTATTTTTAGTAGAGGCGGGGTTTCACCATATTGGCCACGCTGGTCTCGAACTCCTGACTTCAAGTGATCTGCCCACCTCGCCAGAATATGATGTTTGTGTTCAACTGTCTATGTGGCCACAGGTGAGATCACGTACATAATTTTAATCTGAGCATTGTTTTAGCAGTTTGCAAAGTTGAGTGAAGAGGAAGTGCGTGCACATTGAAACATAGACCACTGTCATTGCCATCAATGCTTGCAAAGCATTTGGTTATGAATGCTCCAGATAGCTTCTGTTTTCCAAAGGATGAGAACACACAATAAAGCAAACAAAATTGCCTTATTATTTAGCAGAATCGGTAAGCAATGTTATTGATGCACAGATTAAATAAGTTAAAAAAAAATCCCACAGTTGTAAGGACTATGAACTAATTAATAACTGCAAGTCGTGAGTGAAAACTTGTGAAGTGACCCTTCCTTTCTTCTTGGATGCAATGTCTTCTTGCCCAGGGCATAACTCTTATCAATCTGGTCAATAATTCAAAAAGATTTTTTAATGTGAGGGCTGATTAATCTTGTTTGATTTTTTTCATTTGTGAAATTAGCTGGACATTCATGTAATTGATACTTATCATTTCACAAGTAGATCCAACTTGATTGTAGAACAAATTAAGACGGTCTTCCCCTGCCAGTTAGAAAATAAAGCAGTCCTTACCCGTCTTCTGCTGAATCTCTTACGGTCTATAAATGATGTTTTAGAAAACAAGCAGTGATGGACAAATTCAATGGGAAACTTTTTGTGTTCTTTTTTCATTGAGCCCAAAACCATCTCCACAGAGGCCAAGTGGCTTGTTTGGTTCAAACAGTGTTAAAATACCTTAACGAACTGATAATAAAATCCCCCCAAAGTCTATTTACACATATTTCCAAGTGAACTAAAGGACACGGGAGACATTATTTTTTAAACTCCCAAGAGAAACCTCCTTTCCCTTTCCAGTCAAGCAAATCTGAGTTGACTTCTCCCGTAAATTCAAGAACAAAAAGTTATAAATTGAGCATATGAAGGACATTGCCTTTTTTTAAGTGATGTTTCCTTGACTTAATGGATTTGGTTATGGCAGAGAGTCAGAGAAAAGCTGTCTTAACTAAATCTTTGACTGATTATGCATTTTTTCCCTATTCATACAAGATAGATTCATCATCCCAATTTGTCAAGCTGGCGAAGTTCCAATTAATTACACCCAGCAAACCTCGGCTTGTGTTATGCCCATGTCAGGCCTAATCTAGTGCCTCATTTGCCGGCAGCCCAATGAAGAGGTATCAGAGGTGGTGTTTCTTATGGTACTTACGGTGATGGATGCCCCCGCGGCACGGCCGGTGGCACAGGCAGAGCCCTGGACGTGTCTTTTCTCCGAGTCTGAGGACTCAAAGCTCCTGTACTAATTGAAAGGCTCATCTGTGTAGGGGATGTTGTTGCAAAGTCGATCCTTCATAGCTGGGCTGAAAGCTTTCCCCGTCACATGGGCTGTTTAAATATCTATGCGGGTCCTACATTTCTGTCAGGTTTGTCCTTGCAAAATGGAAGAAAACAAAGGCAACTTGTCCTGAGCTGAGTTTTTGAGCTCTTTAGAGGCTGATGTGTGTTATAGGGGAAAAACATAGGTAGTAGTGAGGTGTACCCCAGGCATTTATGAACATATCTGTATATGCTTGTAGCTATATGTTTTTATGTTGTTTATAGGGCGTGCCACTATCTTCTGACTGTGGCGACTTTGCTTTCATGCTTTCAGTTGATTAGGCAATGATCTGCTAATGAACGTTACTTATGGGGCAATGTGAGGCCCACTGAATTTTGATATCATTCTCCGGTGCATGCATGAACTAAAGTTTGCTTGAGTGACTTAAGTCACATGCTATGACAAGTGGTATGTTGGCATAACATCTCTGTAGACCTATTGTTATTATCCCCATTTAGGGTGGGAAAACTTAACTTGGAGAAGTTAAATGACTTGCTCAAAGTTGCACAACTAATGAGCTGTGGAAATGGGATTTATCTCATTGTAAGTTTTGAGCTCTTTCCAGGAAGCTATTGCCATTAAAATAATGGCAAAAACCGCAATTACTTTTGCACCAACCTAATAGTTCTCTCAGGTACCTGTTTCTTCTTCTTCCTCTGTCCGCACTCCATCCTGGCCTACAACCTTTACCATTTCCTCCTCCCACCCACATGGTAACCTGCAAACTACAGTGGGAGTAAGAGCCTGCAGTACCTTGCTATGTGGACCAGGTTTGCAGGGTGGCAGAGCTCTTTGATGCTGGAGGTTGCTGGCTGTGCCTGCATCTCCCTGTACCATGCAGCACGGGGGCGTACTGGGGCTGAAGCTGGGCCTGTTCCCAGATTGCCTTGACTGCTTCCTTCTTTCTCTATCTCTCTGAGAGTCTCCTTCCTGTATCATCTGTCACTTCTCTATCCTCAGCTCTGTGTTTTTTTTTGTTTTGTTTTTTTTTTGAGACGGAGTCTTGCTCTGTTGCTCAGGCTGGAGTGCGGTGGCATGATCTCAACTCACTGCAACCTCTGCCTCCCAGTTCCAGTGATTCTCCTGTCTCAGCCTCCTGAGTAGCTGGGATTACAGATGCATGCCACCAGGCTCGGGTGATTTTTGTATTTTTAGTAGAGACAGAGTTTCATCATGTTGGCCAGGCTGGTCTCGAACTCCCAACCTCAGGTGATCAGCCCACCTAGGCCTCCCGAAGTGCTGGGATTACAGACATGAGCCACCGTGCCGGGCACCATACTCAGCTTTGGATGAAACACCACCACCACCTGAAGGTATGGAGACTGGATCCCCAAGTGGCCACTGGAGGGTCAGATGCTGAACCTCAGCAATGTTGCACAGTTGGAAAACCTTGACCGATGGGAGACAGGAGACAGGAGAGTGTAGGAAACCAAGCTGATACGGACCCCCTCCCTTCCTGCATTCATGGGCTACCCTGAGCTGTGGCTTCTCCTTGTTTCCCTGGCAGAGAGGTCCCACATGCTAAGTGAGCACATCTGCTGAGCACCAGCCTGTGTCTCTGTGGCTCTCAAGAAATCAGTGGGCAGTCAGTAATATACTGCTTTGCATTGCCCTACATTCGACCCTACTTCTTTTTTAACCCACCCCACTTTCAAAACAAAATGTTGGCATCTTCATCCTTGCCTCTGGGCTCCAGACGGGATACAGGGACACTAAGGAGAAAAGCTGACTTTTCACCCTTGCAGCTTCTGCAGAAGAGACCCTGAAAGGGGTTGCCATGTTTGGGGAAGAATTAAATCACACCAAAGACCAACTTTTAGTTTGAATAAGGCTTCAAGTTCATTAATATTCAGCATTTACCTTCCTTCTTGATTCTTAAATATGATGTGTTTTACAGTTATCAAAAACATATGCTGCTTTTCAGCAGAATTTTATATACAACTTTTTCAACAGAAGGTGCCAGCATCCCAATATGTTTTGCTTAGTTTTGGCTTTAACTATTGTGATGAAAGCATTCAAGTGCAAGGATGTCATCTTTTTAAACGTGGATGGAGATGTTGCTGAAAGGTGCCTCTTGAACAAAGAAAAAATAAAGGAATTATTTATTCTTTCTTCCATTGAATTAGTTTCTATGATATTTCTATTACGGGGAAAATTCTGTATTAAGCTTAGTGAGAACTACATGGATAACTCAATCCCAGACCTTGTTTTCAAGGTATGTACAGTCTGATACCTTCTTGATAAAGCTGGTTGTGGCATTCTTCTTATTAAAGGAGCCAGGGATAGTTTTCTGATGCTATACCTGTGGGATAATATTGATTATTAAAATATTAAAATACTTTCCTATCTGTTGTAAATACACACATTGCCCTAAGCCACCCACACCTGGCCTATCTCATCCCTCCCTTATGGTCCAGGCACTAAAGCAGTAATGCTTGACAAAGCAAGGGATTCTGAAACTTTCCTCCAGCACTATAGCCAGTGTCCAATCTGACTGCTCAGAGCCCATCCGTCCACTGTTGATGAGGTTTCATCTTTCCTGAATGGAGTGATGCTGTGCTGGTTATATTCAGATAATCTATATCTGTGATGGTGAATTTTATATGTCCACTTGACTGGGCTACGGGGTGACCAGATAGTTGGTTAAACATTATTGCTTGATGTGTCTGTGAGGGTGTTTCTGAAAGATAATAGCATTTGAATCAGTAGAGGGAGAAAAGAAGATTCATCCTCACCAAGGTAGGTGAGCACCACTCAATCCATTGAGGGACTGAATAGAACAGAAAGGCAAAGGAAGGGTGAATTCACTCTTTCTGCTTGAGCTGGGATAGCCATCTTCTCCTCCAATGTACATAGCTGATCCTGGTTCTTGGACTTACAACATTAATTTCCTGGTGGCCTTAGAGTTTGGACTGGCGTTACCCCATTGGCTTTCCTGGGACTCCAGCTTGCAGACAGCTGATTACAGGACTTCTCAGCCTCCTTAACTGCATGAGCCAATCCTCATAATGAATCTCTCTCTCTCTGTCTCTCTGTCTCTCTCTGTATTGGTTCTGTTTCTCTGGAAAATCATGCCTAATATCATATCTTTGCTGTTACGCTCTCCAGCTAGAGTTGTGGAGGTGTTTCTGACTTTCTTTAGTTCTATCAGTTTTTGTTTGATATGTTTTGAGACTCTATTATTAGGTGCATACTCATTTAGAATTATTATATCTTCCCGATGAATGGACTCATTTATCATTATGAAAGCTTCCTCTTGGTAACACTGCTTATCTTGAAGTTTATTTTAACTGATACTAGTATTGTCATACCTGCTTTCTTCTACCAAGTTTGCATGAGATGTTTTTTTACATCTTCTTACTTTAAAACTATCTGTATCTTACATTTAAACTTCTTCTCTTGAAGATAGCATAGGTGACTCTTGATTTGTTTTTTTAAATCCAGTTAGACAATCTCTGCTTTTTAATAGGAACTGTTAGTCTATATGTATTTAATGTAATTTTTTATGTGGTTGGGTTTAGTCTGGCATTTTTTGCTTTTTACTTGTACATCTGTTTTTCTTTTCTTTCCTTTTTTTTTTTTATTTTTTTTGTATTTTTAGTAGAGACGGGGTTTCTCCAGGTTGGTCAGGCTGGTCCCAAACTCCCAACCTCAGGTGATCCTCCTGCCTCGGCCTCCCAAAGTGCTAAGGTTACAGGTGTGAGTCACCGTGCCCAGCCCCTACATCTGTTTTTCATTCCTTGTTCCTTCTTTTTCTCCTTCTTCAGGTTATCAATGATTTCTTAGCATTTTATTTTAATTCCCCTATTGGATTGTAGCTATGCCTGTTATTATTTTTTAGTTGTTGCTCTAGGGATTATAATATGGATCATCATTAGCTTATCACAATCTATTTAGTGTTATTATTGTACCACTTTATCTAAAATATAAGAGCCTTGAAATAGTATGACTTTTTTTTTTTTTTTCTTTGAGACGGAGTCTCACTCTGTTGCCCAGCCTGGAGTGCAATGGTGTGAACTCGGCTCACTGCAACCTCCGCCTCCCAGGTTCAAGCGATTCTCCTGCCTCAGCCTCCCAAGTACCTGGGATTACAGGCATGTGCACCATGCCCAGCTACTTTTTGTATTTTTAGTAGAGACAGGGTTTCACCATGTTAGCCAGGATGGTCTCGATCTCCTGACCTTGTGATCCGCTCGTCTCGGCCTCCCAAAGTATGACTTTATTTATCTTTCTCCCTCACCATATGTGCTACTGTTATCATATCTTTCTACATCTACATACATTATGTTTATATTCTGTACTAACATAGAAATAAATATATAATGTATTTAAATATAAGCATGTATTTTAAATACATATTAATATGTTTAAAAATACATAAATAAGATGTAAATTATATTTGAATTAATGTTTCATATATTAAACATATAAACATATATATTGGCTTTAAATGGTCAGTTGCCTTTTAAAGAAATTAATAAGAGACAACTGTGGTCTTTGGTGCTTTTCTGCATTTAACATTTCCAGTGCTCTTCATTCTTCTTTGCGGATCTATGTTTTCACTTAGTGTCATTCCATCCTGGCCTGAGGAACTTCTTTGGCATTTCTTATAAAGAAACCTGCATATATGTGGATTTCACTCAGTGTGACTGTAGTTTTCACCTGCTTTTCCCTCTCTCTAGTGCCTTCTAATAGGAATAAATTGTGGATTAAAGATACTAGTGATGACTGCACTTGTACAGCTGATGACAAGTCATTTGTAGGAGCTCGGCCTTTCTGCCAGAGCAATGGGCATGACATCATTAGATGAGGAGCCCGAGGGCTGGCTTCTGCCTGAAGACATATTTTCTGACTTACACCACAGGGTCTAATGTATTTTAAGCTTATTTTTGGATTTGGAATATTTCACATAAAATTATAGATTTCTGGTTTCTCTTGAAAATTTAGAAACTCTGTAAATTTGGGGTTAGATAGGAGGTTCAGAATGCCCTATGTTTGTGCCTCTTTAAGGCCAATTTGAATGTTCTCTGAAGAGACTATGAATATGGAGAACTCTGTCATAGTGAAAAAAACCAAAAAGCCTCTTGAATTTTTAGATGGAGACTCCACGACAGAATAAATGGCATAAAGGAATGGCTCAAGAACACAATCTTTTCAGAGAGGGAGGGCTCCAGATTGTCCTGGAAAAGACACAGATGAAATGCCAGTGAATCATGTAGTAAGGCTGGTCAAACATGCTGGGAAATGCTTTTGTCTTTTTGCCTTCTTGGAATCACTCTGTTTTGGGATTGTTACTTTGAAGTTCAGTGACTCCAGGATGGCTTTAGACTCAAACGCTTCACCTCTGCAGGCTGGATTCCATGGCCCTGTCCAGATACCAGCTCTGTTGTGCTGGGGGAAAGTGTAGGAACAAAAAGAATACATGGAGAAGGAAAATGTATCCCCAAGAAGGAATATGCTGGTGGTCAATGGTGAAGGGTGGGATTCACAACCCAGTGTGAGAAGAGGGTGAACTTGTGCTGTGCACTTTGCAGGAGGAATCTAAGAAGAAACTTCAGATCCAGCTGGGGTGGCACCAATAGCAATCTACCAATGTGGACAGGCGTCCGTCCAAACACTCTTTGGCTGATTTTATTCACTTTGGAGCTTCATAGTGGAAAAAAAAAGTAAAGTTTCTCTGATACTAGAAAATTATAGAAGACAAGAGGAATGGGATCTCTGCCCCAAACCCATCCTTTTAGATTAATGCTCACTAATGGATATTAAAACAAGTTAGATTAATGAAAGCCCGATAGACCATGCAGCTGAAAAAAACACACTTTCTTCTGACAGCCAGGCAGTCAAGAGATGTCCAGGGACTAAAGAGCAATTCAGATTAAATTACCCTCTCCATTAGGATGTCCTTTCCTTGATAATTTGTGAGCCAGAGAAGGGGGATGAAGAGTTGCCATGATCACCAGAGGTCATTCGTTTAAAGTGAACTTTGTGACTATAGAAATAAGGGCCACATTCAGCTTTTATATTCTGGCAGGTTAATTGAACACAGGTCAATAGGAGACAGGAGTAAGGGACGTTGGATTTGGGATAAGCAGCTGTTTGAAATCATGAGGAGCATGGATGGAGAGAAATGAAGGAGCCTGCCAGGTGTCAGCTGGCCGGCATACTAGTGAAGGGTATTTTCACCATTAAGTTCTGTTATTTGCACTCTGTGGTGGTCTTGCACCATGTGCATTTAGCTAAGCTGGAACTACATTTCCCAGAATTCCCTTCAGTATCCGGTCTCATGTTAGGGTTGGCCATGGGAGAAATTTGTGCAAGATTTAGAAGCTGAAAGTAAAGCAGCAGCCAAGTTTATGTTCCTACAGTTTCAATAGGTGGGATACCAAGCAATGTGGCAGTCCAGGCAGGTTGTCATTGATGTGCTGGCTCACCTTCCCGGCATGACAGCACCTGCACCCACAGCAACTCAGGTTTCCATAGGTTTTCTGCTGTGTGCAACTCTGGCAGAGGATGTCAGCTTTTTCATGTCATCATGTATTTTAGGTTACAGGGGTTAAAGACAAATGCAAGGTCCAGATTGTGTTTGTGAGTTCTAGCTTATGCATGTGGGGTCCAGTTCATCATTGCTCTCCCTGACCTCACATCCAGCTTTCCTTCCTGACTGCCCATTCAGATGATCTAATAGTAGTGACCGCATGCACAACACCCAGTGCAGAGGCAGCAGCCTTGCATAGACTTTCCCCCAGTTTCCAGGTCTAACGTGGGAAACACATCTCTTATCCCAAATCATTCATAGTGGTTCTGCTTCTTGGGTAAAATCCCGACTGATGACCCTGCAGGTGTTGTATGGTGGATGGACTCCTGGAGACATTTCCGCAAAGCTGCTGTTAGGGGTCCCTGTCTTCATAAGTGCTGGCTTCCTTTTAGTTTCAGGCTCTAGGAAAATCTAGGTTTACCTACGGTGAGCTGTGTTTATCCCCTATACAGTGATGAAGGCTGCGGAAATAGAAAGATTCAGTAAAGCTGTCCTACAGAAATGGAATACAACCTGCCTGTTATGTCTCTTCTGTTGCGGCATTTGGCATACATCCTTTGGATTAAACACAATTACAGCCTCTTTAATCCCATAACATTGAAATTTGGTGGGTTTAGTTTTTGTTTTTTTCTCCTCTGCCATTAAGAGTTAATAGAGTAACACCTTTGCTTATCCAGGAAAACAGAGGTTACTTTTCCAATTTTATTAAAAATTAGCTATAATGCCTAGATTGGAAACTCAATAAGCACAAAGCTCGAAGTATTTTTTTATTTTATTTTTGAAAATTGACAAAATTGTATATATTTATAGTAGACAACATGATGTTTTGAAGTATCTATACATTGTGAAATGGCTCAATTGGGCTAATCAACATATCTATTACCTCACGTACTTTTTTTGTGAGACAACGTTTAAAATCTACTCTGTTACCAATCTTGAAATACAATATATTCTTATTATATTATCATATAGTCACCATATTGTACAGTAGATCTCTCAAATTTATTCCTCCCATCTAACTGAAATTTTGTATGTTTTGATGTCCTCAAGGTTCATCCATGTTGCTACAAATAACAGGATTTCCTTCTCTTTTAAAGACTGAATATTACTCCTTTGTGTATATATGACACATTTTCATTATTCATTCCTACACGGATGGACATTTAGAGTGATTCCACATCTTGGATTTTATAAATAATACTGCAGTGAATACGGGGTACAGTTTTTTTTGACATACAGATTTCATTTACTTTGAATATATCCTCAGTAGTAGGATTGCTAGGTCCCATGGTGATTCTATTTTTAATTTTTTGAGGAACTTCCGTACTGTCTTCCATAATGGCTGTACATTCCCAATAGTGTGCAAGGTTTCTCTTTTCTCCAATCTTCACCAACACTTTCATATTTTTGATCATAGCCATTCTGAGAGATATGAGATGATATCACATGATGATTTTTGTTTGCATGTCTCTGATGATTAGTGACATTGAACATTTTTTCATATATATATTGGCCTTTTGTATGTCCTCTATTGAGAAATGTCTGTTCAGACCCTTTGGCCACTTAAAAAAATGGCTTTGTATTAGGCTGTTTTTGCTTTGCTATAAATGAATAGCTCAGGCTGAGTAATTTATAAAGAAAAGAGATTTAATTGGCTCATGGTTGTGCAGGCTGCACAGGAAGTATGGCACTGTTATCTGCTTGGCTTCTGGTGGAGCCTCAGGGAGCTTCTACTCATGGGAAGACAGAGTCAGAGCCTGCAGTCTCATGGCAAGCAAGGAGGCAAGAGAGAGAGGCAGAGGTCCCAGACTCTTTTAAACAACCAGATCTCGTGTGTGCTCAGAGTGAGAATTCCCTCATTATTGCAAGGGGGGCACTGAGCCATTCATGAGGGATCTGCCCCCAGGACCCCAACACCTCTCACCAGGTCCCACCACCAACACTGGAGGTCACATTTCAACATCAGATTTGGAGGGAACACACATCCAAATTATATCAAGATTGTTTGTTGTCTTACACTTGAATTATTTGAATTCCTTATATAGTTTAGGTATTAACTGCTTGTCAGATGTATGATTTGCAAATGTTTTCTCACATCTGTAGGTTGTCTCTTCACTCTGTTGATTGTTTTCTTTGCTGTACAGAAGATTTTTATTTTGATATAATCCTGCTGGTCAATTTTTGCTTGTGTTATCTGTGTTTTGGGGTCATTTCCAAAAAATTATTTTCCAGACCAATGTCATAGAGCTTCCTTCTGTGTTGTTTTCTAGTTGTTTTACATTTTTGAGTCCCACATTAGTTCATTTGAATTGATTTTGTATGTGGTATAAGGGTCTAATTTCATTCTTGAGCATGTGGATATCCAGTTTCCCCAACATCATTTATTGAAGAGACTGTCCTTTTTCAATAGTGTGTTCTTGGCACCTTGGTCAAAACTCAATGGACTGTAAATGTGTGGAGTTATTTCCAGGCTCTCTATTCTTTTGCATTGGTCCATGTGTCTGTTTTTATGCCAGTACTATGTTGTTTTTGTTACCATAGCTTTGTATTATATTTTTAGGTCAGGTAGTGTGATGCCTCCAGCTTTCTTCTCTTTGCTCAAAATATCTTTGGCTCTTCAGGGTCTTTCATGGTTCCAGATTAATTTTAGGGTTTTTTTTCTATCTCTGTGAAAAATGTCATTGGAATTTTGATAGTGATTGCATTGAATCTGTACATTGCTTTGGCCAGAATGGAAATTTTAACAATTTTTTGTGATCCATAAAAACAGGATGTCTTTCCATTTATTTGTGCCTTCTTGAAATTATCTTTTAATAAGTGTTTTTGAATTGTGGGACTGAGAGCCATATGCCATTGCATGAGAGATCTTATGGGTCAAAGGAAAGGAACTAGTATCTGTTGAGTACTTGTTAAGTACCCTGTACATTATGTCCATTATCTGCATTATCCTATTTAATCCTCAAATGATGCAGTGAAATGGGCATCATTATTCCCACCTCACAGATGAGAACATGGAAGGTTGGGGAGAGGTTAAATGCCTTGTCTAGGTTCAGGTGTTACATAAGTAGTTGAGACTGGAATCCAAATCTTTCTAGTTCAAAAGCTTTTAATTTCATAATAATGACTTGTAGGGAATTTCAGTTTGCTTGTTTCTTCCAGAAATATTTACTGAGCATGTAAGGTAAACACATTTTTCTTTAAATAATCGGAAGTGTGTATTATGTATGCAACTCAGGTAGAGCTAGTGAGATGATGAAATTTCCAGTGGAAATTTCCATGGGAGATGCACTCACAGCTGCTCCCCACTTCCTCTTTTATCAGGGTCTTCCTGCTAACTCCTGGCTCCTGGAGGAAAATGTTGCTCCTTCTCATAAGTGGTTTTGTGGTTCCCTTGTATAGCTTGCTACCATCTTTTTTTAGCAAGAGCCAGAGACAGCTGTCACTACCATGCAATTACTTTTCCAGGACTGTGTGTTATCTAATCCCTTGGCCACTAAGTTTGGAAGAAACTTGACTTATATGCTTATTTTACACTTTCAAATATCTGCATGACATAAACAATTCTGATCAAATATGGATAAAAGATGAAGATATGCTAATGTAGCCTCATCGCTCATCTAATTGGGCTTGATAAGTGCCTCTCCTTGTTGATTTACATAATGAAGAGTTAAGTTAAATGAAAAGTCTACAACACTGAGACTACTTATTCCACAATAAGCTAGTTTTGTAATACGCTTCTCAAATATTGCATTATTAGCATTTTCTTTTCAGTTCGCATTCGACTCAATTTGTCTCACTCTTACTGTCATTCTATCACCACCAAAAGTACTTAACAAGTATCTGTGAGTGATTATGAGGCATATCTATGTGACATGAGACATTGAAAGTGAGACAGTGTGGGCCACTGGAAAGAGAAATGGCCAAGAGTCAGGGAATCCAACTTCCCAACTCTGCCGGGTCTGTGTTCTGGAGCACCCACAAACTGGAGACAAGGATGCTTTCCTCTTTCTTATTGCTAAAGATTAACAAAAACAAACTTTGCACTCAAGGAGTATGAAATTGTTTTGGACAACTAAAAAAGATTAAAGCTTTACTTTGATCTGATCCCTGCTCTTTCATGGCCTCTCTTAGAACAGTGGTGTTAAAACTGTGTGTATAGGGTGTCTTCAGATGGCAGCATGGTGGTAGGGGGTTCAGCTCTACTCTTACCAGAAGAGCTCTATATTTATCCATTTTTTCACAATGACATTTTTATATTGGAGTGATAGTAATGAGTAAGTTCGATTGGGGATAAAAAACAAAAATGAGCTTCTGGTACTAAGCCTTGAAGGTCACCGATGCTGGCTAAGGTTCTTGATGGCATTATGATGATTAGAACACACAATGTGGACAGGACGATATCTGTGTCAGGTACAAAAGTTCATAAAGCTGGAGTAGAAGGCAATCATATTGACATATTTTAGGGTATAGGTTAGGAAAAGTAGTTATAGGGATTCCAAATTCAGATTTTGAGTATTTGGCAGGGGGCTGCAAATGAATATGCAGCTCTTATCTGGCTTTAGGATATGGGCCTAGGAGTGGCTCAGCTAACTAGGAATCAAAATGCAAGTGATATATGCCCTAGAAAGGACTCATGGGTGAGAAGATGTGAGACACAGTCTAGTGCAATAATTGCACCCATGCATGGTTATTAATGGGCCACTTCCCTGACAAGGTATTTATCTGAGCATTCACATATATATATTAAGTATCTTCCTTGTGTAGGTACGGAGGTCAGTATAATGATATCTCAGGTCTCTGAAATTATCCTAATATTTTATGCTCAGTTGTTTGGGAGAGCAGAGTGAAGGAAGTGTGTAGTTGGTAAAGGGACTAATGCCTGATATTTCCTCTCCTACGGCTGCTTTTGCTCATCTTTCCCCAGTGGTCAGATAGATGGTGAGGATTTTGGTGAGGTCCCTTGTTTGAGAGGATTCACCAAGTCCATGGTCTAAACATCCAAAGGGCTCCATCCTTTACTTCAAATGATTCCAGAAGCCAAGGAAAACCGTCAGCAGAATCTAAGTATTCCGATGCAATTATCTCTTTTCAGAAGAGGGAAATGGGACCTTTGGTTTTGCCAACAAAGAGTATCAGAGCTGGTCAGTTTACTTGTGGACATTTTTGGCTGCAATCTTAAAGACAGCAGTCTTGGAGAGATTTTTATGAGGATGTAGGGCATCTATAGACATAAAAAGCAGGAGAAATGCTTGTTAGTTATGGGGAAGGTGAAAGGCTTAGAAAACTGATTAGCGTAGCAGTGTGGTCAGATGGAAATGAAAGCTCAGAAGCATAATCGTTAATTGGGTGCTTACCTACTAATTTGAGCTTGGATGTCAGCAGTACTGCACTTCATTTCAAACCCAGGGTCAGACTTTAATGCTACATCATAAATTACGTAAAGGCACAACACTAACAATTAGATAATTACGGAGACCCATGCTGTTGCAATTTAACTGGGCAAGTTCAGGGCAAACATGACAGGAATACTGCTTAACCCTCAGACTGCTGGCAGGATTTTTTCCAAAGAGACAAATGAATACATAAGATGACATCGTTGGCTGGTTTTCAAAGCCTATGGGTTAAATAATTCCTTTCCAGTAGCTGGATTCATCAGATGACCTCTGCAAGCTGAGAAGAAGTATTAGAGAAGTGTTAGTTATATTTAAGAAAAATTCAGTCTTTAAATCCACACCAACTGAAGCACCTGGGGGTGGGCTAGATTCCAGTTAAACTTTAAGATAAATTTTAAAGGTGAAGCTAATTTTTACAATTATGAGACTCTCTGGTTATGGGATGTGTAGTTGTTCAATCCCTATTTTCCACCATTAACATATGAATCAAAATAGAAGATTCAAGGTGAATATTTCATTCTCATTGCATTCTTCCTGGCAAACTAGTGGTTGACTCAATTGATGAAGGCGTTTTCATGATCATCGTGAGTTGTAAAGACTGTGCTGGCATTTTGCAATATACTTCATTCATTCATTGACTCATTTGCCAACATATCTTGAATGCCTCTGTGTGCTGGGTGTCATGGATACAGATGTCATTGGCTGGGTGTTTAAACAACATTCTGATTCCCGGTTAGAGACAGAAGACTTGTGGGGCTCATGTACGTGTAACGTAAAGGCAATTTTTGGAAGAGTTTTGTCCTCATTGTCAGAATGTGAGCTTGAGAAAGTCTAGAGCCGTACCTCATTTTCCTTCTTTCCCCACACCCTCAGCACAGGGAGAGGTACATTTGAAGAAATGGACACGTCTAAGAGAATAACTGAAGAAAGGAATAGTTTTGGACTGGAGAAAAAAAAAAAAGAAAAATGATGGGTAATTTAACCAAAGGTCAGATTTTGGAAACTCAGATTGTCTGACAAATGAAGTCATACTGTAAAGTCCCAGAAGTAATATTTGAAAACCAAATTCTAGCATGTAAATAGTTGCTTATTTGTCAGTTTCATTTGTCTCCTCTTATTCTTGTAATGACACACTATAACGTTTGAGATTACAAAGATAATAATATAAGGGACCACAGCATTTAAGACTGTTGGATTCATGAAGAACTCAATATTGAATCTCTTTTTTTATGTGTAAGAGGATGGATTTGCCCCTGGGACCTTGGGATATTGAGATCTAGATTAGGAGCAATGTGGCTCAGGGGTGCAACACAAAGATGGAAAAATAAGAGGGCTGAGACTGTAAAGCTCCCCAGCCTCACCTACCTGGCAGCAAGGACACGCCATGGGAAACTTCTGTGTGTGTGTGTGTGTGTGTGTGTGTATGTGTATGTGTGTGTGCACCAACAGTGTTGCATAATTCCAGACCTGTACAAGGATAGAGCAAATTAGAACCAAGCTTACTCCTGGGGAGGAGAGCGGTCTTCTTCTACCCTGATTTCACCTCTTGCTCGTGAATAATGGTGATCATGGTCCCCCACATGGTCTCTCTGAGTCATAGGGAGCACCCACAGAGTTTGGTGGTAGCACATTAGCAGGTCAGCACAGAGCCTCGAGAGAGCAGCGCTCTCCAGAGAGAACAAGAGTCCTTATAGTCCGAGCTCTCTCTTCTGAAGGAATGTGGCTAGAACTGACCTGGCAAACCAAGAAAACATTCCTGGATTTTTGAGATTTAACAAAGGAGGGAGATTCTGGGAAGCGGAGAAAGACAATATTTTCCTGCTAGGTGGTAGGGTCTGGGGGTCAATTAATTTGAATATTAAAAGGATCTCTTTAGGAACACTTATACACTGTTGGTGGGAGTGTAAAATTAGTTCAACCATTGTGGAAAGCAGCCTGGCGATTCTTCAAAGAGCTAAAAGCAGAATTATCGTTCGACCCATTACTGGGTACATACCCAGAGGAATATAAATCATTCTACTCTAAAGACACATGCACATGAATGTTCATTGCAGCATATTCATAATAGCAAAGACATGGAATCAACCTATATGCCTATCAATGACAGGTAGGATAAAGAAAATGTGGTACTTATACACCATGGAATACCATGCAGCCATAAAAAGAATGAGATCATGTCTTTGTGGGAACATGGATGGAGCTGGAGGCTATTACCTTTAGCAAACTAATGCAGGAAGAGGAAACCAAATACTGCATGTTCTCACTTATAAATGGGAGCTAAATGGTAAGAACTTATGAACACAAAAAAGCAAACAACAGACACTGGGTCTACTTGAAAGGGAGGGTGGGAGGAGGGAGAGGAGCAGAAAAGATAACTATTGGGTACTGGGCTTTATACCTGGGTGATCAAATAATCTGTACAACAAACCCTTGTGACACACGTTTACCCATGTAACAAACCTGCATATGTGTCCCCAAACCTAAAATCAAAGTTTTTTGTTTTTTTTAAAGATCCCTTTATTTTATTTCTTAAACTACTTATGTGGGAATATTAGTTACAGGCAGACAAAGAAACTGAGACCTGGAGTGGATAGAGAGAACAAGGATATTTCAGACTGTAAAAGCTAAATTGAACCATCTTCTCAGCAAATGGTGTTTTGCTGTAGGTAGTAATAAACTAAATGAAAAAAATACCAGCAAAAACAATTCTTACACAGGAAAAGAGTGACATCTCACAGAATCTCGTCATTTACCTTGGGAAAAGTCCTTTTCAACACCTCACCTCTTTGTTTTTTTAAGTTCCCCAAATGTATGGGCCCAACTAGGGTCAAAATTCAATAAGCTCAACACATTTCAGGAACTATCTTCAGCTTCAGATGCCTTTGATGTTTTTTCCCTGAGTATTGATGCTGATAGATGTGCCTTGATGTCAATCTGTCTTTCCAAATATGAACTGCTGGGAATTCTGCTCATGGTTGGGATTTGGTATAATTTTTCTGCTGTACACAAAGGTATCTGGCGATCCAAATTTGAAAATATCTTTAACAAAAATTACTTAATATATGAATTAATAGTAATAAGTCACCTTCTGAGACTCAAAATCCATCTGAATTCTCCTTATGATTTCTTGGGCAGAGAGTTCGGCTTTTGTCAGTGTTGTTTTTGCCTCAAGGATAATACTTAAAATTTAGGTAATGGTCCATTTTCAAAGGTGAGTTGGTGTTAGGAAACTTGCATTTCTAGCAAATGCTATGTAGAAATAAATAATAATAGCACACAGAATATTCATTTAATTGTTAAAAACCTTACTAAGAAACTAGTGAAAATTAGCAGAGTCTGGCTTTTCTGAATAACCTAAGATAGAGAGTTGTAAGCAGTCAATTGAATAGAAGTTTTTGGTTTGCTGTGCATTGGTGGTTGACTCTTAATCAGTTGTAATCCTTAATTATCTTTGGCAAGGCAACTCATGGGAAGGATTGATACTTTTTCTCCTCTCCATCACTCTTCTAACCCTAGGGTGTATAATGAGGCAGATTGTTCTGAACTTGGGTTTTGAATGTAATGACATGTCTTACAGCCTGTGCCACTTCAACATATTGAGGGTCACCTCATTCTTTCTGGTGGTGGCCTGGCTTTCTATTGTGTGGATGGACCATCGCTTATGAACTTGTCCTCCAAAGATGGTTACTTAAGAACATTTCAATCTTTTGCCTTTGAAAATAGTGCTATGATGTTAACGTCTTTGTTTATGTGCCCTTGAGTACATGAGGGTACATTTTTGGAAATGTTCATTATTGAGCCAAAGGCCATGTGCATTGTAAATTTGGGTGGATATTGCCACATTACTTCTTACAGATTTGGTGGTAATTTGGGAGGCTAATCAGCCATGGGATGCTAACAACTGTCCCAAAGTTATCCTGAAGACAGAACTTGACTAGGTGGAGCTGGTTCAGACAAGAAAGACAGAAACACTGAGCAAGAGGCTATAGAAGGAGGAAGAAAAGGAGCAGCTGAAGGTCTGTCTGTTAAGTAGAAGAGAGAGGGGTTTGGCTTGTCTTGAAACACTAAAATGCGCTAGAAATAATGAGTGGAGTTAACACACAAGGGAGACACATGAGGGCTCAGTATTAAGAAATACTTTTTAAAAGTGTTTACCAAATATGGAACTGATTATTTCAAAGCAGGTGAGTCTCTTGTCACTAGGAGGGTTGGTTGTCATAGGCTCTGTGGGTATGTGCATGTATGTTTGTGTGTGCATATGTGCACAGGTATGCACACATGCATGTTTGTGCTCATGATAGTGCTTGTGTGCATATGAATGCACACACATGTGCATGTGTCCTGTGTGTATGTGAACATGTACAGGACAGTTCTATAAAGGAGGCATGGGCATCTGAGGGGAAGTTACAGTAGATTACCTTAAAGCCCTTTCCAAGTGTATGAGACAACAATTTAATGAATAAGTCAAAATGTAAATAACTATTTGTTTAAGATACCAGGTTTTGTTTAAATGAATTGCCCAAATCTAAATACTCCAGAGATCAACTCCTGTGTAATATGGTATCGTGTATTCATTATTTCTGTGAACATGCCTCAAGTGCCCTGACAAGATACAGCCACAGACAGACAAGGTCCCCTGACACAGGGTGCACACATGAGGCTCAATGGTAAGGTACAGTCAAGGTGAGGGACAGTACAAAGGCCTGTACTATGGGAGGGTCTAGGTCACACTCCATATAGGAGATTAGGCTAGGCTGAAATCTGAAGGTTAATGAGTGAACTCCTTGGTAAGTGTGGGTAGAGAATTTCAGGCAAAGACCTAGGAAGTTCAAGGAAGTGAAAGGATCTTGGGGTGGACATTTAGAGTGTGGAGCCTGTGGAATAGGCTGGTGAGAGCAATACCAGATTAGGATGAGAAGGCAGGGTGGGCAGAGATGGTCAAGGCCTTGGGGAGCATGTCAAAGATTGGGGGCTTTATTGTAAGAGCAATAATATTTGAAGGGTTTTGAGTAGCAGTTACATGTTAAGATTTGCATTTTATTAAGCTTGCCCTGGCACCTGGGCAGGGAGATGTCTTAGGTCAAGGTTTCTTAATCTTGGTGCTGCTGACATTTTTAGTCACAATTCTTTGTCATGGGGGCCGTTTTGTGCATTGTAGGATTTTTGGCAGCATCCAGGCCTCTAATCACTAGTTGACAGTAGCACCTCCGCATCACCCAGTTGTGACATCCAAAAATGTCCTCAGACATTGCCGCGTATCCCCTGGTAGGGTAAAGAGTGTGTGAAATTGTCCCTGATTTAGAGTCTTTGTTTTAGGGAATGAGATAAAATGGTAATCTGAACTGGATGGAGGATAAAGGCAGAAGTATGAGTCAGAGGGTAACCCGTAGAATGGATAGATTTGGGATATAGATAGAGTATGAAGAAGGAGGGCAAAATCAAGGATAAAGCTGAGGTTTTGGAATTTAGCAAAGTGAGTGGGGCACAAGAGTGGTTTCCCGATAACATGACACATTCCGTTTTGGAAATGTTGAGTTTGAAGTGCCTAGGGAGGCGTCCAGGTGCTGATATCCACTGGGAATGAGTCTAGGGTTCAGGTGAGTCTCCCACAGATTCGGAGTCAGTGGTTGGCATTTGAGGGCTGCCGTCTTACAGCTGGCAGTGGAAATAGTGCCCCTTCTGGCCCCACTAGTAGCATTATGGAATTGTGTGTCTTGGATGCCCAAATGCTTGTGGCACTATGCAGAGTAATATGTGGCGGGTTCTAAATGCTCAGAGTTCCTTGGCCATTCACCAGGGCCATCCCACTGGAAAAAAGATGCACATGGTTTCCCGACTAAGCAGAAACAGCCCCTGCAAGGTTGACCTTTCCTGCTCTAGGCAGCTGAAGTGTTTCTTAAGTGACGGCTGAATAGTCGAAGCTATTACTCTAACTGTAATTTGTAATGGCTCTCTAACGCTTTAGAGAGAGCTGGGGTTCTTTGGGATGAAAGGTGACTTTTAAAAGTCAGTAATTATACTTCCAGTGAAAATGTGTCTCTGGCATAGTGCATAACTATAGTACGCAGGGCATACAGGAATTCACTCCTGGACAGGGCTTATATTAATCACAGTTTCAATACCCAGAGAACATGTTCTCAGTAGTTAACCATCCTCTTCCCCCCTCCTTAAAATGTGGACCTTGTAATCAAAAGAAAGACACACCCTTGACTATAGCAGGGCTGCTATGCTAAATAAAAAATTATAGTTATTATACACGGACTTCATACCAAGCAGGGTCAAGTTATAACACATCTGGTAACCTCCATTAAAGAACTGAGTTATGTTCAGCTTGTGTTTTAATTAGCCTGGGATAAACAAAGAATCAAAGGCCATTCTGCTCTGGTGGTTTTTATATTTACGACTGCCTTCACCTACACTTACATACAGGTTTATGAAGTGTAAAAAAGTGAAGAGTTCTAGTCGCACAGCCTAGACCATTTACTGTAATAGCTCAGTTAGGAGGCTGTATTTCTGAACCAGCCAGATGTTCACAACAGCCTGCAGAGCTGGTGGGCTGCTTGGCTTACGGAAATGTTGGGACAAACACAGTCTGATCTCCCAAGAAAGATTTTGTCTCAATACTTCTGGAGCACTCTGGTTTCTTTGTAGTTGGTAAAAATGTATCTGAACAATGGGCTTTAGAAAAAAGAATGCATTGTCTTCTCGATCGAGACCTACATAAAGCCTTGTCTTCCTCAACGGTGAGAAAGGTTACAGGATCCAATAAGAAAACATGTTTATACGGGAGGAAGTTGAGCCAAGAAAGGCATCTGCCCCTGGCCCACCTCACCAAGCTCCCAGCCGAGAGAAATACTGAGTTGGTTTATGTGAAAGTTGCTAAGAAATTTTGTTAGAAAATCTTCTGAACTTTCATGATTTTCTAGGTATGTTCCAGCTCTATGATTCTCATATCTAAGTAAGATTAACTTAGATTATTACACTTTTAAGGTGATATGACCGCCTCTCTTGCTGGGCCTGTGGAATTGGCCTGGAATAAGCTTTCTGGAGTGATCCCTATTCCTCTCTGCCTCTTTGGAAAAGCTCACCACCACTTTCCTCGCTGCTCTGAGAGGGGATTCTGTGCCAGATCCTTGCACGGGGAGTTGACTCACAGATTCAGCTCCACTTCTGTTTTCTTCCTTTCAACCACTTTTTTTTTCTTTTGCCTCTTTAAATACAAAAAAAAATCTGTATTTTGAAGTATAACATGCAGGAAGAAAAATGGAAAAAAATATCAAAGGGAGCACACTTTGTGAGCATATTCACAGCAAGGGTTAAAACATCACAGCACCCCAGAAATGTCCTCATTTCCCCTCCCAGGTATTTTCCTCCTGTGTTCCCCCAAAGTGACCACCCTGATCTCCAAGATGGATTAGTGTTGCCTCTCTTTGAAGTTTGTATAAATAGAATTAAAACAGAATGTACTCTTCTGCGTCTGACTTCTTTCACCCAGCATTGGTGAGATTCATCGATGTTGCTGCATTTAGCTGTAGTTGTTTAAAAAATTGCTGTGTGACGTTCCTTTGTATATATACCCCCACTTTATTTATTCATTTTACTGTTGATGGAAATTTGATGGTAGTCAGTTTGAGCTGATTATGAATAAAAACATGGACACTTTTGCACATGCCACGTGGTGCACACGGGCAAGCGTTTCTCTTGCACCTGTCCAGCCTGCTTGTGATTTGCCCTCTGACATCATTCAGCTTCTTAGGATTTGTTTCCCTTTCTTTGAAAAATGTTAATGGAGTCCGCTGTGGTATTTCTCCTATTTATTGTGTCCACTGCACTGTTTGTGGAATATTTTTAAATGAACTTGCTATCGTCAGCAGCCTGACAGTTTTTTTTCCTCCTTGTTTCCTCTATGGAAGCATACGTTCATAGTAGGCTCCCTGACATCAGGGGAGCCACATCAGCTTCTTCCTTTAGACCAGCAGCTCTCACAGTGTGGTCCTTGCTCTGCAGCATCACCTGAGAACTTGTGTGAAATTCCCACTCTGGGCTTCCTCCCAGAGCTACAGAATCAGAGTTGGGGTTTGGAACACAGCACTCTGTGTTTTAGCAAATTCTCCAGGGAATTCTGATGTCCACTCAAGTCTGAGGACCAGTGCCTTAGCATCATCTCCACCTCCATGACCTCTCAGCCTGCACACAGCAGGAGGCACTTTGTAGGGAATTTATTTATTTATCATCCACTCATTCCACCAGCACTTGTTGGGCACTTTCTATGTCCTGAGCTTCACTCTGCTAAAGGGATATGGGGATATGAAGATGCATTAGAGATGGTCCTTGCTCTCAGGGGGCTCAAGGTCAGCAAATGGATATAATACAGGGTGATAGATGCCTCTCCTGGGGAGGTCAGGGAATGGTCCATTCAGGAGGTGAGCCTTGCACTCAAATAAGTGTTGAACTAAATCACTGAATGACATGCCCCCTAGCAAGAACTAATCAATGCCGGCATGTTGCTAGTAGCCTCTTGGATATAAAAGTGCACAGTGTTATCATCACTTCCGAAACCCAGGTGCCTGGAACATAGTAGACAGCCATTAGATACGTGTTGAATTTCTGAATGAATGGCTAGTTTTTCTGTGGCTTTTTTTTTTTTTGCCCTGCATTTCATTCATTCAACATGCATTTATTGAGGACCTGCTATATGACAGGAACTCTGCTATACACCAAGTTAAAGGGGGAATGAAAATAGACACAATTTCTATTTGTCCAAAGACCAGTAGATGAAGCTACTAATGTGAAGTGTGTGAACCGTGGCTGTCTAGGGTAGTGCTCACTTAGCTGTCTTAACTGGTTCCCAGCAAGCTGTTTGAATGTTCTGATTGGTCAAGGAAGCCCAAATGGCTGTGGGGCTGGGGCTAGAACAGGCCTGTGTGTTTGATCTTCTTGATCTGGGAGAGGACTATGTGAAGAGGTGGATCTACTGAGTTCTTCAGGGTGTTTTATACAATTTAAAAGGTTCTTTTGATGGTGGGACACATCACACTGACACTCAGAGAGTTGAGAAGTAGAAGTCTTTGCCACTTACAGCTCTGAATAAGAGGCTTCCAGGCAGAATGACACAGGGGGTTGCCCCTAGGGACAGGATAACAGAGCTGGAGCTATAGGGTCTGTTTTTGTTGGCAAGGGGAGGGTGGGTCAGCCAGGTCTCATGGGCTTATCTAAACAATTTTGTGGGCTCTAGGGTCCAGTGGCTGTTGCTATTGTCTGGTACCTGACCCTGGGGTACATAGGAAAGGTGCATAATGACCCTGGAGTATGGGAGCCCTTTAAGGGGAATGGTCATGATGTGGACTTAATCAGCTACTCTAGGAAAGAAGTTGACCAGCCCCCAGCCAGGGCCTGACAACTGGATCATGACAACATTTTAAGAAAAATTATATTACACAGGGAAGGCTCATGGAATGACAAATTCTGTTTTGCTGCAATGAAGCATTTACACAGTCTTTGTGTGGCTGTCCTTTTTTCCCCATCTTCAACGTCTCCAGCTATGTAGCGGGCGGTTTTTTGGTTTTCAGGTGAGAGTAGAAGTAGGAATTCTGCATCAGCACAAGTGAGCATACGCTATAATAAAAATTATATACAGTATTTCTAGCCTGGTGAGGGAATGATGTGTTAAAGGTAACCCCCATGGACCTCATTTAGAGGGTCATGTTGAAGTTACCTATGAAGGAAAATATCCCAAAAAATGAGGGGTGACCAGAAACTCCTTGCTCATGTTTTTTGAAATCCACTTAACGAGTAAGGGTGCCTATGTTAAAAAATGGAGCCTCCATGCAAGGCTGGCAGGCCCTTTTCGGGGAATAGATGTTAGATATTAAGGGTGAGCAATGACTTAAATGGTCTAAAAGGTTCCAATTAATGTTATCGTGGCCTGCCAAGTGGTTCCTTGTTTGTGGGATGAACCAGAGTAAAATCTAGTGAGGCATAAGAATGGAGTAACGCCAGAAATGAACTTCTGCTGTTTCGGAGCCCATTTTACTGGAAGTTGTATGCATGGATTAAAGGAAGGGGGTGGTCACATTTGGAATCCCTGGTTGTGAACTTTGTCAACTCCACGCAACTTTTTTGCTTGAACTCTTCCTAGGCAGCGGCAATTTCTGACTCTGTGGCCCTTGTAGCTGACTGTGCACTGGAACACACACAAATGAAGCAGGACTGTCGGACTAGACACTTGGAAAGAGCAATTGGGTCCACCCAAGCCTCTAGACAACCTCTTTTCCCAGTGAGGGTTATGCCCTGCTGGAACTGCCCAGAGATGCAGATCTGAAGCTCATTAAGAGAGACTGAACTGCATCTATATTTAAAGCAGCTGCTGTCCCAGGATACAAAAGTAAAGTAGTGGAGGTTATTCTTGCTGGATTTGCTGTCTGAAAGCTCAAACATTTCCATCCCTTTCATATAATCTTGATCCTGTAATTCATTGTCTATTTTTTAAAAATTCAACCTGCCTCTACATTAAAAACAAAGCAAAAACAAAACCATCACCACCGTGCTTATTTTAGCAAGTTTATTTTTTAAGAAGATAAAAATCAATATTCTCCCTTGCACAGCTGATGTCCTGGGGGATGAGCTACAGGAATCATAGTTAAATTGCTGCTAGTCTGTCTGTGTGAGAGAAAAGGTCAATATTTTTCTAGAAAGAACGCGCTCTGCTTTTCTCTTGGGAGTCAAGAGAATGCAGCAGTGGTAAATTACTGGATTTTGTGCCCAGGTGATTGCGAGGGATAATTCCACTCCTTGAACGGAAACACCCCTCCTCTGCTATGGTTCTTTCTTCTCACCTCTCTCACTCTCGACTTAGAAAGGATTTCGTGGTCAGGCGCGATGGCTCACACCTGTAATCCCAGCACTTTGGGAGGCCGAGGCAGGCGGATCACCTGATGTCAGGAATTTGAGACCAGCCTGGCCAACATGGTAAAACCCCATCTCCACTAAAAATACAAAAATTAGCCAGGCGTAGTGGCAGGTGCCTATAATCTCAGCTACTCGAGAGGCTTAGGCAGGAGAATTGCTTGAACCCGGGAAGTAGAGGCTGCAGTGAGCCAAGATCATGCCACTGCACTCCAGCCTGGGCAACAGAGTGAGATCTGTCTAAAAAAAAGAAATAAGAAAAGGAAAGAAAGGGTTTCATTTGGTCTCTGTCACTAGCTTAACCTTACAGAACTGCTCAGCAAGGACTGACTGCCTTACCCGCTAAACTCAATAATGTAGGAAGTCAGATCTAGGGGTTGTCTCTGAAGAATTCAGATCTAAAATGCCACTATATCAGTCAGGATAAGCCAGGATCTGCTGAGGTAACAAAAACCTCGTCTCAGTTATTTAAAAACCACCAAAGTTTCATTCCTGCTCATGCTGCATGTTCACTGCTGCTCAGCAGGGGCCTCAGATCATCACTGGGATTATTCAGAGACCCAAGCAAAGGAGACCTCAACTTGACACCTGCCTCATGACCACCAAAGCAGTGGAGATAAAGCAAGATGAGTTGTGCCTCACTCTTTAAGCTTAGTTCTTAAGTGACATGTGCCACTTCTGCTTACATTTCATTGGCCAAAACAAGATGTGTGACATATCTACTTTCTGCGTGCCCAGAAGAAGAGCAGAACCAGAATGTTTGTGAACAGTCTTAATGACCACTGTGACTGTTCATTTGATGAACTGGGAAGTTTGAAAAGACCTGAGAGGCTATTTCCTCTGGACTTCATCCTAATGAAGATATCTTTTCCTTTTTTTTTTTTTTTTTTTGAGACGGAGTCTCGCTCTGTCGCCCAGGCCGGACTGCGGACTGCAGTGGCGCAATCTCGGCTCACTGCAAGCTCCGCTTCCCGGGTTCACGCCATTCTCCTGCCTCAGCCTCCCGAGTAGCTGGGACTACAGGCGCCCGCCACCGCGCCCGGCTAATTTTTTGTATTTTTAGTAGAGACGGGGTTTCACCTTGTTAGCCAGGATGGTCTCGATCTCCTGACCTCATGATCCACCCGCCTCAGCCTCCCAAAGTGCTGGGATTACAGGCGTGAGCCACCGCTCCCGGCCTATCTTTTCTTTTTGAGGGGTGAGGACAGAGTTTCACTCTTGTTGCCCAGAGTGGAGTGCAGTGGTGTGATCTTGGCTCACTGCAACCTCTGCCTCCCAGGTTCAAGCGATTCTCCTGCCTCAGCCTCCTGAGTAGCTGGGAGTACAGACATGCGCCACCACGCCCAGCTAATTTTGTATTTTTAGTAGAGACGTGGTTTTGCCCTCTTGGTCAGGCTAGTCTCAAACTCCCGACCTCAGGTGATCCGCCTGCCTCAGCCTCCCAAAGTGCTGGGATTATAGGCATGAGCCACTGCTCCCGGCTGGGAGATATCTTTTCTACAATACACTGACCACTGTCCATGCTCAACCTCTGCTACAACATTCCTGGTGAGAGGGACCTTGACTACTTCTCAAGGTGGCCATGGTGTTTTTAGACAGCCTTTGTATAAAAAAGTCCCATAGAACCTGTATGTCTGGAGCTTGGTCTCATCCTCTGTCCTCTGGCTGTCTGACGCTGGCTATGACGCTCGCCTTGCTAAGTCTGTTTCCCTATCGGTAAAATGGAAAGAATACTTCCTTTGTTCAAAGTTAAATTGAGCATCAAGTGAAATGCAATGAAGTCTGTTGAGACTCTACATGGTTGGCACATAATTGAAAACAAAGGTTTGTGCCTCTGCTTTTTCTCCCGCATAGGCTTCTGTAAGGTTGAATGTGAAAATGTTTATAAATTAGCACGTATGTATGGATTCAATTATTGCTCTACTTGTTGTAGATGGCAAAAATGTTTAGTGACTATGTGCACAATTAAAAAACATGCCAATATTTGGACCAAAGTGGCTATGGAAAGTCTTGGAAGTCCAGTGTCATAGATGAATATTTATAAATTGTTCAATCATATCAGACATTTATTATTTAAAAATAGATGGATTTTTATTTTTTCTCTACTTCCTATTTGTTTTCTGGAATGCCTCCTCCTCCCTATCCTTTGCTTACTTTGAATTATTCTTTACAACTTTAAGTACCTTGGAATGATTTTTGAATGCCACTGTATTCATCCCCACCTTTCCAAATGAATGAACTGGCAATATATACAAAGTAACTATCACAGTATCCAGCACTCAGTAAGTCCTCAACACACGGTGGCTCCTCTCTCCTCCCCTTGGGTAATCTTGGAGGAGAACTGGACCTCTAGTTTGCACTGTTTAAGCTCAATATGCTAAATGAAATTCAGAAACATGTTGCTTGTCATTGCCCTTCATAAAATATTACTGTCATTTTGGACAAATGGCTCAGAGGACATCTGGTTATTCTCTGTGAGTGATGATGATCTAGTAAAGCAATGGCTATTTGCAGAATGACTCCAGGCATTCAAGAACAGTGGATAAGCAGAAACAACAGTGGCATCAAGAGAATACCAGAGATGAAGGGGGCAAATATCTCTGAACTTTTTTGATTTAAATAGTACTTCCCTTCAGAAAAATGCTTTGTTGAACCAATGCAAGGTTTTACAACTCTACTAGTTAATTGGATAATGAATCTGGAGAGCTACTCAGAATTACCACTTTGGAAAAAACAGAAGATACCAACTCAGTTCAATGAATTAACTTACTTTATATCGTTAGCACAGCACGATACCTTATGCATTGGTGAGTCCAAACCTCTCATTTCCTGGATCAGGGGGACTGAAGATCAGAGAGGTCACAAATATTTAAATTTGGAAATAGTGAGTTAGGCATCAAATGAAATTCTTTCAATTTTTAATGTTCCTTCTGAAGTGGGATGAAGACCCTGGAGTCAGTTTTCATAGGAGACTGGAGAGTGACTTCCAATGGGGTGGACTCTGGGCTGGTCAGCCTTCCTTCCGTCTGGTTGTGGGGTCAGAAATGAAGAGACTCCAAATACCTTCCCCTCAGGAGATGGTGGCACAAGAGAGACAGCACCCTCCTAAGATCACCTCCGGCCCCACTAGGTCACCTTTGCAATTTCATTAGCTCCAGGCTGTCTTGTTCCATTCAGATTTACAGAAATTTTAGATCTGGGATTTGGATCAAATGGCAGAAGCAAGAAAAATTCATTTTGAGTGTTTTTTGAAACCAACTCTGTAACAATTGAATATATTTGATGTAGAAGTTGTCACCATCTAGACTGATGTCCTCATCATCAAAGGGCAAGAGCAAATGTCTCTAGGTTCCTGTGTTGTCCATTTGTTTCCCGCTCCCTTTTTAAAACGGCCTTATGGAAGGACACCTTCTTCTTCCTGTAGGAATGGGCCACAAGCTTCAGGTAAGAGCCTTCCCTGACTTCCCTCAGCCACCAAGTGGAAGCAGTGTCTTACTCTCAGAACCCACATGGCATTTTATCCATGGCATTTATCCAGCAGGGTGTCCCTTTGGGAGCCTGTCACTTTTTATTCTGCATGATAGGTGACTGTGTCCATGCTACATTTCCCATTGTAGAGGATGAACCCCTCGAGGATGTGTCTTTGATTGATTTACCCTTGAATCTCCCACGGTACAGTATGTCCATGCAGTAGCGGCTTTAAAAAGTATAACTGGAAAGCATTTCATCATATAGTATTGTGGGGCTGCCTGAAATAAATTGATGAGCAGTACTGAAAACCACACAAATCTCAGTACCCAGTCTTTGCTTCACGGTGACGAGGATGATGCATGCACTGTAGACTTTAGCTTTGAATCCCTGCCTAGGACATTCGGCCCTTCTGTAATGATTCTGGTCAATCTGGCTGCTGCTCAGTGGAACTACATCTGGTGCACAAGAAGGCACGTACTAAGTGCTCAGCAAACTTGGGCTGAGTGACCAACTTGGTGGATAAAATGTACAAGAAACCAGTATCTCAGAGTGAGCCTGAATGAGGCACAGCAGACTGGTTTAGGTTTTATCAGGCCACATTAAAAGTTGCCAAGTCTATGAACTTAAACCAGTAGTATGCTGGTAAGTGTTTAATAATCAGCTTTCTGAAAAAAAGGGCCTGATTTGTAGCATTTGCTGATTCCTGTGGTGTAAATATACCCTCCATGGTTGATTTCATGCTACCAATGTGATGTCACTGGCCTTAGAGTCCGGAGCGGATACATGTGATATGGGCTGTCCTCCAGCACACCTCTGGCGAATCTTTGCCTTTTCAGGGCTCATAAGGTGGTGCTGCTGCAATGATGGTGACCACAGTTGGGTGCACTCTAGGAATTCAGATGATCTACATCCAAATTCCGTGGCTACATCAAGCCATCCTTCCAGCAGGTTGGATCAGTGTGTCTAAGTTCTTTATCCTCCCAGCCATGGAGCATTATTTTGGTAATATTTAATTCTGCTTCTGTTACCCAGACACAGCAGATATGGTGCCTCAGACCTCAGAATTAACAGCTAAACATTTAGTAAGGAAAGCTTCCTAAACTCTGCACCAGGGGTTGAAATGCAAAGAAAAAAATAAGTTAAATCAGAGTTTTAAAGAATATCACATAGGAAGCCAACAGTAGCTTTGCTGAATTTGAATAGGTGTGTTAAAAAAAAATCAACCAAATTCCATCAGTTTGGATACATGCTGGCAATTATATGGGTATCATTAAAACTGTGGAAATCCCCACGTAGAATTGCTGCTTGTCCTCATTCACTTTCATGCACACTGTCAGGAGGGGCAAAAATGCTTGGGAGTGTTCAATGTACTAGGGGTTATCAGAGCATGCAATTTGGAGTAAGACACTCTTGAATTCAATACCTGGTACTCTGACCACTTGCCTGACCAACCTCAATGTGCTTATCTATAATGTGGGTATAATCATAGTAATAATATAATAAGCTCCCTGAGCAATTATGAAGCTTAAATGACAGCATGTGTTCAAATCACTCAGTACACAGAAAGTCCTAATTGCTGAATTGGCAATGCCTCCTAACCCTAGGTGCCTCATGATATTTTCCTGGTTAGCTGTGCTTAGGTACATTGTCATTAACCTAAATATTCATGTTTGTGAAACAAATTATATCATCCGAATTGATGCTTACAGTAATCCTGTGACATAGAGAATGGTCTGATTTATTTCCATCCAGTAAATCAAGGTGCTCCCTGCGTGGTATTGAAGTATGACGCTAGGATTCTTTACTTAGTCCTCTTTCTGCCACCCTCTGTTCATGTCCAGGACTTACCTGTGCTGCTCCAGAAGCTGGGATTGCCACAGAACAGAGATTGCATAAGCTAAACTCTTCTAGGAACCAAAGCAGAAGCTCATCAAGAGAGTTACCACATTTTTCAGACGTGGATTGTTGTCTGAGAGTGTTTAGGAGGTAAAACAAGTGCAAGTTGCCTCACAAGGTCAATTGATAGTTATAGCTGGTGGCAGAGAATCAGATAATGTTGCTTTTCCTTTGAATTGTACTTTTCTTCCAACTGTCCCGCATGGTTCACAATCTACAGTTGTGGGGTGATCTCATTTATAATTCCAATACATGATGAAGTTTGTATTGTTATCTGCTGATCCACAGAAAAAGCAAATTAACTGAAGGCCTAATAAAAGGTAACTTGGCTGGGTACAGTGGCTCATCCCTATAATCCCAGCACTTTGGGAGGCCAAGGTGGGAGGATTGCTTGAGTCCGGGAGTTTGAGACCAGCCTGGGCAACCTAGGGAGATTCTGTCTCTACAAAAAATTAAAAAAAAAAAAAAAAAGCCAGGCATGGTGTCATGTACCTGTGGTCCCAGCTACTTGAGAGGTGGGAGCATTGCTTGAGCCCAGGAGGTCGAGGCTACAGTGAGCTACGATTGTACGACTGAACTCCAGCCTGGGCAACAGAGTAAGACCCTGTTTCAAAAAAAAAAAAGAAAAAAGGCAATTCAAGCTACACATAGTGGCTCCCTTCCAAAGAATATGTTATGAAAAGAGGGAAAAAATGAGAGTGGGGAAACCTGAAAACTCTGCCTCAAGGCCAGCATCCATGGTGATAAGCCATGCTGATAGTGCGTACCCTTGATATGATGTCATGAGAATGGGATTTTACCTCTGTGCTCTTCTTCCACAAAACAAATAACCTCTATCTAATCGTGAGGAAAATAGCAGAAGCATTCCAACAGAGGGACATTCTACAACACCCCTGACCAGTACTCTTCAAAACTGTCAAAGTCATAAGAAATAAGGAAAGTCTTGAGACACTGTCATAGCCCAGAGGACCTGAAGGAGACATAACAGCTAAATGAAATGTGGTGTCCTGGATGGGATCCTAGACCAGAAAATAGACACTAGGTAAAAATGAAGGAAATTAGCATGAAGGATTGACCTTAATTGATCATTATGTATCCATATTGGTTAATTAATGATGACAACTGTGCCCTACCAACAGAAAACATTAACAATAGGGGTAACTGTGGATAGGGTGCATGGGAACTCTTCGTACTATCTGAAGTTTTTCTTTAAATTAAAGCTATTTTATAATTAAAAATATATTTTTAAAAAGGCAATTGAGCCTAGAGGCTTGCTTTATTAATTTATTTTCAAGACTCAAATTAAAAGCTATAATTATGAATATAAAACTATTGGGAAATAAAGAATTTAATATATAGCCCTTGATTATATTCTGTTGACAGTCCAGGGGAAGAGATGGCAGCAAGGGGGATGTGTAAAATGAAAGGGAAGTCAAAGGTCTTATAGAGAAGACAGGAGTATGAGACTGAGACCAATTCAGGGGCACAGAGGGAAAGAGATATGCCAATCACAAATGCAAAATCTAAACAGGCATTGGACACGGGCTCAGACACCGATTCCAACATGTAAAAGAGTAACATAAAAAGCTATAGAAAATGCAATGTGGAGGCAGCATTATTTCCATTTTGTGTCTACTCTGTTCGTGCTACTCAAGCCCAGGTTCCCACTGAGGTTATTTTTTTTTTAATTTTTTTTTTAGACAGAGTCTCCCTCTATCACCCAGGCTGGAATGCAGTGGTGCGATCTCGGCTCACTGCAACCTCCACCTCCCAGGCTCAAGCGATTTTCCTCCCTCAGTCTCCTGAGTAGCTGGGATTACAGGCATGCGCCACCACACCTGGCTAATTTTTGTATTTTTAGTAGAGATGGGGTTTCACCATGTTGGCCAGGCTGGTCTCAAACTCCTGGCCTCAAGTGGTCCACCTGCTTTGGCTTCACAAAGTACTGGGATTATAGGCGTGAGCCACCACACCCAGCCGCTCCATGACATTTCATAGCTGTAGTCAAAATCCTTACTGGCCATGAAGCTGAGGGTTGTTGTTCCAGTGGCCAGAAGTTTTCTAATTCTGCATTGCATAAGCCCTTTACAAATAATGCTTTATAGAATAATTTAAACATTCATTTGAATAAACACAACTTACAACAACTTTATAACAAAAACAATAATAAAACTGGAATCTCAACTGTTGTCTAACAAAATTAAAGGGAAATAAGAAATGAGCACTCTCATGCTACAAGAACAGACTACTGAAAACCTCAGCTTATGCACATAGTATTTTAAAGTTGGAAGGGACCTTAGCTGTAATATTTAGCTTGCAGTCTTGGTAGTGTCAGGAACATATGTTAAATTGGAATACCGGGTGCCTGAGTGTTTCAATGCCTCTGGGCTCCCTTCACCTTTCATTAGGAACAAGGTAGCACACTTTTCATTATCTGCCGGGGCCTCAGTACGACTAGAACTAGTAACAGACAAAAATGTCAACAGGCTTGCATTTGAATTTGTCTTTTTAGGCAGTGGTTTTATAGATTAATCATTGAAAATGACTCTTGCTTATCTATGACATGTGCTCTCAAAATATTTTGTATTTGAACACTTTCATGGATGCTATTTAGTTTGTATTTTTCTTTTTTTCTGAGAAAAGAAACATATGCCCTTCCTATGACATTTCTATGAATTTTCAGCTGCTAAATCATACTGTTGAATGGAATAACTTTTTTCTAAATATTTTTCTAAGCGTGCTTTAACTTCCCTTCTCTTTGGATCAATTCCTGGCTTGTTACATAGCATTGATGCCAAGTACTTATTTTATTTTATTCTAAGTTAGTTTCTCTATGTTTTGGATTCTATGTTTTCTTTCATTCTCTCTGGGAATGTTTTATTTTCTTTGAGTATACTATATTTTCAAGTAATTTTAAAAGCTTTTGTGTTTTCTGCATGCCTAAAAATTTTATTTCACTCATTCCTGACTGATAGTTTGAATAGATATAGAATTCTGGTTTAAACTAACGTTCTTTCATAACTGTTAAGACATGACTTCATTATTTTATAGCAGTTAATTTTCCGATAAATCTGATGCCAATCTGATTCTAGTGTCTTTATAAATATATGTTTCCATCTCTCTTATATATTGAAGACAGTTTCTTTATTCTGGGATTCTAGATTTCTTTACACTTTTTCATTTATCCTGCTTAGCATTAGATGGACTCTTCCAATTAGAAAGTTCAAGTTTCTTTGATAATTTTGTAGGTTTTGATGAATTTTTTCTCTCTAACTTTAAAAGAGGTGGCTATTAATCTTCATGGATGGATCTTCTATTTTGTTTCTTTTCCTTTTCTTTATCTTTGGACCCATTTTATGAAGATTTCTTAGAGTTTATATTCTAATCCTACATTTATTTTGTTATATTCAGTCATGATATTTTTAATTTTCAAGAACTCACTTAATCCCTGAATGTTTCTGCTTTTGTTTCATAGATTCAAGAAGTTTGGTTGTTTTTCCCTGGGGATACTAACAGCTCTCTTCTGTTTCCTGAAATCTTCCCCTTGGGGTTAAATGCTGGACATTTGTTCATCTTAGCTCTTCTCTTTCACGCTAATTGCTTTGTTTATAGACCCTCTGATTCTTGGCCATCCGTTCAAATTTATAAATAAAAAAACATGCTGGTGAGCACAGTCCTCTGGCTTGGCTTTCCTGTGATACTGAACATTTCTATTCCTGTACACAGGTGTCTTTTTCTGTTCAGGCTGCCTTTAAAAAATGCCCTACACTGGGTAATTTATAAACAACAGGATATATTGCTCACAGTTCTAGAGGCTGGGAAGTCTAAGATCAAAGTCAGCTGATTTGGTGTCTGGTGAAGGCTTGTTCATCATAGATGGCACCTTCTTGCTGTGTCTTCAGATAGTGGAAGGAGTGAACAGGCTTCCTCAGCCTCTTTCATAGGACAGGGCTCTCATGGCCTAATCACCTCCCAAAGGCATTACCTCTTAATACTATTGCATTGAAGATTAGGTTTCATTATAGGAATGTTGGGAGGATACAAACATTCGGGTCATAGCAACAGGTCAATATGACAAAAGAACAGCTTCTCTTGGGGTATGTGGGGTTGAAGGAGGAGACACATTCTTCCAAACACCCTCCATGCTGCAAAATGGGGAGCTTTGCAGCAGAGACGCATCGCCCATCCCAGGAACAATCATTCTCTCCTGGTCACTCACTCACTTGCTATTAGGGTACAGTCCCCTGGTATTAGTCTGGAAGTCATGAACCCTGATTCCAGTGGCCCAGAAATTGAGCAGGAAAGTCTCAGTGTTTGAGGGGGGCACTGAACCACCAGCCCCTGCCCATGTGCCCCTTTTCTCTCCTGTTCCTTGAGTTTCCATTCCAGGAAAAGTGGCTTTAACCTCTCCTCTAGTCTTTCCATGTGCCAATTAGGACAACAGCATTTTCCACTGTAAATTTTGTTTTATCAATATCTAATTTAATTAATTTAATTTCTGTTCTCCAGATTTTTAAAAAACTTAACTTATTTATGTTATGCTGACCTCCCTATTGTTCCACCCTTATTTTCTTTTTCTTTTCTTCTTCTTTTTTTTTTTTTAGACTGAGTTTTGCTCTTGTCACCCAGGCTGGAGTGGTGCAATGGCACGATCTCGGCTCACTTTAACATCTGCCTCCTGGGTTCAAAGATTCTCCTGCCTCAGCCTCCCAAGTAGCTGGGATTACAAGCATGCACCACCACACCTAGCTAATTTTTTATATTTTTAGTAGAGATGGGGTTTCACCGTGTGGGCCAGGCTGATATCGAACTCCTCAGCCTACCAAAGTGCTAGGATTATAGGCATGAGCCACCACACCTGGCCCACTCTTAACAGTCTTGGATAAATTTCCTTCCCTACATCTATACTGTATTTTCAATGGAAGATTTCGAGGAAGAGAATGTAAATGGGTGTGTTCAATCCACCATCTGGAACCAGAAACCCTTTTAATTCATTCTTAGTAGTACAGTTATCATTAAAGCATATGACTCTCCTTGGCCTATGACTGAGAAAATGAAACATGGGTGAACTGGATACTTTAGTTAAGAGAAAATTCTTACTGTACAGTGGTTAAAAGAGTATGTTTAATTCCAGGTCCACCACTCCCTAAGCTAAGTGTTTCCTAAAAGTTTCTGCCTCTCTTTCCTTATTCACACAATCATGAATAACAGTACCTCCCTCAAGGGATGGTGTGAGGGTTGTAAGAAGGCCTAGTGCCTGGCACAAAGCAAACTCTCAACAGATGCTCACTCTGTAAGTGTCTTCTCCACTGGGATTCTGCTGTAGTTTTGTTGAAAATGTGCAGCGTTTTCTGATAGAAAGGTTGTTTATATCCCTTTTGATATTCTTCCAATAAATAATCATACAGCGCTAATATGAAAAATGGTATAATAGGTTGGACACAGTGGCTCACACCTGTAATCCCAGCACTTTGGGAGGCAGAGGTGGAAGGAATGTGTGAAGCAGGAGTTTGGTACCATCCTGAGCAACACAGTGAAACCTCGTCTCTACAAAAAATTTAAAAAAAAATTATCTAGGTGCAGTGACATGCTCCTGTAGTCCCAGCTAGTCAGGAGGCTGAGGTGGAAGGATCCCTTGAGCCCAGGAATAAAAGGGTGCAGTGAGTGATGATTGTGCCACTGCACTCCAGCCTGGGCAACAGAGTGAGACTCTGTCTCTAAAGAAAAGGTATAATAAGTCACTGAGATAGAAGTGAAGCAAGAGCAAGGCTGGAAGGAACCTTAGAGCCTATCATATGCACACACCTCATTTCACCCTTGGAGCAAGGGCTAGTAGGTGGTGAGCAGTGGAGCCCTAGTCCATATCTAGGTCACCTGATGCTCATGGGCTCTTCCAGGGCACCTCCTGTTTGGCAGGCATTTTTTGGGTGCCCTCTCAACAGAAAGGTACTTCTACTATCTCTGCTTTATGGAGAGAAAGCTTAGGCTCAGAGTTGAGTGGAGTGGAGAAGCCCCCTCTGTGGGGCTGGGTTCCAAAGTTAGCATACAAAGCAAAAACTCCATGTAGTCCAGTCAGCCGAAATTCCTTCATGGAGTTGCTGCTTTGGAGACCAACATATAGGTTGCCCATAACACAACATATTTGCTCTCTCAACTTGGAATAAACCATTATTTCTTCAACTGAGCTCCAGATAAAGCAATTGACTACTTTCAATTAGAAGGGCACGACCTACGAAAAACCCTGAGATCTGTGCAGAGGACGACAGAGTCCCATTTCCATCTCCTTCTTCCTCTGGGACGATCGCTTCCTAAGTGTACTGATGGGCAGCATTTCCTTCCATTTTTAAATTCTTTCTTTTCCTTTCACAGAGGCCTTGAGTTGAACTTGTGAAGTTCAACTAGCCTAGGATGCAACCACGACGTTATTTGAAGGAACCACAGGCCGGGCGCGGTGGCTCATGCCTGTAATTCTAGCACTTTGGGAGGCTGAGGAGGGTGGATCGCTCGAGGTCAGGAGTTTGAGACCAGCTTGGGCAAGATGATAAAACCCTGTCTCTACTAAAATACAAGAAATTAGTTGGGTGTGGTGGCATGCACCTGTAATCCCAGCTACTGGGGAGGCTGAGGCAGGAGAATCACTTGATCCTGGGAGGCGGAGGTTGCAGTGAGCCGAGATTGCACCACTGTACTCCAGCCTGGGTGACAGAGCGAGACTCCATCTCAAAAAAAAAAAAAAAAAAAGAAAGAAAGAAAGAAAGAACCACATGGCTGATGTGGGGAGAGTTGGGTTGCACCCTAAGCCAAGGACAATCCTTTTTCATGGATTCTTTCCTACTGTCCCGACACAGTCCTCTAGTTCATCACGCCAGGCTGATTTAGTTCAGCTTGACATGCAACACACGAGACTTCTGTTTTCTAGAATAAATCTCCAGACATTTTATGAACCAATAATGTCCAAAGAGTACATGGGCTCTTTTGCGGCTTGGTAATTACCACTGACCTCTTTCCTGGACCCTTCTCCATAAAGAGGCCACCTCCTTGGGGCAGCTCCGCCCTCCCCTTTTCTCCAAGGCCGTAGGTGGAACAAGTAAGTTCCTAATTAGCCAGCCCGCGCAGGGAAGCTTGGTGTCAGGTTTTCAGGTCAGCCTTTGATGCAGGGGTAACCAGGGGAAGTGACGCATCAACTTTGATTAAAGAGCTATGATGAACCAAGATAAAAATTGACATTTAATTTCTCTCAGACTCGACTAATCTTGCAGACCAAAATTAAAGGTGAATTGTCTTCTCTTTTGGTTTGTGGGGTGAGGAATAGACTCACAGAAGTGATAAACTTGACAAAAATTTGCTATAATTTTGTTCTCAAATCATTGCTATTTAATTAAACAAAGCCTCCCGTCATGAATTTGTGGAGATGCAAAGTCTCCTACTTTTTTCAACCAAATCTGTAATATTCTTCCAGCACTCAGAAACACTCAAAGTCCGTTCACCCCAGCTGCCAGCTGGGGAACTCCATCCAAGAAGGATCCTAACCACTTCGTAAGCATCTCATTTACTGCCATGCTTACCTCCCTCTAAGCCAGTGGAAAGATGATCCGTGAAGCTTAAAAACAAACAAACAAACAAAAACCCATTCAACAGCAACACATTTAGAATAACAATATGTTCTGAAAACCACCACAACATGTGTGATTTTTTTTTCTAATTAAACTGACACCCCACTTTGAAAAAAAAACAAAAGAAAGAAGGGAAAACAGCTTCAAGTGATAATTGTCTTTTCTTTGATTGTCAAAAGTGATATAAAAAAAGGAAAAAAGTAACTTACCAGTTAGTAAACTAGAACACTATTAATTATTCTTGGAACATACACCACATTGACCTGAAAGTTTCCAAGGTGGAGTGATTTACAACAGCAGTGAATCCTCTCGTTCTATTGCGAATGGTCCTCAGACAGAGCTCGCTCAGGAAGAGGACTGACGAGGAGGCTTTCCCGGAGAAGTAGCAGAAGTAGCAGGCTTTTATCAGTAGATGGGGGTAGAGCAACACAGATGGAGCCTTGGTGTGCAGCTAGTCCTGAAAGTTTGTCCGTGAAGGTATGTGCACAAGCTTCATTGGGCACTATAGCAGGGAAGAATGCAAAGACAGAGGTTGAGATCAGATAACATAATCTTTCAAGTCCGCGTCACACTGGAGTACATGAGATCACAGGCAAATTCAAAAAACGATTTCCTGCCAAGCTCTACATTTCATTTTGCAAGCCTTTATTTAGGTAGGAAATGATACAATTATTATTTTTAGTTTTATTTCTCACTATTCTATTATGAACCCTTTCTTTTTCCATTCTTTCTCTTGTCTTATTCTTTGCTTCTTTTCTATAGTCTACAATTCCTTCTGTAGCCATCACATCTCTTTTTTGAATGGGGTGAAGTATAACTGAATACATTTTTTAAAGCTGTAAATGTTCTTGTAGAGTGTAGGGTTATGACAACTTTTCTCTAAAGTATGGAAGGAAAGGAAGTCATAGGCTTTCTTGTACAACTTGTCTATTTCCTTTAGAAGGAAATTAGATACATTGAATAGGCATGGAGGCTGAAATATATTCTAGTACTGGCTTGGTAGATAAAATATATTCTAGCATGGATATTGCATAATAGAAGCAATAACAAAATCTACAATAAAGTCAAATGTTGAGCTTGATCATGTGCCTCATCTGCTGGCATATTTGTGAATATTCGAGAGTTAAATGATTGATTGATTGATCATTTATTTCCAAATCCCCATTCCTCACTTCCATTGCCTCCTCCCACTCTTCCCTTACAGCAACCATGCTAAGATATTATATATATATAATAAATATAATATACAATATCCTATATATATCTGTTTATTAGCATGTATTGCTGAAAAATGTATATGTATTGTTTGTTTGTGGGTATGCTTTCTAATTTGCATAAACAGTATTCGGCTGTTGATCTCATTCTGTTTCTTTTTCTTCCCCACTCAGTATGAGTGCCTTAAAGATCTATTCATGTTGCTGCATGTGCCTCCTGTCTCTTGCTTCCAGTGGTGGCAGAGTATTTTATCCCACACATGATGCTTTCCGACTCCCACAAGAGTAGCCACCTAGACTGTCTCTGGTTCTCCAGATCCCAAACAGTGCGGTGGGAAGATTCTTACCCATATCTCCTTGAGCATTTGTGGGAGGTTCTTGGTGATCTGAACCTGACCACCAGATTCCTGTGTCATAGGACATAGGTGTGGCGAATCTGATGGCTCTCCATGATGACCACACCACTTTATATTCCCACCGGCAGAGCCTGATCCTCTCTCCATGTCCCAGACTTGGTGTTGTCTAAAGAACAAGGACATTCTCTCCATTTGTCAGATCTTCTTTTAGATTTCTTGTTAGAGTTTAAAAATATTATTTCTATTTAAAAATAGTAATTTTGTGTATTCCTTTAGTCAATTCCCAGATATTTTATAATGTTTGTAGCTATCATGACTTTCGTAAAGTTGTATCTTCTAGTTGTGTATTGCTTGTGTGGAAAAATGCTGTTAATTTTTTTGTGTGATTTTGTATTTCGCTTTCTTCCTGAACAATACTAGTGATCCTAATAGTCTATCTGTTGATTCTGTTGTATTTTATTCATAAGGAATATGTTGCCTGGAGATAATGACAGTTTGCCTTTTTGTCCTAACATCCTTCTCGTTTATGTATCATTTTTTAAAACATATGCTAGGACCTCTAGTACCATAAGCAATAGTAGTAATAATAATTCTTGTCTTATTTTTAATTTTAAAAAGTCCAGTTTTTCCATTAATTATAATGTTTGCTATAGGCTTTGGTACATACTTTTTGTCAATTCAAGGAAGTTTCTTTCCTTTCTATTTATAGTGTACTAAAATGCGTGTTCTGTATCTATTGAGATGATCACATGACTCTTCTCCTTCAGTCTATTAATGTGGTACATTACATGCATAGATTTCCCAGATGTTGATCTGCTCTTACATTCCTGGGAAGGATGTTGTTTTGATGACAGCAAAGCTGAATGACTCTTAGAAGAGGCCCTCAGGGTTAAATTTCTCTGACATACTGTGCCAGCGTATTCTGCAAATTATATACACGTATATCTTATACATATTTACTTATTCAATTAATGTTTTTCAAGTACTCTGTATTATACCCTGGACCAGATATGGGGATACGTTTTCCATTTCACCAATATTCAGAGAAAAATTTGGCCTTAAAGTAGTCAGTGGTTTCCCATGGCCATTAAACAAGACCATGGAGAAGCAACAAGGCCACTGTTGATTTTTGTCTTTGTCATGAAAGGCCTATTGTCGCTTCTGTCTGTCATTTGGGGGCTGCGTGGGACACAGGTATTAGGAGCTGAATAAACCCCTGTGCATCTGACTTGGGCTTCCACCTAGTTTCACAACTGATAGTATGTGGATTTGCTTGATTCATTAAGATTTTTAAAATACAGTCTTTACTTGTTTATTGCTGTGTTGCTTTCATCATCTTGACACAGTCATAAACCAATTAGAATGATAAACAAGCACTTGGTAAAATAAGTGTTTTGAAATCCCAACTGACAATGACTGAAACAAGGAAAATATAACTCATTCCCCTATGATTTTGTTGTGAGAAAAGCTCTAAACTTAATACGAACTACATACTTGAAGGAAGCAGGGTTGCATCCTGAAAGAGATTCCAACTTGGAATATGAGCATTGAGTTGTAGATACAGATTGTGCAGTAACTAAGTGCACACACAGAAGTATCAGATTGCATATTGTCAGGGTGGTCTTCATCCTGAAAATAGGTTTGGGAGGAAATAATAACTTAGGGTACCTGAGATGAAGTAATTGGATTTTCTGATTTCTCCTCTCACCTAATTGGATGTGCAAATGATCTGTCTGCACAATGAGCTCATGCCCATGGCTGTTCTTGCCTGCATTTATATGCGGCGAGTGTGTGCATGTGTATGAATTTACACCAAATCATACAGGCTTTATTCTCCTGCAGTGAGATCTCAGCACCCCAGAACAAAAAGAAAAATGGCTTCTTAATCATGATGGTCTTTGTAACATTCCCTTGCAGTTTTCTGGTAGTTTTATTTGACCTGTCATAAAAGCAGAGGACAGAGATGAGGCAGTGTGTATTAAAGTGGGGATGTCACAGGAGCCTTTGCTGTGAACTGGTGTATGCGCTGCACTCAGCAGGGGCCACTTCCTTATGTATAACTGTAATATTTTTCCTGTGTGTGTTTCCCACATCCAGCATTTCAGGCATTGATTTCATTTCAGCCACTCTCCCATTGTGAGGCTGCTAAGTATAGGCTAGACTCTGATCTTATGGGAAAAATCTCTCTATGGTCCAGAATCCATTTAGGGATTAGCCTCTCAACAAATGTCATTCCAGATTTCTATGTAAACTCAACTAAACTAAAGAATAAGTTTGCCTTATTGATCTGTGCTTATTCTTTCCTTTTCCACTTTACGATGGCTGCAGCTTTGGGAAGATCTAACCAAGCCTGAAGGGCAAGGGTGAGGGGAGTCAGAGAGGCTTCTTGGAAATGCAAGCTTCTATCTGAGTATTAGAGGTGGAACCGGGGTTGGTCTAGGAAGAAGGAGAAAAGGTGCTGCAGGCAGAGAAGATAACAAGGTCAAAGGCTTAAAGATGTGACAGCAGGTGGCACCTGGGAGACATGAAGGCAGCAGCACAACAGACAGATGGGAGGCGGGGGAATGTAGGAGAAATGGGGCAGGCATATCATGACCTCAGCATAAGCTTTTATCCTCATTGCCTCGGGAAGCCATGGCAGTGCCTTAAGCCCTGTCCCTGTCTTCATATGCCCTTTTGCTCTCATAGCTTTTTGTCCTGTGGATCTTCTGATTGGCTTCTCTCTTTATAGCAAGTTAACATAAAGTCAATTCCTCCTTAAAAAAGAAGCATCTGGGCTGGGCACGGTGGCTCATGTCTGTAATTCCAGCACTTTGGGAGACCGAGGAGTGCGGATCACTTCATGTCAGGAGTTCGAGACCAGCCTGGCCAACATGGCGAAATCCTGTCTCTACTAAAAATACAAAAATTAACTGGGCTTGTTGGAGAGTACCTGTAATCCCAGCTACTCAGGAGGCTGAGGCAGGAGAATTGTTTGAACCCAGGAGGAGGAGGTTGCAGTGAGCTGAGATCATGCCACTGTACTCCAGCCTGGATGATAGCGCAAGACTCTGTCTCAAAAAAAAAAAAAAAAAAGCATGCAATAGCATGCAACAGTAGCCTTAAATGCATTATTAAAGTAATAAATACCACTGTGATCCTCAAGTTAATAACTTACTAAAGGTACAGGATTTTAAAACCCTCAGGCTGTTGGTTTTCAATTGAATTCTTGACACCAGCAGTTATGGTGACAGTGTCACACCATGAGAGGGTCACTAAAGAGTTAACCCTGTGAGAAAGGCGGCAGCTTTTACCTTCGAACTTTATGCTAATTTAATTCTTCTACCTAAGTACTCAGAGTATACTCACGGTGGTGGCACCAACTTTTGGTTTGTTTGAGTTTTTATCGCTTATAGAGTGTGGTAATATGATGGCAAAAGCATTGAATTACAAACAGCATTAGGTTCTTTGGAAAAAGACAATAGGGAAAGAGAAACCAATATTTACCGAACACCTACTATGTGCCAGGTGCTGCAGGGTCACTTTCTACACATTATCTCATTTAATAGTCACTGCGGTCTTGTGAGGAATTGGGTTATCTTCCCTCATTTCTGGCTTAGGAAACTGAGAGGTAAGGGACTTGCTTAACTTTAAACGATGAAGAGACACACAGTCTGTTTCCAAAGTGTGCACTCGTTCTCTCACACTAAGCTGAATGACACTGGTGTGCTTTTTGGTTTCTTTTTCTAATTTGTTCCAGACCAATTTTGAAAACGATACACATCTTATAAAATACACACACACGCGCACACACACACACACACACACACACACTGCACTCTGGACACTTGTAGAGAGTCCCCCCACCCCCCCAGTCTTCAGTTGTGATTTGTCAGAATATATGTGTGAGGAGAGTGCATGGGGCTTTGGAAAGAGAAACCCAAAATGCTCATTGGAGGCCAGAATCCTGTCCTATTCATCTTTGTCTCCCTAGAGCCTAGCTGGGCGCCTGTCACCTAGTGGCTGGGAATGTTTGTTGAAAGTTTGAGAGGAAGCAGGAGAGAAGGAAGGAGAAAGAGTAAAAACAGAGAGGGTGGAAGCAACAGAAAGAGGGAAAAGGAGAAAATTAGGAAAGTGTGAGACCCAGGAAAGTTAGAAGAGAGGAAGATAATTAAAACAAACAAACAAACAAACAAACAAACAAAACTACAGCCTGTAAGAAGACCACTGCAGCTGAGCACTTGGTGAGACACTTCTTGCTGCCTGGCGGAGCTGAAATCAGATGCCTGACATCATCCATGAGACAAGACCAGAACATCTGGACGAGATGGAGTAACGCAGGCTTCATTGATTCTCTCACCTCAAAAAAGAAAGAGAAAATATATGAAATAATGGTTTTCAAGATATTGGGCATTAGGCAATGAAGGGCAGTGGTCTCTGAGAGAAAGGATGAATCTAGGTGAATTGTCCCTAGCTCGTGGCCTGGAGAGAGTTTCTGGGCTGTAGTGCGGGGAGAGGAAATCCAAGGAGTGCCCAGAGACCTCCCTGAGATGAGGAGAGAGAAATAGCATAGGTAATAAAATTACTAGACCAGGATATTTAAAGTTATTTTAATGTATTCTGTATATTCAACAGGCTACAAGAAACACTGAACATACTAAGTAAAGACATAGAATACATAAAAAGGCCCACAGTGTCCAAGGTGAAAAATGCACTGGTTGGGATAACCATTAGAAGAAACGATTTGTGAGCTTGAAGACTTAGCAATAATAACTGTCTAAAATGAAATGGAAAAAAAAAACCCTGGAAAAAAACCCAGTTAACTTTGGGGCAACTTCACATGGTATAATAATCAAGTAATTGAAGAGGAGGAAGGAGAGATGACAGCAAAGATACTGGAATAAACAACGGCCCCAAAATTTCCAAATTTCATGAAAATTGTAAACCCACAAGTCAAGAATCTAGGCAAACTATAAACAAAAGAGACATACAGAAAATTACACCAAAGTGCATCATAATCAAATTGTTCAAAACCAGTGATAAAGAAAAATTCTAAAAGCAGCCAGATATTTTAAAAAAACACATTAGGTAGGTACAGAAAAACAAAGATAGAAATAACAGATTTCTCATCAGAAAGAATGCACATCAGAGGACAGTGGAAAATATTTTTAAAGTACTGATAGACCATCCTGTCAAGCTAGCAAAATATCTTTCAAAAACAAAGATACAATTTAAAAAATTTAGACATGGAAACACTAAAATAATTCATCACTAGCAGAACTTCATTACAAGAAATATTAAAGATTATCATTCAGTCAGAAGAAAAATGATCCCTGATGGAAATATGGATCCACACGAAGGAATGAAGAAGCTCCAGAAATGGTAACTATGGGGACAAATTTAAAAAGGTTTTTATCATTGAAATATCTTTAAAAGATATTTGACCATTAAAAAATGACCCATCTATTGTGGAGTTCATAACATGTGTAGAAATAAATGTATGGCAAAATAGTACAAATGGAGAATGGAAGAATACAATTTTAAAGGAAATGGAAGAATACAATCTTAAAGTTCTTACACACTAGTGACACAAAAAAATGGAAAAAGATATACCATGCTAACATTCACTTGACAAAAAAAGTAGAGTGGCTACATTAATGTTAGACAAAGTAGGTTTCAGAGCAAAAATATATTATTACAGATAAAAGATTGTTTCATAATAATAAAATGGTTAATCTATGAAAGGGCCAACTTTCTTAAATATCTGCGTGCCTAATAACAGAGTTTCAAAATAGAGTCATGCATTGTCTAATGATGGGAATATGTTCTGAGAAATGCACTGTTAGGCGATTTTATTTCATCATTGTGTGAATATCCTACAGTACAATTACACAAACTAGACGGTATAGACTACTACACGTTCAGGCTATATGGTATAGCCTATTGTCCGTAGGCTACAAAGCTGTATGTCATGTTACTGTCCTGAATACTGAAGGCAATTAGAACACAATAGTAAGTATTTGTGTATCTAGAGATATCTGAATATGGAACAGGCACAGAAAACATATGGTACGGTATAAAAGATAAAAAGTGGTACACCTGTCTAGGGCACTTACCATGAATGGAGCTTGCAGGACTGGAATTTGCTCTGGGCAGTCAGTGAGTGGTGAGTGAATGTGAAGGCCTAGGACATTACTACACCCTACTGTAGACTTTAGAAACACTGTACACTTGGGCTACACTAAATTTACTACAAATACTTTTCTTTCTTTAACAACAAATTCATGTTAGCTTACTGTCACTTATTTATAAACTTTTAACTTTTTAAATACTTTTTGACACTTTTGTAAAAACACTTAAAACACATTGTACAGCTGTACCAAAATATTTTCTTTCTTAATATCCTTATTCTATAAGATTTTTTTCTATTATTATTATTATTGTTATTTTTTACCTTAAAACTTTTCTGTTGGCCAGGTGCGGTGGCTCATGCCTGTAATCCCAGCACTTTGGGAGGCCGAGGAGGGTGGATCACCTGAGGTCAGGAGTTCGAGACCAGCCTGGCCAATGTGGTGAAACCCAATCTCTACTAAAAATACAAAAATTAGCTGGGCGTGGTGGTGAATGCCTGTAATCCCAGCTACAGGCAGCGACAGGAGAATCACTTGAACCTAGGAGGCGGAGGTTGCAATGAGCCGAGATTGTGCCATTGCACTCCAGCTTGGGCGACAAGAGCAAAACTCCACCTCAAAAACAAACAAACAAACAAACAAACAAAAAAACAAAAACCCACCTTTTTTGTTAAAAACTAAGACACAAACACACACATACACATTAGTCTATGCCTACCCAGGGTCAGGATTATCCATATCACTGTCTTCCATCTCTACATTTTGTCCCACTGGAAGTCGTCAAGGGCAATAACAGGTATGGAGCTATCAGCTCCTATAGTAACAGTGCTTTCTTCTGGAAAACCTCCTAAGGAACCTCTCTGAGATTGTTTTAGAGTTAGCTTTTGCCTTTTTTTTTTTTTTTTTTTTTTTTTTAGTAGCAGGAGTACACTGTAAAATATAAGGTATCGTATAGTAAATACATAAACTAGTAACATAGCCGTTTATTATCATTAGGAAGAATACTTGTATGTGCTAGGCTTCTATATGACTAGCAACGTGGTAGGTTTGTTTACACCAGTGCCACCACAAACACGTGAGTGATGTGTTGCACTCTGACAATGGCTACGGCGTCACTCGGTGATAGGAATTTTTTAGCTCCGTTATAGTCTTATGTGGTCTGTTGTTGACCAAAATGTTATATGGCACATGACTGTACATGAAGACAAAGCCACTAGAAGCCTGCTTCCTAGGGCCATGGGCAGAACTGTACTGAACTGGATGCTGGTGTGGTACACCGTGGCCTTCTCTGGGGGCACCATGAGAACTTGTTGGACCTCATGCTGGATTTCCTATAAGGATGCTCATTATCCAACACACAGTTGACTCTTTGGGAGAGAACCTGAAGAGTACGTTCTCCCTGGCCTCAGTATCAAGAAATTCATGTGCTTTTTATACAAGCAGCCAACACTTACTAAACATGTACTATTTACGTATTTAAAAGAACCATCTTTAGTGCCCTACAGCCATTATCTTATTGACTCCCTTCAAGTCTTGAGAAGCGATGCTATAGTTTTTACCACTTGACAGGTAGGGTGTTCTCCCTTCCTTTTTGACACTTTGATTCTTGTGACTTTTGAGGCTCATCCATTTCAAGTGTATAAGATTTCATTGTCTGTATTCTGTAAACTATGCTCTTGGCTTCAACTTTTCTGATATTCTCTTTACTTCATTATTGTTATTCTGTTATTCCCATTACTTCATTGTTGTTATTCATTTTAAATTATTTTTATCTAGCTATAGTTTATGCATTGCTGTAAGCTTCCCTGAAGTCTTTTTAAGCATTGAAGTGGAATATGAATCACTGTTTTATTAATTCACTGAAAGAAGACACCCACTTCATCACTGAGAGAAGTCTCAAAGCTTGTTTAAAAAGCACACCAAAGACAATACTGCTAGAGCAAGAGTGATGCTGAGATACAGCAGGGCAGGGTGGGAGTATGGGAGGAATGCTCTGTGTTCATTCAGGAGACAGTTGGGTGCCAAGGTAGGGAAGGTGAAGAAATTTGTGGCCTTTGGATAAACTATGAACCCCATTTGCAGAGTATTGAGGGTGTTGTTTGAACAATCAATCAATCAATGTGGAAGTACTGGGTACTTTCAGTATAATTTACCTTTCAGATAATGTAAGCCCATTAAGCAATATGAAGTATAACCAATACATGATGCAATTCTGGCCTCAGCTCCCAGCCCTCTTCTCCAGGGACTAGGGAAACACATAACCAGGACGTGTGTCCCTTTGCATTCTGTCTGAATCCTCTTGTTCCATCATTAGGTGTCACTGTCTTTATCAGGCCATAGGTTACCAATTGCAGGGATTGCTCAGCCTATTGGTCAGCAAATGCTCATGGTTTGGGCTTTAACTGTGCATCCTCATCAATATTACTTTGGTTATCTATGCCCTGCATTGCAGAGCATTCAGGAAGTCACTTCTACCACCCATACATGCTGGAAAAGACGGCAAGTGCCTGTTACATTTCTTGCCTCTGCTGGGCACTGGGTTCTCTCTGCCTGAGCGCTGCACTTTTAGCCCAGCCACTTGCTGTCCCATGGCTGTCTCTGACACCCACCTTGGCGATGGGGAGTCTTTGCTGCCCCTGGAGTTTTGTCAGGAAGAGTAGCTTCAAGAGTATGCTGAAAAGGGAAAGGCATTGGTTGCATCGAATTTTTTTATTCATTAATTCAGCATGTAATTGTTGAGCCTCTTGTAGGTACCAGACATTGTGCTGGGCATACAGGGATGAACTCAGCAGCAAGGTCACTCCTCCAACAGAGAGGCTGGGGTGAGGGGAGCTTCAGAATCTCTAGACTACTTCATGTGCACATCTCATGGTAATTTCTCCTCTAGTTGCAGCCTCCCAAGGAGTTTTCTATTTACTTATCCTCGTTGTCCTGTAAATTACAAATTACTTTGCAAAACACAGAAACTTCATACCAGTGGGAAGAAGTCTTTATTACGTTAAGAAGATCAGAAGTGGTGATCTACCAGTACACTGAGTTACATTGACTATAAATTAAATTTGCTGCAATCTTTTTTTGTTTGGCTGACACAGCAGTTAATTCTTTGTGTGCGTGTGTTTGAATGACTTTAGATAGGCCACATGCTCTGTGATTTGTCACAAGTCCCCCCACCACTCCCTATTATGGCACATTTAACTATATTTATTTGCTCTCCCTAATTTCATTTGTGACTTCTGGCCACTACATTCTAGGAAATGGGACTGAGAAAAATAAGACTTTTGAAAAACTGTAAAATTGTAAATGTAAAATTCAATGATATAATAAATGTCTATTGGGTATCTGCCATGTGACAGGGTATGTGTTGTAAGACAATGGGGTTTAGAGAAAAATAAAATCATGTGGTAAGTGAAATGAACCACAAAAGTGGCATAGAGGAGGGGGCTGTTAGTTCTTCACTGGATATCTAGCAATGTTCACAGAGGATGCTAATGACTTTGGGACTTATTTTGTACCTATGACATGCTATAATGTATATTCTACAGCTTATCACACGGTTTTAAATAGAAAGGTGACATAAGGAAGGTAACAATATAACAATCATAGCAATGGAAAGCAGAATTAGAGAAGGTCAGGACTAGTGACAATTATCTTTTGGGAAGCTCTCCTTGAACAATATAGAATGAAAATGAAGATAGAAGTGTGGGGTGTGTGGGGGGTCATGGACATGAGTAAAAGCCTCCAGGTTGTAACAAACAGGGCAAGTGCTCAGGACTGTGAAAAAAGCATTCTATGGAGCTGCCATCTTCGGAGACTTGGGACATAACACTGGGTGGGGCTCAGGATCTTGGGAACTGCACAGAGCAACTTGGAACCATTTTGCTATTTCTCCCCAGTGCCCAAACTCTAGTAGCACTGGCTTTTTTTTTTGCAGGTTCAAACTTCCAGAGTCCTTTTTCATTCCTCCATATCATCATCTCTTATATTTACTGCATTCAAACCAATTCAAAGTCTACTGACTCTACTTTCAAATTGTATCTAGAAACTGGCTTCTCTTCCCTACCTCTACCACTATTGCCATCGTCAAAATCCAATGTCCATTGTCTGAGACAAGCTCCCTTAGGGCTGACTCCCTGCTCCTCAGACTTTCTGGGCTATACATACAGAATGTTCCATGTGCAAAGCACCTGCTCACTCACGGCTTGCATCTTATAGCCAGTGATGCGCTAATGACCTAGGGAGATGCAGGTCTAAGAGGAAAAGTGTTATTTAAATTAAACTGGTTAAGCTCCTAGTCTAAAAGCTCTAAGACTTGAGAGGAATTTAGCTGTAGTTGAGAGAGAGCAAGGAAAACTAACCAGTATGGTTAAAGAATAGCATAGGAGCATGTGAATGTACAAATTATATATAGCTGTGTTGTCCAATTTGGTAGCATGGGACTATTTAAATAGAACTACAAATTCAGTCTCTCAGTCGCTCTAGTCACATTTCAAGTCCTCAGTGTTGATAGTGGCTACCATGTTGGATAGCACAGACATATAATATTTCCATCATAGAAGAAATATCTCTTGGACATTTGTAGACTCAGGGGAGAAGGTCAAAAGCTTGCAGTGAGCCGAGATCGCGCCACTGCACTCCAGCCTGGGCGACAGAGCAAGACTCCGTCTCAAAAACAAACAAAAAACCCAAAAAAACTGTGTTCCATTTGGCAAGGGCTTGATCTATGGTGTGGAAAATGCCCATGGGGAGGAGTACCTAGACAGCAGTTGTCCAGGTTACCAGAATTAAGACAGATGGGCGTATGGGCTGACGGATGTGGTCAGTGGAAGATGAATACCAGAATCAAGTCTACACTGGATGAAGGCATGCCACAACTTTAGTCATCCAGGCTGGGGATGTTGAAATGGGAACCAGAAGCCAGGGCGGCTGACTGGCCACCTGAGGAACCTCAGGTTCACTCAAACCACAAGAAAACAGATACCAGTTTTGGGAGTAGGAGACTCCCCTTCGGAAACGAGGAAGAGAGCCTCTCTGGTTCAGGCCCACTGGTGGATGGTCATCTTTATGTGCAGCTGCGCAAAACTGGAGCAGGCAGACACCAGCATGGTACTGCTTAAACTATTAAGGTACTTCCCTTGTAATCTCTTGGGAGCCTCCCATTATTTGGGAGGGCTAGATGTTTGCCATGACCTGAGACATTATTTTTTCATAGCTCCAACACTGGAATTCTGCTGGGACACAGGGGAAGATCCCTTGCACTTTACTGACGCCCTGTTGAGTTCCTTTTCTGGATCTTCCTCAGGTGTTCACTGCCCTGGCCACATCGAGGCTGTGAGGTGGGCATCTTCACTTCACAGATGAAGCTCCAAAGGATATTTAACCAGCCTGAGGCCACAGAGCACGCACATGGTTGGAGCTGGGACTCACATTCAGTCTATGATTCCAGTCTTTATTCCATTAGATGGTGGTTGCTCTCTATGGCCAGTTTAAGGATTTCAGGGTCGATCAAGGAAGAAATACGACTGTGAGAGGCAGTAAATACACAACAAGTGTTCTTGGGTGGTGCGTGGACAGGGTTATGTGAGGGGGGAAGTTTCTTCCAGCAGGAGACCTTCCAGAGACAGTGGTGTGACGCCTTCACCCAGGGGAGAGGGGAACCAAAGAGGGACCACCTGTCTACATCACGTTGCGCAGCAGCAAGGTGGGGGCTCTGACAGCCTTGAAGGGCAGCACCTGTCTGGGGTCTTTAGCAGCTGCAGGGCTTGTCTCCTCTATGGTCTGCAGATGTTGGGTGTAGTTTTGTGAGGTACGCAAAGTAGGTAGGTTCTAAATGGCTAAATATATGCTTACTTTGATTTTTAAAAAAGATTTTGCATTTTTAAGACTTAAATATAAATTAAAGATATTTGGATTTTATTTTTAATATTTAAAGCAATTGGTTGTGTAAGAATCTGAATTTGGTATTGGCAAGCTTTAGGCTAAAGGCCCTAATCTGCCTGTGAAGAAATAAAGAACATAGGAGCAATTTTAGGAAAATGTCCAGACACCATCCCTGGCCCATTTACATAGCACCCCCCAGGGTAGTAAGATCACCATGTGTGGTTCCACTTTTATACCATATGTGTCATTTTTGAAAACAGGAAATTTCATTTTTATGAGTAATTCTCCTGGGGTATGGACTTCCATCTACGTCTTGAGGAACTTTCTAACACAATAAAGATTAGGATTACACTACTGTGTTGGCATACCTCACTTTCTGATTTGAATTAGGGATGATTTCCTTATAGCTCCTATTTCTGCTTCTGAACTTGTTGAGGACAGATACTGTATCTTCATCATTTCTGATTTCTCATGGCACCAACATCAATGCTATTTGAAGCATAAAGATTGAAGCTGCCGACTGACTGCTGGTACCTGAGACCTCCTTTCCACACCTGTATAGGTGGGTGGGAAAGATGCCCCTGGGGATCTGCTGTTCCTCTCAACACTGGTTGAGGGCGGGATAGTGTATTCAGCCAAAGGATTCAGTGTGGTAACTGATGTGGTCTAATAATCTGTCCACAGGTTTTGATCATCTTCAGCACCTTTGTCACATCCAGTTTCACTGTTTACCCCGACTCATGTGAGTGGTGTCACTTAGATTCTAATAAAAGAGTCTAAGCCCGGATGGGTGTTCAACATCTTCCACATGCCAAGACCCTCGTAAAACACATAGGTCCAAGTTACCTCATTTTAACTCTGGGAGGTACATTATTTTACCCATTTTTTAAAAAGGAGAAACTGAAGTCAGAGGGCTAATGAGTAGCAGAAAAAGGACACGAATTCAGGGTTCTTACACTTTAAATGTTCTAATTTTGGATTATGTAGAGGAAACGATGTCTGCTTTTACTTGTCCCAGTAGAGCTGTGTTATTATAATCTCTCTGCTTCGGGTAAGCATTCGGGGTGTCCCAGTTGATGGCAGTGGCAGCCTGTCTGGAGCGGCCGCTTTGAAGATGCGGCTTGCAGTGGAGGGAGGCGTGGCCAGGGCTGCAGTTCCATGCAGCCAGCAGGAGCTGGGAACAGGCGGGAGCCCTGGCCCCTTCTGAGTTGGTGGGGTGGGAACCCAGCCCTCACAGGCACAACTGCAACAGAGAGCCGAGGCTGCAGACCCAGGCATCCCTGTGCTCTTGAGCCGGGGAAGCCTCCCTGTCTTCGCAGGCTCAGAAGTGCCTGCTCCCGCTTCCTGGCTTCTCCCTGCTCCTGGCGCCCACTCCTATTTCCGAGTAAAGTTGAGGCTGAGCCTGGGCACTATCGCCACTCGGCCAGGTTTGCGTGCGCTTGGGGCGGTGCTGACACACCAGCCCTATGCTACTTTGGCTCCATTTGGACTTTGGGTGCAATCGAGCACGGGAGGGAGGCCACAGGGGCTGAGGGTGGCTTGGTGGGGCCTGCAGGAGCTCCTCCGCAGGAACAGCCTGGGCACCATGGACAACATGATTGATGGTGGCAGGAGGCAGACAGGCTTCTCAGCAGAAAGGGGCAGGTCCCGGTGAAGCACCACTTTCAAGCCAGGGATGGCCTGAAGTATGGGGGCCCAGCTGTCAGTTCTGGGTGAAGTCTGCGGCCCAGAGTGAGAACTTATGGTGCTTTTTCTGGCCTGCCCGTGGCTGCCCATGGGCCAATCGGCATGCACTTCTTCCCTTCTGAAGCCCTTAAAAATCCTGGACTCGGCCGGGCGCGGTGGCTCACGCCTGTAATCCCAGCACTTTGGGAGGCCGAGGCGGGTGGATCATGAGGTCAGGAGATCGAGACCATCCTGGCTAACAAGGTGAAACCCCGTCTCTACTAAAAATACAAAAAATTAGCCGGGCGCGGTGGCGGGCGCCTGTAGTCCCAGCTACTCGGGAGGCTGAGGCAGGAGAATGGCGTGAACCCGGGAAGCGGAGCTTGCAGTGAGCCGAGATTGCGCCACTGCAGTCCGCAGTCCGGCCTGGGCGACAGAGCGAGACTCCGTCTCAAAAAAAAAAAAAAAAAAAAAAAAAAAAAATCCTGGACTCAGCCAGACTCACAGACACATCAGGACTAGCAGCTGTGGAAAGGAGCTACCCACTCCAGGTCTCCTCCACTCATTCGGACAAGCTGCCTGCAGAAAGGAGCTACCCACTCCAGGTCTCCTCCACTCATTCGGACAACCTGCCTGCAGAAAGGAGCTACCCACTCCAGGTCTCCTGAGAGCTGTTCTGTTGCTCAATGAAGCTCCTCTACGCCTTGCTCACCCTCCAGTTATCCATATTCCTCATTCTTCCTGGACTCTAGACCAGATCTTGGGACCTGCTGAATGGCAGGACTGAAAGAACTGTAGCACAAACAGGGCTGAAACACATCCCCTGCTCGCCAGGTTGCAGGCAATGAGGAGAAGTACTGCAGCTTTTTGGGGAGCCCAGCCCTAGGGGTTCCCTGACCCAGGGCTGACACCCTCTTTGGGGCTCTGTGGTTCCTGGCACCTCCAAGCTTCTGGGAACCACTACATTCCCTCATGCCTGCAGTGGAAGCCACCTGCAGTACACCTGGTCCAGTCACAGCCTTGCAAGGAGCTGGTGCCTGTGTTGGTGCCTGGAGCTGCCTGCCCCGCTGTAGCTGGCATGCCTGGCTGTATGCAGTGGCTGGACCTCATGCTTGCTCACATACCTGTTGCCACTTCATGCCTGGCTCACCCTTGGCAGGTATGGGATCCAGGCTGGTAGCACAAGCCAAGTGCAGCCTGCAGGGACAAGTGGGCAGAATGAATGCAGTGGGCCCAGGCAAACTCAGGAAAGGTACCACCAGCCACATAGGTTTCCACCTGGAAAAGCAACACCCTAAGGATCCTGTGACACAGTAACTTGCCCAAGGTCAAGCCCCGGAATGTACAATGTCCAGGATTAGAACTTCTGTCTTTCCAAACCCAATTCCTATTCTTGCCCCACTGCAATGCTCTAAGTCTGAGCAAGCCATTTAATAAAAGACGGCCTTTTGAAAAAAAGTTCAAAGAAATCAGGGGCCTAGTGGAAGCCGGGATTGTTCGATGATGACTTTCAATTTTACCTGCTCCTCTCATGGCCCAAGCCTTTGGTGAGTCAAAGATGTCAGCTCTGCTTGATCAGTGGCCCTAAGTGCAACGTATTGGTTCACAAATGTAGCTCCTGGGGGTCTGAGGCAGAAGCTGATGAGATCCGTGTGTAGCCCAGTTGGTGTGCTGGGAAATCTTGTTGTTTCCAGCTCTAAAGAACAGAGAGACCTGGAGAAAATACTTTACCTGACTGCCACCTTTTTTTTTTTCAAACCTGTAAATTCAGGGGTCTAGGCTAGAGGGTCTTTAAGGCTCTCTTTTGCTTGGAGACTATTTGTAGCATTACAGTCGTGTGCCAAATAGTGATGTTTCCATCAACGACAGACTACATTTACAATGGTGGTCCCACAAGATTTAATACTGTATGCTATGCTTAGATACACAAATACCACGAGTTACAATTGCCCATAGTATTTAGTGCAGTAACATGCTCTACAGGTTTGTAGCCTAGGAGCAATAGGTCATACCATACATCCCAGGTGTGTAGTAGGCTCTACCACCTAGCTTTGTGTAAGTGCACTCTATAATATTTGCACAACAGTGAAATCACTGAAGGCCACATTTTCCAGAATGTATCCCCGTTGTTAAGTGATGTGTGGTTGCTTTTAGTAATTCCTCCAACCACTACAGTACAGCCACTCTCTGCATATCAAACTGACATTTTTCTTTACTTCTTTTTGTGATCTTAATTGTGTGATCTTCATATTGGCTAGTTCTTTAAGAGCAGCGGTTAAAATCCCTATTTTCATGAGCCCCAGTGATGAGAGATTTATATTTGAAACCAATCTCTCTTTTCACTAACCAAAAAGTGTCAGTTATCCCCATATAAAAATACCGATGAGTCGGATTAACTGTCCACAAGTGCTTCCCAAACTCATTCCCATACAACCATGAAGCAGAGAGTGGAGCTGCCGTAGCATTTACAAAGCAGGAGCTGACACTAGGCATATTTGAACACCATGAGATATGGTATCACTGGGGACAGAGAGTGAGTTTAGTTAATAATGAATGGCATATCCCATAAAATACCATTACACAGTGTTCAGGGCGCAAGAATGATGACATAATTATTAGGAGACTGGGAGATTAAGATATAATTTAAAAAAACATGACAGGGGAGGGTGTAATTGGGGAGACAAAATACACAGGAAGTTTGTAATTTACATGTCAAAATACCTTTTTCATGTTTTGATTGGATTAGACGCTGCCTTTCCACTCCATTTATCCTGGCTTCAATTAGAGGCAGCCAAAATGACATCTCACGTTCATATTCTTGACACACGCTGCTCATGGGCACCTTCTAATGCTAACCGACAGGAAGGGGAAAGGGAAACTCGGTTTTGCCTCTGTCCTGCACTTTTTACTTAACCCCTAATTTGTTTCTAAATGAGCCTGTCACTGCGGTTCACGAGGCTTTGTGCACAGGATGTGGCAGCCTGGTCTTGGAGGAAGCTCCCCGTCATAACTTGATGTGCTCCAGCCCTCCCCTGAGGGCCTGCTGGGAGACTCTAAAACTGGGCAGGAGAGCAGCAGTTTCCTTTTGGAAGAGGATGGGGTGAAGACACATGTGAGGAGCCATGCCACATCATCAGCGTCAAGTATTCATGGTGTCAGTGACCATCAAGCACGTCTCCCCATACCTGAGGATGTGGGGCGGCAGATGCTCCCTGTGATGGTTAATTTCAGATGTCAGCTTGGCTGGTCTTGCAGTGCCGGATAGCTGGTAAAACGTGATCCCTGGATGTGTCTGTGAAGGTATTTCCAGGAGAGATTAGTTTGGAATCAGTAGATTGAGTAAAGAAGATCTCTCTCACCCATGTTTGTAGGTATCATGTAATCATTTGAGGGCCTGAATAGAAAAAAAAAAAGTGGAGGAAGATCAAATTTACACTCCCTGCTTGAGCTGGGACATCCATTTTCTCCAGCCTGTGGACATCAGAGCTCCTCGTTCCTGGGCCTTTAGACCTTTCCCTGGTTATCAGGCCTTTGAATTCAGGCTGAATTAGACCACTGGTTCTTCTGGGTCTCCAGCCTGCACACAGCATATCATAGAACTTCTTGGTTTCCATAATTGCATGAGCCAATTCATAATAAATCTCCTATGCATGTATCTATATCTCCTACTGGCTCAGTTTCTCTGGAGAACCCTGACTAATTCACTCCCCTTATTTCCCTTTGTTCCTTTCCTCCTGGCATTTACCTTGAGGCATCCTGCATACAGTCAGTGGGGCCAAATCCTAAGGTTTTCATTTGCTTTGAATTTCTGGTACCTCCTTTTCTTGGAGAGTTGACAGGCCAAGGCCCATCTGAAAACCATCAGTGAAGTATTTACCTCGATTTTCTTTTACTTCTGCAAGTAACGTATCTACCTACCTGAAGGCATGAAGTACCCAGCTGGCAATTATAATTACCTGCAAGGTGAAAGATATGATTATATTCTCACATATTTGACATAAGACCTTATGCTTTGCTTGTATCATCTTGACACTTTACTTAGATGCAGTGATGCTCCATCTAGATACATTTCAATATATATTGGCAACAAGCATCCATTTAAGACCTTATATATTAGGAGTGACTGATGAACATACGCCCTTCTACCACTTATCATATGCTGGGCTGCTCTTTTAAGGAGCAAGACTTGGCTTAAACATGAGACCAAACAAGTGTTACCTGGTAAAAGTGACGGGCTCTTCCCTCCAGCTGCTCTCTCAGTTCCTTTTACAGATCCTGTTTCCTGATCTTTGATCATCAGTTTTAAATAGGACATTATTCATTTGGGTCACTGAGTGGTCAATTGGAGAAAGCTATTAAGATGATCAAAATAAATGGACCTTATAATGGGGTTGTTCAATATTCTGGGAAGGCTGCAGAGTGAAAAGATTTTGAACAGGCTGATTTTGAATTCTCTTCTGCCATTTACTAATTGTGCTACCTTCAACTAGACACATCCTTCCTGAGCCTTAGTTTCCTCATCTGCACGTTGGAGATAATAGTAGTCTAACTTAACATTGTTTAAATGATCAAATGAAATGAAGCATCTTAAATGCTTGTCAGGAAACTTGGCATAACAGAGTATTTGGTAAAGGTTAACAGTTACTTTTTCTTTGTTTTTCAGCCACATGTTCTGACAGTTTCTGTTCATCTGTTTGCTCACGCTGTACTTGGCACTGCCTTCATCCCTAGTCCCAGAGGACAGCCTTTAGCAGATGGGTTTTCTTTCTTTATTGAGAACTTTCCTCACATGTTCATGGTTTCCACCTTTTTATGGCCTCTAATCTGCCAGGAGGGCAACTCAGTACCCATGTCACTGTGATAATATAAATAGATGCCTAGGAAAAAATTACATCATTTGAAGAAAGTGTAGCAGTATTGCATTAAACCAGGCTTTGGAAACATCTGAAATTTCTGACTGAAGAGTAGCAGGGATTCGCAAAACTTGGGGTACTCAGATACCACCCAGGTGTCCCCAGAGAGATCACATACCTCCTCTGGCCAGTGGAGACAGACTAAATTTAACCCTAGAACTTAGTCCCAGCAAACCTTCTAACCTCACACCGTGAGTCTGTCCTGAGCCCCTCTACCTCCAGGTTCCCTGCCTTAGACCGTAATGGAAAAAGGCCCAATACATCAGCTTGATGAGGTTTCTGAGATCGTGTAATAATCTTCATGATCTCTTGGGTGCAAAGATGAGAGCTGGTCTGCACCACCACACAGGGCAAAACTAGAAGGAGGATTGCTTCTTCTGGGATCTGTATGTTGTATGAAAAAACAAAGAACAAGGACTCCCTTTCTAGAATTTTTGCCAAAATGGAACCACTAACCCTTTCATACTGTCCTGTGATCATAATAGCTGCTATTAGTAAAGTGCAGTATAAAGCCCTTGAACACACTTATCCCATTTGAGTCTCATAATAAAACTGTGAGGAAGACCACGTAGAGATTGGTTGACCCATTTTAGACCTGGGGAAATTGAAGCTCAGCAGGGGTGATTACCTTTCTTTCATGAAGCCATGCAGTTTAGAGTTGGAAGAAACCACCTAGGGTTCCTGATGCCAAATTCAGTAGCCTTTCCATTAAATCCCATGCCTTGCCACCTAAGTCATCTGTCCTTCCCCAGTCTCCTACCTAGGCACCAGGGATTTCTTTAACATGGTTACTCTCTGTCTTCAAATCTGGCTTAAAGAAAAAAGCCCACTGAAGCCTGACCACGTGCTTTGAGTGGGCTTGATTCACTTTGAACGCTGAACAAAGACTTAAAACTACATTGGTTATCAAATTGTGTGTGTTCATTGTTTCTTTCTCTTTAACCAAAATAGTTAATCTAATTATAACCTATTGTTGATTCTAATAGTGTTCAAAATCCTCAACTGAGTGTGGGGGTGTGTGTGTGCTAATTTTCTGAAAAAATTGGAATACAGTGAGCACTGAGAGCCATTTTATTCTATCAGAAATTGTAATGACAAAAAGAGCCATTTTATTTTATCAGAAGTTGTAATGACAAAAAATACTCAGCTGAGGAAATATTGCACCAGGATTGAGGGGCAATCCTCTCATTCTTTCTTAGATATTTTCTCAGAATAAATTACTTAAACCTACTTACCTCAATATTATAGATAGTGTTGGGGACAGAGCTGTTGGATTCTTGTAAAAGCACCATCATCCTGATTTTGGAAACTACTTCAGGTTTAGGCATAAAATCAATGTGCAGCTCCTACTCCTCCCTTCACCCAGGTGAGGACACTGAGACTCGGGGTTTGCATCACTTGTTCACATGATTTCGAAGTGCTGGAGTCAATTGGAACTCAGATACTAAAACCCCAGGGTCAGAGCCTATGTCCCCTATTCCTCAGCCTTCAGTGCAAAACTTTCCACAAGGGCTTCACATTAAGTGACTTTGTGTTAACCTGGGTGGATGTGATGAAACGGGCTGACAAAGGCACAGAGAAGGGAAGTCAGGGTTCTCCAGAGTAACGTAACCAATGGGAGATGGGAGATTTCTTTCTCTCTCTCACTCTCTCTGTCTCCCCAAACTCCCCATCTATCTATCTATCTATAAAGATAGATTTATGCTAAGGAATCGGTTCATGTAGGTCTGGAGGCTGGAAGCTCAGAGAAGAGTTGATTTTGCAGTCTTGGCTCCAAAGTCTGCAGGCTGGAAACCAAGGCTGGGATTTCATGTTGAGGCAGAATTGCTTCTGCTTTGGGAATTCTCAGTCTTTGCTCAAGGCCTTCAACTGCTTGGATGAAGCTCACCTGCATTATGGAGGGTGATTTGCTTTGCTCAAAGTCTACTGATTTGAATGTTAATCATATCTAACAAATACCTCACAGCAACATCTAGACTGGTGTCTGATCAAACAACCGGGCACCATGGCCTAACTAAGTTGACACATGAAATTAACCATCACAGTGATTGGAAGTTGGCCTAAAAAAGAACCTTGGTAATACTTCTTACCCAACTAACTTATCCTCCTTTTGAGAGAAAAGAAAACAGAAGGAGAAGATAACCTAAGTGGAGTAGGAGGTTAAACTAGATTAAAATTGTCCACAGAAGAGCTTCAGACCTTTCCTTCACACTTCCTTCAATTTGAAGCCCAATCACTAGAGAAACACACATCATTAACTACTGGAAGCTGCCCACTCAAACTGTGCCCAAATCTCAATTGGTACACTTCAAATCGTCTGTGTTGACACCAGAGAAATTAAATTAGAGCAGATACACATGAGCAGCATTTGCAATGGACCCGTAGTCCTGTTGATGATTTTCTATGAGTTCAGCTTCAGTTTGGCTCAAGATTTTGACAACAGCAAATGTCACACAACTAAAATGAGTTGGATGGTTCATCACTGATGTCAGAGGTGCACGAGGTGGTGACTGCAGGAGATGGCTAGACTCCTTCTCTATAAGCAGGAGGTGACCTGCCTGCCTGGTAGAGCACGCTGCAGGGATATTTGCTTAGATGAGTTTATTTTGTTTTAAAATTATTAACAAATGTAATTTTTCAGAGAGCAAAGAATCAAACAAATGTTAAACTCACTTTTATTACTTTTAACTCTACTTTTGACTTTAGTCAATTCACTAAGAACTGGAGCCCCACTGCTTGGTCCCCAGTCCTATCTCTCTTTTATCTCCATTCTTTCCCTATAGGATATTATTCAATCCCATTGTTTAATTATCATGTGCTGGTGACTCATCTGATTATATCTCTGAGGTCAGCCTTCTCCTGGGAGCTCCAGACTTTCATCCAAATGTCTGCTTGAAATCTCCACTGGGTCTACGCATACAGTCATGTTAGATGAAACAGCACCCAAAGTACTCTTTTCTCTTCCCCTTGACCTGTTTCTCCTCTGTCTTCCTAGCTCAATAAATGCCAGTCCATCTATCCTTTTGTTCAATTAAAAACTTGAGAAATCATTGTATTCTTCTCATTACCCTGCTTGCTACAATCAATCCATTCACAAGTTCAGTTTCTTTTACCTCCAAAACAGATAACTGCACTTCATTCTGTTCTTACTCCTCACCGCACTCCCTGCCAGCTGCCCTCTTTCCTCTCCAGACACTCTGTGCTCTGTAGCAGCCTCTGAGTTCAGCATCCTCATTCTGCACTGGCTCATCTTTCCCTTCTGGAGTCTCCTCTCCACACAGCAGCAGCATGGGCTGAGGAGCCTGTTGATGCACAAATCAGATGGAGCCATCCCCTGTTCATAACGCCCTGAGGGGCTCCCACTGACTCATAAAAAATCTTTCCTCTGACTTCCTCATCAGGCTCCCGTAAGGAGCCCTTGCCAACATTCCTGAGTTCACATTCACCATTCTCCCTCCTCATTGTGCTACAGCCACGTGGCAGCTCTGAACCTTTCGCAGTTCCTTGAACCAACCTGGGTGCTCCTGCTTCAAGGTCTTTGCATTTGCAATTCCCTCTGTCTTTACCTCCATTTTTTTTTTTTTTTTTTGCAAGGCTGGCTCCTTGTCATTCAGATCCCAGTTCAAATGTTGCCTCCTGAGAAAGACTCTTCCTGGACACCCTATCTAAAAATACCCTCTCCTAGTCATTGTACTACATGATACATTTGTTTTTACTGCACTTGATGTAATCTAAAATTATCTTGTTGATCTTGTTACCATTTTTAATTGTCTATCTCCCCAAACTAGAATGTGAGCTCCATGGGCTTAGGAAGCATGCCTACTCCGTTCATCCTTGAATCTTCGTGGAACCATGACAGGTCCATTGCCCAATGTATGCAGCAGGTCAATACGCCGAGACAACGGGTTGTGGCAGAGACAAAGGTTTAACCATAGGGCTGCCAAACGAGAAAATGGGAGGAAACCTCAAATCCATCTCCCCAAGGAGTTTTCGGCTAGGGTTTTTAAGGGTTTTGGAGTGGGCCAAAGTGTGGAGATTGTTGACTTCGTCAAAGAGTGCAGGGTGAAGTCATGGGACAGGGAGGTGAAGAAGCTGTGTTCTCATGCTTATTCTGTGCCTCTGTGTGTGTGTGTGTGTGTGTGTGTGTGTGTGTGTGTGTGTGTGGTGGGGGGTCTTCAAACTGGTTGCCATCCGCTGTTTTGCTGGAATTCAGGATTTGAAAAACATCTTAAGCAATTCTTGAACAAAAGCCTTATTTGAATGTGAGAAATCCTATCTATCTTAAAAGCCTTATGATTCTAACATTAGAAGTCCTATCTATAGGAACAATAAGGAAGCAAATGGCCAGTATCTAGTGTTACATGAGTTTGGGTTGCAAGAAAGTGGATCAAAGTGTGGTTTGATTAATGCTTAATTATATTTCTGTCCAGAATTCTTGTTAACCCTGTGAGGATGGCTTCACTCTCTACCTGAAACAGTGACTGGCATACTTGTTAAAGATATGAATAAATGAACAGAGGGTTGATTATCTGGTACATCTATCTTCTGCCTGTGCCTGGAACTGGGAGTATGAGATGAAAGAAGGTATAGTTCCTTCTCTCTTCCCTCAAGGAGCTCATATTTTAATAAAATTTTATAGGCATGTGGAAATATATTTATAGGCAGTATGGACCTACTATTTTTGCTCCACATTTTCAACCTTAAAATTTATAGTGATTCATACATACATTCAGTAATTCAATAGTTCATGTTATTTTAAATTATGTAATAATTTTAAGCCTGAAAATAAGCTACTAATCTCACTGGGTCCTCCCAATAGGCAGCAATTGGTCCAAAAGTGACAGTCCTTTCTTTGACTTTGATATTGTGTGTGTGTGTGTGTGTGTGTGTGTGTGTGATTAAAGATTGCACCATTGCACTCCAGCCTGGGCAACAAGAGTGAAACTCCGTCTCAAAACAAACAAACAAACAAACACCCAAAAAACCCACTAAGAGTTACTAAAGTTTAATGTTCATGAGATGAAATCAGTATGTTGCTTGGTGTTTCTGAGGACTCTAATTCACTAAGTTTGGACGTTGTTAAAAAAGGATGTGGTAGATACATAGGCACTACCATGGAAAGATTTCCAAGTTTTATTATTAAGAAGAAGCAAAGATGCTGCAGATTAACATGTGAAGTAAACCCCGTTTATGGAAACCTCACACCCCTCACACTGTGCATTTGTGTGTGGGAAATTTTCACTGGGGAGTCAAGTGCATTGTGGGAAAGGAAGGAAGGTCAAGGAAGAATTTTCACTCTCCACAGTTCTGTCTTAGCTGAAGTTTATTAAATGAATAATATTCACGAATTACTTTTGTATTGGAAAAAAATTTTGATGTGCAGTACTAGCCATGTTGTAGATCTCCTATGTGTGCATTCTCAGACGGTTGGAATTCCCCCAGTTTGGAAAACCCTGTATTATAAGTGTTGTATTGAGTCGTTCTCATCTCATGTTTCAGTTGATGCTACTTCTTACTTTTAATTGCAATTTGCTATAAATTATGTTGGTTCCATCAATTTAGTTTGTTGTATGTTCTGTTTAACTCCATGATATACAGTGATATGTTTTTGCATCAATGGCATTTTGGGGTTATAATTTTCCAATAACTAGACTTCAGGCTTGTACTGTGGTTTGACTGTGAATATTGTGTATTCCAATTGTTTAAGCAGATGTCTATATTATGTTATGTTATATTATATTACCTCACATCATATATGCTAGATTATATTAGTGTATTAGTCCATTTTCACCCTGCTGATAAAGACACACCTGAGACCGGGCAATTAACAAAAGAAAGAGGTTTACTTGGACTCACAGTTCCACATGGCTGGGGAAGCCTCATAATCATGGTGGAAAGCAAGGAGGAGCAAGTCACATCTTACATGGAAGGCAGCAGGCAAAAAACAAAACAAAACACACACATGCACACACACACACACACACACAAACAGAAAAAAGAGCTTGTGCAGAGGAACTCCTATTTTTAAAAACATCAGATCTCATGAGACTTACTCACTATCACAAGAACAGGAGAAGAGCACAGGAAAGACTTTCCCCTGTGATTCACTGATCTCCCACTGGGTACCTCCCACAACATGTGGGAATTATGGGAGCTATGAGATGAGATTTGAGTGGGGATACAGAGCCAAACCATATCATTCAATGACTATCTAGCACATTTTCCACTGGAAAGTGGGATTGACAATGTCAGGAGGGCAAATGGGTTATGGGTGTTCTGTCACTCAGTGGGCCTCAAACTTCTTTAGTCACTGACCGGCAATCCTCCATGTGTGGGAAACTGTTCTTTATGGGGCCAGTTCCATTTTTGTTGCTTTTAAGGTTGTTTGCGAATATTTTTACTTACAGGTCTAAAACTGGAAGCCTACTCAGAATGCCAGGACACTGTATCACTGTAGCTTTAAAACAATTCTGAAGAGCTTTCTTTTTATTTAGAGTAAAACTATTAGCCTAATTTTATCACATAGTTATGTATTTAATGAAGTAAGACCGCCAACAAATGAACACTTCTGTTTAAAGTTGTCCTCCCAGCTTCATTTATACACACACACACACACACAAACACACACTCATCTCAAAATAAAAAATTTACTATATAATGTATCTCAAGAGACTTGTTTGGATGCTGATCTTTCCCTGTTCTCTCTCTGGTCTCAGTGAAGCCTCACAATTACTCCACCTTCACCTCCAGAATTATGGTCACTCCTTGCGTTTCTTTAAATACTTCTTTAAATATTTAATCAAATTTTAAATTGTGATATTTACAACCTTTTGTATATGTCTTGGCCGTTTGTGTGTCTTTTTCTTGAAGTTTTCATATTCTTCAAGTGTTTTTATGTTAGATTGTTCTTTTTCTCAGTTATAGGTAAGAGATGTCTCTATTAATGTCAGAAGACTTTTGTTTATCATATACACGGCATAGACTATTTCTCATTTTATTTGAGGCAACATTTTAATTTTGTTTATTATGGAATATTTTTAAAAATATACAAGTGAAAAAATACTTTAGTATATCTTTATGTACTCATCACCAGCTTGCACACTTGCTGACTGATGGCCAGTCTTGTTCCTTCTTAAACCCACATCCAGCCACACCCACCTCTCTGAATAATTTTGAAGCAAACTCTAGATATCAGCTTATTTCATGTGCAGCATTTGAACATGTATCTCTAAAAGTAAATCTTTTTTATAAACACAACAATGACACTATTGTCTCACCTGGAACCTGACACTATTACTAACTACGCAGTCAGTTTTCAGACAGCCACACAATTTTAATGTCTTTGTTTGAATTATGACTGGAATTATATCTTCACTGAAATTGATTTTATGCTATTAATTCCTTTTTACTCTATGGGCTGTCTCCCTCTCTCTCTCTCCTTACAGTTATTTAATGACAAAACTACATTGTTTGTCCTGTAGAACTTTCCACAGTTTGGATCAGTCTGGATTTTCCTGATCGTATCCTCAAAGTACCCTTTAGATGTTGTCCTGGATGTATTCCCTGTAGTTAGATTTAAACAATTGATACAATTAATTTTTTTTGTTTGGTTTGTTTGATTTTTGCAAGACAGACTCACCGTTAATGTTGGTGTCTCTCTCAGGAAGCACCTGGGTCTGGCTGGCTCTTTCTGTAACGTCAGCCACCCTCATGGCTGATCATTGTTTTCATCCTTAATTGCTTCAGGGTGATGAAATGCTGAAGTTTTCATCCTGTTATTTCTCTTCCTTTATTAGCTGGAATACTTCTGTAT